>NC_000017.11:40685980-41310980 GCF_000001405.40 Homo sapiens | reverse complement strand
CATGGTGGAGGCAAACTAGGCCCTTCACTGAGCAAGATGTTAAGTCCTGGAATTCAGAAACCTAGGATTCATTTCTCCCTTCATCTGTCTCAAGAGTAGCAAAGACGAGTCTTTTGTTCACAAAGTCTTTGAGAGACACACCTGAGAAGTCTCTTGTTTTTACTATTTACCCTTTGGGTCTTGGAGATTTTTTTTTTTTAAAGGAACTGTCAAAATCATTAAAAGCAAGGAAGACCCTGGAGGTCTAATGAATGCTTGAGGAAGAGCAGAAAGGCTGGGTCACATGATTTCCAGGAACAGGTCAAGCCAATGTTCTATGTTCATGGGATAGCATGGAGGACAGCGGTGGGCTAAGCTGGCGATATGTGACTTTGATGAAGTCTTCTGAGAAAGGTAGGTCTAGACAGGTTGGTGAGAAGGAGGGACAGCCGCCTTAGATCAGGGACAGACTGTGTGTGATCTTTAGCAAGTGACTGAAACTTTCTGACCCTCTGCCCCCATTTCTTCATTTCTTTCTCTTTCTTTCTTTCTTTTCTTTCTTTCTTTCTTTCTTTCTTTCTTTCTTTCTTTCCTTCTTTCTTTCTTTCTTTCCTTTCTTTCTTTCTTTCTTTCTTTCTTTCTTTCTTTCTTTCTTTCTTCTTTTCTTTCTTCTTTCTTTCTTTTCTTTCTTTATTTCCTTCTTTCTTCCTTCCTTCCTTCTTTCCTTCTTTCCTTCCTTCATTCCTTCCTTCCTTCTTTCCTTCCTTCCTTCCTTTTTTTTCTTTTTCTTTTTTTGACAGAGTCTTCCTCTGTCACCCAGGCAGGAGTGCAGTGGCTTGATCTTGGCTCACTGCAACCTCCACCTCCCAGGTTCAAGTGATTCTCCTGCCTTAGCCTCCCAAGCATTTGGGATTACAGGTGTGTGCCACCATGCCTGGCTATTTTTTATATTTTTAGTGGAGATGGGTTTTTGCCATGTTGGCCAATCTGGTCTCGAACTTCTGACTTCAGGTGATCTGCCTGCCTCAGCCTCCCAAAGTGCTGGGATTACAGGCGTGAGCCATGGTTCCTGGACCATTTATTCATTTCTAATGGTGGAGAAAAATCTCTGCCTCATGAGATTGCTGGTGGTTTTAAGCAAGATCATTGCTGTAAGGTGCAGTCATTTAAAATCCAGCCCAGTTGTTCTTTTCCCAACTGAGTTCATCACCTCTCCTCTCAATTAATCTCTGTATGTCTATTGTTGAACTTATTATTGTATTGCAGTGAGTTTGTCTGCATGCTTATCTGCCCACTAGAAGGCGAGATCCAAGAGAATGGGTGAATAGGTCTTATTCCTGTGGCATCCTCTGAATCCAACCCAGGGCCCTGTATGGAAGACTAGAAGGTGGATAAATCATAAGTTTCATTCTTCTTTCCCTGTTCACAATGCTCAGAAATATAGATTATCCAGTTTGGAGGTGAGGATGCTTCTTCCAAGACTACCTGTAGCTCTGAGGATTCCAAATTTAGCACATCAATAAATAAACACCTTCTTTACGGGTAGATAAACAGCTTCCAGATCAACAAACGGTGGTATAATAAGATGTTCCTCTGCAAACTGGCCCAAACAACAATGAGGAAAAGATGCAGGAGTCCCAAACAGAACACGCCAGTGAGGGGGTATAAAAGTGAGGGCCTCAGGGAGCTGTCACAGTGAGGCAGCAACCTCTCAGCACTCAGCACAAGGAAGCACGGCCACCTCCACCATGTCTGGCAGTTGCTCTTCTAGGAAATGCTTCTCCGTGCCAGCCACCTCTCTCTGCTCCACTGAGGTGAGCTGTGGAGGCCCCATCTGCCTGCCCAGTTCCTGCCAGAGCCAGACATGGCAGCTGGTGACTTGTCAAGACAGCTGTGGATCATCCAGCTGTGGGCCACAGTGCCGTCAGCCCTCCTGTCCTGTGAGTAGCTGTGCCCAACCCCTGTGCTGTGATCCTGTCATTTGTGAGCCTTCTTGCTCCGTGAGCAGCGGCTGCCAACCCGTGTGCTGTGAGGCCACCACCTGTGAGCCTTCTTGCTCTGTGAGCAACTGCTACCAACCTGTGTGCTTCGAGGCCACCATCTGTGAGCCTTCTTGCTCAGTGAGCAACTGCTGCCAACCTGTGTGCTTTGAGGCCACCGTTTGTGAGCCTTCTTGTTCCGTGAGCAGCTGTGCTCAACCTGTGTGCTGTGAGCCTGCTATTTGTGAGCCTTCTTGCTCCGTGAGCAGCTGCTGCCAGCCTGTAGGCTCTGAAGCCACTTCCTGCCAACCAGTCCTCTGTGTGCCCACTTCCTGCCAGCCTGTCCTCTGCAAATCCAGCTGCTGCCAGCCAGTTGTCTGTGAGCCCAGCTGCTGTTCAGCTGTCTGCACCCTGCCTAGTTCCTGCCAACCTGTGGTCTGTGAGCCTTCCTGCTGTCAGCCGGTGTGCCCGACACCTACCTGCTCTGTGACCAGTAGCTGCCAGGCTGTCTGCTGTGACCCCAGCCCTTGTGAGCCAAGTTGCTCAGAGTCTAGCATCTGCCAGCCAGCTACGTGTGTGGCTCTGGTCTGTGAGCCAGTTTGCCTCCGCCCTGTCTGCTGTGTTCAGAGCTCGTGCGAGCCACCTTCTGTCCCCAGCACTTGCCAAGAGCCTTCTTGTTGTGTCTCCAGTATCTGCCAACCCATCTGCTCTGAGCCCAGCCCCTGCTCACCAGCTGTCTGTGTGTCCAGTCCATGCCAACCTACTTGCTATGTAGTCAAGCGCTGTCCTTCTGTCTGCCCTGAGCCAGTTTCCTGCCCATCTACCTCCTGCCGACCTCTTTCCTGCAGTCCAGGGTCTTCTGCATCTGCCATCTGCCGACCAACTTGTCCTAGGACTTTCTACATACCCAGTTCCAGCAAACGGCCTTGCAGTGCTACGATTTCCTACCGCCCGGTCTCCCGTCCGATCTGCCGCCCAATCTGCTCTGGACTCCTCACCTATAGGCAGCCATACATGACATCCATCTCCTACCGTCCTGCCTGCTATCGCCCATGCTACTCCATCCTGCGCCGCCCAGCCTGTGTCACTTCCTACTCTTGCCGCCCAGTCTACTTCCGCCCATCTTGCACTGAGTCTGACTCTTGCAAACGGGATTGCAAAAAATCCACTTCCAGCCAACTGGATTGTGTTGACACAACCCCCTGCAAGGTGGATGTCTCAGAAGAGGCTCCCTGCCAGCCCACTGAAGCCAAACCCATCAGCCCAACCACCCGTGAGGCCGCAGCAGCTCAGCCTGCTGCCAGCAAGCCTGCCAACTGCTAAATTGGCTTCAGCCCCCCAATTCTTGCAAGTCAAGCCACCAGCTAGAGACAAAACTGCACTGTCCTCCCCAAAGCTCATTATGACTTAGCTAGGAGCTCTTTCTTTCTGCATTGTTACTCACAATCGGCTTACCCCTCAAAGAACTCATCAGAAATGTCAGTATCCTGATCACTTAAATGAAGGCCTTCTGGACAGTGAGAGGGAGACATTCCAGGTTCTTGTCTTCTGCTACGATTAAGCTGAGAAGAGCTGCTTTGCCACATCATCTCGGGTCTCTTTCCTGCATGTAGTTTTTTCTGTCATCATGTATGTGCTCCCTTGCTATGCATGCTTGTGTTCCTTAGGGACTTCTCCAATCAGGTAAAATATGTAACTGTCCAATAAAGGTGGCTAAGCTGAAGCAACTTGCTGTTCTCCTTGCTCTTCCATTAATGCCATAGTCTCATCAGTGACTTGCTTCTTCTTTAACAGCAGCTCCATTCAACCATCCATCCACCCACCCATCCCTCTGGCATTATTAGACAGCAGCTAGGTGCCAGGGACTGTGTTTAGCTCTAAGAATAAACATAAGAAGTCTCAGTCTTTGTTCTCAAGAAACTCACTCTCTGGTGGGCAGCAAGACAATTATGACATTCCTTTGTGCCAAGTACTTGGAGATAAGCATAGAGCACCATGAACTCAGCAGAGCATAGTTGGGGAACAAGGAAAGAATTATTGGAGAATGTGATACTGGCATCGAGTCTTTCAGTATGAGTAGGAATTAACCAGTTACAAACAGGAAAGGAAAAACTTTCTAGGCAAAGGAGACTTGTACAAGTGAATGGGGCTTGAGGGCAAATTGTTCATTAGGTGAGGCATGGGAGAGTTGTTCTTTGAGGAATGAGCCATGAGGTCAGGTCGTAGACAGTGATCTGTCTATGTGGGGTCTTGCATGCTAGACAGAGGTATTTCGGTTTGATGCAGGGCTGACATGAAAGCATCAAGGGGCTGCATGCAAGGAGGTGACAGGAAGAGCACTGGTTTTGGAACATCCCTCTGGCCTTGGTTGGTGTGGAGAACTCAATGGAAGAACATGGTTCTGGATATAGAGAGACTGGGGAGGAAAGGAAGCCAATTGTTTTTGGGTCCACAGGAAGAAAAACAAGTGGGGATCAGGGATCATACTTACAACAAAGAAGGTTGGGTAACTTGGATTTCTTGTGTGAGAATTTTGTTTATGTTCTCCTACTTCCTCCAAGACACTCATAGGATAAATTCTGTATCTTACAAAATCCAAGGACAGAGTCTCTTCAAAGCAGTCACTCCCTACACTTAGTGCACAGAATGGAGGCCTATTCCTTGTCCTCAAGGGGCAGCTTGAGTCATCATGAGCACAGTGTGAGGGTCGACCAGGGCTTCTCAACTTCAGCATTATTGACATTTTGGGCTGGGCGATTCTTTGTTGTAAAGGCTGTCCTGTGAATTATAGGATGTTAAGCAGCATCCCTGGCCTCTATGAACCAGATTCTAGTAGCATCCTTTGAGGGTGATGATCACAAATGTCTCCAGACATTGCCAAACATTGCCTGGGAGTGCAAAAATCACCCCTGTTTGAGAACCACTGGGTCAGACTATGGCAGAGGGAGAAAGTCAAAAGCAAAACTTAATCACATTGGTGTTGGAGTTACTGTCTCATCAAGCCATTGGGATTTATCATTGTCTCCTTCCAGAGTCAAGAGGGGAGTTGGCCAGCCGGATGCTGTGGCTAAAGCCTATAATCCCAGCACTTCGGGAGGCCGAGGTGGGTGAATCACCTGAGGTCAGGAGTTCGAGACCAGCCTGGCCAACGTGGTGAAACCGCATCTCTACTAAAAATACAAAAATTAGCTGGTCATGGTGGCGCACGCCTGTAGTCCCAGCTACTAGGAGGCTGAGGCAGGAGAATTGCTTGAATCTGGAAGGAGGTTGCAGTGAGCCAAGATCACTTCACTGCACTCCAGCCTGGGCGACAGAGAGAGATTCTGTCTAAACACACACACACACACACACACACACACACACACAGGAGTTGGCTAGGGTTTTGAACCTCTGTGCCAAGCACTGGACTAAGCATTTCATATGGATTACAGCAATTCTTTGAAGTAATATGTATTCTCTCCTATTTTTTCACCTATACATAAGATGCAGAATTCGAAGGACAAACAATCCAAGTGCCCATCAATGGACAATTAAATTGTGGTATATTCACCCAATGGGATATTATACTGTGAAGATGACTGGAAAATGGCGACATGCAATAGCATGGATGAATCTTACTAACATAGTGTTGATTGATATAAACAAGCTCCAGAAAACCATACGTGTGTGTATATATTTATGTATATTAATATAATGTGTGTATATATATACACACACTCAAACATATATGTGTGTATTGTTCAAAAACCACAGACACACATATGTATGAGTATACATGCATTTATACACATATGTACACACACAAACACATATATATAAAGGGAGTGATAAAATTCACGATTGTCATGGCTAATAAGTAACATGCAAATGACTAAAACCCAGTTCTTTCCAAAGCCTAGGTTCTGTATGGATCATGATATGTCTCAATGTGGTCACAGGTGTCTTTGTTGATACACTAGGTGTTTTTAGTGCCTTGAACTACAGCAAGACAGATGTTCTTGCTATTAAGAGTTTCCTTTAGGAGAAAAGAAAACAAGAGCAGAATCACTTAGAGAAAAATGGATGTAGAATGGATTGCTTTAAAACTATAAAAGTGGTATAGGATATTGGACTGAAGTTGATGTGATTTTTCAAACATGCTCATGTTCCCAGTTTGATTGACATATTTGGTAAGACTGAAAGTATTAAATACATCCTCTGGGAAGATGAAGAGCTTTGGGGGTAAATATTCAGCAATAAAACACAGTGCATGGATTCCTGCAGATTGAAAGATGCCAACATGAATACAGACAAGAAGGAGGGCAAAAGAAGTGATCCATGGTGTGACATAGAAACCAACTGTGGGGAAAAAGGCATTTCAATGGCAGGGGAGAAGGTTTTCCAGACATTGTTCTGATCAAAAATGTTTCTCTTCTTTTTAAAATGGAGGTGAAGAGGGTGCCAAGGAGAAGGCATTTTGTAGCTGGGGGTTTGCAAAGTACCCTTCAGCGTTTTCAGTATTTTCAATAATTTGTGAAGCAACCAAAGCAAACAAACACCCACAAAAAACTAACCTGAGACATGACAACGCAGTTGATGAAATCGCCATACTTTGAAGACTTAGGTAATTAGCTAACATATTCAACAGAATGAGTTAGTGGCAGAGCCAGAAATCAAGGCCAGCCCCATCTGGCTCCCCACACCGTGATCTTTCCACTCCGTCATGTGCCTCCAGCGTGAACCGGCCAGAACGTTGGCTGGTGTAGAACACCGGACCTGGTTGGTGATGCGGAGCCAGGACAAGCCCGGAGGAAAAGCAGAAGGGCCAAGAAAGTCCCTCACGAATTCCTCTTGGAAGGGATTGGTTTAACATTAACACCACTTTACAGTGATTTTTTTTATTATCACTGCTGGCGTGTTTTTATTTGTATAGAATTCATATGCTATTGATGCCCTAGGGTGGGTTTGATACTTCCTGATGAAATATTTGGTAGTTTAAAAAATTTCCAAAATTAAAAGACTGTGTTTGAGTGTATTGATAAGTAGAGGTAAGTACTCACACCAGTGTGGTCTAGCTGCTGATTACAGTCACTGGAGTGGGCGGAGGATCCCCAGGATGGGGCCTGGGCAACCTGCTCACGAGCCAGTCTGTTGCCATAGGGGTGTCAGCCTGCAGCCACTATATCAGTGTCGCCTTCTCCCTGCCTCCCCAAAGTCAGGGGGTCTAATAGGTGGTTAAGATCAGGGGTTTGGTGGTCAGACAAAGCTAGGTTTGAATTTTGTTTCTACCCCTTTTCATTTGCATAATTTTGGGAACATGATTTAAACTCTATGAGTTTTGCCACTTCTGTTTTCTTCTTTTCTGTTCTAAAAAAATCTTGAGAGGAACCAATTTGGGGGAGATTTTAAGCTTCCTAAAAGGGCCAATGAAGTTTTATATTTTAATCTTAACTTTGTTTTAAACCTGGTTTCTTCTTTATTTATTACTTTTTTTTAGTTTTGCCACTTCTAACATAGTGATGACAATTATACTTACTGAAGTCATTGTGAGGATCCAGTGAAAAATGCAGCCAAGGACTTGATCTAGTAACTATGCAATAAATGAAAGCCATTTCTATTGTTATTATTAGTAATAGTACTAGTAAACAAGTTTCAGGAATGATAAATGGGAAGGTTTTAAAAAGAGGTAGAGGCACTTAAGTGTCCCTGGGTTCCTTGGACTAATTTTCCATTTCCCGTCTTGACATCCTCTCCCCAAACTGGGTCAAGGCTTCATTTCTGATTGAATGGTGCAAAGCTGCATTCCTGGAGGAACAGCAGGGCCACTCTGGCTTGGCAGAGGCCTCCTGATGAAAGGTTAGTGCCAGGAAAGGCCTGCTTCAGTGAGGCTGGAGAGCAACCTGTAAAAGAGACAGCTCATCCAAGAGCAGGAGCAGTGTCAACGAATCCAAATGCAGCGCAGAAAACTCCCGACTCAACAGACACCTTTTCAAAGTTGAAACATCTCCCAGGCTCCTGAAGCCTGCTAATCAGATGTTTGCATGCAAATGAGTAAAAACAATAACAAGGAAAGATGCTGCATGGCGTGCCAACACCCCTAGTGAAGGACTATAAAAGCCCCTCTGTATCGGATGTCTTTCCAATGCAGGTATACTGAGCTTGCAACTTCCCAGCAAGGTCAGCACCAGCACCATGGCAGACGGCTGTTGTCCTGGAAACACCACAGCCATTCCAGCTGTGCCCACCATCACCACATACCCAGTTAAAGGTGGATTTCGACATGCTCTCTGTTTGCCTAGTTCCTGCCACAGCAGAATGTGGCAACTGGTCACATGCCAAGAAAGCTGTCAGCCATCCATTGGTGCCCCAAGTGGCTGTGATCCTGCTTCGTGTCAACCTACCCGCCTTCCAGCAACGTCTTGTGTGGGTTTTGTTTGCCAACCTATGTGCTCCCACGCAGCCTGCTATCAGTCTGGCACTGGTCAGTCTCCTTGTCTGGTTAGCTCATGTCAGCCATCCTGCTCGGAATCTACTTGTTGTCAGGAAAAGTGCTGCGATGCCAGTCCCTGCCAGCAAAGCTCCTGCCAGGAATCTGTCTGCATGTCTGGATCATGTCAGGCAGCTTGTGGCCAATCAGTCTGCTGTGATGCTGGATCCTGCCAGCCATCCTGCTCTGAAGTGACCTCCTGTCCGGAAACTTCTTGCCTACCAACCATCTGTACAGCTAGTCCATGCCAACCAACTTGGTGCCAAGGAAGTTCATGTCAACCCGTCAGTGGTGAAGGCCAGCCCTGTAAATCAACTTATTATCAACCCATCTGCTATATTTTCAAGCCTTGCCAATCAGCCCTCTACATGCCTGTTCCCTGCCAGCCATCGACTTGTGTGTTCAGTTCTTGCAATACTACTTGCTGTGTGCCTTCCCATTGCCAGCCACCTCACTGCCAACTGGTTCCTTCCACATGCTTCATCTACCAGCCAGTGGCTAACTGCCAGGCCCCTTGTTCCACAAAGAACTGTTGCAAACCAGCTTCTTGTGACACTGTGATTTCTGGCCAACCAACTTGTGATGGACCCCCTTCCTATAACCAGAGTGGCTGCAAATCAGCTTGCTGTGTGACTGGTTTAGGCACATCACCCAGTAGTGGCTCCAATTGCTTGCCGACTTCATGCCAACCCAGCTGTGAGTCCAGCTTCTGCAAGGCAACACTTTGTTAATGGAGCCCTCTTCACACCTCCTCTGAGGGTCTGCGGCTGTCTATAAATGCATAGCCATCCCTGGGTGCCTGCCTCCCACCGAGTACAAATGCTGCCTGCTTTCTAACTTTACCCTGATTCCACCTTCACATTCTCTCCAGGTGCTGACCAGGGAACTTGTCCAGGCACGAAGAGATCCTTCTTAACCGAGAATAACCTTTCAGCAACCATGGACTACCACACTGCTGCTTGCATTTCCTGATGATGTCAATTCATTTCACTTTAGCAAACCCTCTCTTGTTTCTCTTTCTTGATGCTGCCTGGTCTTTCAGAAGACCTCGTTGCTGCCAGCTGCTAATAAAAATGTGACTGGTTAAGTATAATAAATAAGACTCCTGGAGTGCTTTCATTCCTACACACACCTCTATGTAGATTTCCTTCAGGTCACATTTGAACACAATGAGCCTGAGTCATCTAAGTCAGTGGGTCTGCATTGGTCTGCAAGGGTAGCTAGTGTCTAGGATTATAGATTCTCCAGCTGGACGAGAGTAAGGGCAAACAGTTCACTGGCTTCCAAAATTTTCACCACCAAGAGTTCTTTTGAGCTGAGTGGGCTCATTTTCCCTATAGTGAGTAGACAGGAAGCCAACAACAAAAATGGTTCTGGAAAGCCACAGATGAAAACAAACATGAGGTATTGGCCATAGAGAATAGCTTAGGGTTAATTCATTTAAGATTCTTTTTTTTTTTTTTTTTTTTTTGACACAGAGTTTCACTCTTGTTGCCCAGGCTGGAGTGCAAGAGCGTGATCTCGGCCCACCGCAACCTCTGCCTCCTGGGTTCAAGCGATTCTCCTGCCTGGGACATTGTGTCAGCTGGCTAAGGAGAAATATTCATAGGATCCCTTTGTATTATCATAGAGCAGGCAATGAAGGGTGTACCTGTAGGTGAGCAGCAATAATTTGGTAACTAGCAAACAAATCTTCATAGTTCACATTTTTCTGTCACTGAGGTATACTTTGGATCTGTAGAGAGACTATTAATTGTTTTATCCCCAGTTTTAGAATCACAAGGGTCGTAGTCTTGAAAGAAGGTTCTGGGTCAAAAAAGAGGGGGATGGCCATAAGAACAAAATCTAGCACCTGAACATGGAAGGGTCCAGGTGGAGAATTTCTACCTGCAGTTGAATTGACTAATGTCAGCACTGAATCTCTTCTTGAATTGAATTCAAGAAGCATTGAATGCTTCTTGAATCCCTAGATATAGGTGGGCTTATCATTTCAACAGTTCAAGTAGCTAGATCTGTTCTAGTCTTCTAATGGGTATTTTCCTTTTATTTCTAACTATGTATGGGTATTGCCTTCAGTACCTTTTCTACCCACACACATGCACACACATATAGATGCATACAGGTACACACACACACACTCAGATACAGATGCACACACATACATGCACACACACACTCACACACAGACACACACCACATTTCAACTTAGTTGTATGGCTGCACTTAAGGTTGATTTATTTGCTCCATGATTTACAATTGCCTATAAAACATGCCTAGCCAAACCTGAGTAAAGTGCACTAAAAGACTGATTTTAGCATTTTAGCCTTCCCCATCTAACTGGCCCAGCTGATATCACCCTCTTGTTCCCCCCTGCCCTTTGGATGACTCCTGTCCCAGTTTAAATGGTTGGACTTCTGTCCTTATGTCTTTATGACCAGTGCCCTGACTTTCTCCCAGATCGGGCCTTCTCCCCAACCCGAGGAGGGACCTTAGGATCTGCTCATAAACTTACCTGATGGTCACTGGCTGAGCATCTCTCGTTCCAGTCCTCTCAATCACTGTGATTTGAGGTTCTCAGTAGTTAAATAGGTCTTGCCAATATGTGTGGGACATTCTAAAAAAAACCTTACAGATGAAGGAAAACTAACCAAAAGAGCCCGGGAATAATGAGACATCAAGGTCACTGAAGGACAAGAGTATGGGCATTTGCCTTATGACCTGCTTGGAAATGCAACTCAGAGGAGGACTTCTATGGTGGTGGTGAGGAAAAAGCACTAGACCACGGCTCAAAGGAGAAGGCTTGAGTTGCATCCTGGCCACTTATTTACTGTATGACCTTATGTAACACCAGGGTGCTAATCTATAACACGAAGAAGTTAGTTTATTCTACCTCTGAGGGCTCATTTATTTACATGATCTTGTGAGTTTGTTGATGTGTTCTGTGAGGTTCTAAATATTCTCAAACTGATTAAAACTGAAGCCTCTTGTACTTCTGGAACTGATGGGGAAGAGATTTGGAAGGATATCTTTTTAGTATGCCATAAAATAAGAAATGTGATTGACTAATTTTGAGGTCCAAAAAGAAAATTAGAAACAAAAAGGAGGAGGGGGAGAGAGGGAACTTGATATCACAAAGGAAGTGCCATGGATGGAATGTCTCCCAGAAACGATCTTTGGGTGGACACCCTGTGCAAAACCTCTCTTGAGACATGAATGGAACTTCACGGAAGATGAATCCTTAAGTAAGCCTGTGAAAGAATTCTCAAAAGTATTATTTCTCAGAGATTTCAAAATTAAAATAACAATTACATATTACTTTACAGGTATTAGATTTGCAAAAAATAGAGTGCTATATCAGAGCCCAGCAAACTTATCCTGTAAAGGGACAGATATACATAATTTAGGCTTTGTGGGGCACATGGTCTCTGTTGCAACTACTGAATTTTGCCGTTGTATCATTGCATTATATCATTACATTTATAGACAATATGTAAGCAAATGAGTGTGGCTGGGTTCTAATAAAACTTTGTAAAAACAGGCTGGGGCTCTGTTTGGCTCATGGTGAGACGGGAAGAGTTTCCTTGTTCCCCTCGCAGGGCGTGCAACGGGGGCGTGGCTCGCTTCTTCCGTGCCCCACTGCTCACACTTCTAGGGGAAGCATGCAGATGGGCAGGCTTTGGGGCTCTGACCCCACGGCAGCGTCTAGGGGTGAGTGTTTACAGCTGAAGCCCCAGTGGGTGTGTGTACAGGGTACTCTTTCAGTTTAGCCTCCGTCCATAGATGGGTTGTGTTAGTTAGCTCAATTAGACCCCCTGCCTTATGGCAAGGACAGAGGGCTTTCTGTATCCCAGGGTTTCCTGCCTTGTTGTACTGGAGGAATCGGATCACACATGGGCTTGGAGAATGAGTGCAAGGTTTTATTGAGTGGAAGTAGCTCTCAGCAGACGGGGGAGCCAGAAGGGGGATGGAGTGGGAAGGTGGTTTTCCCCTGGAGTTGGGCTGCTCAGCCAGGCTTCCCTCATCCCGCCCCCGACAAACTCACTATGGTTCCCCCTGTCGATGGCCTGCCGTCCTGCTGGCGTCTGCCGCTGCCTGTCGGTGTGCTCTTCTGACGATTTGCTCCTCTCGGATGTCCAGCTGCCTGTGTCTCTTCCCACTAGGCACAGGATGAGGGCGTGGTGGGCCAGGGTGGTTTTGGGAAATGCAACGTTTGGGCACAAAAACAGAAATGCCTGTTCTTATTCATTCAGAAATGCCTGTTCCCTAGGTCCGTGGGCACAGTAGGGGTGGAGTCCTCACCAGGGACCCACCCTTCTTCTCCCAGCACTTCCCTGCCCCGCTCCTGTATCAATGGGCCATAGTTTTCTGACTCCTGTGCTATATAATGCCAAGTGTTGGTGGGAGTGGGAATTTACAGGAATTTTCCTGCATTGCTAATGGGATTGTTGGCTTGTTTGGCCACTCTAAAGAACAATCTGAAACTATTTATGTAAATTATGTAAGTGATGCTCCATGATCCAGCAATCCAACACCTGAGTGTGTATTTCCAGAAAATTCTCACACAGGTCCTCAGGGAGGTGTACATGTGGATGTTCACTATAGCATCCCTATGGTGGCAAAAACGTCAAAGGAAAGCTGGTGTCCAACACTGTGAAAGTGGGTAGGCAACTCGGTGATCCTCTTCATGGAGTATCATGCAGGAATTAATAACAATAGATTACATATACACACTGTAGCATAGATGGATTTTTAAAAATTCTGCTTAATGACAAACCAGAATGAGATATATTACTGATTGCTATTTACATAAAGTATATGTGTACTGAACAATACTTTATAAGGATATATACAAATCCATTAAATAAATTTAATATGCGTTGAATATACATTAGACAGAATAGCATAGTGGCCTATAGGAAACGAAGGGAGTAAAGGGAGAAGAAGAAGTAAATTAACTGATTTATAAGTACATAAAAAATAAATAAGAGAGGGACCATGCAAAAATCACAGATGATAATAATTCAATTATTTATAACTAAGGTCCCAAAAGAAAATTTTTTTAAAAAGGAAGAAGGAGAGAGAGGGAACTTGACACCACAAAGGAATTACCGTGGATAGAATGTCTTCCAGAAATGACATTTTGATGGACACCCTGTTCAAATTCTCTCTCCCACACCTTCCATGGAGATTTCCATCATGCTAGAGGAAGGATATGGCTCTGGGAAGCAGATGCACCTCATCTCATATTGCATAGACTTTTCAAGAATGCTTCTTACAAGAGGATGCAGACATTGTTTAGGAGTTATATTAACTTTAATAATTTGTTGATTGATACCAGGATTCTCAAGACACCTGAAACTTCAAATTTCATTTTATAATAGTTTTTTTTTTACCCATCTACCTCATAGTTTTTGTTGTCCCAATGACAGATTTCTCAGTTTTATAGGCAAGTGTGTTTACCGGCCATCTGCCAACATGCAAACTTCACATTCTAAACATGTCAAATGTGAAACATGAGTTGAGAAGCTTTGTGTCTTTAACCATGCTTGGCAACAGTTTAAATGACATAGCATGTATTTTCTCCTTTTAAGTTTGCTAGGGCTTGTCCATAAAACATCTGAATCTCCTCTAATAAGCAATGTTCTGCCAAGCCTGAACATGTAACTAAATCTTTCTTTACACTTATTTTCAGGGCAGGGAACAATTTTAAAAATACAAGAAAATTTTGAGAAAAATATTACAAGAACCTGCCTCTCCAAATTGGCATTTTCTTACTTCTGCTTTGGATCTTTAAAAAATTAATTGAAATGAAACATTATGCTTGTAAAGTTGAAGTCCCCTCTTCAGTCTTATTTCCCTTTTTTCATCTCAGATATAACTTCTATCATAATTTTATTGTATATTCTCCCAGTCACTGTTAATTTATATAAAAATATAAACATCTTATATTTATAAAGTATTTAAACAAGACCTAGTATGAAGGATTGCAGATTTAAGAATTTATGTATGTGATGTAAAATTATGCAATTTACTTTTTAAATTTCATTATTGCTTTTAAGAACTATGCATTTTGATACATGGACCTGTTTCATTATATTAGTTACCTATTGTTGCATAACAATTATCTCAAAACTTAGTGGCTGAAACAACAAAGTTTATTATCTCACTGTTTCTGTGGGTTAGAAAACTAGATGTGGCTTAGCTAGATACCTACAGCTTGGGGTCTTTTATGAGATGGTTGGTGAGGTGTTGGCTGGGGCTGCGGTCATCTCATGGCTCAACTAGAGAAGGATTCACTTCCAAGCTCATTTATGTGGACACTGGAAGGCCACTGGTTCACACCAACTGTTAGCCAGAGATATCAGTTCATTGCCTCATGGGCTTCTCCATACTCTGGCTGATTGTCCTCATAGCACAGCATCTGGATTCTCCCAGAGGAAGCGAAGAGAAAGGTGAGACTTGAACAATGAGAACACTTGGACACAGGAAGGGGAACATCACATACCAGGGCCTGGTATGTTGGGGGAGGGATAGCGTTAGGAGATATACCTAATGTAAATGACGAGTTAATGGGTGCAGCACACCAACATGGCACGTGTATACATATGTAACAAACCTGCGCATTGTGCACATGTACCCTAGAACTTAAAGTATAAAAAATAGATATATAATATATAAAATATATATTATAAAATATATATATATAAAGTATAAAATATATATATATATAATATATATATATAAGTCACAGTCCCTTTACAGCCTAACCTAATGATATGGTTTGACTGTGTCCTCACCCAAATCTCATCTTGAAGTGTAACTCCCACAATTCCCATGTGTCATGGGAGGAAACCAGTGGGAGGTGATTGAATTATGAGGGTGGGTCTTTCCTACACTGTTCTCGTGATAGTGAATGAGTCTCACGAGATCTGATGTTTTTAAAAAGGGGAGTTTCCCTGCACTAGCTCTCTTCTCTTGTCTGCCACCATGTGAGACATGCCTCTGTTCAAGCTGGCAATTTGTTTGTATATATAATTTTTAGAAAAAATTTGTGGTTCTCCTGTGAATCTTCTTGGAGTTTACTCTATTAGACAAAAGTTACTACCACAGATCATCTAGAGATAAACACTTGGACCCCTGATGTAATAGCTGAGGACAATGCCCTTAAGTTTCCTAGAAGCCTCTTTGACTTATCCGAGAGTGTCTGTGAGGTTCTCACTTAATATTTTTTTTTTTTTTTTTTTTTTTGGAGACAGAGCCTCACTCTGTCACCCAGGCTGGAGTGCAGTGGCGGCGACCTTGGCTCACTGCAACCTCCGCCTCCCTGTTTCAAGCGATTCTCCTGCCTCAGCCTCCCAAGTAGCTGGGACTACAGGCGCCCACAACCATGCCCGGCTAATTTTTGTATTTTTTAGTAGATAGGGGATTTCACCATATTGGCCAGGCTGGTCTCGATCTCCTGACCTTGTGATCACCCGCCTCGGCCTCTCAAAGTGCTGGGATTACAGGCTTGAGCCATTGCGCCCGGCCTCGCTTAATATCTTTAGAGGGGCTTTTGTATGTAGCTGTTCCCCATTTTTCATTTTTGAAATGAAAATAATTTTCTAATTTTTGACTTTCTCAGATCTTAAAAAATCTTATAGCCACACGTTAGCTTTATCTTTAGGGCATGATTTCTGGTATATCTGAATTTCTCTGGCATTGTCTTCAATTTGATATTTGCTTAGAAGTCATTTTTAAACTTTAGCATTATTTGCCATTGGAGAGGCTGAGAATTTTCAAAACAAACAATACTGTCCAGGATCCTTTTTTTTTTTTTTAATCAGCCCTTCTCTCAATTTATCTTTCTCTTCTCACATTTTATTATAGTCAGCAAGAAGAAATCAAAGAACACCTTCAAGACTTTAGTTGGAAATTTCCTTAGTTAGATCACTCAGTTCACCAGGAACCTTTCTACTTTTGCCTCAAAACTGCGGATGACAGAGTACTTTCTGCCACTGCATAGCAAGAATTTTCCTTTCTCCAGTTTCCAATATGCTCGTGGATTCTGTGGGTCAGGAATTCAGCCAGTGCACAGCAGAGAGAGCTTGTCTACAATCTGAGATGTCTTGGACTTTGGTTGGAAATATCCAAATGGCTATGGGCTAGAATCACCTGGAGGCTTTCTATGTAGGGACAAGTTTCCCCAAATCTAAGAATACAATTTTTTTTCCTCTGGGGTTTTAAATATATCAGTTTTGCAACAATTCCTGTCTTTGGGAAGGAAACATCCTTTCCTTATTACTGTATATGGTATTCCCTTTAGCTCTGAAGGATGGTTTGGCAGAAAGTTGTTAACTAAGTGTAATAAATCTTATGGAAAGAAATACTCTGGTTAGTTTCTCATCTGGTTCCATTTTTGTGATAATGAGGATCAGGAAATTATTCTGGTAATGAGTGACTGGGATGGAGGAAGGGGAAAACTCATGGCTGGTGAAGAGGTCAACGAACTGAGAGATCAAGATGTTTGATGAATTATCCTTATGGAAGTTGAATTCACTAAAAAAAAGAGACAGGCCTAGAGGAGAAAAGAAAGACAGTGACCCACAAATAAATGGGTGGAATTGCCTGGAAACTGATGAAAACAGCCAATGGGAAGGATAATGGCAGTTAAATCGGGTGGTGTAAACTTTGAAAACAACTAAAGTCAAGAATGGCTTTGGTAATGGCAAAACCACTCTGAGATGTAGGTTTCCTACTCTGACGGGTACCTTGGTTAAAATTCAGGACAATGGTCAGAACTTGTATGATCATTGCTTTCATAAGTCTTTTTTTTTTTTTGAGACAGAGTCTCACTCTGTCGCCCAGGCTGAAGTGCAATGGTGCAATCCTGGCTCGCTGCAGCCTCCGCCTCCTGGGTTCAAGCAATTCTGCAGCCGCAGCCTCAGCCTCCCAAGTAGCTGGGATTACAAGTGCATGCCACCACAACTGGCTAATTTTTGTATTTTTACTAGAGATGGGGTTTCACCATGTTAGCCAAGGCTGGTCTCAAACTCCTGACCTCAAGTGGTCTGCCTGCCTCAGCCTCCCAAAGTGCTGGGTTACAGGCATGAGACATGCCTTCATAAATCCTTAATGACTTAAGGAATCTTGCATATCAGTTGATCAAATTACCCATTTATTTACGCAAGCATTCTGTGACATCCCTATTAGTTTTTTTGTCTGTGTTTTCCTGTCTCCAGAGAATAGGGCACACGACTTCCCAAGAAAACATGTGTCTCTCTAGTCAGCTCCAGGAATGACTTTTCACTTATTTTTGCTTAAATCGGTCGTCTTGTTTCTTGACCCTATAAGGCCACACAGGACACATCTAATCCATCTTCTACATTAAGTCTTTCCCTTCCCCCAAAGATCTTCTTTTCTCTGGGATAATTATCACTGGATACCATCATTTTTCATTATGTGACTTGAATTCCAGTCCTATTCTCAGGATAGTTGCTCTACTTGCAAGACTTTCCAATTATTCAATATTCCTTTAAAAGGGGCATGATCAGAGCCTAACTCACGATCAAATTATCTGTTAGCCAGTACAGGATAGGGAATAGCCATCCTCTTCTTTTGAGTATAGTCCATATTTTCCAGGTCATGTCTGCCTGATGATATAATTAAATACTATTCTTTTGTTTGTTTGTTTGTTTTTGAGACAGAGTCTCGCTCTGTCACCCATGCTGGAGTGCAGTGGCGCGATCACCACTCACTGCAAATTCCGCCTCCGGGGTTCACGCCATTCTCTTGCCTCAGCCTCCTGAGTAGCTGGGACTACAGGTGCCCACCACCACGGCCGGCTAATTTTTTGTATTTTTAGTAGAGACGGGGTTTCTCCGTGTTAGCCAGGATGGTCTTGATCTCCTGAACTCATGATCTGCCTGCCTCAGCCTCCAAAGTGCTGGGATTACAGAGATCTCCGCCCTGAAGAGGAAATGTGCTGGTATTTGAATGTCTAAGTCCCTATTTAGTGAGGTGGCATTTGTCCTCCTGTAGGGGCAACCTCTACCACTGCTCAAAGGTTTTCTGGTCCCTGTATTGATATCCTTTGTTCCTGCTTTTTTTTTTGACCGAATTTTGCTCTTGTCACCCAGCCTGGAGTGCAATGGTGCAATCTCGGCTAATTGCAACCTCCCCCTCCCAGGTTCAAGCGATTCTCCTGCCTCAGCCTCCTGAGTAGCTGGGACTACAGGCATCCACCACCATGCCCAGCTAATTTTTGTATTTGCAGTAGAGACAGGGTTTCACCATGTTGGCCAGGCTGGTCTCGAACTTCTGACCTCAGGTGATCCTGCCCGCCTCAGCCTTCCAAAGTGCTGGGATTACAGGCATGAACCCCTGCGCCCAGTATGTTCCTGCTTTTGAATGCCTGTTTCTAAGTTCAGATTTCTACTCCAGCCATAATGATGTCCTGACCGCCACTGCCTGGAAGAGGGAATTCTTCAGGTTCAGGTTTAATATTAGCTTCAGAAGTATGGCTTGTTAGTTTGAGTCCAAGTTAACAATACTGTCTCCTCCTAGCAATCTCTAGATGCTCTGAGCATCTGCAGAAAAGACTGTCCAGTGAGTCTGCCCCAAACTGTCTGCCTATCTGCCCCTCTAGCCCATCTCTTATCCAGGGCCTCAGTTTGAATTTAGGATCAAGTTCTTATTATTATTGGATAAAGTAAGACAGTGACATTAGAATAAAACATGTCTTGGCAAATTGTCACTGAATTGAATCCACCTTTCTGCAATGTTTTCATAAGCTACGATGAGAGTCCTTTTGAAATGCTCTGCTGAAATCCAGATTCATTTTGTACTGAATTTCGTTTATCAATGAATCTAGCAAAAATAAAAAGTTATTTTACATGGGTTGGTCTAAGTGGTACCATGTTTTATTTTTTGGCATTCACAAAAGATCATCTGAACAATTTATTCTAAAGTCTTTTTCTAAGATAAGATCAAGCTGATTGGTGTATGGTTTGCAGAAACTTGAAAAATTGGGATGGTCTTTGCTTGTCTCAACACGTTGAGTAGCTCTTGTTCTCTAACATTCCTCAAATATCAATATGTGGTTTATTTTCAGTCTCTAACTGCTCTGGGACCTAATGTGCACAGCATGCAGTGACATGAATTTATTTAGAGAATCTAAGCATTTGCAAAATTGATTTGTCCTTATCAATGTTTAGTCATTTTTCCAATTCAATTATTTCCTATTGTCTGAAAAGATAGACACCAAATAAGAGTGTTTCTAGCATAACCTTCACAGTCTTTGTGCCATACGCCACCGGGAGATCTCAGATCTTCTCTCAATCCCTGCTCTCAGCCTGAAATAAGGAGGCCAGGTTCCTTTTATAAGCCCAGATTTTCCTTGCCAGATACTGACATATTTACAGTTCATGGATCATGAATTGGATGAAGGGTGGATACAAATGCATCATACAAAAAATGCAACATCACACTGAGGAGCTTACTTCATATTAAACTTCTTTTAGTGCTTATAGCTCTCTTTATTCAGATCAAAAGGAATTAAAATCTGTCGCTCTTGTTGCAAGTTTTCTCATTTCAGTTCAGAAGGAAACATTTCAATTTTTCTTTTGTTATAAAAGTAACCTGTGCTTGAGGGGGAAAACAATGTAGGAAAAAAAATGGGAAGTCCTAGTTTCCAAACACCCCATCCACATCCCCCTCCCCAGGGACAAACTACTGGTTACTGCTTATTATGCCCTAATCTTGGTTTTCTCTTTCTCTTTACAGATGGTTGGTTACTATTCTCATTAGAAAGACTGAAGAAAAGGCTGGGCACAGTGGCTCATGCTTGTAATTCCAGCATTTTGGGAGGCTGAGGCGGGTGGATCATCTAAGGTCAGGAGTTCAAGACCAGCCTGGCCCATGTGGTGAAACCCTGTCTCTACTAAAGATGAAAGAAAGAAAGAAGGAAAGAAAGGAAGAAAGAAAGAAAGAAAGAAAAGAAAGAAAAGAAAGAAAGAAAGAAACCGGGCATGGTGGGCACCTGTAATCCCAGCTACTTGGGAGGCTGAGGCAGGAGAATTGCTTGAACCCAGGAGGTGGAGGTTGCGGTGAGCCGAGATCGCACCATTGCACTCCAGCCTGGGCAACAGGAGCGAAACTCTGTCTATTAAAAAAAAAAAAAAGACTAAAGAGAAATAAGAGGAGCGTTGATTTCTATATCGCAAGCACAGTACAAGATTATCAGTACAAAGCAATAGGCCTTTTCCTGTTTAATGGCATACTCACTTTGTTTACAACCATTTCATTAAAAAACACATTTTCACCATGTTTTCTGCTGTTTTGTTTTTGTTTTTGTTTTTGTTTTTTTCCAACCAAAAAGCATCTGGAGCTTCTTTCATTCTTCTCATGGACTCCTACCATCCCTGTTTAATGACTTGTTCACGAATCTTTCTTCCTAAGGCTAAACCTTTGAAGTTGTAGCTATGCAGTTATTTTTGATCTACAAAAATGGAAACTTCATATGGCTCAAACTCGTATTCTCTACTTGGCCTTTATTTTTTATTTTTTTAAGTAGAGATGGGGTTTCACCACGTTGGCCAGGCTGGTTTTGAACTCCTGACCTCAAGTGATCTGCCTGCCTTGCCCTCCCAAAGTGCTGGGATTACAGGCACAAGCCACCACGCCTGACCTACTTGGACTTTTTCAATCAAATCCCAGCCCATAGCTCCTTATAACTCCCTCTGGCATCTTTATAGTATACTGAAAAGTATTTTAAAAGGCCTTAGGATACTAATCACACACAGTAAAGTATTTTAAAAAGAATTAAGTCAACATAAGCCATCTTTTCTCCCAGTGTCTATTAGAATGAAATTTCCCCTGTCATTTTTCTGATTGTTTCCCTATCTATTTAATAACTAGGGTACACGTCAGACTTGTCCTGAGAAGTTCCATTCCTGAGGAAAAGCTATGCATGATTGTCTTATTTTGGAAATCTCAAATGTGGGATTCGTGTAATGGGCTTTGATAAAGGATGTTAAGGGGCAAAGTTAAGGCAGCCTTGTAAAGGTCAACTTGGAAACTAAATATCAGTAGGGAGTTATCTCAGTGGCTATAAGTTAAGACAACAGAATAAAAACTGATATTTGAGACATAAAAATGGCCCAAAAGATGGGTGTAATGAGCCCATGAGTCCCCAGTATAACATGAAACTTGCCCATCTGCGTGGTGTACGGCATTTGGTGTTACTCATGTTGGTCTCATCAGTTTGCCCACCTAAATAAATTCATCTTACAACAATAGTTCTATAACATCTAGAAGTAAGTTCCCTCCTGTAGCCCACTTCATCAGAAACTTCTTGGCAACACCTGAACCTAGCTGGAACTGGAAAAATATTTGATGGTAGTGATTTCCTGATAAATAGTCTAGAGCTGTTGCAAACAAAATCCAAGGATTGCTCTTTTTAGACACAGTCTTGCTCTGTCGCACAGTCTAGAGTGCAGTGGCTTGATGTTGGCTCACTGCAACCTCCGCCTCCTGGGTTCAAGCGATTCTCCTGCCTCAGCCTGCCGAGTAGCTGAGATTGCAGGTGCGTGTCACCACACCCCACTAATTTTTTGCATTTTTAATAGAGACGGGGTTTCACCACATTTGTCAGGCTGGTTTTGAACTCCTGACCTCAAGTGATCCACCCACCTTGGCCTCCCAAAGTGCTAGGATTACAGGTGTGAGCCACTGTGCCTGGTTAAAGGGTTGCTGTTTAAATGAACTATTTGCTTATGCTCTAAGTCAGCATGGATGGGATCCATAGATCTTTCCCGAAGTCTTAAAAATTAGTCTCTTGACTTAGTGGCATGGGAATAGATGTGAAAGAACTTTGTTTTTTTAAAAATATTAATTAATTAATTAATTTTTGAGACAAAGTCTTGCTCTTTCACCCAGGCTGGAGTGCAGTGGCGCGATCTCAGCTCACTGCAAACTCTGCCTCCCAGGTTCAAGTGATTTTCGTGCCTAAGCCTCCCGAGTAGCTGGGAATACAGGTGCACACTGCCAAGCCTGGTTAATTTTGTATTTTTAGTAGAGACGGGTTTTGCCATGTTGGCCAGGCTGGTCTCGAACTCCTGACCTCAAATGATCCTCCTGCCTTGGCCTTTCAAAGTGCTGGGATTACAGGTGTGAGCCACTGTGCCAGGCCAAAATGGGAAAAAGCTTTGTAAAATATAAAATATCCTTTAAATTTAAGAGCTTATGAAGGATATACTGCACACATAATCTAGGTCACGAAAGGATATGCAAGATGAGTATAGATTACTAGGTGATAAATTGGGAAATGCCTTAGTTGCAAAGAAGATAATTCAAATTATAAATACAATGAAGAAATGTGCAGGAAAGATATTTTAGAGGTGGCAAAATTAACCAGTTATTAAGACAATCAGCAGAGGTGGTGGACAGGGATGGTGAATCTCATGCATGTCCAATTTCTAGTGATACTCATTAGTTAAATCCAAACCCTCACTAGTGGCCATGAAGTCCAATGTTTCTTTAAAAAGGCAGTAAGGACCAATGAAGATTTTTTTCCTTGTCCATAGTTTAGTCAAGCTTCTGAACCTTCTCATAGGCCCATGGGTGCACTTCCTTGTAAAATCCAGTTTTGTAAAATTTTAGCAAAGAGCCCTGCTAAATAGGTTTAGCAAGAACTCCCCATCCTCGATATCTGATCACCCTTAATAGCGGATCAGATCTCTTATCTGCCACCATTCTCCAAGTGATGTTTGATCACCCTCGCCTGTCTTCAGCAAGAGCACTTTTAGGTCAGTTTAGCCAAAATTTCCCTACTGGTGATGCTTCCTCTTAGTAATTTTCCATCCACTGACCGCCACCCTGCTCCTTGGCTGTAAATTCTCACTTGCCCATGCTATGTTAGGAGATGAGTCCAATCTCTGTCTCCCAATGCAAGACCCTGTTATGGTGGTTCCTTTGTTTACTGCAGTGTTCCTGAATAAAGTCTCCCTTACCAGGCTTTCACAAGTGCCATTGAATAATTTTTTTTTTAACAAGACTATGATGAATTTTTAAAAGCCAAATCCCTATTGTTTCCCTGATAACATATTATTTCACCAGAAAAATAAATATAAGAAATTCATTTTAAATGTATCTCAAACCATCAGAAAAGGGCTTAACCTTATTGAACTGAGCTACTAGGAAAGAGGAGGAAAGAAGAAGAGTGGAAACCATCGGTCATTCAGTGCAAGCATGTCCGGCTGTCACCAATAAGCTAGCTGTACCTGTCTTAGGACAGAGCTGTATGAAGGAAGTTAATATTTACCAGTTAAAAGAAAAACGAAAGAGGAAAACAGTGATTCAGCACTAAACAGAATTAAGAGTCAGTCATTTGAAATATAGAAAGCCCTAGAAATACCATTACAAACAACAATAATAACAATAAGCCCCCTATTGTATAATAACAAATTGTGCAATAGGTAAAAGATAGATTGTTTAAAGTCTTCTTGGATGTTGTAAGTTATTTTCAGGGCCAAAAAGGAAAAAACTGCTCTTGCAATTCAAGTTCGGGTATATATTTTGCAAATGCTGGCATGCTCAATGCTTCCTGAAGGAGAGGGAGCTATCCTTATTTTGATCAGTTCAGATTGAATGAAAATTTTCTCTGATGCTAATATAGATCCAGTCTCCCAAATTTTAGGTTCCCCACGATTCTTCAAACATCACCAATAAGAGTTCAATGTTCTTGGCTGGGTGTGGTGGCTCACACCTGTAATCCCAGCACTTTGGGAGGCCAGTGTGGGCCTCCCAAAGATCATGAGGTCAAGAGATCGAGACCATCCTGGCCAACATGGTGAAACATGGGCATGGTGGCGGGCACCTGTAATCCCAGCTACTCAGGAGGCTGAAGCAGGAGAATTGCTTGAACCTTGGAGGTGGAGGTTGCAGTGAGCCGAGATCGCACCACTGCACTCCAGCCTGGTGACAGAGCGAGACTTATCTCAAAAAAAAAAAAAAAAAAAAAAAAAAAAAAGAGCTCAGTGTTCAATGTTCTCACTTGGAAGATGTCTCAGTATCTGAGAAGTAGTTTGTCCACGGTCAGGAAACTAGAACTCATTTAAAGAAACTAAATTCTCTCCTATGCTGTTTACATCCATTTGGGGCCACTATTCCCCTTTCCAGCTGTCCTTCTACACAATTCTGTTCAAATATTATTCTTTGAATATATAAGTAATATTAAGAAGTCCTCCTTTCTTATGTCTTAATCATAATTTTACCAGTAGATCTTAAATGAAATCCCTTATATTCTTATCATCACCTATTTGTGTAGGTACAGTTCTTTCATAGTGGACTTAATGTTGGTCTTAGTGAGTGGTTTGTTTTATATATTAAGTATACTTATGCTTTGCTATATTTATTACTATTGGGCACTTAAAGGGGAATGCTTGGAAAAAACTGGGTTGATTTTGCTAGGAATCAACCTTAAAGGGCAGAAGATTATTGAAATTTGACCCTTTCCATCTTAATCTTTGTTCCAAGCAGGAATCTGACTGGGGCTGAAGAGCTTGGTTTTTACCTTGTCCTTATCTTGCATAAGGAATGCTTTTGTTTAGAAAGAGGATCTGAAGGTTTTCTGGTCTGGGACAGGCCACAGCCACTGTGGAACGCAGTGATAATAAAGGATGGATAAGGCTTGCATGCTTTCCTTAGCGAGTTTATACAATCTATCCAATTTAGGCTTTCTTGATTTATATTCTAGAATAATGTCTATATTTGTTTATTTAAGTGGGAATCATTTTAATTTTATTTCTGATTTTTAATCCTATATTTTCTGCATTAGTTATCTCCAAACCTACAATTTAATTAAATTTATCCCAGCGTTTGATCTTAGAATATAACATTCATTCTTGTTTCCTGCATATTCACAAGAAAAATCCCAAGCTGTGTTATCTGAACCATCTGTCAGAAGAGGTTCCAAGGAGAAGGTGTCCAGTGATGAAAGAGCCGAGTTTTCCCTATTTTGAATGTAGGAAACACAGGCTGGTTTTTCTGAAATTAATCCCTGTTCTTTCCATAACAATATTACATTGCACTAGAGGGCCTAACCTAGGGATTGTCTTTTATGTGTAATTCAAATTCTAAGAAGAATAAATTAATTATAGTCCAATCACCACTATAACTCACAGCAGGGAGGAAGGAAGAAGTATGTGGTGTGTCACTCATAACAGGTTGGTGATGTTAGATTATAATTAGATGAACAAAGACACACACAAAATCATAAGAGTCAACCCAACACTCTGATGATAATTCTACATTATCACTATGATGACAACTCTGTATCACACAGTAATCTTTTTTTAAAGACTTAGTGAGATAAGAAAGATAAACAAAGCCCAAGTTATCCTGACATGCAATAGAAATATTACAAATAGTCAACAGATATGATGGTAGACATGAACTAAACCAAATATAAATTTCATCATGGATGCTCACCATGCAATGGTGTGAATGAGAATGCATTGGTACAGTCAGATATCATCCAAGACTTGGAACCTATGTTCAAAACGATCAAAACCAAATTATGTAGCGTCACCTTAAAAAGATGTATGCATTCAAAGTCTGAGGAATTGATTCAAGTCTAATTGAAGATGTAAAAATGTGAAAGTTAAATTAGAGTATTGTTGAACCATGGAAAATCAGGGTTAAGACAAGTGCTGGGGTGAATGTTGGCAGTGTGCCTCCAGGCAACTGCCCACAGGAGAGGGACTATGAATTTTCAATTTCCATTGGTGAGAACTATTGTGAAACGAACATGTCAAATGCCATTCAACATTTAGTTTATATAACTTCCTGTCTGATTCCTTACTCATGTGGTGTTTTAGAAGTTCCTGTTACTTAATTCTCCTGTAATTTAATAAATAGGCATCCTTGCTTTTTGGGCTTGGCTAACAGGTGTCTGCTCTAAGACGTGGCTTAACCCTTAGAATGTAAGCAAAATCAGGTCTCTGAGTCTGCAAGGCTAAAGGCCAGAACCAGGTACATTTATCAAGGGTTGTGAATTCTACCTTGCATGCCATTGGGGAGATAGTCCTTATTTTTTTTTTTTTTTTATCTCCAAGGGAATGCCAATTATCATGACAGTGTGTATGCTTTCTTTAAAGCATTATGTATGTGAATGCTTACGGAGTTCAGAGAATAACAACCTGTTAGCAATTAATTAATCAAATAATGATGGGGCAAGACAGAGTGTTTAAGGATCTCAAAGAATCTCAGGCATGGAAGGAATCCTAATAAACTTCCTGCCATGTGTTGCCAGATCCAATGCTTAAGTGTCTAGTAAATGGAAATTCATACACCCGGGGTGGTCTGTTCCATTCCTAGGAAGATCTTTTAAAGAGCTTTTAGAGAATTTCTGTACTCACTCTAGACCCCCTGAACTTTTTCCTCATTAGAAGCATCTGTGACTAAGCAATCAGAATGGCTTTTCTGAGCGCTTCCCTACCCTTAGCTCCATCCTCTATTCCAGTGCCCTTTGCTGGAAAATCACATTCATGTTCCTGTAAATAGCCAATTATCTTCCTGCTCTGTAGAATGCAGTTCCAGCCAAACAAGCATTTCCTTGCCTTGCTATCACAAATTTTTACATGGTCCTTTTGCAGCAAGTTTATCATCACTAACCTTTGCTTACCAAGTCCTTCTCATTGTTAAAATCTAGATCAAGGTGGTTTACCTGGTTGCCTAAGAACCTTCTGCTCAATTTTAGTGATTCTGAGGTCCCCACAAAATAGCTAGATTGTTGGATGTTCCTTCATCCCTTCTCCTCCCATGTGTGCTGGTTTTGTGATCTGCCTTTGCAATGTATCATCAATTTCCTGTGTTTGGCCAGGAAGACTGCAGTATGTCCACACAAAGAGAGCTCATGGGTTCATCTTCCCTTCTTTGTTCATGCACAGGTTTTCCACTGTGGAAGAAGGCAGGAAAGTCTGGGCCATGAGGATCGAAATCACATAGATGAGTATTTGCATCATGCCTGTTCTGCTACCTACAAGCTGCAGGCTTTGGGGGAAGTACTTAATATATTCCAACCATGTTTTATTGTTTCTGCATTTACATTTTTGGGGAATTTTTGTACCTGAGTTCTTTCAGTATCACCCCTGTTGTTCTACTTGGTAAATTGATTCATGGGTTCAAAATGGAAGTTTTTTATTTCCTTCCCTCTCTGATTCGTTGCTAAGATACAATTCTGTTAGATACAGTCGTCATGAACCACCCTTCCTATATCATTAATAATATAGGCTCACCTTCCTCACTTCTACTGTATAAATTTTGTCTCTTGTTTGTATTCTTCCCGAAGCACAATAAAGGTGAGGATGTTGAATGTCTCGTTCACTTCTGTAATCACAGCACCTGGCACAGTACTTAACACACAGTAAGTGCTCAATAAATCTTATTTAAATAAAGGATTGTTTTAATATCCAGATGTAAGTCTTTATTCTTATTCACTCTCCCGAAGTCCCAACTATTGGTAGAATAAGGAAATGAGACTGTGTGAGGGTACCAAGTAATTTGCTGTCATATTCAAGACTCCATAGACCCGGTTATGTCTCTAGACTGGTAGGGGCAGGGAGCATAGCACACACAGTGAGTGTAGTGTAGACAGCTTAGTGTTTGAAGCCAGGTCAACTGTTAACTGTACAACTTTGAACAAGTTCCTTCATCTCCCTTAGCCTCTGTTTCTTCATCTGTGAAATGAGGAAAATAAAACATTGGTGGATTATGAATTAGAAAAACCTAGACTAATACCTGTAGTTACTCAGTAAATGGTAGTGCCTCAGCTCATCCTTGAATGCATCAGGAGAGCAAGCACTTAGCAAGTCAGACAACATGGAAGCCTCTTTGGAAAATCCCTCCACCTTCTTAGATTTCCTAAGACCTAACTACTATGTGATAGCTCAGGCCACAGAATATTATTTTTCCCCTGGAGCCAGTATCTGTTCTTTTTTTTCAAGAAATATCTTGGTATCCTCTTTGGTGTTCAGCTCTTCGGAAAGTCTAGCTCCCACTTTGGGGGACTACAATAACGTCTATTGTCATTATATCCAGTATACTTTTTAAGAGTGACCAGTTTCCTTTATTTTCTTTCTCAAATCCTTATGTTTTCTTTTTCTAATACTCTGATGTTGAATCTCCTCTGCTTCAACTTTGCCTCACAACATTGAGGCACTGGTTGGATCAAAGCATTATATACCCATTGCTCAGTTACTTCAATTCTGAGGATTCTGTAAATATGCACTACCCTTATAATCCTCTGATTGAGAAGCTAGGTTGATCCAGCATTTGGAGCACAGAAACTGTGTCTTGTGCGCATTGCAGGGTGTTTCTTAGTCTTTTTTGTTCAAGTATTCTGCATTTTTAGGTAGAAAAGTGACCTACATGTACAAGACATTTCATTTTCATTTGTCAACAAGCAACTCAAATCATACACCTTCCCTAAAACTCAGACACCAGAGTTATTTCTACTTGTATTAAAATCTAAATAATAATGCCCTGGATCAAGATTCAGAACATCTGGGTATTGGACTTAATTCTATCAATTTCTAACTGTATGACCTGAGGCCAGTGATTTTTCCCATTTGTAATGTGCAAATGATAGTCTTTGCTTTGCCCACCTTGTGGGGTTACTATGAGATTAGAAGAGATAATAGGAAATACAATACACATGCAAGGCCTTTTAAAGGAATAGCTGTGCAGAACAAAACCCCAATGTATGGTCCATGACAGGAAAGACTTTAGGAAGATAATTCTTTTTTTTAAAATAATTTTTTTATTATACTGTAAGTTTAGGGTACATGTGCACAACATGCAGGTTTGTTACATAGGTATACATGTGCCATGTTGGTTTGCCGCACCCGTTAACTCGTCATTTACATTAGGTATTTCTCCTAATGCTATCCCTCCCCCTGACCCCCACCCCATGACAGGCCCTGGGGTGTGGTGTTCCCTGCCCTTTGTCCAAGTGTTCTCATTGTTCAATTCCCACCTATGAGGGAGAACATGCGGTATTTGGTTTTCTGTCCTTGTGATAGTTTGCTTAGAATGATGGTTTCCAGCTGCATCCATGTCCCTGCAAAGGACATGAACTCATCCTTTTTTATGGCTGCATAGTATTCCATGGTGTATATGTGCCATATTTCTTAATCCAGTCTATCACTGATGGACATTTGGGTTGGTTCCACGTCTTTGCTATTGTGAATAGTGCCGCAGCAAACATACGTGTGCATGCGTCTTTATAGTAGCATGATTTATAAGCCTTTGGGTATATACCCAGTAATGGGATTGCTGGGTCAAATGGTATTTCTAGTTCTAGATCCTTGAAGATAATTCTAACTGATTATGGAGGTGAGAAGCAGGACACAGGAATAATGAGTACATTGATATAACGTGGTTGATATTGGGCGTTTGCAGCAATATTGATCAGTTGCAGAGACTTAAGAGAACAGTCTTAGGGATTTGATATTTTAAGATTGTTAGAGGGAAAAGGGGATGACAATTTTTCCTTGGCTGAGATCTTGAGTTCATGTCAAGGATCCATGAAGATGACTAGCAGCTGGCACTCTGATATATAGGAAATAAGGAAGAGAAAAATCAAAGTGAAGCCAGCTCCACTTCACTAAGCAGCCTCACAATTTAACAATATAACACATCAAATGTTTGGCAACAGTATGTTGGTTGTCAACAAAGTCAGGGGAGTGGGAGTTAGTTCATTGGTAAGGCTGGTAGCAGCTGGACTCACAGTAGGTGGGCTGGCAGCAGGGTGGGCTGCAGCAGGTGGTCACACAGACGGTCCTGTAGCAGGTGATTGCACAGCAAATTGGGCCACAGCAAGGCGGGCGGGAGCTGGACCCACAGCAGATGCTCCTGTAGCAGGTGGTCTTGCAGCACATAGGCTGGCAGCAAGGGGAGCAACACTGGGTCATGATGTCAGGGGTGGAGGGTGGGCTCCTGTTTAGAGGTAAATTTCCCGGAATCTGATGACTCCTTCCAATCTGGACCTTCTATACACTAAGCCTCCAAAGTTTCCACCAATCAGCAGGACTTTTCCTTGTTGTTGTTTACATTGTTTTCCGTAGTCAGTTTGGGATTATTGAAGAGGATGTTGTTTCCTAAATATTATAGATCTTCTGAGAGTAAGGGCTTAATCTGTTTCTTAATTGAGAATAACTGTTAGAAACTTTGTTTCAGATAAAAGGAAGGTGGTCACATCATTGACATCCTTCCTGCTCTGGTCATCATGTGGTCATGTGATAGTTCCTACTGGCCTTGGAAGGTCAGGGCAGGTGTCTCTCCCCAGCTTGTTCTTTGGGGAGTGTCTGTGGGGAGGAGCATGATGCTGATAGGTTCACAGTGATGAACTGAATCCATGCCTGCGTCAAGGCTATTCACCTACAAGGCCTGATTCAAGAATAACAGGCACCTACCTGTCTTTGTGCAACCTACTCCGGATGTGTATGTGGTGTTTGTCTTTCTGTGCCTGGCTTATTTTACTTAACATAATGATCTTCAACTCCATCCATGTTGTTGCAAATGACTTGATCTCATTCTTTTTTATGGCTGAATAATACTTCATTTGGTGTATGTACCACATTTTCTTTATCCACTCATCTGTTGGTGGACACTTACATTGCTGCTAAATCTTAGCTATTGTAAACAGTGTTGCAACAAATATAGGAGTGCAGATGTCTCTTTGATATACCAATTTCTCTTCTTCTGGGTATATACCGAGGAGTGTGATTGCTGGATAATATGGTAGCTCAGTTTTTAGTTTTTTGAGGAACCTCCAAAGTGTCTTCCATAGCGCTTGTACTAATTTACATTCCCACCAAGAATGCACGAGCGTTCTCTTTTCTCCACATCTGCATCAGCATTTGTCATTGCCTGCCTTTTGGATATAAGCCATTTTAACTGGGGTGAGATGATCTCTCATTGTAGTTTTGATTTGCATTTCTCTGATGATCAATGATGGTGAACACCTTTTCATATGCTTATTTATATGTCTTCTTTTGAGAAATGTCAATTCAAATCTTTTGCCCATTTTGTGATCAGATTATTAGATTTTTTTTCCTATAGAATTATTTGACCTCCTTATATTCTGGTTGTTAATTCATTAACAATGCATAGGTATTTTGCAAATATTTTCTCCCATTCTGTGGGTTGTCTCTTTGTTATTGTTTCCTTTGCTGTGCAGAAGCTTTTTAATTTGATGTGATCCCATTTGTTTATTTTTGCTTTGGTTGCCTGTGCTTGCGGGGTATTGCTCAAGAAATTTTTGCCCAGACCAATGTCCTGGAGATTTTCCCCAATATTTTCTTGTAGTAGTTTCATAGTTCGAGGTCTTAGATTCAAGTCTTCGATCTAATTTGATTTGATTTTTGTATGTGGTGAGAAAGAGGGATCTAGTTTCATTCCTCTGCATAGAGATATCTAGTTTTCCCAGCATGGTTTATTGAAGAGAATGCCTTTTTCCCAGTGTATGCTCTTGGCACCTTTGTTGAAAATGAGGTGACTGTAGGTGTGTGGCGAACTTTACTTGTCATGCAGACACCAGTTATATTGAATCAGAGGCCCATTTTATTCCAATGTGACCTTACCTTAACTAGTTACATTCTCAATGACCCTATTTGGTGATGAATTTCTGGGGAAACAAGTCAATCCAAATATTGAAGTATCTCAGAGTGTGTCCATGGCTGATGATAACTGCAAATGAGTAACAGGAATCACAGTGGACAATAACACAGTAACTAGAGGGTCAGACCCTTCAGGCAGGAGGTTCTGGCTTACATCATCAGGCAATTATCTAGACAACAGAAGTGCTGGCCAGTGGTGAAGGGAGTATAGAACTTGTGGTAACTAATGGAGATGATGAATCTCAGGTGAACCCTATTACAGTAGTAACTGTATCTTGTTCCATTTGGCCTTTATTTTATATCTCTCCTTCCCTTCTTCCTTCCTGCCTTCCTTTCCTCTTACCTTCCCTTCCTTCTATTCTACCATCCTTTTCATACAGACACCAGTCATATTGAATAAGAAGACCAGTTTATTCCAATGTGACCTTACTTAACTAGTTACATTCTCAATGACCTTATTTGGCTATGAATTTCTGGGGAAAAAAATCAATCCAAATATGGAAGTATCTCAGAGCGTGTCCATGCCTAGTGATAACCACAAATGAGTAACAGCAATCACAGTGGACAACGGTATAGTAACTAGCAGCTCAGAACCTTCTGTCCCTCTTCTTTCTCTCCTCCTCTACCTCCTTCTCCTAGAATTTCTGGCTGTCCATCACAGTTAAGAAGCAAAGATTGGATCTGAGTGGAGCGAATGACAGACCATAGATGACATTTTCATTATCCTGTCCATATTTCTCAGATCTTAGTGTGCTTGGGCCAGTTTCTATTTGCCAGAATCTGCATCTCTGTGCCTAAGGGCTCTTGTATTGCAACTGCAGAAAGTCATGTCACCTGTGCATTCCACACAGAGGACTATCACTCAACTCAACCAATGATCTTGGAGAGCTGATTTACAAAGACTCTAGCTCCCTTATTCCTGAAGATAGAGATTGCTAATTTATGTGTTTTTCATCATTTCTGATAGTTTTCCCTTTGGTTTAAATTTTAGTTGGTCACTGTGATACTTACTGGCTCAATAGTATACCCTTTTCTGTATCTCTTCTCTGATCCCTAATGGTGTGATCTGCACTTCCCAATAAACTACTTTCACTGGAATATTTTTCTAAGTATCTGTTCTGGGAGAAACCACACTATGACATTACATTAACTCTCTCAGCCTCAATTTCCTCATCTCTACAATGGTAACATTAATACCTACTTTGAACATTTCCTCAAGAATAAATATTAATGAACATAAAGCATGTAGTCACTATCTATCAAATAGTAGGCAACCTAGAACATATTAGTTCTTTTTTTGTCCAGAAAACTTAAAAAATAATTTTAATATTGAATATAAGAATATATTTAAAATAACTAACTAGATCAACTAAATTCTTTCTTTACTAGTTTTATTGAGGTATAATTAACAAATAAAAATTGTGTATATGTAAGGTATAAAAGGTTATGTTTTGAGGTATATATATATATACAGTGTGAAATAATAATATATTTATTAGCTCACATAGTCACCATTTCCTTTTTATTGTTGTGGTGTGAACATTTAAGATCCACTTTCTCAGCAAATTTCAGGTATACAATAAAGTATTTTAAACTATGTCCACATTAGAGTGCACCAGATCTGCAGAACATATTCGTCTTATATAACTGATGTTGGTCATGAGAATGTGCTAGTTCTCCTTTACCCCACCACCCAACGACTATCCCAGTCAGCGGCTTTTCTCTCTTTCTGGAATCTTCAGAGCATTCCAGATATACAGTCTCAAAAGATGGCATCTGTATTTTTTAAGGAATAACTTAAGTTCATTTTGCCTTGCCAATATGTATTCAGGAGAAGAAGGAAGCCATATAAGAATGGAAATGTTATCTGCAAATGTTACCTGCAAATACAGGAGATTACTCCTCCATTGTTGAGTCAACTTAAGTGCATGTCTTGCGAATGTAGAGTCCCAATGTAATTTTTACTTTAATGAGAGTTAAATATAAGTGCTCTTGGACAGAAAGAGAAGACCCAACCTTAAATCTGAGTCTGCATTTTTAGCTAAATAACATCACACATTAAAATTTTCCTCAGCTGGAAAGTAGAGGTAATAAAACATGACCATCTGTTTTTATAATCAAATTAGGTAACATGTATGGTATGGAATATGTGTGTAAATCCCATATCAGGAATGCTGTAAAATAAAAAAAAACACCATGTGAGATGAAGGACAGCTTTGAGTTTATTAAGAAACATATAGGTAAGAGTCCCTGTTTCTAGGGAGATAACCCAAAATGATCATGAAAGGAATAAGGATAAAAGAACCACGAGGAGGACACTGAAAATGAAAACATGATTGTGAAGATTATTGATCAGTTGCAAAACCTAAGTTTCTTAGAGAAAGGGAATGAAGCTCTTGACTTTAGAGTCAAGCTGAGACCATGACTCCAAATTGAAAATACATGAAGGTGGCACATGATCCACAAGGTGTAAGGAAAAAAGAATCAGGATGAAGTACTCTACCCTCACTCAAGCTGATTCACAAAATGTTAAACATGCAGAGAAGTCATAAAAATTAGGGTGAGCAAAGTTCACCCTAAGTTCACTTTGTTGGTTTTCATCACAGTTTGAAAGTAAATTTGTCCCCCAGAAGGTAAATCTTTTGCCAGAGGGTTACTGTATGGGGATGATGGTCCTCTGCGGAACTGATCAGCAGCAAGCAGGCTGACAGCAGCTGGTCACACAGGTGGGCTGGAAGCAAGTGGTCCTGCAGCAGGTAGTCTCACAGCAGGCTGGGCGGCAGCACGGCTGGCAGCAGCTGGAGCCACAGCTCTGGTTTAGGCAACCAGGCAGGTAGACACTCGTGGGGTGGTAGCAGGTTCTCCTGCAGTAGATGGGTGCACAGGAGCTGGGCTGGCAGCAGCTGGACCCACAGCTGGTTTGGCCACAGCAGCTGGACCCACAGCAGATGGGCTGGCAGCAGGGTGTGCTGCAGCAGGAAGGCTGGCAGCAGCTGGTCACACAGGTGGGCTGGCAGCAGGTGGTCCTGCAGCAGGTGTTTTGACAGCAAGTTGGGTGGCAGCAAGGCTGGCAGCAGCTGGACACACAGCAGGAGGGCTGGCAGCAGGGTGTGCTGCTGCAGGTGGTCACAGTGGTGGGCTTCCAGCAGGTGGTCCTGCAGCAGGTAGGCTGACAGCAAGGGGAGCAACAGTGGGTCATGGTGTCAGGGGTGGAGGGTGGACTTCTGTTCAGAGGTGAATTTCCCAGGATCTGATGACCCCTTGCCCTCTGGACCTTTTATACAACTGGCCTCCAAAGTTTCCACCAATCAGCAGGACTTTTCCTTGTTGCTGTTTATGTTGTTTTCCACAGTCATTTTGGTATTGTCAAAGGGGAAGTTGTTTTCTAAAGGTTATAAATCTTTTGAAAGTAAGGGTTTAATCTGTTGCTTAATTGTGGATTACTCATAGAAACTATTTCAGATAAAAGGAAGCCCGTCTCATCATCAGCATTGTTCCTGCTCTGACCATCTTCTGGTGATGTGATAGTTCCTGGTGACCAGGGAGGCTCAGGAAGTTCTCTCTACCCAGCCTCATTCTTTGGTTGTATGTAGGTTGGCAAGTGTCTGTGGGGAGAATCATGATTCTGATATGGTCACAAAGACAAAATGAATCCATGCCTATGTTCAAGACTGTTCACCCACCAAAATCTGTTTCAAGACTAACAGGCATCTCTCTCTGTACAACCCACACCACCTGTGTCTTTCACCTCCATCAAAGTCACTTGGGAAAAGGGTGATTGGTACAGTGTGTTCTATGTGTCAGAGCAGAACCAGAGCAGGTGGGTACGAGGAGAAGTCCAGTGGGATTTAGATAGCATCAGGCAATCTTTGCCCTGGGTTGACCATTCATTCTGATTTGTCTGGGAGAGAGGGGCTTACCATAATGAAAATGTGGGACTTTGTGTAACATAAGTGCTTTAGACTCAGGCAAGCCAGCATGAGCTGTGGCTCTAGCCCTAACTCTGGTAGTAGCATAGTCAGTGCCATTTCTTTTCTCTATCTTTCTCCATTTCTTTTTAATGAAGAAATTAGATGAGTTGAGATGATAGCTGATTCGTCTTGGAGTTCTAACATATTAAAACATTTTTTAGGTATACCATTCATTTCAGAAGAATGCAAATTATTAATTTCCAACTTGTTATAACTTTGTAAATAAAGCTATGTCCCCATTACCAGGTTAGGAAATAGAAATTAATCCCATTCCCTTTAAATTATATTCCTTTACTCATCCCAAAAAACCACTAATCACTCTATCAAGTTGCAACCCTGTAGGTCAATTTGGCTATTCCTTTTTTACTTCGTGTGAATAAAAATTATAATATTTGCTTCTCTATTTCTTTTGCATAATCAGAGGTAATAATTATTGCCTAGTCATTTTGCACTCTTCATGTCAGCAGATCAGAAGGCAGAGAAAAGAGTTCCTTTTTGGTGAGGGGTAATTATCCTGTTTTCATGGCATGTAGGAGAATGTATCTGTAGCTCAGGAGATTTACTGAACATACTAATTTACTAGCACTGCTGTGATAAACCACTACAAACCAAGTGGCTTAAATTTATATTCTTGCAGTTCTGAAGGCTAGCAGTCTGGATTTAAGGTGTTGCCAAGGTTGTTTTCACCTGAGGACTGTTAGGAAAGCATCTGTTCCAGGTCTCTCTCCTTGAAGTGTGGATGTCTGTCTTCTCCATGTGTCTCTAACATGACCATCCTTCTAGATGCACACTGCCTCTGAACTTACCCATTCTATACAGGCATCAGTAATATTGAATCAGAAGCCTGATTCCAATATGACTGGATCTTAAGTAATTACAGTTTCAATATCCCTATTTGAATATGAATTTTGGGGGACACAAGTCAAGCCATAATATTGGAGAATCTCATAGTGTGTCCATGCCCAGTGATAACCACAAATGAGTGAAAACAGCAATCGCAGTGGACAATGGTACAGTAACTAGCAGCTCAGACCTTTCTGTCCATTTTCTTCCTCTCCTCCCCTCCCTCCTTTTCCTAGAATTTCTGGCTATCCATCACAGTTAAGAAGCAAAGAATAAATCTGAGTAGAGCAAATGGCAGATCATAGATAACGTTTTCATTATCCCATCCATATATTTTGGATTTTAGTGTGCTCAGGCCAGTTTCTATCTTCCAGAATCTGCATCTCTGTGCCTAAAGGCTCTTGTATTGTACCTGCAGAAAGTCATGTCACTTCTGCATGCCACAGAGCGAAAAACACTCGACCATTGATTCTGGGGAGCTGATTTACAAAGACTCTAGCTCCTTTATTCCTGAAGTTGGAGAATTCTAATTTATGTGTTTTTCATCATTTCTAATAGTTTTCCCTTTGGTTTAAGCTTTAGTTAGTCACTGTGATACTTACCAGCTCAATAGTGTACCCTCTTCTGTGTCACTTTCCTGATCCCTACCGGTGTGATCTGCACTTCCCAATAAACTACTTTCACTGGAGTATTTTTCTTGGTATCTGTTCTGGGAGAAACCACACTATGATATTACATTAACTCTCTCAGCCTCAATTTCCTCCTCTCTACAATGGTAACATTAATACTTACTTTGAACATTTCTTTGAGAATAAATATTAATGAAAATAAAGCATTTAGTCACTACCTATCAAATAGAAGTCAACCCAGAACATATTAGTTCTTTTTTTGTCCAGAAAACTTAAAAAATAATTTTAATTTTGAAGATAATATATGTATAATAACTAACCAGATCAACTAAATTCTTTCTTTACTAGCTTTTTTGAGGTATAATTAACAAATAAAAATTGTGTATATGTAAGGTATAAAAGGTTATGTTTTGATATATATATTCATTGTGAAATAATCACATATTTATTAGCTCACATAGTTACCATTTCCTTTTTATTTTTGTGGTGGGAATATTTAAGATCCACTTTCTCAGCAAATTTCAGGTGTACAAAAAAGTATTTTAAACTATATCCAAATTAGTGTACACCAGATCTGCAAAACTTATTTGTCTTATATAACTGATGTAGGTCAAAGAGAATGTGCTAGTTCTTCGTCTCCTTTACCCCATCACCCAACGACTATCCCAGTCAGCGGCTTTTCTCTCTCTCTGGAATCTTCACAGCATCCCAGATATACAGTCTCAAAAGATGGCATCTGTATTTTATAAGGAATAATTTAAGTTCATTTTGCCTTGTCAATATGTATTCAGGAGAAGAAGAAGGAAGCCATATAAGAATGGAAATGTTATCTGCAAATACAGGAGATTATTCCTCCATTGTTAAGTAAACTTAAGTGCATATCTTGCTAATGCTGAGTCCCAATATAGTTTTTTCTTTATTGAGAGTTAAATGTAAGTGCCTTTGGACAGAAAAAAAGACCCAACTTTGCATCTGAGTCTGTCCATTTTTAGCTAAATAACATCACACATTAAAATTTTTTCAGCTGGAAAGTGGAGGTAATAAAACATGACTGTCTGTTTTGATAATCAAATTAGGTAACATACATGGTATGCAATATGTGTGTAAATCCCATATCAGGAATGCTGTAAAATAAAAAAAAACACCATGTGATAAGAAGAATGGTTTTGAGTTTATTAAGAAACATATATGTAATGGTCCCTGTTTCTAGGGAGATAGCCCAAAATGATCATGAAAAGAAGGATACAAGAAACACGAGGAGGACATTGAAAATGAAAACATGATTGTGAAGATCATTGATGAGTTGCAAAACCTAAGCTTCTTGGAGAAAGAGAATGAAGCTCTTGACTTTAGAGTCAAGCTGAGACCATGACTCAAATTGAAAATACATGAGGCTGGCACATGATCTACAAGGTATAAAGAAAAAAAGAATCAGGATGAAGTACTCTGCCCTCCCTCAAGCTGATTCACAAGATGTTAAACATGCAGAGAAGTCATAAAAATTAGGGTGAGCATGCTGGTTGTCAGCAAAGTTTGAAAGTAAATTTGTCCTCCAAGAGGAGGACAGAAGGTTGCCAGAAGGTTGCTGTGTGAGGATGGTGGTCCTCTGGAGAGTTGGTCAGCAGCAAGAAGGCTGACAGCAGCTGATCACAGAAGTGGGCTGGAAGCAAGTGGTCCTGCAGCAGGTGGTCTCACAGCAGGCTGGGCGGCAGCAGGGCTGGCAGCAGCTGGAGCCACAGCTCTGATTTAGGCAACCAGGCAGGCAGACACTCGTGGGGTGGTAGCAGGTTCTCCTGCAGTAGATGGGTGCACAGGAGCTGGGCTGGCAGCAGCTGGACCCACAGATGATTTGGCCACAGCAGCTGGACCCACAGCAGGTGGGCTGTTAGCAGGGTGTGCTGCAGCAGGAAGGCTGGCAGCAGCTGGTCACACAGGTGGGCTGGCAGCAGGTGGTCCTGCAGCAGGTGTTTTGACAGCAAGTTGGGTGGCAGCAAGGCTGGCAGCAGCTGGACACACAGCAGGAGGGCTGGCAGCAGGATGTGCTGCTGCAGGTGGTCACAGTGGTGGGCTTCCAGCAGGTTGTCCTGCAGCAGGTGGTCCTGCAGCATGTAGGCTGACAGCAAGGGGAACAGCAGTGGGTCATGGTGTCAGGGGTGGAGGGTGGGTTTCTGTTCAGAGGTGAGTTTCCCAGAATCTGATGACCCCTTGCAATCTGGACCTTTTATACACCTGGCCTCCAAAGTTTCCACCAAACAGCAGGACTTTTCCTTGTTGCTGTTTACATTGTTTTCCACAGTCATTGTGGTATTGTCAAAGGGGACGTTGTTTCCTAAAGGTTATGAATCTTTTGAAAGTAATTTTCAGAAGAAAATTATTTAATTTTCTGTTGCTTAATTTCTTAGTTTTCTGTTATTTTCTGTTGCTTAATTGTAGTTTACTCATAGAAAGTTTATTTTCGATAAAAGGAAGCCCCTCTCAACATCTGCATCGTTCCTGATGTGACCATCTTCTGATTATGTGATAGTTCCTGGTGACCGGTTAGGCTCAGGAAGTTCTCTCTACCCAGCCTCCTTCTTTGGTTGTATGTAGATTGGGAAGTGTCTGTTGCGGGAAGCGTGATGCTGATGTGTTCACAATGACTAAATGAATTCATATCTGTGGCCTAGATTGTTCAGCCACCAAAGTCTGATTCAAGACTAACAGGCATTGCTCTCTGTACAACCCACACCACCTGTGTCTTTCAGCTCCATCAAAGTCACTTGGGAAGAGGGTGATTGGTACAATGTGTTTTATGTGTCAGAGAGAACCAAAGCAGGTGGGTACAAAGAGAAGTCCAGTGTGATTTAGATAACATCAGGCAATCTTTGCCCTGGGGTGACCATTCATCTTGATTTGTCTGGGAGTGAGGGACTTACCAGGATGAGAATGTGGGACTTTCTGTAACATAACTACTTTAGATTCAGGCAAACCTGCATGAGCTGTAGCTCTAGCCCTAACTCTGGTACTAACACAATCAGGGCCATTTCTTCTCTCTCTGTCTATTTCTTTTTAATGAAGGAATTAGATGAGTTGAGATGATACCTGATTTGTCTTGGAGTTCCAACATATTTAAACATTTTTTAGGTATACCATTCATTTTGGAAGAATGCAAATTATTAATTTCCAACTTGATATAACTGTAAATACATCTGTGTTCCCATTACCAGGTTAGGAAATAGAAATTAATCCCATTCCCTTTCAGTTATATTTCCTTACTCATCCCCCAAAACCGCTAATCACTCTATCAAGTTGTAACCCTGTAGGTCAATTTGGCTTTTCCTTTTTTACTTCTGTGTGAATAAAAATTACAAAATTTATTTCTCTATTTCTTTCGCATAATCGCAAGTAATAATTACCGCCTAGTCATTTTGCACTCTTCATGTCAGCAGATTAGAAGGCAGAGAACAGAGTTGGTGAGGGGTAATTATCCTGAAGGCGTAGAATGTAGGAGAATGTATCTGTAGCTCAGGAGATTTACTGAATATGTTAATTTACTAGCACTGCCATGATAAACCACTACAAACCAAGTGGCTGAAATTTATTTTCTCACAGTTCTGAAGGCTAGTAGTCTGAATTTAAGGTGTTGACAAGGTTGTTTTTACCTGAGGACTGTTAGGAAAGCATCTCTTCCAGGTGTCTCTCCTTGACTTGTAAATGCCTGTCTTCTCCATATGTCTCTTACATGATCTTCCTTCTAGATGCACATGGCGTCTGAACTTCCCCATTCTATACAGGCATCAGTCCTATTGAATCAGGGGCCTAACTTGTTCCAATATGACCTGATCTTAACTAATTATGTTTTCAATGACCTCATTTCAATATGAATTTTGGGGGACTCATTCAACCCATAACACTGGAGAATCTCATACTGTGTCCATGCCCAGAGATAACCACAAGTGAGTGAAAACAGCAATCACAGTGGACAGTGGTACAGTAACTAGTGGCTCAGACCCTTTGGGCAGGAACATCTGGGTTACTCCTTCCGGAAATTATCTAGAGTAGTAAAAGTTCTGGAAAGTGGTGAAGGAACTATAGACTTTTGATAATTAATGGAGATTATGGCTGTCAGGTGCACCCTATTATAGCAGCAGTAACTGTTGCTTGTTCCATTGGCCTTCATTTTACATATCTCTCCCCCTCCTTTCTTTGCTTCTTAATTTCTCCTTCCTTCCTTCCTTCTTTCCTTCCTTCCTTCCTCCCTCCCTCCCTCTCTCTCTTTCTCTTTCTTTCTTTCTTTTTCTTTTTCTTTCTTTCTTTCTCTTTCTTCTTTTTCTCTCTCTCCTTCCTGCCTTCCTTCTCTCTCTCTCTTTCTTTCTTTCTTTCCTCCTTCCTTTCTTCCTTCCATCCCTCCTTTCCTTCTTCCTTCCCTCTCTCCTTCCCTCCTTTCTTCCTTCCCCCCTTCTTTCCTTCCTTCCTTTCTTCTCTCTTTCTTTCATTTTTCCATCTTTCTTCTTCCTCTCATTTTCTGTTTTTCCTCTTTCTCCTCTTCCTTTCCTCCTCCTCTTCCTTCTTCTAGAGTTTGTGGCTGCCCACCACACTTAAGAAGCAAAGATTGGGTCTGTGTGGAGCAAATGGTAGATTGTAGATAGGATTTCCTTATCCCATTCCTATATCTTGGATCTTAGTATGCTCAGACCAATATGCATTTGCCCAAATCTGCATCTGTGTGCCTATGGGCTCTTGTATTGTTACTGCAGAAAGTCATGTCGCCTGTGCGTGCCACACAGAGAAAAACACTCAACCAATGATTCCAGAGCACTGGTTTGTGAAGACTCTAGCTTCCTCATTCCTGAAGTAGGATAATTCTAATTTGTTTGTTTTTCATTATTTCTAATAGTGTTTTGTTTGGTTTAAGCTTTAATTGGTCACTGTGATACTAGTTTAATAGTCTACCCTTTTCTGTGTCACTTCTCCAATACCTGCTGGTGTGATCTGCACTTTCCAATAAACTACTTTCACTGGAATATTTTTCTTGGAGTTTGTTATGGGAAAACCAAACTCTGATATTACATTTCCTCTCTCAGACTCAATTTTCTCATCTCTACAATGGGAACATTAATACCTACTTTGAATGTTTCTTCAAGAATTAATGATAATGTTCATAAAGCATTTAATCAATACCCATTAAATAGTAGGCAACCTAGGACATATTAGTTTTTTTTTTGTCCAGAGAACTCCTAATTTTAATGTTGAAGATAAGAATACATGAATAATAATTAACCAGATCAACTCACTTCTTTCTTTACTAGCTTTATTGAGGCATAATTGATAAATAAAAATAAAATTGTGTATATTTAATGTGTACGAGGTGATGTTTTGAGATATGTATATACTTATTGTGAATTATCATATATTCCTTAGCTCACATAGTTACCATTTCCTTTTTATTTTTGTGGTGTAAACACTTCAGATCTACCTTCTTAGCAACACTCCAGATCTACCTTCTTAGCACATTTCAGGTATAAAATAAAGCATTTTTGTTAACTATAGTCACGTTGCTGTACACTAGATCTGCAGAACTGACTCATCTTGCATAACCGATGTTGGTCAAAGAGAATGTGATAGTTCTTCAGTTTCTTTACCCCATTATGCAACAACTATCACAGTCAGTGGCTTTTGTCCCTTAGCTGAGTCTTCTGAGCATTCTAGATACACCACCTCAGAAGCTGGTATCTGTCCTGGAAACCTACATTGTTAGCTCCTCAGAGGTATTTCTACCACTCCCATGCCGGTAGGAGGTCCCAAGAAGGTGGCCCAGGTCCCTAACTTTTCTAATTCTCTCAGGGCCAGTATCAATGAATCCCTCCATGACTGAATACTTCAGTTGCATCATCAGTTCAGGAACAAAAGCGCCAGTTTTCCATCTATCATGACTTCCATGAATGAGAAAGTTCTTCCACGTTTCCTCCTTCTTAAATTCTTCTGATTTCCCTGGAAACACAGGTTTTTGGTTTCTTGAGATGCTTCCTATTTGCCTCACAAAACTCAGAAGGTTGTTTTATACCTTTATGGTTTGTACAAAGTCATACATGCCCATTGCATAGTCCCTCAATCCCCAAATTTGTTTCACTTAATTTTCCTAATAACATTTTGATTTGAGGGACAATTTGACTTAATGTGGCTTAATGTATGGTCCATATTTTAGAAGGAATAACTTAAATTCTTTTTGCTTTGTCAACAGGTATTCAGGAGAAGGAAGCCATATAAGAATATTATTTACGTGATACCAGGAAAAAAATCCCCAAATGAGATCCTCTCTCATGAGGACACAATGCATTCTCAAAATTTTCTGATGCAGATTAATTGAATAAATAGCTGGTCAAAGACTGAGACAAAAAGGGATCCTCACTCAGGGCAGCTATTAAATGCCGTCCCTGTTGTCATCCCATGTAGCTATTACTCACTGAGGTGTGGAAAACTAATTTGGGAAGACCTTTGTGAACAGAAATGTCGTCTGCAAATATGAGAGATTATACCTCCCACATTAAATAAACTCAAGTGCATGTCTTGCTATTGCTGAGTCTCAATATCATTTCTACTTTACCGAGAGTTAAATGTAAGTGTTCTTGGGCAGAAAGAGAAGCTCTCACCTTGGACTAGAGTCTGTCCTTTATTAGCTACATAAAATCACACACTAAATTGTTCTCAGCTGAAAAATTGAGGTAATAATACATAATAATAACTCTGTTTTCAGAATCAAATTGGATAATACATATAGCATGCAATATGTGTGTAAATCTCATATCAGCAATTCTGTAAAATAAAACACCATATGAGATGAAGGATGGTTCAGAATTTATTCAGAAATATATAGGTAAGAATCCCTGCTACTAGGGACATAGCCCAAAGTTACAATGAAAAGAAGAAAGAAGGGTAAAAGAAACATGAGGACAAAATTGAAAACAAAAATATGATTGCAAAGATTATTGATCAGTTGCAGAAACCTAAGTTTCTTAGAAGGAGAGAATGAAGCTCTTGACTTTAGAGTCGAATGGAGACCATGTCTCCACATTGAGAACACATGAAGCTGGCACATGATCCACAAAGTGTAAGGAAAAAAGAATCAGGATGAAGTATTCTGCCCTCCCTCAAGCTGATTCCCAAGATTTTAAACAGGCAAAGAAATAAAAAAAATTGGTGAAAGCATACTGTGTATCAGTAAAGTTTGAAAGTAAATCTGTCTTCTGAAAGATAAGTGAGTTGGGTCTGGGTGTGGTAGCTCACACCTGTAATCCCAGCACTTTGGGAGGCTGAGGCAGGTGGATCACCTGAGGGCAGGAGTTCCAGACAAGTCTGATCAACATGGTGAAAACTACTAAAAATACTAAAAATACAAAAAATTAGCCAGGCGTGGTGGCACAGGCATGTAATCCCAGCTACTCAGGAGGCTGAGGCAGGAGAATCACTTGAACCCAGAAGATGGAGGTTGCAGCGAGCCGAGAGCGTGCTACTGCACTCCAGCCTGGGTGACAGTGAGGCTCCGTCTCAAAAGAAAAAAAAGGTCAGTTGAGCAGAAGGTTGTTGTGTGAGGATGATGGTCCTCTGTGGTGCTGCTCAGCAACAAGAATGCTGGCAGCAGCTGGACACACAGCAGGCTGGGCAGTAGCAGGGCTGGCAGCAGCTGGATCCACAGCTCTGGTTGAGGCAACCAGGCAGGCAGACAGTCGTGGGGTGGTAGCAGGTTCTTCTGCAGTACACAGGTGCACAGGAGCTGCTCTGGCCACAGCTGGACCCACAGCTGGTTTGGCCACAGCAGCTGGACCCACAGCAGATGGGCTGGTAGCAGGGTGTGCTGCAGCAGGAAGGCTGGCAGCAGCTGGTCACACAGGTGGGCTGGCAGCAGGTGGTCCTGCAGCAGGTGTTTTGACAGCAAGTTGGGTGGCAGTAAGGCTGGCAGCAGCTGGACACACAGCAGGAGGGCTGGCAGCAGGGTGTGCTGCTGCAGGTGGTCACAATGGTGGGCTGCCAGCAGGTAGTCCTGCAGCAAGTGGTCCTGCAGCAGGTAGGCTGACAGCCAGGGGAGCAACAGTGGGTCATGTTGTCAGGGGTGGAGGGTGGGCTTCTGTTCAGAGGTGAGTTTCCCAGGATTTGATGACCCCTTGCAATCTGGACCTTTTATACATGTGGCCTCCAAAGTTTCCACCAATCAGCAGGATTTTTCTTTCTTGCTGTTTACAGTTGTTTTCCATAGTCAGTTTGGCATTGTCAAAGAGGAAGTCATTTCCTAAATGTTATGAATCTTTGGAAAGTAAGGGTTTAATCTGTTTCTTAATTGTAAATTACTCGTAGAAACTTTGTTTCAGATAAAAGGAAGGCAGTCTCATCATCAGCTTCGTTCCTGCTCTGACCAGCATCTCGTCATGTGATAGTTCCTGGTGACTGGGGAGGCTCAGGAAGTTCTCTCTGCCCAGTCTCATCCTTTGGCTGTATGTAGACTGGGAAGTGTCTGTGGGGAGAAGCATGATGTTGATATATTCACAGTGGTGAATTGAATCCATGCTTGGGACCAAGACTGTTCACCCACCAAAGTCTGATTCAAGACTGATAGGCATCTCTCTATGTACAACCTACTTTACCTGTCTCTTCCAGTTCTATAAAAGCCTCTTGGGAAGAGGGTGTTCAGCACAATGTGTGCTATGTGGCAGAGCAGAGCCAAAGCAAACACGTAGAAAGAGGAGGGGTTCACTGGAATTCACAAAGCATCAAGCAATCTACGTGCTGCGGTGACCATTCACCCTGATTTGTCTGGGACTGAGGGGCTTACCAGCATGAGAATGTGGGACTGGGAATTACTGTGACATTACTGCTTGAGGTCCAGGCAAAGCAATATGAGCTGTGGCTCTAGCCCTAATCCAGGTTACTGGCACAATCATTGCCATTTCTCTGTCTCTGTCTCTGTCTCTGTCTCTGTCTCTGTCTCTCTCTCTCTCTCTCTCTCTGTCTCTCTGTTTTCAGTGAGGGAATTAGGTGAGTTGAGATGATATCTGATTCCTCTTTGAGGTTTACCATTGTTTAAAACTTTTTAAATTATACCATTCATTTCAGAAGAGTGCAAATTATGAATTCCAACTTGATATAATATTACATTATAAATACATCTAAGTCCCCATTACCAGTTTACAAAATAGAAATTAATTCCATTCCCTCCAAATTATATCTTTTTACTTATCTCCAAAGGTAGCTAGTCACTCTATCAAGTTTTAATCCTGTAGGTCAGTTTTGTTTTTTTCTTTGACTTTTATGTAAATAAAAATTATAGAATTTGCTTCACTGTGTTTTTGGCATAATCAAAAGCAGCAATTATAACCTGGTCATTTCATTTTGGATCCTTCATGTTAGCAGACCAGCAGGTAGATAAAGGAGTTAATATTCCATGAGGGATAATTTTCGTGAAGCCATAGAGCGTAGGGAGAATATATCTGAAACTCAAGAAATTTACTATATATATTAAAGCATTACACTGCCATTAAAAACTATGGCAAATCAAGTGGCTGAAGTTTATTTTCTCACAGTTCTGAAGGCTAAAATAAAGGTGTTGGCAATGTTGTTTTCATCTGAGGGCTGTGAGGGAAATATCTGTTTCAGGTCTCTCTCCTTGACCTGTAGATGTCTATCTTCTCCATGTGTCTCTTACATCATCTTCCCTCTATATGCATCCTGTTTGAATTTCCCCTGTTTATACAGACACCAGTCACATTGAATCAGAAGCACAATTTATTCCAATATGACCTTATCTTACCATCTTGCATTTAAGTGACCCTATTTGAATATGAGTTCTTGGGGACACAATTCGACCCATAACCTTGGAATATCTCGTAGTGTATCCATGCCCATTGATAAACACAAATGAGTAACAAAAGCAACCACAGTTGGACAATGGTGTAGTAAGTAACTAGAGGGTAAGACCCATCAGGCAGGAAGTTCTGAGCTACTTCATCAGGCAATTATCTAAACTAACAGGAGTGCTGGCCAGTGATGAAGGGAGTATAGAACTGGCGGAAACTGATGGAGATTATGAATCTCAGAAGCACCCTATTACAGCAGTAGTTTCTTTTCCCTTCCCTCCCTTCCCTTCCCTTCCCTTCCTTCCCTTCCCTTCCTTTCCCCTCCCCTCCCCACCCCTCCCCTCCCCTTTCTTTCTTTCTTTCCTTTTCCTTCCTTCCTTCCCCTTCCTTCCTTCCTTCCTTCCTTCATTCCTTCCTTCCTTTTCACTCTCTTTCCTTCTGTCTCTTGCTCTCTTTCTTCCTCCGTTCCTTTCTTCCTGTCTGTGTATATTGTCTTCTTCCCATATCTTTCCTAGTTTTTTCCTCCTCTCTCACCTTCTGTTCCTCCTCTTCCTCCTCCTCCTTTTTCTCCTAGAGTTCATGGCTGTCCATTACATTTAAGAAGGAAAGATTGGACTTGAATGGAGCAAATGTTACTGTAGACAGGTCTTCATTACCATACCTGTATATCATGGAACTTAGGGTGCTCATACCAATTTCCATCTGCCTGAATCTGCATCTCTGTGCCTTAGGGCTCTTGTATTGCAACTACAGAAAGTCATGTCACCTGTGCACACTACAGGGAGAAAAATATTCAACTGAAAATTCTAAAGAGTGGATTTATACAGACTCTAGCTTCTTCACTGCTGAAGTTTGAGAATTCAAAGTTGTGTGTTTTTCATCATTTCTGAAAAATTTCCCTTTAGCTTAAGCTTCAGTTGATCTCTGTGATACTGGCTTAATAGTATACCCTTTTCTGTATCACTGCCACAATCCCTTCTGGCCTGTTCTGCCCTTCCTAATACACTGTATTCATTGGAATCTTTTTCTCAGAGTATCTTCTGGGAAAAACCAAACTATGACATTACATCTCTCAGCCTCAATTTCCTCATCTCTACAATTAGAACACTAATGCCTACTTTGAAAGTTTTTTCAATAATTAATGATAATGTACATAAAAGATTTACACAATATCCATCAAATGATAGGCAACTGAAAACATATTATTTCTTTTCTCTCCAGAAATTCCTAAACTAATTTTAATGTTGATGATAAGAATATATTTATAATAATTAACTAGATCAACTTTTTTTCTTTTACTTTAAGTTCCAGGACACATGTGCAGAATGTGCAGGTTTGTTGAGTAGGTATACATGTGCCATGATTGTTTGCTGCACCTATCAACCTGTCCTCTAGGTCTTAAGCCCTGCATGCATTAGGTATTTGTCCTAATGCTCTCCCTCCCCTTGCCCCCGACCCCCCCAACAGGCCCTGGTGTGTGATGTTCCCCTCCCTGTGTCTGTGTGTTCTGGTTGATCAACTCCCACTTATGAGTGAGATCATGTGGTGTTTGGTTTTCTGCTCCTGTGTTACTTTGCTGAGAATGATGGCTTCCAGCTTCTTCCATGTCCCTGCAAAGGATATGAACTCATTGTTTTTTATGGCTGCATAGGATTCCATGGTTTATATGTGCCACATTTTCTTTATCCAGTCTATCACTGATGGGCATTTGGGTTGGTTCCAAGTCTTTGCTATTGTAAATACTGCTGCAATAAACATATATGTGCATGTGTTTTTATAGTAGAATCATTTATATTCCTTTGAGTATATACCCGGTAATAGGATTGCTGAGTCAAATGGTTTTTCTGGTTCTAGATCCTTGAGGAATTGCCACACTGTCTTACACAGTGGTTGAACTAATTCACTATCCCACCAACAGTGTAAAAGCATTCCTATTTCTCCACAGCCTCTCCAGCATCTATTGTTTCCTGACTTTTTAATAATCACCATTATGACTGGCATGAGATGGTATCTCAATGTGGTTTTGATTTGCATTTCTCTAATGATCAATGATGATGAGCTTTTTTTCATATGTTTGTTGGCCACATAAAAGTCTTCTTTTGAGAAGTGTCTGTTCATATCCTTTGCCCACTTTTTGATGAGGTTGTTTGTTTTTCTTGTAAACTTGTTTAAGTTCCTTGTAGATTCTGGATTTTAGACCTTTGTCAGATGGGTAGATTGCAAAAATTCTCACCCATTCTGTAGGTTGTGTGTTCTCTCTGATGATAGTTTATTTTGCTGTGCAGGAGCTATTTAGTTTAATTAGATCCCATTTGTCAATTTTGGCTTTTGTTGTGATAGTTTTTGGCATTTTTGTCATGAAGTCTTTGCCCATGTCTATGTCCTGAAAGTTATTGCCTAGGTTTTCTTCTAGGGTTTTTATGATTTTGGGTTTCACATTTAAGTCTTTAATCCATCTTGAGTTAACTTTTGTATAAGGTGTAATGAAGGGGTCCACTTTCAGTTTTCTGCATGTGGCTAGCCAGTTTTCCCAGCCCCATTTATTAAATAGGGAATCTTTTCCCCATTGCTTGTTTTTGTCAGGTTTGTCAAAGATCAGATGGTTGTAGATGTGTGGTGTTATTTCTGAGGTCTCAGTTCTGTTCCATTGGTCTATATATCTGTTTTGATACCAGTACCATGCTGTTGTGGTTACAGTTGCCTTGTAGTATAGTTTGAAGTCAGGTAGCGTGATGCCTCCAGCTTTGTTCTTTTGTTTGGGATTGTTTTGGTGATACGGGCTCTTTTTTGGTTCCATATGAAATTTAAAGTAGTTTTTTTTTAAATTTTGTGAAGAAAGTCAAGGGTAGCTTGATGGGAATAGCATTTAATCTATAAATTACTTCGGGCAGCATGGCCGTTTTCATGATATTGATTCTTTCTATCCATGATCATGTAATGATTTTCAATTTGTTTGTGTCCCCTCTTATTTCCTTGAGCAGTGGTTTGTAGTTTCCCTTGAAGAGGTCCTTCACATCCCTTGTAAGTTGTATTCCTAGGTATTTTATTCTCTTTGTTGCAATTGTGAATGGGAGTTCACTCATGATTTGGCTCTCTGCTTGTCTATTATCGGTGTATAAGAATGCTTGTGATTTTTGTCATTGATTTTGTATCTTGAGACTTTGTTAAAGTTGCTTATCAGCTTAAGGAGTTTTTAGGATGAGACACTGAGGTTTTCTAAATATAGAATCACGTCATCTGCAAACAAAGACAATTTGACTTCCTCTCTTCCTATCTGAATGCCTTTATTTCTTTCTTTTGCCTGATTGTCCTGGCCAGAACTTCCAATACTATGTTGAATAGGAGTGGTGAGAGAGGGCGTTCTTGTCTTGTGCCATTTTCAAAGGGAATGCTTCCAGCTTTTGCCCATTCAGTATAATATTGGCTATGGGTTTGTCAAAAATAGCTCTTATTATTTTGAGATATGTTCCATCAATACCTAGTTTATTGAGAGTTTTTAAGATGAAGGATGTTGAATTTTATCGAAGGCCTTTTCTGCATCTATTGAGATAATCATGTGGTTTTTATCATTGGTTCTGTTTATGTGATGGATTATGTTTATTGATTTGCATATGTTGAACCAGCCTTGCATCCCAGGGATGAAGCAATTTGATCATGGTGGATAAGCTTTTTGATGTGCTGCTAGATTTGGTTTTTACTAACTTTACTGAGGTATAATTGAATAAAAATTGTATATATTTAAGGTATAAAAAGTGATGTTTTGATATATATATTTATAGTGAGATATTCATCACAGTGAAGCTAATTCACATATTCATTAGCTCACATACTTGCCATTTCAGGTATAAAATAAAATATTTTTACCTACAGCCACACTACTGTACACTAGGTCTGCAGAGCTTATTTACCTTGCATACCTGATCTTGGCCAAAGTGAATGTTTTAGGTCTTCATCTCCTTTACCCTGTCACCCCAGAAGAATCACAGTCAATGGATTTTGTCTCTTAGCCAAGTCTCCAAAGCACTCTAGGTACACAGTCTCAGAAGTTGGGATCCGTCCTGGAAGTCTACATCGTTAGCTCATCAGAGGTATTTCTAGCACTCCCATGCTGGTAGGAGGTCCCACAAAGGTAATCCAGGTCCCAGACTTTTCTATTTCTCTCAGAGCCAGTATAAATCAGTCCTTCCATTAGTGAATGCTTGGGTTGCATCATCAGTTCAGGGCCAAAAGCACCAGCCATCTGCCTATCATGACTTCTATGAATGTACACATTTTTCTACTTTCAGTCCGTCTTACATTCTTCTGATTTCCCTGAAAACACAAATGTTTATTTCCTTTAGATGCTTAATTTTGGCCTCATAAAGCATAGAAGATTGTTTTAACCCATTAGATAACTCAGAGATTATGGATTATGCAAAGTCATATGTGCCTGTTGCATAGTGTCTCAATCCTAAACTTTGTCCTTACTTAATTTTCCTGATAACATTTTTATCAGGAAGTCAAATTGTCTAAATGTTGCATAAGGTATGGTCTGTATTTTACATGGAATTACTTAATTCCATTTTGCTCTTTCAATGAAATTTCAGCAGGAGGCCAGATATGAATTTGATTTATTTGATACGAAGGAATTAGTCTCTTCAAATGAGGATATGATGCATTCTGAAAAGTTTTTGATGTGTCCTCTTGAAAACCAGAACAAGGCAAACATGCCATATCTCACCACTCCTATTCAAAATAGTAATGAAAGTCCTAGCCAGAGAAATATGGCAAGAGAAATAAAGTAAAGGTATCTAGATAGGAAAAGTGGAAGTTAAACTATCTCTGTGTGTGAAGAAGATTTTACACCCAGAAAACCTCATTGTCTCTACCCAAAAACTCCTTGATCTGATTAGCAACTTCAGCAAAGTTTCAGGATACAAAATTATTGTACAAAAATCAGTAGCATTCCTATACACCAACAACATCCAAGTTGAGAGCCAAATCAATAATGTAATCCTTTTCACAATAGCCACAAAAAACAACAAAATACCTAGGAATACAGCCAACCAGGGAGGTGAAAGATCTCTGCAACAAGAATTGCAAAACACTGCTCAAAGAAATTAAAGATGACACAAACAAATTGAAACATATTTTATGCTCATGGGTAGAAAGAATCAATATTGTTAAAATGGCCATACTCCCTAAAGCAATTTACAGATTCAGTATCACTCCTATCAAACTACCAATGACAGCCTTCACAGAATGAGAAAAAAAATGTTTTACAATTCATATGGAACCAAAAAAGAGCCTGAATGGCCAAGGCAATCCTAAGCAAAAATAACAAAGCTGAAGACATCACATTATCTGACTTCAAACTACATTACAGGCTGCAATAACCAAAACCGCATGGTACTGGTACAAAAACAGACACACAGACCAATGGAACAGAATACAGAGCCCAGAAATAATGTTGCACACCTACAACATGTGATCTTCAGCAAAGTTGATGAAAATAGGCAGTGGGGAAAAGACTCCTGATTTAATAAATGGTGCTGAGATAACTGGCTAGTCATTTGCAGAAGATTGAAACTGGACCCCTTCCTTACATGGTATACAAAAATCAACTCAAGATGGATCAAAAACTTACATGTAAAACCTAAGGCTATAAAAACGCTGGCAGACAACCTAGGCAATACCATTCTAAACATAGGACCAGGCAAGGATTTTATGATGAAGTCACCAAAAGTAATTGTAAAAAGAGAAAAAATTGACAAATGGGACCTAATTAAACTTAAGAGCTTCTGCACAGCAAAAGAAACTATCAACAGAGTAAACAGACAACCTACAGAATGGGAGAGAATATTTGCAAGCTATCTATCCAACAAAGGTCTAATATCCAGAATCTGTAAGGAAGTTAAACAAATTTACAAGCAAAAACCAAACAATCTCATTAGAAAGTGGTCAAAGGACACGAACAGACACTTTTCAAAAGAAGACATTCAAGCGGCCAAAAAGGATATGAACAAATGATCAACATCACTGATGATTAGAGAAATGCAAGTTAAAACCACAATGAGATGCCCTCTGACACAAGTCAGAATAGCTCTTATTAAAGTCAAAAAATAAAAGATGCTGGCAAGTTTTTGTAGAAAAAGAAACACTTATACACTGTTGGTGGAATTGCACATTAGTTTAACCATTATGGAAAGCAGTTTTGGGATCTCTCAAAGAACTTAGAATTAATATTTGACCCAGCAATTCAATTATTGGGTATATACCCAAATGCATATAAATTGTTCTACCATAAAGACACATGCATGCGTATGTTCATTGCAGCACTACTCACAATAGCAAAGACATAGAGTCAACTTAAAATGTACATCAAAAGTAGACTGGATAAAGAAAATGTGTTTCATATACACCATGGAATACTATACAGAAAAAAAAGGAAAAAAAGAACAAGATGATGTCCTTTGCAGCAACACAGATGGAGCCGGAGGCCATTATCCCAAGGGAACTAACACAGGAACAGAAAACCAAATAACACATGTTCTCACATAAGAGTGGGGGCCAAACATTGAATACATATGAACACAAAGAAGGGAACAACAGACACTGGAACTTACCTGTGGGTGGACTGTGGGAGGAGAATGAGAATCAAAAAACTGCCTATCAGGTATTATGCTTATTACCTGGGTGAAGAACTAATCTGTACACCAAACCCTGCAACACACAATTTAACTATAAAATAACCCGGCACACGTACCCCTGAACCTTAAAAAAAGGTTAAAAAATTTCTTTGATGCACGTGAATTGAATGATTGGCTGGTATAGGCCAATAGGATCCCTGCATTCATGACAGCTGCTAAATGCAGACCCTGCTGCTGTATCATGTAGCTGTTGCTCACTGACGGCTGGGCAATTAATTTGGGAAGACTTTTGTGAACTGAAATGTTATCTCTTGCCAAATACTAGAGATTATTATTTCCATTGTTAAATAAACTCAAGTGCATAACTTGCTAGTGCTGAATCCCAATGTCATTACTACTTTATTGAGAGTTAAATGTAAGTGTCTTTGGACAGAAAGAGAAGACGCAACCTTGCATCAGAGTCTGTCCACTATTAGCTACATAACATCACACATTAAAACTTTCCCAGTTGGAAAATGGAGGCAATAATACATGACTGTCTGTTTTGAGAATCAAATTGGGTAATACATATGGTATGTGATATATGTGTAAATCCCATATCAGGAATGTTTTCAAATAAAACAAATCACCATATGGTATGAATAATAGTTCCAAATTTATTTATTAAGAAATATATAGGTAAGATCCCTGGTTATAGGGAGATAACCCAAAGTGATCATTAAAAGAAGGAAGCAGGATACAAGAATCATGAGTATATTGAAAAGAAAACATAGTTGTGAAGATTCTTAATCATTTGCAGCAACTTAAGTTTCTTAAGTGAAGAGAATGAAGCTCTTGACTTTTGAGTCAAAGCTGAGACCATGACTCAAAATTGAGAACACATGAAGCTGGCACATGATTCACAAGGTATAAGAAAAAGAGAATCAGGATGAAGTATTCTGCCCTCCCTCAAGCTGATTCACAAGATTTTAAATATGCAGAGAATTCATAAAAATTTGGGTGAGAACATGGTTGCTGTCAGCAGTAAGGTAAATTAGTCCTCCAAAAGATAAGTCAGTTGAGCAGAAGGTTGTTGTGTGAAGATGGTTGTTCTCTTGGGACTTGATCAGCAGCAAGAAGGCTGGCAGCAGCTGGACACACAGGTGGGCTGGAAGCAAGTGGTCCTGCAGCAGGTGGTCTCACAGCAGGCGGGGCGGCAGCAGGGCTGGCAGCAGCTGGATCCACAGCTCTGGTTGAGGCAACCAGGCAGGCAGACAGTCGTCGGGTAGTAGCAGGTTCTTCTGCAGTACACAGGTGCACAGGAGCTGCTCTGGCCACAGCTGGACCCACAGCTGGTTTGGCCACAGCAGCTGGACCCACAGCAGATGGGCTGGCAGCAGGTTGTGCTGCAGCAGGAAGGCTGGCAGCAGCTGGTCAGACAGGTGGGCTGGCAGCAGGTGGTCCTGCAGCAGGTGTTTTGACAGCAAGCTGGGCGGCAGCAAGGCTGGCAGCAGCTAGACACACAGCAGGAGGGCTGGCAGCAGGGTGTGCTGCTGCAGGTGGTCACAGTGGTGGGCTTCCAGCAGGTGGTCCTGCAGCAGGTAGGCTGACAGCAAGGGGAGCAACAGTGGGTCATGGTGTCAGGGGTGGAGGGTGGGTTTCTGTTCAGAGGTGAGTTTCCCAGAATCTGATGACCCCTTGCAATCTGGACCTTTTATACACCTGGCTTCCAAAGTTTCCACCAATCAGCAGGACTTTTCCTTGTTTCTGTTTACACTGTTTTCCACAGTCCCTTTGGGATTGTCAAAGGGGAAATTGTTTCTGAAAACTTATGAATCTTTTGAAAGTAAGGGTTTAATCTGTTTCTTAATTGTGAATTACTCATAGAAACTTCCTTTCAGATAAAAGGAAGCCCATCTCATCATCAGCATCATTCCTGCTCTGACCATCATCTAGTCATGTGATAGTTCTTGGTGATCTGGGAAGCTCAGGAAATTCTCTCTGCCCAGCCTCACAGTTGGCTGTATGTAGACTGGGAAGTGTCTGTGGGGAGAAGCATGATGCTGATATATTTACGGTGACAAAATGAATCCATGCCTGGGCCCAAGACAATTCACCCACCAAATTCTGACTCAAGACTAACAGGCATCTCTGTGCAATCCTCACCACCTGTGTCTTTCAGTTATTTGAACGTCACTTGGGAAGAGGGTGTCTGTCACAGTGTGTTCCATGTGGCAGAGCCGATCGAGAGCAGGTGGATGCAGAGAAATCCACTGGGATTTAGACAGCATCAAGCAATCTACGCCCAGGGGTGAGCATTCATTCTCACTTGTCTGCGAGTGTGGGGATTACCGGGATGAGAATGTAGAACTTTCTATGACATAACTGCTTGAGATTCAGGCCAACGTGCATAAGCTGTGGCTCTAGCCATAACCCTGGTTACTAGCACAGTCAGTATCATTTCTTCTCTTTCTTTCTTAGACGGAGTCTTTCTCTGTCGCCTAGACTGGAGTGCAGTGGCGTGATCTCGGCTCACTGCAACGTCTGATTCCTCGATTCAGGGGATTCACCTGCCTCAGCCTCCCGAGTAGCTGCCACTACAGATGCCGGCCACCATGCCCGGCTAATTTTTGTATTTTTAGTAGAGAGAGGGTTTCACCATATTTGTCAGGCTGGTCTCGAACTCCTGACCTTGTGAGCTGCCTGCCTCGGCCTCCCAAAGTGCTGATATTACAGGCATGAGCCACCATCCACAGCCTCTCCTTCTATTTAATGAATTAATTAGATGAGTTGAGATGACACCTGATTCATCGTGGAGTTCTAACATGTTTAAAACATTTTCTAGGAATTACCATTCATTTCAGAGGAATGCAAATTATTAATTTCCAACTTGATACATTATTATATTGTAAATACATCTATGTCCCCATTACATCTATGTTAGAAAATAGAAATTAATCCCATTCTCTCCCAATTATATCCTCTTACTCATTCCCAAAGACAGCTAATCACTCTGTCAAGTTGTAATCCTATAGCTAACTTTTGGCTTTAAAAAATATTCATGTAAATAAAAATTACAGTATTTGCTTCTCTATTTCTTTAGCATAATCAAAAGTAATCGTTATTGCATAGTCACTTTGGACTCTTCATGTCAGGAGAGCAGCAGACAGAGAAAGGAGTTACTATTTGGTGAGGGGTAATTATCCTCAAGCCACATAGTGTAGGAGAATGTATCTATAGCTCAGGTGATTTACTGAGTATATTAACTTACTAGCAGTGCCATGGTAAATTACTGCAAACCAAGTGGCTTAAATTTATTTTTTCACAGTTCCAAAGGCCTCTAGTCTGGAATTAAGCTGTTGGCAATGTTGTTTTCATCTGAAGCCTGCGAGGGAAGTATCTGTTCCAGGTCTCTCTCCTTGACTTGTAGATGTCTATCATTTCCATGTGTGTTTGACATAAGTTTTCTACTATATGCATACTGTCTCTGAATTTCCCCCTTGTGTATAGATATCAGTCATATTTAATCAGAAGCCTAATTGTTTCCAATATGACCTTTTCTTATCACATAACATTTTAAATGATTCTATTTGAACATGAATTTTGGAGGACACAAATTAACCCATAACACTGCAGAATCTCATAGTGTGTCCATGCCCAGTGATAACCACAAAACAGTAAAAACAGTAATCACAGCGGACAGTGGTATAGTAACCAGGGGCTCAGACCCTTCAGGAAGGATGCTCTGAGCTACTCCCTCAGGCAGTTATCTAGACAAACAAGAGTGCTGGCCAGGGGTGAAGGGAGAATAGGACTGGTGGTAATTAATGGAGCTTATGAATCTCAGGTGCACTGTATTATAGCAGCAGTAAGTGTAGCTTATTTCATTGGCCTTCATTTTATATCTCACTTCCTCCCCCAGCTTTTCGTTTCCTTCTTCATTTTTCTTTCTTTCTTTTTCTTCAATCACCCCTTCTCCTTCCTTCCTTCATGTTTTTTTTTGGTTCCTTTATCCCTTCCCTTCCCTTTCCTTTTCCTTCCTTTCTTCCTCCCTTCTCTTTTTCTTTTTTGTTTCTTTTCTCTTTCCTCCTCTCATCTTCTGTTCCTTCTCTTCCTCTCCTCTGCTTCTTCCTTCTTTTAGAGCTTGTGGCTCTCCATCACATTTAAACAGCAAAGATTTGACTTGAGTGGAGCTAATTGTAGATCTCAGACAAGTTTTCGTAAGTGCGCCCATATATCTTGCATGTTAGTGTGCTTGGATTAATTTCCATCTGTCAGAGTCCGCATCTCTGTGGCCAAGGGCTCTTGTATTGCAGCTGTAGAAAGTCATGCCACCTGTGAATGCAACACAGAGAAAAACACTCAACCAATGATTCTGGAGAGCTGATTTATAAAGACTCTAGCTTCCTCATTCCTGAAGTAGGATAATTCTAGCTGTGTGTTTTTCATCATTTCTGATAGTTTTCCCTTTAGTTTAAGCTTTAGTTGGTGACTGTGATACTGACTTTATAGTGTACCCTTTTCTGTATCACTTCCCCAATTCCTACCGGTGTGATCTGCACTTCCCAGTAAACTAGTTTCACTGGAATCTTTTCTTCAAAGTCTTTTCGGGAGAAACTAATCTATGACATTATGTTAACTCCCTCAGCCTCAATTTTCTTATCTCTACGCTGGGAATATTAATACCTATTCTGAAAGTTTGTTAAAGAGTTAATAATAATGTACACAAAGTGTTTAGCAAATACCCATCCTATAGCAGGCAATCCAGAACATATTAGTGTTTCTTGTTCAGAAAATTACCAATTTTAATGTTGAAGATAGGAATATTTTTGTAATAATTAACTAGATCAACTAAATACTTTTTTTCCTAGCTGTATTGAGGTATAATTGACAAATAAAAGTTGTATCTATTTCAGGTATACAAGGTGATGTTCTGATATATATATTCCTTGTGAATAATATGTTTATTAGGTCACGAAGCTACCATTTCCTTTTAATTTTTGTGGTGTGAACATTTAAGATCTACCTTCTTGGTAAATTTCAGGTATATGATAAAGTGTTATTAACTATAGTCACATTACTGTACAGTAGACATGCTGAACTTATTCATCTTTCATAAATGATGCTAGTCAAAGAGAATGTCCTAGTTTTCATCTCCTTTACTTCAACCCTGAACGATGATCACAGTAAGTGGCCGTTGTCTCTTAGCCAAGTCTTCAGAGCATTCTAGATTCACAGTCTCAGAAGTTGGCATCTGTCATGGAAATCTACATTTTTAGCTGATCAGAGGTAATTCTAGCACTCCAGTGCTGGTAGGAGGTCCGAAGAAGGTGACCCAGGTCCCCAACTTTTATATTTCTCTCAGAGCCTGTATCAATCAATCTTTCCATGGGTGAATGCTTAGCTTACATCGGTTCAGGACCCAAAGCACTAACCTCTGTCTATTATGACTTCTATGAATGCACAAGTTCTACTTTGCTCCTTTCTTACATTCTTCTGATTTCCCTGGAAACACAAGTTTTTCATTTCTTTGAATGCTTCCTATTGGCCTCACAAAATGCAGAAGGCTGTTTCATTCCCTTACTTGGCTCAGAGATTATGGATTGTGCCAAGTCTTACATGCCCATTGTGTAGTTTCTCAATTCTCAGCTTTGTTCTTACATAATTTCCCTCATAACATTACAATTAGGGGACAAATTGTCTTAATGTGGCAAAATGTATGGTCTGCATTTTACAAGAAATAACTTAGTTTCATTTACTTCATCAATAGGTATTCAGGAGATGAAGGCTGTATAAGTATTTTATTTACATGATATTGACAACAAGTTTCTTCAGATGAGACTCTCTCTCATGAGTCCACAATAAATTCCCAAGCTTTTTTTGATGTAGATGAATTGAATGAGTGGCTGGTCAGAGGCTGAGACAAAAAGAGCTCCCTGCATTCAGGGCAGCCATTAAATGCAGTCCCTGCTGCCATATCACGCAGCTGTTTCTCACTGAGGTGTGGGAAATTGGGAATTTTTTGTAAACAAAAACGTTATCTGCAAATATAAGAGATTATTTGTCCTATTGTTAAAAAAACTCAAGTATATGACTTGCTAATACTTACTTCCAATGTCATTTCTACTATATTGAGAGTTAAATGTAAGTGTCCTTGGGCAGAAAGAGAGGACCTCAGCTTGGACAAGAGTCTGCCCTTTACTAGCTACATAACATCACACATTAAATTGTTCTCAGCTGAAAAAATGGAGGTAATAACACACGACCATCTGTTTTGAGAATCAAATTGGATAATACCTATGGTATGTGATATGTGTGTAAATCTCATATCAGGAATGCTTTCATATAAAACAAAACACCATATGAGATGAGGATGGTTCAGAGTTTATTCAGAAACATATAGCTAAGAATCTCTGCTGGTAGCAGAAACATAACCCAAAGTTATGAAAAGAAGAAAGAAGGATACAAGAACCATGAGGAGGATATTGAAAACAAAAATATGATTGCAAAGATTATTGATCAGTTGCAGAAACCTAAATTCCTTAGAAGCAGAGAATGAAGCTCTTGACTTTTGAGTCAAAGCTGAGACCATGACTCAAAATTGAGAACACACGAAGCTGGCACATGATCCACAAAGTGTAAGGAAAAAGAGAATCAGGATGAAGTATTCTGCCCTCCCTCAAGTAGATTCCCAAGATTTTAAACAGGTAGAGAATTCATAAAAATTTGGGTGAGAGCATGGTGGCTGTCAGCAGCAAATTAAATTAGTCCCCCAAAAGATAAGTCAGTTGAGCAGAAAGTTGTTGTGTGAGGATGGTGGTTCTCTTGGGACTTGATCAGCAGCAAAAAGGCTGACAGCAGCTGGACACACAGGTGGGCTGGAAGCAAGTGGTCTCACAGCAGGCTGGGCGGCAGCAGGGCTGGCAGCAGTTGGAGCCACAGCTCTGGTTTAGGCAACCAGGCAGGCAGACAGTTGTGGGGTAGTAGCAGGTTCTTCTGCAGTACACAGGTGCACAGGAGCTGCTCTGGTCACAGCTGGACCCACAGCAGGTGGGCTGGCAGCAGGGTGTGCTGCAGCAGGAAGGCTGGCAGCAGCTGGTCACACAGGTGGGCTGGCAGCAGGTGTTTTGACAGCAAGTTGGGCGGCAGCAAGGCTGGCAGCAGCTGGAAACACAGCAGGAGGGCTGGCAGCAGGGTGTGCTGCTGCAGGTGGTCACAGTGGTGGGCTTCCAGCAGGTGGTCCTGCAGCAGGTGGTCCTGCAGCATGTAGGCTGACAGCAAGGGGAGCAACAGTGGGTCATGGTGTCAGGGGTAGAGGGTGGGCTTCTGTTCAGAGGTGAGTTTCCCAGAATCTGATGACCCCTTGCAATCTGGACCTTTTATACACCTGGCCTCCAAAGTTTCCACCAATCAGCAGGACTTTTCCTTGTTTCCGTTTACATTGTTTTCCCAGTCCGTTTGTGATTCTCAAAGGGTAGTTGTTTCCTTAAGGTTAAACAGATTAAGGTTTAATCTGTTTCTTAATTGTGAATTACTCATAGACACTTTGTTTCAGATAAAAGGAAGGCAATCTCATCATCAGCATCATTCCTGTTCTGACCATCATCTGGTCATGTGATAGTTCCTGTTGATCTGGGAGGCTCAGGAAGTTCTCTCTGGCCAGCCTCATGTTTGGCTGTATGTAGACTGGGAAGTGTCTGTGGGGAGAAGCATGATGCTGATATATTTACAGTGACAAAATGAATCCATGCCTGGGCCCAAGACTAGTCACCCACCAAATTCTGACTCAAGACTAGCAGGCATCTCTCTGTGCAACCCACACCACCTGTCTTTCAGTTCTTTGAACATCACTTGGGAAGAGGGTGTTTGTCACAGTGTGTTCCATGTGGCAGAGCAGATCGAGAGCAGGTGGATGCAGATAAATCCACTGGGATTTAGACAGCATCAAGTAATCTATGCCCTGAGTGACCATTCATTCTGACTTGTCTGTGAGCGTGGCGATTCCAGAATGAGAATGTAGGACTCTCTATGGCATAAATGCTTGAGATTCAGGCCAACCAGCATGTGCTGTGGCTCTAGTCGCAACCCGGTTACTAGCACAGTAAGCAGCATGTCTTCTCTCTCTCTCTCTATTTCTTTTTAATGAAGGAATTAGATGAGTTGAGATGATGCCTGATTCATCATGGAGTTCTAACATGTTTAAAACATTTTCTAGGTATACCATTCATTTGAGAAGAATGCAAATTATTAATTTTCAACTTGATATAGTATTATATTGTAAATACATCTGTGTCCCCATTACATCTATGTTAGGAAATAGAAATTAATTCCATTCTCTCCCAATTATATGCTCTTACTCATTCCCAAAGACAGCTAATCACTCTATCAGTTGTAATCCTGTAGGTAATTTTTGGTTTTTTAAAGTTTTCATGTGAATAAAAAGTATAGTATTTGCTTCTCTATTTCTTTGGCATAAACAAAAGTAATCTTTATCGCCTAGTCATTTTGGACTCTTCATATAAGCAAAGCAGCAGACAGAGAAAGTAGTTACTATTTGGTGAGGGATAATTACCCTCAAGCCATATAGTGTAGCAGAATATATCTATAGCTCAGGAGATTTACTGAGTATATTAATTTACTAGCACTGCCCTGATGAATTACTGAAAAAAAGTGGCTTAAATTTATTTATCAAAGTTCTGAAGGCCTCTTTTCTGAAATTAAGGTGTTGGCAATGTTGTTTTCATCTGAAGACTGCGAGGGAAGTATCTGTTCCACGTCTCTCTCCCTGACGTGTCAAAGTCTATCATCTCCAAGTGTGTTTGACATAATTTTTCTATTATATCCATACTGTCTCTGAATTTCTCCCTTGTGAATAGACACAGTCATATTTAATCAGAGGCCTAATTGTTTCCAATATGACCTTGTCTTATCAGATAACACTTTAGATGATTCTATTTGAATATGAATTTTGAGGGACGCAAATGAACCCATAACACTGCAGAATCTCACAGTGTGTCCATGCCTAGTGATAACCACAAATGAGTAAAAACAACAATCACGGTGGACAATGGTATAGTAACCAGGGGCTCAGACCCTTCAGGAAGGATGCTCTGAGCTACTCTATCAGCAGTTATCTAGACCAACAAGAGTGCTGGCCAGGGGTGAAGGGAGAATAGAACTCTTGGTAATTAACGGAGTTTATGAAACTTAGGTGCACTGTATTATAGCAGAAGTAAGTGTAGATTATTTAATTGGCCTTCGTTTTATATCTCACTTCCTCTCCTTTCTTTTCCTTTCCTTCCTCTTTCTTCTTTCTTTCTTTCTTTCTTTTCTTTCTTTCTTTTCCTTCCTTCCTTCCTTTTTTCCTCCCTTCCTCCCTCCCTTCCCTTCCCTTCTCTCTCCCTTTCTCTCTCTTTCTTTCTTTCTCTTTCTTTCTTTCTTTTTATCTTTCTTTCTTTCTTTTTTCCTTCCTTCCTTCCTTCCCCTCCCTCAGTTCCTCCCCGCTCCCTCCTTTCCCTCCCTCCCTCCTTCCTGTCCTTCCTTCCTTCCTTCTTTCCTTCCTTCCTTCTCTCTGTCTTTCTGTTTTTCTTTCCTTCTTTTCTCTTTCCTTCTCCTCTCATCTTCTGTCCCTTCTCTTCCTCTGCTTCCTCTCTTCCTCTTCTTCCTTCTCCTAGAGGTTGTGGCTGCCCATCCTATTTAAGTAGCAAATATTTGACTTGAGTGGAGCTAATTGTAGATTGTAGACAAGTTTTCATGACTGCACCCATATATCTTGGATGTTACTGTGCTTGGATCAATTTCCATCTGTCAAAATCTGCATCTCTGTGCCTAAGGGCTCTTGTATTGCAGCTGTAGAAAGTCATGCCACCTGTGAATGCAACACAGAGAAAAACACTCAACCAATGATTCTGGAGAGCTGATTTATAAAGACTTTAGCTTCCTCATTCCTGAAGTAGGGTAATTCTAGCTGTGTGTTTTTCATCATTTCTGATAGTTTTCCCTTTAGTTTAAGCTTTAGTTGGTGACTGTGATACTGACTTAATAGTGTGCCTTCTTCTGTATCACTTCCCCAGTCCCTACCGGTGTGATCTGCACTTCTCAGTAAACTAGTTTCCCTGGAATATTTTCTTCAAAGTCTCTTCTGGGAGAAACTAATCTATGACAATACGTTAACTCTCTCAGCCTCAAATTTCTCATCTCTACAAGGGGAACATTAATACCTATTTTGAAAGTTTGTTAAATAGTTAATAATAATGTACACAAAGCATTTATCCAGTACCCATCATAGAGCAGGCAACACAGAATTAGTGTTTTTTGTTCAGAAAATTCCCAAGTTTTATGTTGAAGATAAGAATATTTTTGTAATAATTAAATAGATCAACTAAATACGTTTTTTTCTAGCTGTATTGAGGTATAATTGACAAACAAAAATTGTGTACATTTCAGGTATAGAAGGTGATGCTCTGATATATATATTGATTGTGAATAACATATTTATTAGGTCACTTAGTTACCATTTCCTTTTTATTTTTCTGGTGTGAACATTTAAGATCTACCTTCTCAGTAAATTTCAGGTATATGATAAAGTGTTTTTAACTATAGTCATATTACTGTACATTAGACCTACTGAACTTATTCATCTTTCATAACTGATGCTAGTCAAAGAGAATGTCCTAGTTTTCATCTCCTTTACTTCATCCCTGAACGATGATGACAGTAAGTGGCTGTTGTCTCTTAGCCAAGTCTTCAGAGCATTCTAGATTCACAGTCTCAGAAGTGGCATCTGTCATGGAAATCTACATTGTTAGCTCATCAGAGGTATTTCTACCACTCCCCTGCTTGTAGGAGGCCCCAAGAAGGTGACCTAGGTCCCCAATCTTTGTATTTCTCACAGATCCAGTATCAATCAACCTTCCGTGGGTGAATGCTTAGCTTGAATCAGTTCAGGACCCGAAGCAAAAACCTCTGTCTATCATGACTTCTGTTTCTTTTTTTTTTCTTTCTTTTTTTTTTTTTTTTACTTTAAGTTCTAGGGTACATGTGCACAATGTGCAGGTTTGTTACATATGTATACGTGCACCATAATGGTGTGCTGCACCCATTAACTCGTTATTTACATTAGATATATCTCCTAATGCTATCCCTCCCCACTCCCCTCACCCCATAATAGGCCCCGGTGTGTGATGTTCCCCTTCCTGCGTCCAACGGTTCTCATTGTTCAATTGCCACCTATGACTGAGAATGTGTGGTGTTTGGTTTTTTGTCCTTGCGATAGTTTGCTGAGAATGATGGTTTCCAGCTTCATCCATGTCCCTACAAAGGACATGAACTCATCCTTTTTTATGGCTGCATAGTATTCTGTGGTGTATATGTGTCACATTTTCTTAATCCCATCTATCATTGATGGACATTTGGGTTGGTTCCAAGTCTTTGCTATTGTGAATAGTGCTGCAATAAACATACGTGTGCATGTGTCTTTATAGCAGCATGATTTATAATCCTTTGGGTATATACCCAGTAATGGGATGGCTGGGTCAAATGGTATTTCTAGTTGTAGATCCTTGAGGAATCACCACACCGTCTTCCACAATGGTTAAACTAGTTTACAGTCCCACCAACAGTGTAAAAGTGTTCCTATTTCTCCACATCCTCTCCAGCACCTGTTGTTTCCTGACTTTTTAATGATAGCCATTCTAACTGGTGTGAGATGGTATCTCATTGTGGTTTTGATTTGCATTTCTCTGATGGCCAGTGATGATGAGCATTTTTTCATGTGTCTTTTGGCTGCATAAATGTCTTCTTTTGAGAAGTGTCTGTTTATATCCTTCATCCAGTTTTTGATGGGATGGTTTGTTTTTTTCTTGTAAATTTGTTTGAGTTCTTTGTAGATTCTGGATATTTGCCCTTTGTCAGATGAGTAGATTTCAAAAATTTTCTCCCATTCTGTAGGCTGCCTGTTCACTCTGATGGTAGTTTCTTTTGCTGTGCAGAAGTTCTTTAGTTTAATTAGATCCCATTTGTCAATTTTGGCTTTTATTGCCATTGCTTTTGGTGTTTTAGACATGAAGTCCTTGCCCATGCCTATGTCCTGAATGGTATTGCCTAGGTTTTCTTCTAGGGTTTTTATGGTTTTAGGTCTAACATTTAAGTCTTTAATCCATCTTAAATTAATTTTTGTATAAGGTGTAAGGAAGGGATCCAGTTTCAGCTTTCTACGTATGACTAGCCAGTTTTCCCAGCACCATTTATTAAATAGGGAATCCTTTCCCCATTTCTTGCTTTTGTCAGGTTTGTCAAAGATCAGATGGTTGTAGATGTGTGGTATTATTTCTGAGGGCTCTGTTCTGTTCCATTGGTCTATACCTCTGTTTTGGTACCAGTACCATGATGTTTTTGTTACTATAGCCTTTTAGTATAGTTTTAAGTTAGGTAGCATGATGACTCCAGCTTTGTTCTTTTGGCTTAGGAGTGTCTTGGCAATGCAGGCCCTTTTTTGGTTCCATATGAACTTTAAAGTAGTTTTTTCCAATTCTGTGAAGAAAGTCATTGGTAGCTTAATGGGAATGGCATTGAATCTATGAATTACCCTGGGCAGTATGGCCATTTTCATGATATTGATTCTTCCTATCCATGAGCATGGGATGTTCTTCCATTTGTTTGTGTCCTCTTTTATTTCATTGAGCAGAGGTTTGTAGTTCTCCTTGAAGAGGTCCTTCACGTCCCTTGTAAGTTGGATTCCTAGGTATTTTATTCTCTTTGAAGCAATTGTGAATGGGAGTTCCTTCATGATTTGGCTCTCTCTTTGTCTGTTATTGGTGTATAACAATGCTTGTGATTTTTGCACTTTGATTTTATATCCTGAGACTTTGCTGAAGTTGCTTATCAGCTTAAGGAGATTTTGGGCTGAGATGATGGGGTTTTCTAAATATACAATCATGTCACCTGCAAACAGGGACAATTTGACTTCCTCTTTTCCTAATTGAATACCATTTATTTCTTTCTCCTGCCTGATTGCCCTGGCCAGAACTTCCAACACTGTTGAATAGGAGTGGTGAGAGAGGGCATCCCTGTCTTGTGCCGGTTTTCAAAGGGAATGCTTCCAGTTTTTGCCCATTCAGTATGATATTGGCTGTGGGTTTGTCATAAATAGCTCTTATTATTTTGAGATCGTCCCATCAATACCTAATTTATTGAGAGTTTTTAGCATGAGGAGTTGTTGAATTTTGTCAAAGGCCTTTTCTGCATCTATTGAGATATCACGTGGTTTTGTCTTTGGTTCTGCTTATATGCTGGATTATGTTTATTGATTTGCATATGTTGAACCAGCCTTGCATCCCAGGGATGAAGCCCACTTTATCATGTTGGATCAGCTTTTTGATGTGCTGCTGAATTCAGTTTGCCAGTATTTTAATGAGGATTTTTGCATCAATGTTCATCAGGGATATTGGTCGAAAATTCTCTTTTTTTGTTGTGTCTCTGCCAGGCTTTGGTATCAGGATGATGCTGGCCTCATAAAATGAGTTAGGGAGGAGTCCCTCTTTTTCTATTGATTATAATAGTTTCAGAAGAAATGGTACCAGCTCCTCCTTGTACCTCTGGTAGAATTTGGCTGTGAATCCGTCTGCTCCTGGACTTTTTTTTTGGTTGGTAGGCTATTAATTATTGCCTCAATTTCAGAGCCTGTTATTGGTCTATTCAGGGATTCAGCTTCTTCCTGGTTTAGTCTTTATTCATTTCTTCAAGATTTTCTAGTTTATTTGCATAGAGGTGTTTATAGTATTCTCTGATGGTAGTCTGTATTTCTGTGGGATTGGTGGTGATATCCCATTTATCATTTTTTATTGCGTCTATTTGATTCTTCTCTCTTTTCTTCTTTATTAGTCTTGCTAACGGTCTATCAATTTTGTTGATCTTTTCAAAAAACCAGCGACTGGATTCATTGATTTTTTGAAGGGTTTTTCATGTCTCTATTTCCTTCAGTTCTGCTCTGATCTTAGTTATTTCTTGCCTTCTGCTAGCTTTTGAATGTGATTGCTCTTGCTTCTCTAGTTCTTTTAATTGTGATGTTAGGGTGTCAATTTTAGATCTTTCCTGCTTTGTCTTGTGGGCATTTAGTGCTATAAATTTCCCTCTACACACTGCTTTAAAGGTGTCCCAGAGATTCTGGTATGTTGTGTCTTTGTTCTCATTTGTTTCAAAGAATATCTTTATTTCTGCCTTCATTTTGTTATGTACCCAGTAGTCATTCAGGAGCAGGTTGTTCAGTTTTCATGTAACTGAGTGGTTTTGAGTGAGTTTCTAAATCCTCAGTTCTAGTTTGATTGCACCGTTGTCTGAGAGACAGTTTGTTATAATTTCTCTTCTCTTACATTTGCTGAGGAGTGCTTTACTTCCAACTATGTGGTCAATTTTGGAATAAGTGTGATGTGGTGCTGAGAAGAATGTATATTCTGTTGATTTGGGGTGGAGAGCTCTGTAGATGTCTATGAGGTCCGTTTGGCGTAGAGCTGAGTTCAATTTCTAGATATCCTTGTTAACTTCCTGTCTCGTTGATCTGTCTAATGTTGACAGTGGGGTGTTACATTCTCCCATTATTATTGTGTGGGAGTCTAAGTCTCTTTGTAGGTCTCTAAGGACTTGCTTTATGAATCTGGGTGCTCCTGTATTGGGTGCTTATATATTTAGGATAGTTAGCTATTCTTGTTGAGTTGATCCCTTTACCATTATGCAATGGCCTTCTTTGTCTCTTTTTATCTTTGTTGATTTAAAGTCAGTTTTATCACAGACTACAATTGCAAACCCTCCTTTTTTTTTTCCATTTGCTTGGTAGATCTTCCTCCATCCCTTTATTTTGAGCATATGTGTGTCTCTGTATGGGAGATGGGTCTCCTGAATACAGCACACTGATGGGTCTTGACTCTTTATCCAATTTGCCAGTCTGTGTCTTTCAACTGGAGCATTTAGCCCATTTACACTTAAGGTTAATATTGTTATGTGTGAATTTGATCCTGTCATTATGATGTTAGCTGGTTATTTTGCTCGTTAGTTGATGCAGTTTCTTCCTAGCATTGACAGCCTTTACAATTTGGCATGTTTTTGCAGTGGCTGGTACCAGTTGTTCCTTTCTATGTTTAGTGCTTCCTTCAGGAGCTCTTGTAAGGCAGGCCTGGTGGTGACAAAATCTCTCAGCATTTGCCTGTCTGTAAAGTATTTTATTTCTCCTTCACTTATGAAGCTTAGTTTGGCTGGATATGAAATTCTGGGTTGAAAATTCTTTTCTTTAAGAATGTTGAATATTGGCCCCCACTCTCTTCTGGCTTGTAGAGTTTCTGCCGAGAGATCTGCTGTTAGTCTGATGGGCTTCCCTTTGTGGGTAACCCGACGTTTCTCTCTGGCTGCCCTTAACATTTTTTCCTTCATTTCAACTTTGGTGAATCTGACAATTATGTGTCTTGGAGTTGCTCTTCTCGAGGAGTATCTTTGTGGTGTTCTCTGTATTTCCTGAATTTGAATATTCGCCTGTCTTGCTAGGTTGGGGAAGTTCTCCTCGATAATATCCTGCAGAGTGTTTTCCAACTCGGTTTCATTCTCCCCGTCACTTTCAGGTACACCAATCAGATGTAGATTTGGTCTTTTCAGATAGTCCCATATTTCTTGGAGGCTTTGTTCCTTTCTTTTTACTCTTTTTTCTCTAAACTTCTCTTCTCTCTTCATTTCATTCCTGTGATCTTCAATCACTGATACCCTTTCTTCCAGTTGATTGAATTTGCTACTGAAGCTTGTGCATTCGTCACGTAGTTCTCATGCCATGGTTTTCAGCTCCATCAGGTCATTTAAGGACTTCTCTACACTGGTTATTTTAGTTAGCCATTTGTCTAATCTTTTTTCAAGGTTTTTAGCTTCTTTGCAATGGGTTCGAACTTCCTCTTTTAGCTTGGAGAAGTTTGTTCATCTGAAGCCTTCTTCTCTCAACTCATCAAAGTCATTCTCCATCCAGCTTTGTTCCGTTGCTGGCAAGGAGCTGTGCTCCTCTGGAAGGTGAGAGGCACCTGATTTTTAGAATTTTCAGCTTTTCTGCTCTGTTTCTCCCCATCTTTGTGATTTTATCTACCTTTGGTCTTTGATGATGGTGACATACAGATGGGGTTTTGGTGTGGATGTCCTTTCTGTTTGTTAGTTTTCCTTCTAACAGTCAGGACCCTCAGCTGCAGGTCTGTTGGAGTTTGCTGAAGGTCCACTCCAGACCCTGTTTGCCTGGGTATCGGCAGCGGAGGCTGCAGAACAGCGAATATTGCTGAACAGTAAATGTTGCTGCCTGATCATTTCTCTGGAGCTTCATCTCAGAGGGGTATCTGGCCATGTGAGGTCTCAGACTGCCCCTACTGGAGGGTGTCTCCCAGTTAGGCTACTTGGGGGTCAGGGACCCACTTGAGGAGGCAGTCTGTCTGTTCTCAGATCTCAAACTGTGTGCTAGGAGAACCACTACTCTCTTCAAAGCTGTCAGACGGGACATTTAAGTCTGCAGAGGTTTCTGCTGCCTTTTGTTTGGCTATGCCCTGCCCCAGAGGTGGAGTCTACAGTGGCAGGCAGGCCTCCTTGAGCTGTGGTGGGCTCCACCCAGTTCGAGCTTCCTGGCCACTTTATCTACTCAAGCCTCAGCCATGGCAGGCGCCCCTCCCCCAGCCTCACTGCCACCTTGCAGTTCGATCTCAGACTGCTGTGCTAACAATGAGAGAGGCTCTGTGGGCGTGGGCTCTCTGAGCCAGGCACGGGACATAATCTCCTGGTGTGCCGTTTGTAAGACCATTGGAAAAGGGCAGTATTAGGGTGTGAGTGACCCAGTTTTCCAGGTGCCATCTGTCACAGCTTCCCCCGACTCCTTGCAATTCCTGGGTGAGGCAATGCCTCGCCCTGCTTTGGCTCATGCTCAGTGGGCTGCACCCACTGTCCTGCACCCACTGTCCAACAAGCCCCAGTGAGATGAACCCGGTACCTCAGTTGGAAATGCAGAAATCAACCATCTTCTGCGTCACTCATGCTGGGAGCTGTAGACTGGAGCTGTTCCCATTCAGCCACCTTGGAACTTCCCCCTATCATGACTTCTATGAATGCAGAAGTTCTACTTTGCTCCTTTCTTACATTATGTTGATTTCCCTGAAAACACAAGTTTTTCGTTTCTTTAGATGGTTCATATTATCCTCAAAAACTGCAGAAGGTTGTTTCATTCCCTTCCTTCTCATAGAGATAATGGATTGTGCCAAGTCTTACATGCCCATTGCACACTTTCTCAATTCCCAGCTTTGTTCTTACTTAATTTTCCTCATAACGTCTCAATTATGGGACAAATTTTCTTAATGTGGCATAAGGTACAGTCTGTGTTTTACAAGGAATAACTTAGTTTCATTTACTTCGTCAATAGGTGTTCAGGAGATGGAGGCCATATAACAATTTTATTTACATGATATCGAGAATAAGTTCCTTCAGATGAGACTCTCTCATGAGTCCACAATGAATTCTCAAGCATTTTTTGATGCAGATGAATTGAATGAATGACTGGTCAGAGGATGAGACAAAAAGAGATCCCTGCTTTCAGGGCAGCCATTAAATGCAGTCCCTGCTGCCATATCATGCAGCTGTTGCTCACTGAGGTGTGGGAAACTTATTTGGGAAAACTTTTTTGTGAACAAAAATGTTATCTGCAAATATAAGAGATCATTCCTCTCATTGTTAAATAAACTCAAGTGCATGTCTTGCTAGTGCTGACTTCCAATGTCATTTCTACTATGTTGAGAGTTAAATGTAAGTGTCCTTGGGCAGAAAGAGAGGACCTCAGCTTGGATCAGAATCTGTCCTTTATTAGCTACATAACATCACATATTAATTTTTTTTCAGGTGAAAAATGAAGGTAATAATGCATGACCACCTGTTTTGAGAATCAAATTGGATAATAACTATGGTATGTGATATGTGTGTAAATCCCATATCAGGAGTGCTTTCAAATAAAACAAAACACTATATGAGATGAGGATGGTTCAGAATTTATTCAGAAACATATAGGTAAGGATTTCTGCTACCAGGGACACAACACAAATTTATCATGAAAAGAAGAAAGAAGGATACAAGAACGATGAGGAGGATATTGAAAACAAAAAAAAGATTGCAAAGATCATCGATCAGTTGCAGAAACCTAAATTCCTTAGAAGCAGGGAATGAAGCTCTTGACTTTAGAGTCAAAGCTGAGACCATGACTCAAACTTGAGAACAGATGAAGCTGGCACATGATCCACAAGGTGTAAGGAAAAAGAGAATCAGGATGAAGTATTCTGCCCTCCCTCAAGCAGATTTCCAAGATTTTAAACATGTAGAGAATTCATAAAAATTTGGGTGAGAGCATGGTGGCTGTCAGCAGCAAATTAAATTAGTCCCCCAAAAGATGAGTCAGTTGAGCAGAAATTTGTTGTGTGAGGATGGTGGTTCTCTTGGAACGTGATCAGCAGCAAGAAGGCTGGCAGCAGCTGGACACACAGGTGGGCTGGAAGCAAGTGGTCCTGCAGCAGGTGGTCTCACAGCAGGCTGGGCGGCAGCAGGGCTGGCAGCAGTTGGAGCCACAGCTCTGGTTTAGGCAACCAGGCAGGCAGACAGTCGTGGGGTGGTAGCAGGTTCTTCTGCAGTACACAGGTGCACAGGAGCTGCTCTGACCACAGCTGGACCCACAGCTGGTTTGGCCACAGCAGGTGGGCTGACAGCAGGGTGTGCTGCAGCAGGAAGGCTGGCAGCAGCTGGTCACACAGATGGGCTGGCAGCAGGTGTTTTGACAGCAAGTTGGGCGGCAGCAAGGCTGGCAGCAGCTGGACACACAGCAGGAGGGCTGGCAGCAGGGTGTGCTGCTGCAGGTGGTCACAGTGGTGGGCTTCCAGCAGGTGGTCCTGCAGCACGTAGGCTGACAGCAAGGGGAACAACAGTGGGTCATGGTGTCAGGGGTAGAGGGTGGAGTTCTGTTCAGAGGTGAGTTTCCCAGAATCTGATGACCCCTTGCATTCTGGACCTTTTATACACCTGGCCTCCAAAGTTTCCACCAATCAGCAGGACTTTTCCTTGTTGCTGTTTATCTTGTTTTCCACAGTCCGTTTGTGATTCTCAAAGGGTAGTTGTTTCCTTAAGGTTAAACAGATTAAGGTTTAATCTGTTTCTTAATTGTGAATTACTCATAGACACTTTGTTTGAGATAAAAGGAAGCCCGTCTCATCATCAGCATCATTCCTATTCTGACCATCATCTAGTCATGTGATAGTTCCTGTTGATCTGGGAGGCTCAGGAAGCTCTCTGGCCAGCCTCATGTTTGGCTGTATATAGACTGGGAAGTGTCTGTGGGGAGAAGCATGATGCTGATATATTTACAGTGACAAAATGAATCCATGCCTGGGCCCAAGGCTAGTCACCCACCAAATTCTGACTCAAGACTAACAGGCATCTCTCTGTACCACCCTCACCACCTGTGCCTTTCCGTTATTTGAACGTCACTTGGGAAGAGGGTGTCTGTCACAGTGTGTTCCATGTGGCAGAGCAGATCGAGAGCAGGGGGATGCAGAGAAATTCACTGGGATTTAGACAACATCAAGCAAACTATGCCCTGAGTGACCATTCATTCTGACTTGTCTGTGAGTGTGGCGATTCCAGGACGAGAATGTAGGACTCTCTATGACATAACTGCTTGAGATTCAGGCCAACCAGCATGTGCTCTGGCTCTAGCTGCAACCCAGTTACCAGCACAGTAAGCATCATGTCTTCTCTCTCTATTTCTTTTTAATGAAGGAATTAGATGAGTTGAGATGATGCCTGATTCATCATGGAGTTCTAACATGTTTAAAACATTTTCTAGGTATACCATTCATTTGAGAAAATGCAAACTATTAATTTTCAACTTGATATAGTATTATATTGTAAATACATTTATGTCCCATTACATCTATGTTAGGAAATAGAAATTAATTCCATTCTCTCCCAATTATATGCTCTTACTCTTTCCCAAAGACAGCTAATCACTCTATCAGTTGTAATCCTGTAGGTAACTTTTGGCTTTTTAAAATTTTCATGTGAATAAAAAGTATAGTATTTGCTTCTCTATTTCTTTGGCATAAACAAAAGTAATCTTTATCGCCTAGTCATTTTGGACTCTTCATATAAGCAAAGCAGCAGACAGAGAAAGTAGTTACTATTTGGTGAGGGATAATTACCCTCAAGCCATATAGTGTAGCAGAATATATCTATAGCTCAGGAGATTTACTGAGTATATTAATTTACTAGCACTGCCCTGATGAATTACTGAAAAAAAGTGGCTTAAATTTATTTATCAAAGTTCTGAAGGCCTCTTTTCTGAAATTAAGGTGTTGGCAATGTTGTTTTCATCTGAAGACTGCGAGGGAAGTATCTGTTCCAGGTCTCCCTCCCTGACGTGTCGAAGTCTATCATCTCCAAGTGTGTTTGACATAATTTTTCTATTATATCCATACTGTCTCTGAATTTCTCCCTTGTGAATAGACACAGTCATATTTAATCAGAGGCCTAATTGTTTCCAATATGACCTTGTCTTATCAGATAACATTTTAGATGGTTCTATTTGTATATGGATTTTGAGGGACGCAAATGAACCCATAACACTGCAGAATCTCATAGTGTGTCCATGCCCAGTGATAACCACAAATGAATAAAAACAGCAATCACGGTGGACAATGGTATAGTAACCAGGGGCTCAGACCCTTCAGGAAGGATGCTCTGAGCTACTCTATCAGCAGTTATCTAGACCAAAAAGAGTGCTGGCCAGGGGTGAAGGGAGAATAGAACTCTTGGTAATTAACGGAGTTTATGAAACTTAGGTGCACTGTATTATAGCAGAAGTAAGTGTAGATTATTTAATTGGCCTTCATTTTATATCTCACTTCCTCTCCTTTCTTTTCCTTTCCTTCTTCTTTCTTTCTTTCTTTTCCTTCCTTCCTTCCTTTTTCTCCCTTCCTGCCTCCCTCCCTTCCCTTCCCTTCTCTCTCTCTCTATTCTTTCTTTCTTTCTTCTTTCTTTCTTTTTTCTTTCTTTCTTTCTTTCTTTCGATCTCTTTCCTTCCTTCCTTCCTTCTTTCCTTCCTTCCTTCCTTCCTTCCTTCCTTCCTTCCTTCCTTCCTTCCTTCCTTCCTTTCCCTCCCTCGGTTCCTCCCTGCTCCCTCTTTTCCCTCCCTCCTGTCCGTCCTTCCTTCCTTCCTTCTCTCTGTCTTTCTGTTTTTCTTTCCTTCTTTTCTCTTTCCTTCTCCTCTCATCTTCTGTCCCTTCTCTTCCTCTGCTTCCTCTCTTCCTCTTCTTCTTTCTCCTAGAGCTTGTGGCTGTCCATTCTATTTAAGTAGCAAATATTTGACTTGAGTGGAGCTAGTTGTAGATCGTAGACAAGTTTTCATGACTGCACCCGTATATCTTGCATGTTAGTGTGCTTGGATCAATTTCTATCTGTCAAAATCTGCATCTCTGTGCCTAAGGGCTCTTGTATTGCAGCTGTAGAAAGTCATGCCACCTGTGAATGCAATACAGAGAAAAACACTCAACCAATGATTCTGGAGAGCTGATTTATAAAGACTCTAGCTTCCTCATTCCTGAAGTAGGATAATACCAGCTATGTGTTTTTCATCATTTCTGATAATTTTCACTTTAGTTTAAGCTTTAGTTGGTGACTGTGAAACTGACTTAATAGTGTACCCTTTTCTGTATCACTTCCCCAGTCCCTACCAGTATGATCTGCACTTCCCAGTAAACTAGTTTCACTGGAATTTTTTTTCAGAGTCTCTTCTGGGAGAAACTCATCTATGACTATACGTTAACTCAGCCTCAAATTTCTCATCTCTACAAGAGGAACATTAATACCTATTTTGAAAGTTTGTTAAATAGTTAATAATAATGTACACAAAGCATTTATCCAGTACCCATCATAGAGCAGGCAACACAGAATTAGTGTTTTTTGTTCAGAAAATTCCCAAGTTTTATGTTGAAGATAAGAATATTTTTGTATTAATTAAATAGATCAACTAAATACGTTTTTTTCTAGCTGTATTGAGGTATAATTGACAAACAAAAATTGTGTACATTTCAGGTATAGAAGGTGATGCTCTGATATATATATTGATTGTGAATAACATATTTATTAGGTCACTTAGTTACCATTTCCTTTTTATTTTTCTGGTGTGAATATTTAAGATCTACCTTCTCAGTAAATTTCAGGTATATGATAAAGTGTTTTTAACTATAGTCATATTACTGTACATTAGACCTACTGAACTTATTCATCTTTCATAACTGATGCTAGTCAAAGAGAATGTCCTAGTTTTCATCTCCTTTACTTCATCCCTGAACGATGATGACAGTAAGTGGCTGTTGTCTCTTAGCCAAGTCTTCAGAGCATTCTAGATTCACAGTCTCGGAAGTTGGCATCTGTCATGGAAATCTACATTTTTAGCTCATCAGAGGTATTTCTACCACTCCCCTGCTGGTAGGAGGCCCCAAGAAGGTGCCCCAGGTCCCCGACTTTTCAATTTCTCTCAGAGCCAGCATCAATCAATCCTTTCATGAGTGAATGGTTATCTTACATCAGTTCAGGACCCGAAGCACCAACCTCTGTCTATTATGTCTTCTATGAATGCACAAGTTCTACCTTGCTCCTTTCTTACATTCTTCTGATTTCCGTGGAAAAAGAAGTTTTTCATTTCTTTAGATTCTTCATATTGGCCTCACAAAATGTGGAAGGTTGTTTTTATTCCCTTCCTTAGCTCAGAGATTATGGGTTGTGCCAAGTCTTACATGCCCATTGCATAGTTTCTCAATTCCCAGCTTTGTTCTTACATAATTTTACTCATAACACTTCAAGTAGGGGACAAATTGTCTTAACGTGGCATAACGTATGGTCTGTATTTTACAATGAATAACTTAGTTTCATTTACTTTGTCAATTGGTATTCAGGAGACCGATGCTGTATAAGAATTTTATTTACATCACACTGAGAATAAGTTTCTTCAGATGAGGCTCCGTCTCCTGAGTCCACAATAAATTCTCAAGCATTTTTTGATGCAGATGAATTGAATGAATGGCTGGTCAGAGGCTCAGACAAAAAGATCTCTGCATTCAGGGCAGCCATTAAATGCATATCATGCAGCCTTTGCTCACTGAGGTGTGGGGAACTACTTTGGGATTTTTTTGTGTGTGAACAAAAGTGTTATCTGCAAATATGTCAGATTATTCCTCTCATTGTTAAATAAACTCAAGTACATGTCTTGCTAGTGCTGACTTCCAGTGTCTTTTCTACTATATTGGGAGTTAAACGTAAGTGTCCTTGGGCAGAAAGAGAGGACCTCACCTTTGACCAGAGTCTGCCCTTTACTAGCTACATAACATCACACATTAAATTGTTCTCAGCTGAAAAAATGGAGTTAATAATACACGACCATCTGTTTTGAGAATCAAATTGGATAATACCTATGGTATGTGATATGTGTGTAAATCCCATATCAGGAATGCTTTCAAATAAAACAAAACACTATATGAGATGAAGATGGTTCAGAGTTTATTCAGAAACATATAGGTAAGAATCTCTGCTACCAGAGACATAACCCAAAGTTATCGTGAAAAGAAGAAAGAAGGATACAAGAACCATGAGAAGGATATTTAAAATGAAAATATAATTGCAAAGATGATTGATCAGTTGCAGAAACCTAAATTCCTTAGAAGCAAAGAATGAAGCTCTTGATTTTTGAGACAAAGCTGAGATCATGACTCCAAATTAAGAACAGACGAAGCTGGCACATGATCCACAAGGTGTAAGGAAAGAGGGAATGAGGATGAAGTATTCTGCCCTCCCTCAAGCAGATTCCCAAGATTTTAAACATGTAGAGAATTCATAAAAATTTGGGTGAGAGCATGGTGGCTGTCAGCAGCAAAGTAAATTAGTCCCTCAAAAGACAAGTCAGTTGAGCTGAAGGTTGTTGTGTGAGGATGGTAGTTCTCTTGGGAGTTGATTAGCAGCAAGAAGGCTGGCAGCAGCTGTACACACAGGTGGGCTGGAAACAAGTGGTCCTGCAGCAGGTGGTCTCACAGCAGGCTGGGCGGCAGCAGGGCTGGCAGCAGTTGGAGCCACAGCTCTGGTTTAGGCAACCAGGCAGACAAACACTTGTGGGGTGGTAGCAGGTTCTTCTGCAGTACACAGGTGCACAGGAGCTGCTCTGACCACAGCTGGACCCACAGCATGTGGGCTGGCAGCAGGGTGTGCTACAGCAGGAAGGCTGGCAGCAGCTGGTCACACAGATGGGCTGGCAGCAGGTGGTCCTACAGCAGGTGTTTTGACAGCAAGTTGGGTGGCAGCAAGGCTGGCAGCAGCTGGAAACACAGCAGGAGGGCTGACAGCAGGGTGTGCTGCTGCAGGTGGTCACAGTGGTGGGCTGCCAGCAGGTGGTCCTGCAGCAGGTAGGCTGACAGCAAGGGGAGCAACAGTGGGTCATGGTGTCAGGGATGGAGGGTGGGCTTCTGTTAAGAGGTGAGTTTCCCAAAATCTGATGACCCCTTGCAATCTGGACCTTTTATACACCTGGCCTCCAAAGTTTCCACCAATCAGCAGGACTTTTCCTTGTTGCTGTTTACATTGTTTTCCACAGTCCATTTGGGATTGTCAAAGGGGAAGTTGTTACTGAAATCTTATGAACCTTTTAAACTAAGGGTTTAATCTGTTTCTTAATTGTGAGTTACTCATAGAAAGTTTGTTTCAGATAAAAGGAAGCCCGTCTCATCATCAGCATCATTCCTGCTCTGACCATCATCTGGTCATGTGACAGTTCCTGTTGATCCGGGGGGCTCAGGAAGTTCTCTCTGGCCAGCCTCATGTTTGGCTGTATATAGACTTGGAAGTGTCTGTGGGGAGAAGCATGATGCTGATATATTTACAGTGACAAAATGAATCCATGCCTGGGCCCAAGACTATTCACCCACCAAATTCTGACTCAAGACTAACAGGCATCTCTTTGTGCCACCCACATCATCTGTGTCTTTCAGTTCTTTGAATGTCACTTGGGAAGACGGTGACTGCACAGTGTGTTCCATGCGACAGAGCAGATCGAGAACAGGTGGATGCAGAGAAATCTGCTGAGATTTAGACAGCATCAAGCAATGTATGCCCTAGGACGACCATTCATTCTGACTTGTCTGGGAGTGTGGGGATTTCCGGGATGAGAATGGAGGACTTTCTATCACGTAACTTCTTGAGATTCAGGCCAACCAGCATGTGCTCTGGCTCTAGCCCTAAACCTAGTTACTAGCAGTAACTAGAAGTAAGCGTTGAAATTCAGGCCAACCAGCATGTGCTGTGGCTCTAGCCCTAAACCTAGTTACTAGCAGTAACTAGAAGAAGAAGTAAGTAGAAGTAATTTCTTCTATTTCTTTTCAATGAAGGGATTAGATGAGTTGAGATGACACCTGATTCATCGTGGAGTTCTAACATGTTGAAAACATTGTCTAGGTATATCATTCACTTGAGAAGAATGCAAATTATTAATTTCCAACCTGATATAGTATTACATTGTAAATACATCTATGTCCCCATTACCAGGTTAGGAAATAGAAATTAATGCCATTCTCTCCCAATTATATCCGCTTACTCATTTCCAAACAGCTAATCACTCTATCAAGTTATAATCCAGTAGATGACTTTGGCTTTTTAAAATTTCCATGTGAATAAAAATTATAGTATTTGCTTCTCTGTTTCTTTGTTATAATCAAAAGGAATCGTTATCGCCTAGTCATTTTGGACTCTTCCCGTCAGCAGAGCAGCAGACAGAGAAAGGAGTTACTATTTGGTGAGGGGTAATTATCTTTAAGCCATATAGTGTAGCAGAATATATCTATAGCTCAGGATACTTAGTAAGTGTATTAACTTACCAGCACTGCCATAATAAATTACTGTAAACCAAGTGGCTTAAATTTATCTTTTCACAGTTCAGAAATTAAGGTTTTGGCAATGTTGTTTTCATCTGAAGCCTGTGAGGGAAGTACATGTTCCAGGTCTCTCTCCTTGACTTGTTGATGTCTATCATTTCCATGTGTGTTTGATATAATTTTTCTGTTATATGCATGCTGTCTCTGAATTTCCCCCTTTTATATAGACATCAGTCATATTTAATCAGAGGCCTAATTGTTTCCAATATGACCTTGCCTTATCACATAACACTTTAAATGATTCTATTTGAATATGAGTTTTGGGGGACACAAATTAACCCATAACACTGGAGAATCTCATAGTGTGTCCATGTCCAGTGATAACTACAAATCGGTAAGAACAGCAATCACAGTGGACAGTGGTATAGTAACTAGAGGCTCAGACAATTTAGGAAGGAAGTTATCAAGGCAGTTATCAGGCAGTTATCCAGACCAAGAAGAGTGCTGGCCAGCGGTGAAGGGAGAATAGAACTGGTGGTAATAAACGGAGACTGTGAATCTCAGGTGCACTGTACTATAGCAGCAGTAAGTGTAGCTTATTTCATTGGCCTTCATTTTACATCTCACTTCCTCTCCTTTCTTTTCATTTCCTTCTTCTCTCTCCTTCCTCTTCCTTCCTTTCTTCCTTCCTTTCTTCTTCTTTCTTTCTTTCTCTTTCTTTCTTTCTCTTTCTTTCTTTCTTCTTTCTTTCTTTCTCTCTTTCTTTCTTTCTCTCTCTCTCCCTTCCTTCCTTCTTTTTCTCTTTCTCTCTCTCTCTTTCTTTCTTTTGTCCTCCACTCATCTTCTGTCCCTTCTCTTACTCCTCTTTCTCACCTCCTCTTCTTCCTTCTTCTAGAGCTTGTGCCTGTCCATCACATTTAAGTAGCAAAGGTTTTACTTGAGTGGAGCTAATTGTAGATCATAGATAAGTTTTCATGACTGCACCCATATATATTAGATCTTAGTGTGCTTGGACTAATTTCCATCTGTTAGAATCTGCATCTCTGTGCCTAAGAGCTCTTGTATTGCTGCTGTAAGAAGTCATGTCACCTGTGAATGCAACACAGAGAAAAACTCTCAACCAATGATTCTGGAGAGCTGATTTATAAAGACTCTAGCTTCCTCATTCCTGAAGTAGGATAACTCTAGCTGTGTGTTTTTTTGTCATTTCTGATAGTTTTCCCTTTAGTTTAAGCTTTAGTTGGTGACTGTGATACTGACTTGATAGTGTACCCTTTTCTGTATCACTTCCCCAATCCCTACCAGTGTGATCTGCACTTCCGAATAAACTAGTTTCACTGGAATGCTTTCCTCAGAGTCTCTTCTGGGAGAAACTAATCTATGACAATACACTAACTCTCTCAGCCTCAATTTTTTCATCTCTACAAAGGGAACATTAATACCTGTTTTGAAAGTTTGTTAAAGAATTAATAATAGCCGGGTGCAGTGGCTCACGCCTGTAATCCAAGCATTTTGGGAGGCCGAGGCGGGCGGATCACAAGGTCAGGAGATCGAGACCATCCTGGCTAAAATGTTGAAACCCCGTCTCTACTAAAAATACATAAAATTAGCCGGGCGTGGTGGCGGGTGCTTATAGTCCCAGCTACTCGAGAGGCTGAGGCAGGAGAATGGCATGAACCAGGGAGGCAGAGCTTGCAGTGAGTCAAGATTGTACCACTGCACCCCAGCCTGGGTGACAGAGCAAGACTCCATCTCAAAAAAAAAAAAAAAGAATTAATAATAGTGTACACAAAGCATTTAGCCAATATGTCTCCTATAGCAGGCAGCCCAGAATTAGTGTTTTTGTTCAGAAAATTTCTAATTTTAATGTTGAAGATAAGAATATTTTTGTAATAATTAACCAGATCAACCAAATACTTTTTCGAGCTGTATTGAGGTGTAATTGACAAATAAAAATTGTGTCTATTTCAGGTATGGAAGATGATGCTCTAATATATATATCCATTGTGAATAACATGTTTATTAGCCCACGTAGTTACCATTTCCTTTTTATTTTTGTGGTGTGAACATATAAGATCTAACTTCTTGGCAAATTTCAGGTGTATGATACAGTGTTTACAACTATAGTGACACTACTGTACAGTAGACATGCTGAACTTATTCACCTTTCATAACTGATGCTAGTCAAAAGGAATGTCCTAGTTTTCATGTCCTTTACTTCATCCCTGAACGATGATCACAGTAAGTGGCCTTCATCCCTCAGCCAAGTCTTCAGAGCATTCTAGATTCACAGTCTCAGAAGTTGGCATCTGTCATGGAAATCTACATTGTTAGCTCATCAGAGGTATTTCTACCACTCCCATGCTGGTAGGAGGTCGCAAGAAGGTGACCCAGGTCCCCAAACTTTGTATTTCTCTCAGAGCCAGTATCAATCTATCTTTCCCTGAGTGAATGCTTAGCTTGCACCAGTTCAGAACCAAAAGCACCAACCTCTGTCTATCATGACTTCTATGAATGCACACGTTCTACTTTGCTCCTTTCTTACATTCTTCTGATTTCCCTGCAAACACCGTTTTCAGTTTCTTTAGATGCCTCATATTGGTCTTACAAAATTCAGAAGGTTCTTTCATTCCCTTCCTTGGTTTAGAGATTATGGATTGTGCCACGTCTTACATACCCATTGCGTACTTTCTCAATTCCCAGCTTAATTCCTTACTTAATTTTCCTCATAACATTTCGATTAGGGGACAAATTGTCTTAATGTGGCATAAGGTGTGGTCTGTATTTTACAAGGAATAACTTAGTTTCATTGACTTTGTCAACAGGTATTCAGGAGGGGGAGGCTGTGTAAGAATTTTATTTACATCATACTGAGAATAAGTCACTTCAGATGAGACTCTCTCTTATGATGATATAATGAATTCTCAAGCATCTTTTTGATGCGGATGAATTGAATGATTGGCTGGTCAGAGGCTGAGACAAAAAGATCCCTGCATTCAGGGCAGCCATTAAATGCAATCCCTGCTGCCATGTCATGCAGCTGTTGCTCACTGAGGTGTGGGAAAAAATAATTTGGGATTTTTTTGTGAATAAAAATATTATTTGCAAATATGAGAGATTATTTCTCTCATTGTTAAATAAACTCAAGTGCATGTCTTGCTAGTGCTGACTTCCAATGTCATTTCTACTATGTTGAGAGTTAAATGTAAGTGTCCTTGGGCAGAAAGAGAGGACCTCAGCTTGGATCAGAATCTGTCCTTTATTAGCTACATAACATCACATATTAATTTTTTTTCAGGTGAAAAATGAAGGTAATAATGCATGACCACCTGTTTTGAGAATCAAATTGGATAATAACTATGGTATGTGATATGTGTGTAAATCCCATATCAGGAGTGCTTTCAAATAAAACAAAACACTATATGAGATGAGGATGGTTCAGAATTTATTCAGAAACATATAGGTAAGGATTTCTGCTACCAGGGACACAACACAAATTTATCATGAAAAGAAGAAAGAAGGATACAAGAACGATGAGGAGGATATTGAAAACAAAAAAAAGATTGCAAAGATCATCGATCAGTTGCAGAAACCTAAATTCCTTAGAAGCAGGGAATGAAGCTCTTGACTTTAGAGTCAAAGCTGAGACCATGACTCAAACTTGAGAACAGATGAAGCTGGCACATGATCCACAAGGTGTAAGGAAAAAGAGAATCAGGATGAAGTATTCTGCCCTCCCTCAAGCAGATTTCCAAGATTTTAAACATGTAGAGAATTCATAAAAATTTGGGTGAGAGCATGGTGGCTGTCAGCAGCAAATTAAATTAGTCCCCCAAAAGATGAGTCAGTTGAGCAGAAATTTGTTGTGTGAGGATGGTGGTTCTCTTGGAACGTGATCAGCAGCAAGAAGGCTGGCAGCAGCTGGACACACAGGTGGGCTGGAAGCAAGTGGTCCTGCAGCAGGTGGTCTCACAGCAGGCTGGGCGGCAGCAGGGCTGGCAGCAGTTGGAGCCACAGCTCTGGTTTAGGCAACCAGGCAGGCAGACAGTCGTGGGGTAGTAGCAGGTTCTTCTGCAGTACACAGGTGCACAGGAGCTGCTCTGGCCACAGCTGGACCCACAGCTGGTTTGGCCACAGCAGCTGGACCCACAGCAGGTGGGCTGGCAGCAGGGTGTGCTGCAGCAGGAAGGCTGGCAGCAGCTGGTCACACAGGTGGGCTGGCAGCAGGTGGTCCTACAGCAGGTGTTTTGACAGCAAGTTGGGCGGCAGCAAGGCTGGCAGCAGCTGGACACACAGCAGGCGGGCTGGCAGCAGGGTGTGCTGCTGCAGGTGGTCACAGTGGTGGGCTTCCAGCAGGTGGTCCTGCAGCAGGTGGTCCTGCAGCAGGTAGGCTGACAGCAAGGGGAGCAACAGTGGGTCATGGTGTCAGGGGTGGAGGGTGGGCTTCTGTTCAGAGGTGAGTTTCCCAGAATCTGATGACCCCTTGCAATCTGGACCTTTTATACATCTGGCCTCCAAAGTTTCCACCAATCAGCAGGACTTTTCCTTGTTGTTGTTTACACTGTTTTCCATACTCCCTTTGCGATTGTCAAAGGGGAAGTTGTTTCTGAAATCTTATGAATCTTTTGAAAGTAAGGGTTTAATCTGTTTCTTAATTGAGAATTACTCATAAAAACTTTGTTTCAGATAAAAGGAAGGCAGTCTCATCACCAGCATCATTCCTGCTCTGACCATCATCTGGTCATGTGATAGTTCCTGGTGATCCGGGAAGCAGATAGTTCTCTCTGTCCAGCCTCATGGTTGACTGTATGTAGACTGGGAAATGTCTGTGGGCAGTCGCGTGATGCTGTTATGTTCACAGTGATGCATTGAATCCGTGCCCGGCACCAAGCCTATTTACCCACAAAAGTCTGATTCAAGAGTAACAAGCATCTTTCTCGCTACAAACTATTCCACCTGTGTCTTCCAGTTCTATTACACTCACTAGGGAAAGGGTGTTTGGCACAATGTATTCCAAAATGCAGAGCTAGACCAAAGCAGGTGGGTAGAAAAAGGAGTCCACTGGGATTCAGAAAGCATCGAGTGTCTCTGTGATGGTGTTGCCATTTACCCTGATTTGCCTGGGACTGAAGGGTTTACCAGCATGGGACTCTCTGTGACGTAAGTGCTCTAGATTCGGGCAAATCAAGCTGAGTTCTGGTCCTAGCTTGTTAATTCTAATACTTTTTGTATTTTTTTTTGGTGTGACAGAAAATTGCACATGTGCAGTCATGACTCATAAAAAATAGTAATAGTTTTCTTCGCTTTATAAGAGTATTTTTAATCTTGCTTTTTTTTTGGCCCTTGTCCAGGGGTAGACCCTCCAGGGCAATGTCTAATAGAATGGTGTAGTGTATATCTTTTTATATTCGTTGGATAGAAAGGAGAACTCTCAGTATTTCACAATTAATTACGATGCTTTCTGTCTTTTTTGTAGATTCATTTCATCATAGCAACAGGTCTTGTTCTATTCCTTATTTTCTGAGAGACAGAAAACTGAAAATGTACTGAAATTTACAAAATGCTTTTTCTTTATAAGCTGAAATAATGTTATGATTATTCTACCTTTTCAGTAAGTGTTGTTTTATTCTATGTTTTTTGAGACAGAGTCTTGCTTCGTCACCCAGGCTGGAGTGCAGTGGTACAATCTTGGCTCACTGCAATCTCCACCTCCCGGGTTCAAGAGATTCTCTTGCCTCAGCCTCCTGAGTAGCTGGGACTATGGGAGCACACCACCATGCCCAGCTAACTTTTGTATTTTTAATAGAGACAGAGTTTCACCATGTTGGCCAGCTGATCGCAAACTCCTGACCTCAAGAGATCCACCTGCCTCGGCTTCCCAAAATGTGTTATTTTAAAAGTTGATTAATGTTCAAATATTAGCCCAGTCTTGCATTTCTGAAAACAATTCATGTGGTTACGATCATATGTATATGCCATTGGATTTTATTTACTTATATTTTGTTTAGGATATTTACTATCATTGCATTCCAAAAATATATTCTCCTATTCTTACTCTATTTCCTCTACCTTCTCTAAGTAAAGAAATTCCGAATATAGCAAAATTCCTACCCTTCTGTGCCCAATTTGACCTTGATGTGACCCCCTGTATTGGTTTTTCTAAAGGCAATTTCATGCCCCATGAAATACTCTAGCAGTTCTATTGCAGAGTGTGGGCTTGGGGATCAACAGTTCTTTTTTCAACAGGGGCACTAGACTATCCCATGGGTCCCTTTCAAACACACACACCCCATGGGGGGAACTCCCAGGAGATACTTGTAGCCCAGTTGTAGTCTTTCTTATCTACTTTGACAGAAACAATGAAGTCTAGCCCAATTATCTGAAATCTGTACTTAGTCATTTCTACAACAATATTGTGTTAATCTAGAAAACGTGAGTGAGGAATTGTCTTTAATCTGCAACTCAAATTATAGGAGGAGGAAATTACATCAGCATATGTAGGTATCAGTTAAATTCATTGAGGAGAACCTGGGGGAAAGTGTGATTGGTGGATCCCAAATAACGAGACAGTGGTATCAGATTATCACTTGATTAACAAACACATAAAACATGAGAGCCCATGCAGCTCTCTAACAACAGGCCTATTGCACTGAGTTTTACATGTAGATTTTTGAAGAGAGTGGAAAGTAAACACTGAGTTTCCTGAGAATATAAGTAGACGTGTATGACAGAATATCATTATCGGTTCTTAAATATTATGGCAGAAATGAATGAAGTGAAAGTTTACACTAACATGTAAGAAATATCACTATTTAGACCCTACAGAGGGATGGCTTTGGATAGAAAAATAAGATTAGATTGCCCTTGGAACTTCAAAGTTACACAAAAAGAAACAGAGCAAAGTTATGCACAGGCATCTTAAAAAGAATGAATGGCTTCGAAGCTAGCCAAATTTATTCTAGTCTGGTAAGGATTTGAAAATGAATATTTCTTATATGGGAATGTGGCATTCAAATTCTTCCCTCTGGGAATATATGTAGGAGTGAAATTGCCACGTCATAGGAAACACTTATAATCAGCATTAGTAGAAAGAAAAAAGCAGTGTTTCAACATTTTACAACCAGTAGTGACTCCTGCTTGACCCTAATATTGTGAACCTTCTGAATTGTACTGGTATGTATTTATGTTTTAGATTTGCATTTATTTGATGACTAATGTCTAATAGGCATTGGTTGTTCCTTTTTCCTTTTTCATAAGATGCCTGTTCAAGTCTTCTACCCATACTTCTTCATGGTTGTTAATTTCTTAGTGTTTTATAGATTTTGGACGTATGTTCTGACTAGTGTATAGATAGATAGATAGATAGATAGATAGATAGATAGATAGATAGATAGATAATGTGGAGATTATTTTCTATAAACTTATATAAGATATATATGTATCAGGAGTTTATCATTTATTGAGTGGATATGGTATAAATATTTTGTCACATGCTGTGTTTTATCTTTCCTTTTTGCTCTCTTTTTTTTGTTAAATTTTGTTTTTAATTTTTACCAAAACATGAATCCTGTTATTGTCATTTAACAATGGGGATAGGTTCTGAGAAATGAACCACTAGGTAATTTTGTCATTGTGTGAACATTGTAGAGTGTACTTAAACCTGGATCATATAGCTTACTATACATCTAGGCTATTTGATATGGCCTATTTTTAAAAATTATACTTTAAGTTCTGGGGTACATGTGCAGAACGTGCAAATTTGTTACATAAGTATACACGTGCCATGGTGGTTTGCTGCACCCATCAACCCGTCATCTACATTAGGTATTTCACTTAATGCTATCCCTCCTGTATCCCCCTACTCCCTGACAGGCCCTGGTGTGTGATGTTCCCCTCCCTGTGTCCATGTGTGCTCATTGTTCAGCTCTCACTTATGAGTGAGAACATGCAGTGTTTGGTTTTCTGTTCTTGTGTTAGTTTGCTGAGAATAATGGTTTCCAGCTTCATCCATGTCCCTGCAAAGGACATGAACTCATTTTTTTTATGGCTACATAGTATTCCATGGTGTATATGTGCCACATTTTCTTTATCCAGTCTATCACTGATGGGCATTTGTGTTGGTTCCAAGTCTTTGCTATTGCAAACAGTGCTGCAATAAACATATGTGTGCATGTGCCTTTATAGTAGAATGATTTATAATCATTTGGGTATATACTCAGTAATGGGATTGCTGGGGCAAATGGTATTTCTGGTTCTAGATCCTTCAGGAATTGCCACACTGTCTTCCACAGTGGTTGAACTAATTTACAGTCCCACCAACAGTGTAAAAATGTGCCTATTTCTCCACATCCTCTCCAGCCTCTGTTGTTTCTTGCCTTTTTAATGATTGCCATTCTAACTGGTGTGAGATGGTATCTCATTGTGGTTTTGATTTACATTTCTCTAATGACCAGTGATGATGAGCTTTCTTTCATACGTTTGTTAGCTAAATGTCTTCTTTTGAGAAGTGTCTGTTCATATCCTTCACCCACTTTTTGATAGGGGTTTTGCCCATGCCTGTGTCCTGAATGGTACTGCCTAGGTTTTCTTCTAGGGTTTTTATGGTTTTAGGTCTTATGTTTAAGTCTTTAATCCATCTTGAGTTAATTTTTGTATAAAGTGTAAGGAAGGGGTCCACTTTCAGTTTTCTGCATATGGCTAGCCAGTTTTCCCAACACCATTTATTAAATAGGGAATCCTTTCCCCATTGCTTGTTTATGTGAGGTTTGTAAAAGATCAGATGGTTGTAGATATGTGGTGTTATTTCTGAGGTTTCTATTCTGTTCCATTCGTCTATACATCTGTTTTGGTACTAATACCATGGATTTTGGCTACTGTAGCCTTGTAGTATTGTTTGAAGTCAGGTAGCATGATGCCTTCAGCTTTGTTCTTTTTGCTGAGGATTGTCTCAGCTATGCAGGCTCTTTTTTGGTTCCATATGAAATTTAAAGTAGTTTTTTCTAATTCTGTGAAGAAAGTCAATGGTAGCTTGATGGGGATAGCATTGAATATATAAATTACTTTGGGCAGTATTGTCATTTTCATGATATTGATTCTTCCTATCCATTACCATGGAATGTTTTTCCATTTGTTTGTGTCCTCTTTTATTTCCTTGAGCAGTGGTTTGTAGTTCTCCTTAAAGAGGTCCCTCACATCTCGTGTAAGTTGTATTCCTAAGTATTTTATTCTCTTTGTAGCAATTGTGAATGGGAGTTCACTTATGATTTGGCTCTCTGCTTGTCTATTATTGGTGTATAGGAATGCTTGTGATTTTTGCACATTGATTTTGTATCCTGAGATTTTGCTGAAGTTGCTTATCAGCTTAAGGAGTTTTTGGGCTGAGACGATGGGGTTTTCTAAATATAGAATCATGTCATCTGCAAACAAAGACAATTTGACTTCCTCTCTTCCTATTTGAGTATGCTTTATTTCTTTCTTTTGCCTGATTACTCTGGCCAGAACTTCCAATACTATGTTGAATAGCAGTGGTGAGAGAGGGTATCCCTGTCTTGTGTCGGTTTTCAAAGGGAATGCCTCCAGCTTTTGCCCATTCAGTATTATATTATCTGTGGGTTTATCATAAATAGCTCTTATTATTTTGAGATACGTTCCATCAATACCTAGTTTATTGAGTGTTTTTAGCATGAAGAGGTGTCGAAGTTTATTGAAGGCCTTTTCTTCATCTATCAAGATAATCATGTGGTTTTTGTCATTGGTTCTATTAATGTGATAGATTACATTTATTGATTTGCTTATGTTGAACCAGTCTTGCATCCGAGGGATGAAGTCGACTTGATTGTGGTGGATAAGCTTTGTAATGTGGTGCTGGATTCGGTTTGCCAGTATTTTATAGAGGATTTTCGCACCAATGTTCATCAGGGATATTGGCTTGAGATTTTCTTTTTTTGTTATGTTTTTGCCCAGTTTTAGCATTAGAATGATGCTGGCCTCATAAAATGAGTTAGGGAGGAGTCTACCTTTTTCTATTGTTTGGAATAGTTTTAGAAGGAATGGTACCAGCTCCTCTTTGTGCCTCTGATAGAATTTGGCTGTGAATCCGTCTGGTCCTGGGCTTTTTTTTTGGTTGGTAGGCTATTAATTACTGCCTCAATTTCAGAACTTGCTATTGGTGTATTTAGGGATTCGAATTCTTCCTGGTTTAGTCTTCGGAGGGTGTGTGTGTCCAGGAATTAATCCATTTCTTCTAGATTTTCTAGTTTATTTGAGTAGAGGTGTTTATAGTATTCTCTGATGGTAGTTTGTATTTCTGTGGGATCAGTGGTAATCTCCCGTTTATCATTTTTTATTGTGTCTCTTTGAGTCTCCTCTCTTTTCTTCTTTATTAGTCTGGCTAGTGCTCTATTTTGTAAATCTTTTCAAGAAATCAGCTCCTGGATTCATTGATTTTTTGAAGGATTTTTTGTGTCTCTATCTCCTTCAGTTCTGCTCTGATCATAGTTATTTCTTGTCTTTTGTGAGCTATTGAATTTGTTTGCTGTTGCTTCTCTAGTTCTTTAAATTGTGATGTTAGGGTGTCGATTTTAGATCTTTCCCACTTTCTCATGTGGGCATTTAGTGCTATAAATTTCCCTCTAAACACTGCTTTAGCTGTGTCCCAGAGATTCTGGTACATTGTGTCTTTGTTCTCATTGGTTTCAAATAACTTATTTATTTCTACCTTAATTTTGTTATTTACCCATAGTCATTCAGGAGCAGGTTGTTCAGTTTCCATGTAGTTGTGTGGTTTTGAGTTTCTTTCTTTCTTTCTTCTTTCTTTCTTTCTTTCTTTCTTTCTTTCTTTCTTTCTTTCTTTCTTTCTTTCTTCTTTCTTCTTTCTTTCTTTTTTTGAGACAGAGTCTCGCTCTGTCACCCAGGCTGTAGTGCAGTAGCGTGATCTTGGCTCACTGCAACCTCTGTCTCCCGGGTTCAAGCGATTCTCCTGCCTCAGCCTCCTGAGTAGCTGGAATTACAGGCGCTTGCCACCATGCCTGCCTAAATTTTTTGTATTTTTCGTAGAGACACGGCTTCACCGTGTTAGCCAGAATGGTCTCGATCTCCTAACCTTGTGATCTGCCCACTCGGCCTCCCAAAGTGCTGGGATTACAGGCATGAGCCACCGTGCCTGGCCTTGAGTGAGTTTCTTAATCCTTAGTTCTAATTTGATTGCACTGTGATCTGAGAGACTGTTTTACTTCCAATTATGTGGTGAAATTTAGAGTGCTATGTTGTAGTGAGAAGAATGTTTATTCTGTTGATTTCAGGTGGAGAGTTCTGTAGATGTCTATTAGGTCCACTAGGTCCAGAGTTGATTTCAAGTCCTGAATATCCTTGTTAATTTTCTGTCTCATTGTTCTGTCTGATATTGACAGTGGGGTGTTAAAGTCTCCCACTTTTTTTTTTTTGAGATGGAGTCTTGCTCTGTCGCCCAGGCTGTAGTGCGGTGGTGTGATCTCGGTTCACTGCAACCTCCACTTCCTGGGCTCACTCCTGCCTCAGCCTCCTGAGTAGCTGGGATTATAGGCACGTGCCACAATGCCTGGTTAATTTTTTTTTGTATTTTTAGTAGAGACGGGGTTTCACCATGTTATCCAGGATGGTCTCCATCTCCTGACCTCATGATCTGCCCGCCTCGGCCTCCCAAAGTGCTGGGATTACTGATGTGAGCCACCATACTCAGCCTTGAGTGAGTTTCTTAATCCTGAGTTCTAATTTCATCGCACTGTGATCTCAGAGACTGTTTGTTATGATTTCCATTCTTTTGCATTTGCTGAGGAATGTTTTATTTTTAATTATGTGGTCAATTTTAGAGTAAGTGCTATGTGGTGCTGAGAAAAATGTATATTCTGTTGATTTGGGGTGGAGAGTTCTGTAGATATCTACTAGGTCTGCTTGGCCCAGAGCTGAGTTCAAGTCCTGAATATCTTTGTTAATTTTCTGTCTTGTTGATCTGTCGAATACTGACAGTGGGGTGTTAAAGTCTCTCACTATTTTTTTTTTTAAGATGGAGTCTTGCTCTGTCACCCAGGCTGGAGTGCAGTGGCATGATCTTGGCTCACTGCAACCTCTGCCTCCTGGGTTCAAGCGATTCTCCTGCCTCAGACTCTCCAGTAGCTGGGATTACAGGTGCGTGCCACCATGCTCAGCTCATTTTTGTATTTTTTAGTAGAGACGGGGTTTCACCATGCTCGCCAGGCTGGTCTTGAACTCTTGACCTCATGATCCACCCACCTTGGCCTCCCAAAACGCTGGGATTACAGGTGTGAGTCACCATGCCCGGCCAGTCTCCCATTATTATTGTGTGGGAGTCTAAGTCTTTTTGTAGGGCTCTAAGAACTTGCTTTATAAATCCGGGTGCTCCTGTATTGGGTGCATATATGCTTAGGTTAGGTTTCTCTTCTTGTTGCATTGATTCCTTTACCATTATGTAATGCCCTTTGTCTTTTTTGATATTTGTTGGTTTAAAGTCTGTTTTATCAGAGGCCAGGATTGCAACACCTGCTTTTTTTTTGTTGCTTTCCATTTGCTTGGTAAATATTCCTCCATCACTTTATTTTGGGCCTATGTGTGTCTTCGCATGTGAGACGGGTCTGATGAATACAGTATACCGATAGGTCTCAATTTTCGCATGTGAGACAGGTCTGATGAATACAGTACACCGATAGGTCTTAATTCTTTATCCAATTTGCCAGTGTGCGTCTTTTAATTGGGGCATTTAGCCCATTTACTTTTAAGGTTAACATTGTTATATGTGAATTTGATCCTGTCTTTATGATGCCAGCTGGTTATTTTGCCCATTAGTTGATGCAGTTTCTTCATAGTGTCGATGGACTTTAAAATTTGGTATGTTTTTGCAGTGGCTGGTACCAGTTTTTTCTTTCCATATTTAGTGCTTCCTTCAGGAGCTCTTGTAAGGCAGGACTGGTGGTGACAATATCCTTCACCATTTGCTTGTCTGTAAAGGATTTTATTTCTCCTTTACTTATGAAGCTTAGTTTGGCTGGATATGAGATTCTGGGTTGAAAGTTCTTTTATTTAAGAATGTTGAATATTGGCCCCCACTCTCTTCTGGCTTCTAGGGTATCTGCAGAGAGATCCACTATTAGTCTGATGGGCTTCCTGGCTTCCCTTTGTGGGTAACCCGACCTTTCTCTTTGGCTGCCCTTAACATTTTTTCCTTCATTTCAACCTTGGTGAATCTGACAATTATGTGTCTTGGGGTTGCTCTTCTGGAGGAGTATCTTTGTGGTGTTCTCTGTATTTCCTAAATTTGAATGTTGGCCTGTCTTGCTAGGTTGGGGAAGTTCTCCTGGATAATATCCTGAAGTGTGTTTTCTAACTCGGTTCCATTCTCCCCATCACTTTCAGGTACACCAATCAAACATAGGTTTGGTCTTTTCACATAGTCCCATATTTCTTGGAGGCTTTGTTCATTCCTTTTTATTCTTTTTTCTCTAATCTTGTCTTCACGCTTTATTTCATTAAGTTGATCTTGAATCTCGGATATCCTTTCTTCTGCTTGATCCATTTGGTCATTGATACTTGTATATGCTTCACAAAATTCTCGTGCTGTGTTTTTCAGCTACATCAGGTCATTTATGTTCTTTTCTAAACTGATTATTCTAGTTAGCAGTTCCTGTAACATTTTATAAAGGTTCTTGGCTTCCTTGAATTGGGTTAGAACATGCACCTTTAGCTCAGAGGAGTTTGTTATTACCCACCTTCTGAAACCTACTTCTGTCAATTCATCAAACTTATTCTCTGTCCAGATTTGTTCCCTTGCTGGTGAGGAGTTGTAATCCTTTGGAAGAGAAGAGGCATTCTGGTTTTTGGAATTTTCAGCCTTTTCTTGTGCTGGTTTTTCCTCATCTTCTTGGATTTATCCACCTTTGGTCTTTGATATTGGTAACCTTTGGATTGGGTTTTTGCGTGGGCATCCTTTTTGTTGATATTGATGCTGTTGCTTTCTGTTTGTTAGTTTTCCTTCTAACAGTCAGGCCCCTCTTCTGCAGGTCTGCTGGAGTTTGCTGAAGGTCCACTCCAGACCCTGTTTGCCTGGGTATTGCTGCCTGCTCCTTCCTCTGGAAGCTTTGTCCCAGGGGGCACCTGCCAGATGCCAGCCGGAGCTCTCCGCTATGAGGTGTCTGTTGACCCCTGCTGGGAGGAGTCAGGAGGCATGTGGGTCAGAGACCCACCTGAGGAGGCAGTCTGTCCCTTAGCAGAGCTTGAGCGCTGTGCTGGGAGAACAGTCGATCTCTTCAGAGCCCGCAGGCAGGAACGTTTGAGTCTGCTGCTGAAGCTGTGCCCACAGCTGCCCCACCCCACAGGTGCTCTGTCCCAGGGAGATGGGAGTTTTATCTGTAAGCCCCTGAATGGGGCTGCTGCCTTTCTTTCAGAGATGACCTCCCGAGACAGGAGGAATATAGAGCGGCAGTCTGGCCACAGTGGCTTTGCTGTGCTGAGGTGGTTCCGCACCCAGTTCGAAATTCCCGGCAACTTTGTTTACACTGTGAGGGGAAAACTGCCTACTCAAGCTTTGGCAGTGGTGGGCGCCCCTCCCCGCACCAAGCTCGAGTGTCCCAGGTCGACTTCAGACTGCTGTGCTGCCAGCGAGAATTTCAAGCCAGTGAATTTTAGCTTGTTGGGTGCCTTGGGGGTGGGATCTGCTGAACAAGACCACTCGGCTCCCTGGCTTCAGCCCCTTTCCAGGGTAGTGAACAGTTTTGTGCCGCTGGCATTCCAGGCACCACTAGGATATGAAAACAACAACAACAACAACAAAGCAAAACAAAAACACAAAACTCCTACAGCTAGCTTGGTGTTTGCCCAAACAGCCACCCAGTTTTGTGCTTGAAGCCCAGGGCCGTGGTGGTGTAGGCACCCGAGGGAATCTCCTGGTCTGTGAGTTGTGAAGACCATAGAAAAGCATAGTAGCTGGACCAGATAGCACCATCCCCAGAAATACCATTTGATTCAGCAATCCCTTTACTGGATATATACCCAAAGGAATAGAAATCATTCTATCATAAAGATACATGCATGCATATGTTCACTGCAGCACTACTCACAATAGCAAAGACATGGAACCAACCCAAATGCCCATCAAGAGTAGACTGGATAAAGAAAATATGATACATGTACACAATGGAATACTATGCAGCCATAAAAAGGAACTGGATCATGTCCTTTGTAGGGACATGGATGGAGCTAGAAGCTGTTATTCTCAGCAAACTAACACAGGAACAGAAAACCAAAATGACATGTTTTCATTTATAAGTGGGAGCTGAATGATGGGAACACATGGACAAACGTTGGGGTGGGAGAACAACACATACTGGGGCCTGTTGCAGGCAATGAGAGGGAGGGCATCAGGAAGAACAGTTAATGGGTTCTGGGCTTAATACTTGGGTGATGGGTTGATCTGTGTAGCAAACCACCATGGCACATTTACCTATGTAACAAACCTGCACATCCTGCACACGTATCCCAGAACTTAAAATAAAAGTTGATAAAATAAAAAATAAATAATTTAAAAAATTTTTTAAAATTTCTGGAGACAGATGATGGTTGTCTAACAACATGAGTGTACTTACTTCCACTGAACTGTATATGTAAAAATGATTATAATTGTGGTTGGGCACGGTGGCTCACACCTGTAATCCCAACACTTTGAGAGGCTGAGGCAGGTGGATCACGAGGTAAGGTATTTGAGACCAATCTGGCCAACATAGTGAAACCCCATCTCTACTAAAACTACAAAAAATTAACCAGGCATGGTGGCACATGCCTGTAGTCCCAGCTACTCGGGAGGCTGAGGCAGGAGGATCGCTCGAACCTGGAAGGCGGAGGTTGCAGTGAGCTGAGAACGTGCCACTGCACTCCAGCCTGGGTGACAGAGCAAAATTCCATCTCAAAAATAAATAAATAAATAAAGATTATAATTGTAAATTTTATGTGTATTTTACCACAATAAAAAAACAGTAAGCCAGGAATAAAAAGTTTTGATGTGAAAACAAATTATCTCTCAAAGTTTGGGTGCAAATGAAATGTGGCCTAAGTTTTTTGGGCCATGACTTAATCTTCTATTACCATTTATTTAGGTGACCAGAAGAATGAGGACAAACAGAATGCCAATTCCATTATTTCAACAAACAAGTATTTCTAGATGAGCCTCTCACACCAAAGTCCCAGGACAGAGGCAGGAACACAATGGGTGCTCAAAAATATTTAAAGAACTTCACCAGTGCCTGACAAGAGACTGAGAATATAAAATGTTCACATGATTCACGAGGGCTCTTAAAACGAGTTGTTGCTCTTAAGATGTGGCTATTGGTTAGGGGAATGAATTTGGAAAGAACTTTGTTAGTAGAAAATGGTCTGCAAATGCGTGGAATTGGTGTTTCCATTGTCAGAGAACAACTTCGAGTGCACCCCTTCCCGGTTCTAAGTCCTTAGTATAATTCTGTAAATGTGACATCAGTAGAGGTGAAATCAGAAACCCTGAGCCTAGAGCCAATTCTGTCCATCCTTAGCTACATGACACGATGCAGGCCACTTTACTCATCTTGGTTCTGTCCAAGTTTGAGGCTTCTATGTGACTTAGATGAGATAATATATGTGAGATGCAAAACAATCACTGAAACAAAACAAAACACAACACAGGAGGCACTATAGTAAACGCTTTATTAGGAAATAAATAAAGCAATGCTCCTTTCTGCTAAGAAGATAATACAGAGTTGTCATGGAAAGTCACAAAAGTGAGTATTAATTTGAAACAAAATGATATTTATCATTGTAAAGATCTAATAAGGGCCGGGTGTGGTGGCTCATGGCTGTAATCCCAACACTTTGGGAGGCCGAGGTGGGCAGATCTCCTGAGGTCAGGAGTTTGAGACCAGCCTGGCCAACATGGTGAAACCCCGTCTCTACTAAAAATACAAAAAATTAGTCAGATGTGGTGGCAGGAACCTGTAATCCCAGCTACTTGGGAGGCTGAGGCAGGAGAATCACTTGAACCTGGGAGCACAGAGGTGTCAGTGAGCTGAGATCGCGCCATTGCACTTTAGCCTGGGCAACAAGAGTGAAACTCTGTTTAAAAAAAAAGAAAAAAAAAATTAATAAGACAGCTATGAGAATTTTTTTTCTTTTTAGAAATTTTCCTAGAGTAAAAAAACAAAGATAATTTTGTCAACGCTCAGATCATAAATCCAGGTCAAGAACAGATGAAGCTGACCAGCAGCTGGCTCAATGAAGAGACTATCGGAGTGAAAAAGGCTACACTCATTAAGCAAGTTCATAATTTGTTAACAAGAAGATGACTGACAGTTTAGTGACAGTATGTATGTTATCAGCAGAGGAAGTGGAGTGAGTTTGCCATAGAAATGGATATCTGGCCTGGGCGTGGTGGCTCATGCCTGTAATCCCAGCACTTTGGGAGGTCAAGGCGGGTGGATCATCTGAGGTCAGGTGTTTGAGACCAGCCTGACCAACATGGAGAAACCCCATCTCTACGAAAAATACAAAATTAGCTGGGCATGATGGCGTATGCCTGTAATCTCAGCTACTCGGGAGGCTGAGGCAGGGGAATGGCTGGAACCCAGGAGGTGGAGGTTGCGGTGAGCTAAGATCATGCCATTGCACTCCAGCCTGGGCAACAAGAGCGAAACTGGGTCTCAAAAAAAAAAAAAAAAAAAAAAAGAATAAATGGATACCTGGCTGGTCTGATGATGGAAGTTTATTCTATGCAGGTAGTAATCTGTGGTAAGTTGATCAATAACTGCAAGGCTGGCAGCCCCTAGACACACAACAGGCTGATTGGCAGCAGGGCTAGCAGCAGCTGGATCCATAGCTCTGGTTTAGGCAACCTGTCAGGCAGACACACATGGGGTGGTAGCAAGTTCTCCTGTAGTAGATGGGTGCACAGAAGCTGGGCTGGCAGCAGCTGGACCCACTGCCAGTTTGGCCGTAACAGCTGGACCCACAGCAGGTGGGCTGGCAGCAGGGTGTGCTGCAGCAGGAAGACTGGCAGCAGCTTGTCACACAGGTGTACTGGCAGCAAGTGGTCCTGCAGCAGGTGGCCTCACAGTAGGCTGGGCAGCAGGCAGCAGGGCTGGCAGCAGCTGGATCCACATATCTGGTCTAGGCAACTAGGCAGGCAGACACACATGGAATGGTAGCACGTTCTCTGGTAGACGGGTGCACAGCAGCTAGGTTGGCAGCAGGATGTGTTGCAGCAACTGGGGGGGTGGCAACAAGACTGGCAGCAGCTGGACACACAGCAGGTGGTCCTGCAGCACGTCGTAGGCTGGCAGCAAGGGGAGCAGCAGTGGGTCATGGCGTCAGGGGTGGAGGGTGCACTCCTGTTCAGAGGTGAGTTTCCTAGAGTTTGATAACGTTATTCAATCTGAACCTTTTATACATGGTACCCCAAAGTTTTGATTAATGAGCAGAACTTGTCTTTGATACTTCTCTAGTCTTTTGGGAAATGTCCCAAGGAGGAAGTTGTCTATTCAGTGCTGTGAATTTTCTTTGAGTAATTGATTTATTTGCTTTCTTAATTGACAAATAACCAGTCAGGACTATTTTCCTGAACTGAGAAATGAATCATTCTCCCTACCAATTAAGCACTGATCCTCATTTTTAAAGCTGAGTACAGTATTTGGTCATCTAACAGGTCCTATGTAGCTTAGTGAGATGTCAGGACAATTGTTAGTCACCATCTGTTTTTCCTTATTGCTATTTACTTTGGAAAGTACCTCTGAAGATAGGATGATGTTGAGTCATGGTGATGAGTTAAAAACCAAGTTTAGGGAGGGCTTGTGATGCCACCTGTAATGTAGAAGCTAGTATAAGATTTATCCTCCTGCTATAAACAATAATAAAAGCTTTGTAAATATATAAAACAACTGTTTGCAGATATTGGATGACAATCAGCTTTGGGTTATGATCCTTGAAGGAAGACACATGGGGTAAAAAAAGAAACACATGGGTTTGTATGTTTTCAAAATTGCTGCTGCAGCACATCCTGCTGCCAGTCCACCTGCTGCAGCAGCTGCAGCTGTTATGGCCAAATGCCAGAAGAAATAGAGTCCACATAGAGAGCAGAGGAGAGATAGGCGTTAAAGGGGTTTATCACAATTCCTTCTCTCAGTCTGAAATGTGATTTTTGATGGTTAAGTTTTCTAAAGCTTTATCCAGTTAAAATTATCAGTCATTTCTTTTCGAATAATAATATTTTTGTCTTGGTCAGGAGGTATTTATCTACCTAAAAATAAAAAAAATCACATAAATCATCTAGTGAGGATTTAAGATTTTTTTTGACCTTCAAGATATTGATACACCTGGAATTGATTTTTTTCCTACATGATGAGTGATCAGAATCCAAGTTCATCTTTTCCATGTAAATACTTTTCCATGTAAATACTGGAAACAGGTTTGATTATGATTCCTTTGATTATGGAACATTTTCAGCTTTATTGCTGGATATGTTCTCATTTTCATCCAGAATATTATTTATTTGTGTCTTCTTTACATTTCTTGATCAATCTTTTCAATGGCTTATCATTTATTGGTATTTTTTTTGAAAAAGAAATTTTGGCTTTGTTCATCTTCTCTGTGATGTCGTTTTTAACTAGTTCATTGATTTACATTTTATGCTATTTTGGTTGTTTTCCTTTTTCTTATTCACTTAGGTGAACACTTAGTTCATTTATTTTTAGGTTTTATTCTTGTTTAATATTTAAATATTAAAGGCTATTTAAAGTGTGTACATTTTATCAAAGATCATTTTATAACACCCCACAAGTCTTGATATGTAATATTTTCATTATAATTGAGTTACACATTTTTTCCTTAACATTAGAGATTCTTCCATTTTGGTCTTCCAAGTCAGTATATCTTCTGCAGCTTATCTCACTTATTGTGTACTTTAATGACTATATGCTCTATTATTAATTTAGTATCAGATATTATGCCTGCTTGTGTCTCCTACCCCATTATACATGTTTGTTTTTATTAATTTTTCATTTTGAAATAATTTCATACTCATAGAAAATTGTAAACACAGTACAAAGGATTCCCATATGCCTTCACTTGGATTCCTCAAATGTTAACATTTTACCATGCTTCTTTAACATTATTTCTATACATATATGTGTTACTACTGTTGGTTTTTAAAAGTAAGTTGCAGATAGAATTTCCCTTTATCACTAAATACCACTTTATCCCTATGTACTTCAGTGTGTGTTTCTTGTCACAGCCCAATGATCAAAACCAAAATGTTAATGCCGTTGCAGGATAGTCTCTGGTTGGTTCTTATTCATGTTGTGTGTGTGTGTGTTTTTGTATTTGTCTATATTGGTAATAGCTTCCTTTATGTCTTTAAATGCATTTATTATGTTTAGTTAAAACCCAGTTGAAGATTTGCTGACTGGGAAGATGGAGTGGACAGACTTTTCCATATTCTTTCTGCTAAGTACAACTAAAAATTCTGGATATTATATATAAAGCAAACACGAGAGGACTCTGAAAGGTGGAGTGAAGAAAGCAGCCAGGCTAGAAGCCTCAGGACTTAAGGAACAATAAGGTGGGGTTCTCTGGGTTTTCTTTGTGCTGCAAGTACCCCCCAGACTTGGAGCTTGAGAAGCCTGTAACTCTGAAACTCTAGTGGATGCACACACACACACACACACACACACACACACAGTTCCAATAAATGCTTCTCTCTACCTAAAGGGTCAGAAAAGAGGTGGCTTAGCAAGAAGAAAAACATTTAGATGGTATCTGCTGTGCTCCAGAAACAACTACAGCTTCACTGCCAATCACTCCAGTAAAAGCCGGGTGAGGAGATAGACTTCCATCCCTGAGAAGCTGTAATGAGTTTCCCTAACACCTCCCACTGAGTTAATGTCTGAGAAGGCCAAGTAGGGCTGGCAGACTAATCTCTGCCAGCCAGTAATGACCCCCGTCCCCAACAGACATAGACATAGAGTGCCAGTGTAGACCATGTGAAGGGCCGGAGTTCTCATCTCTGCTCAGCAGTAATGATGTGCTCCCCTACCTTGATTGTCAGCACAGGTTGAATAGGGGAACTAATCTACCTTCATGTGACAGTAATGAGGTAGCCCCTAGTCCCTTGCTAGAACAATGTCAGAGAAAGCCAGCCAAAACAAAAGATTACATAAGATCCAGAGTTTCATAACATAATACAAACAGGGCCAGATACTAATAAAAATCACTTAACATACAAAAACCAGGAGGATATGTAACTGGATGAAAAAAGACAATCAATAAATGCCAACGTTGAGATATCAGATATGTTAGAATTATCTGACAAAGAGTTTAAAGCAAGTCATGATAAAAATACATCAATGAAGCCAGGCGTGGTGGCTCATGCCTGTAATCCCAGCACTTTGGGAGGCCGAGGTGGGAGGATCTTGAGGTCAAGAGATTGAGACCATCCTGGACAACATGGTGAAACCCTCTCTCTACCAAAAACACAAAAATTATCTGGGTGTGGTGGCGGCCCCCTGTAGTCCCAACTACTCAGGAGGCTGAGGCAGGAGAATCGCTTGAACCAGGGAGTTGGAGGTTGCAGTGAGCCAAGATCGGGCCACTGCACTCCAGCCTGGTGACAAAGCAAGACTCCGTCTAAAAAAAAGAAAAGTCAATGAGCAAAACATAAAGTGTATGTTTAAAATATACTTTAAACAAATGAAAGAGTAGAAAGTGCCACAAATAAATAAAAGATAAAATGATATATGTGAATTTTGGAACTCAAAAACCCAATAACCAAAATAAAAGGCTCAGTTGATGGCTCAACAGCAGAACGGAGGTAAAAAGAAAAGTATCAGTGAACTAGAAGATAGAACATTAGGAAATGTCCAATCCAAACAACAGAGAAAATACACTGGAAAAGCCTAAAAATTTAACAGAGCTTAAGGGACCTGTGGGACTAAAACAAATTATCTAATATTCATCTCACCAGAGTCCTAGAAGGAAAGATGAAAGAGGGCAGGGGTGAAAAAGTACTCAAAAACAATATAGTTGAAAATCTCCCCAATTAACCGAGAGACATAAACCTACAAATTCAAGAAGGTGAACAAATCCCAAACAGGATAAGCTCAAAGAAATTTGTGCCAACACACATAGTAGTTAAACTTCTGAAAAGTAAAGATAAAGAAAAAGTTGTAAATGCAACAAGAGAAAGAAAAACTTTATCTTTAGGGGAAAACAATTAAAACTACAGTGGATTTCTCATTATTTTTCAAGTGCTGACAGAAAAGAACTAAAATGAGTAGAAAATCAACAAAGATATGGAAGAACTCAAAAACACCATCAACCAACAGGATCTAATTAACGTTTATAGAACAGTCCATCCAACAATAGTAAAATACACATTCATTTCAAGTGTCCATGGAATATATTTCAAGATGGACCACATCTTGAGCCATAAAACAATCTCAACAAATTTATAAGAGTTGAAATCATAGAGTATGTTCTCCAACTGCAATGGACTCAAACTAGAAATTAATGACAGAAAGATAACTGGGGAATCTTCAAACACTTGGAAACTAAACAGCATACTTTTGAATAATCTCTAGGTCATCAAAGAATACTTAAGGGAAATTTTTTAAAAATGCATTGAAATGAATGAAAATGAAAATACAACATGTCAAAACTTGCGAGACACAATTAAAGCTGTGATGAGAGGGAAAGTCATAGCATTAAATGCATACATTTGAAAAGAGGAAAAGTCTCAATTAATTATCTAAGCTCCCACCTCAAGAACCTAGAAAAAGAAGAGAAAAATAAACTAAAAGCAAGCGCAAGGAAGGAAATAATAAATATAAAAGCAGAAATCAATGAAATTGAAAACAGAATAATAATGAAGAAAACAATGTGAAATAGTGAAACAAAGAGCTGGTTCTTTGAAAATATAAATGACAGTGAAAGATCGAATGCTTTCCCCTGAACTGGAAATACTAAATCTCACTGCTTACTCTACACAGTGCTCAAAGTTTTAACCAGCACAATAAGGCAAGAAAAAAAAATAAAGGAAAGGAAGAAATAAAACTGTCTCTGTTTGTAGGTAGCATGATTATCTACATAGAAAATCTCAAGGAATCTATGAATACAAACAAACAAATAAGCAAGCAAACTCTGAGAACTAATGAATGAGTTTTGAAAGATTGGAAGCTACAAGATAAACATACACAATCAGCTGTATTCTATATATTGGCAATGAATGCATGGACACAGAAATTGAAATAAATGTCATTTACAATCTCTCTAAAACATACTTAGGTGTAAATTTAAAAAACATGTACAGGGCTTACCACAGCAGGTTTTTAAAAAAGTAGATATCAATAAGATCTTCCAAAATGTATACAGAAAGACAAAAGAACTAGAATAGCTAAAACAATTTCAAAGAATGAAGTGGATGGAATCAGTCTATTTAATTTCAAGATTTATGATGTAGCTACAGTAATCAAGGCTGTGTGGTATTGGAGGAGGAATGGACAGCTGAATGAACGGATTAAAACAAAGAACCTAGAAATAGACCTACACAAATACAGTTGATAGGTTTGAAGTGCACAGGTCCACTTATATGTGGATTTTCTTCTGCCTCTGCCACTAATGAGATGGCAAGACTAACCCCTCCTCTTCCTCCTCCTCTTCAGCTTACTCGACATGAAGACAACCAGGATGAACATCTTTATGGTGATCCACTTCCACTTAATGAACAGTAAATATATTTTCTATTTCTTATGATTTTCTTAATAGCATTTTCTTTTCTTCAGCTTGCTTTATTATAAAAATGCAATATATAATACATATAACATACAAAATATGTGTTAATTGACTGCTTATTTTATTGATAAGTCTTCCAGTCAACAGTAGAATATATGTAGTTAAGTTTTGGGGGAGTCAAATGTTATATGCATATTTTTAGCTGTGTGGAGGTTTGCTGCTCCTAACCCTTGCATTGTTTAAGGATTGGCTGTATCCCTAGCCAATTTTTGATAGAGGTACACCAACAATTCAATAGAGGAATGCTATCCCTTTAAACAAATTGTTCTAGAGCAATTAGACATCTAGAGGAAAAAAACCCCTAAAAATTAACTTGAATAAATTACAAGAGGAGGAGCCAAGATGGCCGAATAGGAACAGCTCTGGTCTACAGCTCCCAGCGTGAGCGACGCAGAAGACAGGTGATTTCTGCATTTCCATCTGAGGTACTGGGTTCATCTCACTAGGGAGTGCCAGACAGTGGGCGCAGGTCAGTGGGTGCGCGCACAGTGCGCAAGCCGAAGTAGGGCGAGGCATTGCCTCACTTGGGAAGTGCAAGGGGTCAGGGAGTTCCCTTTCCGAGTCAAAGAAAGGGGTGACGGATGCACCTGGAAAATCGGGTCACTCCCACCCGAATATTGCACTTTTCAGACCGGCTTAAAAAACGGCGCACCACTAGATTATATCCCGCACCTGGCTTGGAGGGTCCTACGCCCACAGAGTCTCGCTGATTGCTAGCACAGCAGTCTGAGATCAAACTGCAAGGCGGCAGCGAGGCTGGGGGAGGGGCGCCCGCCATTGCCCAGGCTTGCTTAGGTAAACAAAGCAGCCGGGAAGCTCGAACTGGGTGGAGCCCACCACAGCTCAAGGAGGCCTGCCTGCCTCTGTAGGCTCCACCTCTGGGGGCAGGGCACAGACAAACAAAAAGACAGCAGTAACCTCTGCAGACTTAAATGTCCCTGTCTGACAGCTTTGAAGAGAGCAGTGGTTCTCCCAGCACACAGCTGGAGATCAGAGAACGGGCAGACTGCCTCCTCAAGTGGGTCCCTGACCCCTGACCCCCGAGCAGCCTAACTGGGAGGCACCCCCCAGCAGGGGCACACTGACACCTCACACGGCAGGGTATTCCAACAGACCTGCAGCTGAGGGTCCTGTCTGTTAGAAGGAAAACTAACAAACAGAAAGGACATCCACACCAAAAACCCATCTGTACATCACCATCATCAAAGACCAAAAGTAGATAAAACCACAAAGATGGGAAAAAAACAGAACAGAAAAACTGGAAACTCTAAAACGCAGAGCACCTCTCCTCCTCCAAAGGAATGCAGTTCCTCACCAGCAACGGAACAAAGCTGGATGGAGAATGACTTTGACGAGCTGAGAGAAGAAGGCTTCAGACGATCAAATTACTCTGAGCTATGGGAGGACATTCAAACCAAAGGCAAAGAAGTTGAAAACTTTGAAAAAAATTTAGAAGAATGTATAACTAGAATAACCAATACAGAGAAGTGCTTAAAGGAGCTGATGGAGCTGAAAACCAAGGCTCGAGAACTACGTGAAGAATGCAGAAGCCTCAGGAGCCGATGCGATCAACTGGAAGAAAGGGTATCAGCGATGGAAGATGAAATGAATGAAATGAAGCGAGAAGGGAAGTTTAGGGAAAAAAGAATAAAAAGAAATGAGCAAAGCCTCCAAGAAATATGGGACTATGTGAAAAGACCAAATCTACGTCTGATTGGTGTACCTGAAAGTGATGGGGAGAATGGAACCAAGTTGGAAAACACTTTGCAGGATATTATCCAGGAGAACTTCCCCAATCTAACAAGGCAGGCCAACGTTCAGATTCAGGAAATACAGAGAACGCCACAAAGATACTCCTCGAGAAGAGCAACTCCAAGACACATAATTGTCAGATTCACCAAAGTTGAAATGAAGGAAAAAATGTTAAGGGCAGCCAGAGAGAAAGGTCGTGTTACCCTCAAAGGGAAGCCCATCAGACTAACAGCAGATCTCTCGGCAGAAACCCTACAAGCCAGAAGAGAGTAGGGGCCAATATTCAACATTCTTAAAGAAAAGAATTTTCAACCCAGAATTTCATATCCAGCCAAACTAAGCTTCATAAGTGAAGGAGAAATAAAATACTTTACAGACAAGCAAATGCTGAGAGATTTTGTCACCACCAGGCCTGCCCTAAAAGAGCTCCTGAAGGAAGCACTAAACATGGAAAGGAACAACTGGTACCAGCTGCTGCAAAATCATGCCAAAATGTAAAGACCATCGAGACTAGGAAGAAACTGCATCAACTAACGAGCAAAATCACCAGCTAACATCATAATGACAGGATCAAATTCACACATAACAATATTAACTTTAAATGTAAATGGACTAAATGCTCCAATTAAAAGACACAGACTGGCAAATTGGATAAAGAGTCAAGACCCATCAGTGTGCTGTATTCAGGAAACCCATCTCACGTGCAGAGACACACATAGGCTCAAAATAAAAGGATGGAGGAATATCTACCAAGCAAATGGAAAACAAAAAAAGGCAGGGGTTGCAATCCTAGTCTCTGATAAAACAGACTTTAAACCAACAAAGATCAAAAGAGACAAAGAAGGCCATTACATAATGGCAAAGGGATCAATTCAACAAGAAGAGCTAACTATCCTAAATATATATGCACCCAATACAGGAGCACCCAGATTCATAAAGCAAGTCCTGAGTGACCTACAAAGAGACTTAGACTCCCACACATTAATAATGGGAGACTTTAACACCCCACTGTCAACATTAGACAGATCAACGAGACAGAAAGTCAACAAGGATACCCAGGAATTGAACTCAGCTCTGCACCAAGCGGACCTAATAGACATCTACAGAACTCTCCACCCCAAATCAACAGAATATACATTTTTTTCAGCACCACACCACACCTATTCCAAAATTGACCACATAGTTGGAAGTAAAGCTCTCCTCAGCAAATGTAAAAGAACAGAAATTATAACAAACTATCTCTCAGACCACAGTGCAATCAAACTAGAACTCAGGATTAAGAATCTCACTCAAAACCGCTCAACTACATGGAAACTGAACAACCTGCTCCTGAATGACTACTGGATACATAACGAAATGAAGGCAGAAATAAAGATGTTTTTTGAAACCAACGAGAACAAAGACACAACATACCAGAATCTCTGGGACGCATTCAAAGCAGTGTGTAGAGGGAAATTTATAGCACTAAATGCCCACAAGAGAAAGCAGGAAAGATCCAAAATTGACACCCTAACATCACAATTAAAAGAACTAGAAAAGCAAGAGCAAACACATTCAAAAGCTAGCAGAAGGCAAGAAATAACTAAAATCAGAGCAGAACTGAAGGAAATAGAGACACACAAAACCCTTCAAAAATTAATGAATCCAGGAGCTGGTTTTTTGAAAGGATCAACAAAATTGGTAGACCGCTAGCAAGACTAATAAAGAAAAAAAGAGAGAAGAATCAAATAGACACCATAAAAAATGATAAAGGGGATATCACCACCGATCCCACAGAAATACAAACTACCATCAGAGAATACTACAAACACCTCTACGCAAATAAACTAGAAAATCTAGAAGAAATGGATAAATTCCTTGACACATACACTCTCCCAAGACTAAACCAGGAAGAAGTTGAATCTCTGAATAGACCAATAACAGGAGCTGAAATTGTGGCAATAATCAATAGTTTACCAACCAAAAAGAGTCCAGGACCAGATGGATTCACAGCCGAATTCTATCAGAGGTACAAGGAGGAACTGGTACCATTCCTTCTGAAACTATTCCAATCAATAGAAAAAGAGGGAATCCTCGCTAACTCATTTTATGAGGCCAGCATCATTCTGATACCAAAGCCAGGCAGAGACACAACCAAAAAAGAGAATTTTAGACCAATATCCTTGATGAACATTGATGCAAAAATCCTCAATAAAATACTGGCAAAACGAATCCAGCAGCACATCAAAAAGCTTATCCACCATGATCAAGTGGGCTTCATCCCTGGGATGCAAGGCTGGTTCAATATACACAAATCAATAAATGTAATCCAGCATATAAACAGAGCCAAAGACAAAAACCACATGATTATCTCAATAGATGCAGAAAAAGCCTTTGACAAAATTCAACAACCCTTCATGCTAAAAACTCTCAATAAATTAGGTATTGATAGGCCGTATTTCAAAATAATAAGAGCTATCTATGATAAACCCACAGCCAATATCATACTGAATGGGCAAAAACTGGAAGTATTCCCTTTGAAAACTGGCACAAGACAGGGATGCCCTCTCTCACCACTCCTATTCAACATAGTGTTGGAAGTTCTGGCCAGGGCAATTAGGCAGGAGAAGGAAAGAAAGGGTATTCAATTAGGAAAAGAGGAAGTCAAATTGTCCCTCTTTGCAGACGACATGATTGTACATCTAGAAAACCCCATTGTCTCAGCCCAAAATCTCCTTAAGCTGATAAGCAACTTCAGCAAAGTCTCAGGATAAAAAATCAATGTACAAAAATCACAATTGGTGTATTCTTATACACCAATAACAGACAAACAGAGAGCCAAATCATGAGTGAACTCCCATTCACAATTGCTTCAAAGAGAATAAAATACCTAGGAATCCAACTTACAAGGGATGTGAAGGACCTCTTCAAGGAGAACTACAAACCACTGCTCAAGGAAATAAAAGAGGATACAAACAAATGGAAGAATATTCCATGCTCATGGGTAGGAAGAATCAATATCGTGAAAATGGCCATACTGCCCAAGGTAGTTTACAGATTCAATGCCATCCCCATCAAGCTACCAATGACTTTCTTCACAGAATTGGAAAAAACTACTTTAAAGTTCATATGGAACCAAAAAAGAGCCCGCATTGCCAAGGCAATCCTAAGCCAAAAGAACAAAGCTGGAGGCATCACACTACCTGACTTCAAACTATACTACAAGTCTACAGTAACCAAAACAGCATGGTACTGGTACCAAAACAGAGATATAGATCAATGGAACAGAACAGAGCCCTCAGAAATAACGCCGCATATCTACAACTATCTGATCTTTGACAAACCTGAGAAAAACAAGCAATGGGGGAAGGATTCCCTATTTAATAAATGGTGCTGGGAAAACTGGCTAGCCATATGTAGAAAGCTGAAACTGGATCCCTTCCTTACACCTTATACAAAAATCAATTCAAGATGGATTAAAGACTTAAACGTTAGACCTAAAACCTAAAAACCCTAGAAGAAAACCTAGGCATCACCATTCAGGACATAGTCATGGGCAAGGGCTTCATGTCCAAAACACCAAAAGCAATGGCAACAAAAGCCAAAATTGACAAATGGGATCTAATTAAACTAAAGAGCTTCTGCACAGCAAAAGAAACTACCATCAGAGTGAACAGGCAACCTACAAAATGGGAGAAAATTTTCGCAACCTACTCATCTGACAAAGGGCTAATATCCAGAATCTACAATGAACTCAAACAAATTTACAAGAAAAAAACAAACAACCCCATCAAAAAGTGGGCGAAGGACATGAACAGACACTTCTCAAAAGAAGACATGTATGCAGCCAAAAGACACATGAAAAAATGCTCATCATCACTGGCCATCAGAGAAATGCAAATCAAAACCACAATGAGATACCATCTCACACCAGTTAGAATGGCAATCATTAAAAAGTCAGGAAACAACAGGTACTGGAGAGGATGTGGAGAAATAGGAACACTTTTACACTGTTGGTGGGACTGTAAACTAGTTCAACCATTGTGGAAGTCAGTGTGGCGATTCCTCAGGGATCTAGAACTAGAAATACCATTTGACCCAGCCATCCCATTACTGGGTATATACCCAAAGGACTATAAATCATACTGCTATAAAGACACATGCACACGTATGTTTATTGCGGCATTATTCACAATAGCAAAGACTTGGAACCAACCCAAATGTCCATCAACGATAGACTGGATTAAGAAAATGTGGCACATATACACCATGGAATACTATGCAGCCATAAAAAATGATGAATTCATGTCCTTTGTAGGGACATGGATGAAATTGGAAATCATCATTCTCGGTAAACTATTGCAAGAACAAAAAACCAAACACCGCATGTTCTCACTCATAGGTGGGAATTGAACAATGAGATCACATGGACACAGGAAGGGGAATATCACACTCTGGGGACTGTGGTGGGGTCGGGGGAGTGGGGAGGGATAGCATTAGGAGATATACCTAATGCTAGATGACGAGTTAGTGGGTGCAGTGCACCAGCATGGCACATGTATAGATATGTAACTAACCTGCACAATGTGCACATGTACCCTAAAACTTAAAGTATAATAAAAAAAAGAAAGAAAACAAAACAAAACAAACAAAAAAGAATCAAAAAAATAAATTACAAACTTAAATATAAAATATAAAACTATAAAACTTTTAGAAAAAAATGGAAGAAAATCTTTAGCATGTAAGACCAAAGAGTTCTTAGGTAGCACCAAAAACATGATCCATTAAAGAGAAATTAATAAATTGATTAAAAAAATTATGTTCTGCAAAAGAACAGAGGAGAAAAAGACAAGCTGTGAACTATACATGATATATATTTGCAAATCACATATTTGACAAAGGAGTAGTACCTAGAATGTATAAAGAACTTTAAAAACTGAACAATTAGAAAGCAAACACTAAAAGTACAGCATGGGCAAAAGACATGAAGAAATATTTCATGGAAAAAGATATACAGATGACAAATAAGCATGTGAAAAGATGTTCAACATCATTAGCCATTAGGGAAATGCAAACTAAAACCACGAAAAGTTAGCACACCTATCAAAATGGCTAAAATAAATGCTGGTGAGTGTTCAAAGAAACAGAATCAGTCATACATGTAAAATGGTACAGACACTCTGCAAACAGTTGATGCTGTTGCTTAAAAATTAAACATGCTGGCCGGGCACAGTGGCTCATGCCTGTAATCCCAGCACTTTGGGAGGCTGAGGCGGATGGATTGCCTGAGGTCAGGAGTTTGAGACCAGCTTGGCCAACATGGTAAATCCCTGTCTCTACTAAAAATACAAAAAGTTAGCGGGCGTGGTGGCGCATGTCTGTAATCCCAGCAACTCGGGAGGCTGAGGCAGGAGAATCGTTAGAACCCAGGAGGCGGAGGTTGCAGTGAGCCGAGACAGTGCCACTGCACTCCAGCCTCGGTGACAGAGCAAGACTCTGTAAAAAAAAAAAAAAAAAAAAAAAATTAAACATGTAACTACCATACAACTCAGTAATTGTACTTGTTCACACAAATGTTTGTACATGAATGTTTATGGCTGCTTTGAACTGGAAGCGACCCAGATGTCCTTCAACACATGATCAAACAAACTGTGGTACATACATACCAGAGGGTAATTCTTAGTGACAAAAAGGAAAAACTGTTCAACAATCTGTTTAAATTTTCACGGAATTATGCTGTGTTGAAAAAACCAGTCTCAAAATGTTAAGCACTGTATGATTCTTTTTATACAACATCCTTGAAATGACAGAATTATACAAATGAAGAACAGATTGGTGGTTGCCAGGTATAAAGAAAGGAGTGGGTGTGGGAGGCAGGTGAGAGTGGCTATAAAAGAACAATCAAAAGAGATCATTGCAGTGACAGAAATGTGTTGTACATTGGCTATGTCAATATCAATATCATATGCTGTTGGTGATGTTTTTCTATAGTTTTGGAGGATGTTATTTTTTGGGGAAACTGGGCAAAGAGTACATGGATCTCTTGTATCACATCTTACAATGGCATGCCAATCTCTATTCTTTAAAAATAAAAATTTTAATTAGAAATTTAATTTAACAAAGGAAGAAACAGGTTTTTGTGTGTGTGTTAGTGGTGTTTTTTTTTTTTTTTTGACGGAGTCTCACTGTTGCCCAGGCTGGAGTGCAGTGGTGCGATCTCAGCTCACTACAACCTCCATCTTCCTGGTTCAAGGAATTCCCATGTCTCAGCCTCCCAGGTAGTTGGGATTACAGGCACACGCCACTACGCGCAGCTAATTTTTTTCTATTTTTAGTAGAGATGGGATTTCATCATGTTGGCCAGGCTGGTCTCGAACTCCTGACCTCAGGCAGTCCACCTGCCTCAGCCTCCCAAAGTGCTGGGATTACAGGCGTGAGCCACCATGCCCCGATGAAACAGTTTTAAGAAGCATTTTATCTTTAAAAGGTAGAAGAACATGGGTTTTGGAGATCGGACAAACATCTGACCACTTCCACTGTTACCACGAGATCATGCATCAGACAGAGCTGAGCAGCTTTTTTTTTAAAAAAAAATTTACTTCCATAAGTTTTTGGGGAACAGGTGGTATTTGGTTACATGAGTATGTTCTTTAGTGGTGATTTGTGAGATTCTGGTGCACCCATCACCCGAGTAGTGTATGCTGAACCCAATTTGTAGTCTTTTATCCATCACCCCTTCCATCTTTTCCCCTGAGTCCCCAAAGTCCATTGTATCATTCTTATGCCTTTGCATCCTCATAGCTAGCTCCCACTTACAAGATTTCAGGTTCGGTTTTCCATTCCTGAATTACTTCTCTTAGAATAATAGTCTCCAATTCCATCCAGATTGCTGTGTCATTAATTCATTCCTTTCTATGGCTGAGTAGTATTCCATCATATATACAACCATTTCTTTTTCCACTCATTGATTGATGGGCATTTGGGCTGGTTTCATATTTTTTGCAATTGCAAATTGTGCTGTTATAAACATGCACGTGCAAGTATCTTTTTCGTATAATGACTTCTTTTCCTCTGGGTAGATATCCAGTTTTGGGATTGCTGGATCAAATGGTAGTTCTACTTTTAGTTCTTTAAGGAATCTCCACACTATTTTCCACAGTGGTTGTACCAGTTTACATTCCCAGCATGAGCAGCTTTTTAAATTAAAAAAAAAAAAACTAACTTCTTGGTGAATCTGGATTCATAATATCTGTACTCCATTCTGAGGGGACTTCAGATGTTGGCATGATTTTACTCCAGTATGTGTTTTAAAAAGAAAAGGAAGGACACTCCCTAAATCCAATCCCTAGAAGTTCTATCAACATCCTCTCAAGCCTTTATATCATTTATTTATACTTATATCAAGTACTCTCAAGCTTTTATATTAATTAGACAGGTACAGTAGAAAGCTTTTAGGTTGGGTAGATTCTGATATCGATTTTCAGAAGATTCCAATATTCTTATCTAAGCTGAAAGAAGGTATTGAAACATCATACAAATACCGTGGGAATCTCTCAGAACAACTTACATAATACAGTGTTATCAGTCTTCAAAATTTCTATAATTTCATATAATATCAGTATTATCAGTCTTCAAAATTTCTATAATTTCATGAAGTTCTTAATATCTTAGAAACAAATCTACACTTGTTAACCTCAGTGGGAATCATTATACATGTTCCTCTGATTCTTTTTCCATTTTTCCACATTTTACACATGAGCAAACTCTGAACATAACAAACCTCACAATTCTCCAGTGAGTCAATCTGATGTTGATAGGACTTCCAATATTGGCAGTTCTGGGGGCTCTCTCACACTTCTTAAACTATCAATGTTATAGCTGGGATTGGAATTAGGGAGTGTCATTCCTTTTCTTTTTAAAACACATACTGGAGTAAAATCATGCCAACATCTGCCATCTAGGGGGAATTCTGAATGGAGGTTCTCCAGTGGAAAAATAGGGAAGTTTTGTTACATACATTGTACACTGGACAGAGCTAAAGAAAATGAAAAACCATTTCGTGAAAGCATTACTTGGTCTTGTCCATAATAATATTATATTTTAATAGAGGACTGAAGTGTGGAATTGTCTTTTATGTTTAATGGCAGTCATAGGAAAAATTGCAGTAGGATGTGCATAAACCATCAGAACTCACTGAGGGATCCCAGGGGAAGGAGTGTGATGGGGGAATCACACAAACAGGTGTATGATGTCATGTTACTGTCTAATGATAACAAAGAGCCCATGCCAGTTTCTGAAGACAGACCTGCATGGCTGCAGCTTATATTTTTATTTGGAAGAAAGAGAAAGTGGACAAAATCCGGAGTTGCCTAAAATATAATTTGTATGCTATGGCCTGAAACTTCATAAATGATCCATAAATATGATGGCAAAAGTAAACAAAATTAAAAATGTTTTGTAGGTCTTTATGAGGCAAAGGCATAAATGAGGTTGTATCAGAAGTTGGGGAACATGGGAGGGGCTGCTTCAAGACCTGCAGAAATTACTGTAAGTTGATTGAAGATGGTTTTAAAAAGAACCTGGGACTTATAAATGGGGGTGGAGGTTTGGTGAGCCATGGCAGCTTAGAGAAAAGAGAGAGTCTGAGACAAATTCAGAAGTGCTGGTTACGACACATTGCATGGGGGAGGGAGAGCCACCCAAGGCACTTGAATTTTCCAGAGTGCCTGGCAAAATCTGTTTTAGAACAAATGCATTAGATGCCATTCCGTATTATTAGAACTTCTAGAATATTAGAATGTTCTAAATATTTGCTGAGAAAATAAGCTTTTAGGGCAATACAAGGGATCCTTGTGCTGATGGAGCTACTCTGTGTCTTGAAGGTATCAATGTCACCATTGGACTTGTGATACCGTACTGTAGTTTTGCAAGAAGTTATCATTGGGGGGAAACTTGGTAAAGAGTACAGAGGTTTCTTTGTATTATTTCTTGCAACTGCATGTGAATCTACAATTATCTCAAAAAGTTTAATTATAAAAAAGAAAATAACCTTTGGTTATAATTTCACTTTTCATGCAGGTATATCTATAGGAAGAAAATATCCTGGTCAAAAAGACCCATGAAAATGTCATCTTCTCTTTAAGTTATTTCTCATGTAGATTCTTCAACTGGTACTAATGTTATGGGCTTGGTGAAAGTGAGCCTGCTCCCAGAGGTGGTTTCACTCTTAGAATGTAAATAATTTCAGTTTCTGGAGTGTGCAAGGCTGAAGGCCAGATACTGGTACGTTTTTCAAGGTAGTATTTACTACCCTGGAAGACAGCCTTCCTGTTTCCTCCAAAGGATGCCTAATAAGTATGTATGGCACTTTGTGTTTCTTTTTAAATTTTACATATTTTACATATTTTGTTGCTTATGGACTTCAAAAATCAGCGAATGGTCAATTTTGAATCCAACAAAAACATTTGGGAACTTTTGAAGTATCTCAAGAACTGAAGTGACCTCTGAAGTCCAATAATAATAACCAATTACCAGACACTGCGAATCCTTGGCACAATGTTCTAATGATTGTCCAGCCAACGCTTGCATCCCAATAGTGTTTAGAATTCACATTGCCAGAATAATTTTTGCATTAGCTCCTTCCACTCTAGGCCTCTGGCAATTTTTCCTCATTGGGATCATTTGCAAATGGAATGAACCGAAAGGAATTCCTGTGAGGTTCCTACTCTTACTAGCCATCTTTTCTCCCAGTGCTTCGTCCCAAAAAAATCACCTTAAATTTCTTCTAAGCTCTGGCATCTGCCTTCTTACTGAACAGATGACATTCTTACCAGGCGTATTTCTTCTCCCCAGCCTTTGCAGACTTTAAGATGCTCACTGTTTCCCAAGGTCTTCATCACTGACTTTATTTCTTTATTTTTTTTCACTTTTATTTTAAGTTCAAGGGTACATGTGCAGGACTTTTTTTTTTTTTCAGATGGAGTTTAGATCTTGTTGCCCAGGCTGGAGCACAATGGTGCGATCTCAGCTCACTGCAACCTCCGCCTCCTGGGTTCAAGCCATTCTCCTGCCTCAGCCTCCCAAGCAGCTGGGATTACAGGCATGCGCCACCACACCCGGCTAATTTTGTATTTTCAGTAGAGACAGGCTTTCTCTATGTTGGTCAGGCTGGTCTCGAACTCCTGACCTCAGGTGATCCACTCACCTCGGCCTCCCAAAGTTTTGGGATTACAGGCGTGAGCCACCACGCCCGGCTGCAGGTTTGTTATATAGGTAAACTGCATGTTGCAGGGTTTGGTGTACAGATTATTTTGTCACCCAGGTAATCAGCATAGTACCTGACAGGCAGTTTTTCAATCCTCACCCCCCTCCCACCCTCCACCCTTAAGTAGACACAGGTATCTCTGTTGTCCCTATCTTTGTGTCCATATTTACTCAATTTTTAGCTCCTACTTATAAGTGGAGATAATAAGCAGTATTTAATTTTCTGTTCCGGTGTTAGTTTGCTTAGGATAATGGCCTCCAGCTCCATCTATGTTGCTGCAAAGGGCATGATCTCATTCTTTTTTTATGCCTGTGTAGTATTCCATGGCATACATATACCACATTTTCTTTATCTAGTCTACCATTGATAAGCATTTAGGTTGATTCCATGTCTTTGCTATTGTGAAGACCATCACTGACCTTATTAACCACAACTTCTGCTTTGTTAGAATTGAGTTCACAGAACTTTTGCTGGATATTCACAATCTTACCTATTCTATTTTTTTCCCCATTTCATCTCAACTTTATTTTTTTCATTTTAACTTTTAACTGAAAGTTTTTGGGCAAAAATCTACATAGCCATGATATGATGCAATGTGTTTTGGATATCAGTTTACTTTTTTTAAAATTGTACTTTAATTTCTGGGATACATGTGCAGAACATGCAGGTTTATTACATAGGTATACATGTGTCATGGTGGTTTGCTGCACCTATCAACCCGTAATCTAGGTTTTAAGCCTGGCATGCATTAGCTATTTGTCCTAATACTCTCCCTCTTCTTGCCCTCCACCCTAGACAGGCTCTGGTGTATGTTGTTCCCCTCCCTGTGTCCATGTGTTCTCATTGTTCAACTCCCACTTATGAGTGAGAACATGTGGTGTTTGGTTTTCTGTTCCTGTGCCAATTTGCTGAGGATGATGGCTTCCAGCTTCATCCATGTCCCTGCAAATGACATGATCTCAATCTTTTTTATGGCTGCATAGTATTCCATGGTGTATATGTGCCACATTTTCTTTACCCAGTCTATCATTGATGAGCATTTGGGTTTGTTCCAAGTCTTCACTATTGTAAATAGTGTTGCAATAAACATACGTGTGCATGTGTCTTTATAGCAGAATGATTTATATTCCTTTGGGTATATACCCAGAAATGGGATTGCCGAGTGAAATGGTATTTCTGGTTCTAGATCCTTGAGGAATCGCCACACTGCCTTCCATAATGGTTGAACTATTTTACATTCCCACCAACAGTGTAATAGCGTTCCCATTTCTCCATACCTCACCAGCATCTATTGTTTCTTAACTTTCTAATGATCGCCATTCAGAGTGACATGAGATGGTATCTCATTGTGGTTTTGATTTGCATTATCTAATGATCAGTGATGTTGAGCTGTTTTTCATATGTTTATTGGCTGCATAAATGTCTTTTTTTGAGAAGTGTCTGTTCATATCCTTTGCCCACTTTTTGAGGGAGTTATGTATTCATCTAAGAAATCTTCACCTAATCTACAGTCCTAAAACTTTTTTCTATGTTTCCTTCTAAAAGTTTTGTAGTTTTAGGTTTTACACTTTGGCCTGTGATCCATTTTGAGCTTATTTTTGTATATATGTAATGTATAAATCAAAGTTCTATTTTTTTTTCTTTTTGCTCATGGATGTTTAATTGTTCCAGCACTGTTTATTCAAAAGACCACAGATTATCTGTATATCCACTTGGCATCTTGTCAAAAAATCAATTGATAATATATATGTGAATCTCTTTCTTGTCTCTCAATATTTTCCATTGATCTATATCTCTCATTTCACCAGTACTTCCCCCAAACAGCTTTGTTTTGGAAAGCAGAAAAATGTTGTATCATTTATGCAACACATATGAGTTGCTTTAACTTCTTCAACACTGACTTCCTCAGCTTGAACATGGGGCCACTAATACTTACCTTTGGGATTGCCTGGGAATGAGACAGAGGGCGCATGGAGCAACTACCTCAATACCTAGTGTATAGCAGGCTCTCAGTAAATGTCAGCAAATTACCCATTCATTCCCCCTGTTGGAAAGTTAATAACCCGGCAGAGAATTCCAGATACATCCCCTAGGAAGATGACATGTCTCTGTCACATCTAGTAGTTCGCTCACCCAAAGCACCTTCAGGTCTCTTAAGAAGGTGGCCACAGTTGTGGGGTGGGGGGAGCGGGTAGAGATAGCATTAGGAGATATACCTAATGTAAATGATGAGTTAATCGGTGCAGCAAACCAACATGGCACATGTATACATATGTAACAAACCTGCACGATGTGCACATGTACCCTAGAACTTACAGTATAATAAAAAAATATAAAAATATATAAATTAAAATTAAAAAATAATAATAATAATTAAAAAGAAGGTGGCCACAGTCAAAACCTCTTAGTGTCCTCCCAAAGCTGAATTAGCCTTCGTACTGCTGCGTCCTCTGGCTATTCCTTTCCTTATTCAGTTTCTCATCAGAAGATCCAGTTTCCTCCATTTAGGAACCAACTTAATGCCCATCTTGGCTTTAAATAGTGCATCATTTGTTCCCATTTTCATGTTTCTAACATTTCTCCCTTTTTTTCTGAAAATTCTGATTTTGACTTCCTTTAGCATAATTGACTTTATCTTCTTTATCTCATAAAACACAGGGAGTTATTTTGTTTTCTTTTATGGCCCAGAGATTATGATTAGATCAAAGGGCATAAGTCCATTGCATGGTTACCTTAATTCTTAGGATTCTGTACAAATTTATCTTCCCTTAACAAAGTTCATGTTAGGAAACAAAATTGCCTCAAAATTTGGGAACCCAGGAAGCATGGTCCAATCTTGTGCGCTTTGCAAAAGTGATTCTTAATCCTAATTCCTGTTAAAATAAATGAAATGATACCCAGATGCTTAATCATGACAGCAAAGAGGAGGTTCTTCGTGGTGAGAGTAGGGCCGGGAAAACCCATGTCACACTAGTTGTTGGTGACAGATTCTTCAGTGGTGGATCAGAATCCAGAGACACAAAGCTCTTTTCATGGACTAGAACACTTTTTAAAAAGTTTTATTTATTTTTATTTTTTATTTTACTCTAAGTTCTGGGTTACACGTGCAGAATGTGCAGGTTTGTTACATAGGTATACATGTACCATGGTGGTTTGCTGCACCTAACAACCTGTCATCTAGGTTTTAAGCCCCGCATGCATTAGGTATTTGTCTCAATGCTCTCCCTCCCCTTGCCCCCCATCCCCCGACAGGCCCTGGTGTGTGATGGTCCCCTTCCTGTGTCCATGTATTCTCACAGTTCAACTCCCACTTATAAGCGAGAACATGCAGTGTTTTGTTTTTCTGTTTCTATGTTAGTTTGCTGAAATGATGGCTTCCAGCTTCATCCATGTCTCTGCAAAGGACATAATCTCAATCTTTTTATGGCTGCATAGTATTCCATGGTGTATATGTGACACATTTTCTTTATCCAGTCTATCACTGACAGACATTTAGGTTGGTTCCAAGTCTTTGCTATTGTAAATAATGCTGCAATAAACATACATGTGCAGGTGTCTTTATAGTAGAATGATTTATAATCCTTTGGGTATATACCCAGTAATGGGATTGCTTGGTCAAATGGCATTTCTGGTTCTAGATCCTTGAGGAATAGCCACACTGTTGTCCACAATGGTTGAACTAATTCACACTCCCACCAAGAGTGTAAAAGCATTCCTAGAACTCTTAAAGATGGTCTCTAGTGGTCATAGAGGTGGGGAGAGTATTTGGGAAGTGCTTTGTAGATAGAAAAGTGTTTGCTTGAGATGTGACTTAAAATGTACATCTTCCCTGCACTCAATCACCACTGTTGCATCTACCCGGAGAAAAATGTTTTTAAAAAAGTGTCCTTAACCTGGATTCAAAGTACCTGGTCATTGAACCTTCCCTTGTCAATTGCTAGTTGTATGGCAAATCATTTTCTCATCACTAAAATGTTTGCTCTGTCCAACTTGTAGGTCATTGTGAGACTTGAACAAGATAATAAATATAAACCACAACTCAAAAGTAAGGCTTCACAAAGCAACTGCTGCAAACAAACAAACAAATGGAACAAAAATCATACCATAGGATGCAGGATAATATAAATTTTATTAGGAAAGACCAGGTAGGGAGACAATTAAAAGTGATCATGAAAGAGTTTAGTAATCTGGCAGAGGCTACTAAATAAAATGTATATATCTAAAAAGATGATCAGTATTGATCATTATAGAGAGTTAGATATGCAGTCTTAAGAATTTTTTTTTAAGTTCCATAGGGGCAAAAGCTGATGACCACTTTCTGTGGCTGAGTCCATGTATCCATGTCAATTAGGTGGAGTTGACTGACCACCATCTGGTACATTAACACAGAGGGAATGAAGAAGAATGAAAGTGAGGTAGACTGCAAACCTTCAGCAGAATCCCAAGCATGGTAGGAAGAAGATGATCACAAAGTTCAGTGTCAGAATGTTGTTTCTCAGAAAAGCTTAGCGAATGTTTCTTGGTGGAATAGGAACTTTGACAAAATGTTTCAGGAAATATGTCTCTGGTGGGTGGTGGGTCTGCAGCAAGTGGATTAGCAGCAGGAAGGCTGGCAGCAGCTGGAGACACAGCAAGGACTGCAGCAACAGCTGGGGCGGCAACAGGTGGTCCTGTAGCAGGTGGTCTGGCAGCAGGTGGGACGGCAGCAAGGCAGACAATAGCTGGACTCATTGCAGGTTTGGCTACAGCAGCTGGACCCACCACAGGTTGGCTGGCAACAGGGTGTGCTGCAGCATCTGGTCACACAGGATGGTTGGCAGCAGGTGGATCTACAAATGGTTTGACAGCATGTTGGGTGGCAGCAAGGCTGGCAGCAGCTGGACCCACAGCAGGTGGGCTGGCAAGAGGTGTTCCTGCAGCAGGTGGGCTGGCAGCAGGTAGGCTGGCAGCAGGTGGTCCTGAAGCAGATAGTTTGATAGCAAGTCGGGTGACAGCAAGGCTGACAGCAACTGGACCCACAAATAGGCTGACAGCAGCTGGACCCACAGCTGGTTTGGCCACAGCAGCTGGACCCACAGCAGGTGGGCTGGCAGCAGGGTGTGCTGCAGCAGGAAGGCTGGCAGCAGCTGGCCACACAAGTGGGCTGGCAGCAGGTGGTCCTGCAGCAGGTGTTTTGACAGCAAGTTGGGTGGCAGCAAGGCTGGCAGCAGCTGGGCACACAGCAGGAGGGCTGGCAACAGGGTGTGCTGCTGCAGGTGGTCACAGTGGTGGGCTTCCAGCAGGTTGTCCTGCAGCAGGTGGTCCTGCAGCATGTAGGCTGACAGCAAGGGGAACAGCAGTGGGTCATGGTGTCAGGGGTGAAGGGTGGGCTCCTGTTCAGAGGTGAGTTTCCAAGAATCTGATGACCCCCTTCTAGTATCTGGACCTTTTATACACTGGTTCCCAAATCTGGAACCAATGAGCAGAATTTTCCTGGTTATTATTTATGACATTATTTTTCATAACCTATAGGGAATTGCCCAGGGACGAAGTGTTCCTTAAGTGTTATGAATCTTCTGAAAATAAATGATTGTTCTACTTAACAATAGATAACCCATAAAAACTTATATCCAGAAGTGAGAGAGGTGATCAACATCAATAGCATCATTTAACTATAAAGTATATATTTTTATTTATTATTTTACTGCTATTATTATCTTAGAGACAAGGTTTCACCTGTCACTCAGGCTAGTGTGCAGTGGCGCGATCATAGCTCATTGTGGCCTTGAACTTCTGGACTTAAGCGATCCTCCTACCTCAGCCTCCCAGAGTGATGGGATTACGGGCATGAGCCACTGTGCCTCGCCTGAATTATCATTCTTTAAGACAGAGTACATTGACTGATCCCCTGACAACTGAAACTAACTTGAAGAGGCCAGAACTATTGTCACCACCTACATTTTCCCCTCCAGCACTAGAACATGGTGATTAACTCAAGGTGACAAATGTAAACCATATTTTAAAATATTTTCCGTTAAAATGTATTTTTTATCAAACTTTTCATCTGTGTCACACAAACACAGATTCAATGACAGTAATTCTAATAGTAATAGCAACTCCACTTGGGTATCTCAATTCCTGAAACAGGGGACTGGGCTCAATTGTAATTGTCGTAATCTTTTCCATGCTGAGCTCCACATCTGTTGATGGCCCTAAGTACAAACATCCCTGGGTACATGATGTTTACGCTTAGTGGTGCAAAGAAAAGTTTAAAAGCAGTTAGTCAGACAACTAAAATATTTTGCTTTGAATTGCAGTTTGAAAATACAAACACCGTTGTGTGTGTTTTTTTTTTTTTTTTTGAGACGGAGTTTCGCTCTGTCGCCCAGGCTGGAGTGCAGTGGCGCGATCTCGACTCACTGCAAGCTCCGCCTCCCGGGTTCACGCCATTCTCCTGCCTCAGCCTCCCGTGTAGCTGGGACTACAGGCGCGCGCCACCATGCCCGGCTAATTTTTGTATTTTTAGTAGAGACGGGGTTTCACCGTGTTAGCCAGGATGGTCTCGATCTCCTGACCTCGTGATCCGCCCGTCTCGGCCTCCCAAAGTGCTGGGATTACAGGCGTGAGCCACCGCGCCCGGCCGTGTGTTTTAAATGAAGGAACAAACGGGACGAGAATGACTCCATCATGTGTATTAATGGGGAAAACACAGAATAAGTTGCATAATATTTTGGATGCTTAGCAATTTCCATATCTGGCTAATCTATTCAAATAAAGAGTTTCTTATTTTCACTGGCAACAAAATGGTCTTTTGATACAGCTTGACTTGCTCTGACTTAAACTGTGGCTAAAAATTTCTGCCATCTCTGCTGCTGAGGCATCCTGACCTTAGCTGTGAAGGTGGACACAGCCTCTGTTTGCTGGTCCAGCATATGGGTAATGGCATTGCCAGTTCATCCCATAAAATGATCTGGTGCAGTTCATTTAGTCAGAATGAAGTTATAGTGAAGGAGAGGATGGGGTGGAGTATTCTTCACTTGTGTCTCCACCCTGAGAATGGGTTTGGCACATAGCGGGAACCAAAACATGATTATTGAATGAAGAACTTTACATTTACTAGCTTGATTTTTTTTTTTTGGAGATAGAGTCTTACTCTGTTGCCCAGGCTGGAGTGCAGGGGCGTGATCTTGGCTCAATGCAACCCCCGCTTCATGGGTTCAAATGATCCTCCTGCCTCAGCCTCCTGAGTAGCTGGGACTACAGGCACGTGCCACCACTCCCGGCTAATTTTTTGTATTTTTAGTAGAGATGGACTTTCACCACGTTGACCAGGCTGGTCTTGAACTCCCGACCTCAGGTGATTCACCCACCTTGGCCACCCAAAGTGTTGGGATTACAGGCGTGAGCCACTGCGCCCAGCCCTAGCTTGAAAATTTGGACTAACAACCATTTGTAATAGGACTGGGGAATTAATTAGGGCATTGGTTCGGAAAAGAAACAGAATGAGCAATTCTATTCTGAACAAGTTAAATTTGAAGCCACGTGCCTTAGATGTTTTTTAGCTACTTCATAATTTATAAGTGTGCTATGCTGATTTCATTAGCAGCTATTTGCTATAATGTACTGGGGTCTTATTTTTTGGGTATTAACATATCCATGTTTACATCTATTTTAAATACTGTTCAAATTGAAGGGACTGTGGCTATGCAGCTCATTCAGGAACAGTAAATTAAATGGTTGGAACAAAAGAATGACTCGTCCTGTGCTCAGAATATCAAATGACACACTCTGAAAAGTATATGAAGGAATGGATGAGATGATGCTAAAACAAAAAAGGAAGAAAAATGGTGCTTTTAGGGATAAATAACTGATTAAATGGAAATTACCTTAGCATCCATTTTAAAAACCAAGGCTAACTGCTACAATGTCATGCTTCAATCAGAATATCTGATCATTTCTCTTCAGGTAAGATAAACAATAGCAAGGAAATAACCCAGGTCATGGTGATGGCAAGTCCTCAGCAGGGTAGAGAAGGAAACTTGGAAGGAAGAAGGCTTATGAACTCTAGTACCTTATGCCACTGAAAACCCACACCCAGAACCTCCACCTTCTGACACCATGGTCAGCTCCTGCTGCAGCTCCTTCTGCTGTCACCAGAGGTGTGGTTAAGACCTCTGCCAAGAGATCTGCTGCCATCCCAGCTGCTGCCAGACCACCTGCTGCAAGACCGCTTGCTGCTGCCGCAGCTTCTGTGAGTTCAGTTGCTACCATCCAGTCTGCTGCCAGACCACCAATCTGTGGATCCTGTTGTTGAATTTCATTCCTGACCACCAGCCTGAGTCAACTACCATGTTGAAAACATACTTGTTTTAAGGAGAAGGGTTATCTCTAAGCTGTCTCCCCTGCCTTCAGACAGAGAGGGCTATTTCTAAACAAACAAGTGACCATAGAACTGTGGCTCAGTTAGACCAGAATCCCAAGCCTATGATACCTGCACTTGCTTTGACCTTGATAGTGACTTCCTTATGATACATTAATTATGTCTGCAAAAATATTAATATTCTTGTTGTCATAAGAAGTTGGGCTACATTCAAACTAAGTGCAAAGAAAAAAACCTGTTATAAATAGACAGGAAGGTGATAAAACTGCAATCATAGCAGAGGCTTTAAACATACTATTTCAAAAACGGTCATTTGAAGAAGAAAAGTAAACAAAGATATGGAGAATTTGAGTAAAATCATTATCAACTTAGACACAATGGATATTTTTATGCCATTTTATGCCTAACGAACTGAATTTTCATAATTTTTATATATACCCCAAATAGTCATAAAATATGTCCATAAAAATATATTCTAAATATGTTCTTGTATCCTTCCTTCCATCCCCTCTTCCCTCCTTCCTGAATAACTCAGTCTAAATAGAAAGTAGGTGTCTGCATGGGATAGGGATGGCCTAAAGAGATAACATTCTTAATTTCTTTTTTTAAAAATTAATGTCGTCTTGCACTTATAGAAAAATTGCAAGAATAGGTCAAAGAGGTTTCTTTGGTGATAAAAAGAAAGTGATGCTTCACTGCCTCTGAGCACTAGTGTGTGTTGCCTACATCAAGGGCTTTCCCCTCCGTAAACACAATAGAATTTAAAATCAGGCTTTATTCTTGCAAACAATGTTGCAAAGAATACCCTTGAACTTACATCTTGGAAGGTATGTATAGGTGCATCTGTTGAATACATTTCTAGAAGTGAAAAGGCTCAATCAAAACACACGCACATTTCAAAATATGCTAAATTAATTTAAGATACTGTTAAATTTCAGATTCTGTTAATTACCATCTAAAGAAGTTGCCTCAATTTAGATCCCTGCCAACTGTGTATTAAAATGTCAATGTCTTTATAATTTCACCAATTTATTAAAGTTTTTAAACTTAAATATTTTACATTTGTCATTACAAATAGCAAGTATTCACTGCCATATCCCGAGAGCATGCAGTAGAACCTGGCACACAGTAGGTATTCGGTAGATGGTTTGATGAGTGAATAAGTTGTTCAATTAAAATACCTTAAATTATGAGTGAGACTAAACATCTTTCAGAAGCTCAAAAGGCACTTAAATTTCTTTTTTTAGTGAAATCACTGTTAATATCCTTTACTCAATTTTCTGTTTGGTTGTTGTTGTTGTTGTTTTTCTCATTGGGTTGTAAGAGGTATTCATGGATTAAGAAAATTAGCTCATTTATTTGTAGATTGGTTAAGGTATTATTATTTATTTTCAGCTTACTCTTTAGCCTTCTTGTTTTTCAATCAGGCATTTGAGTTTTTTTCTGTTGTAAATTTTTTTCAATCTTTTTCTTCATTGTTGTTAAGTTTTTCTGTATTAGAAAATCCACTCCACTTCTAATATTTTAAGACAATTTCTGCTGTTTTCTTCTAGTTGTTTCACAGTTTATTTTTCTCAGAAGAATCTTCAGAAAACAAGAAACATCATCCCATTTGAGGACTGCTGTGAGACACACAGTTTTCAGGATGACACACAGAATGCTGAGTTCCAAGTGATCTGTCACCTGACAATCGACTGGATGAGTAAGATTACAAGTCTTTGAAATTAAATGACACACTAAATTAACTGAAGACAAGAGGAGGAGGAAAGACTGGATTGGCTAAACTCTAACACAGAGAAAGAATAAAAGTGCATTCCACCTTTTATACAGATATTTTCCCACAATTAGCTAACTTGATAATTGCCTATCTATTAAGATAAACAATAACAAGGAAATAGCTTTTATGTGGTGACAACAGCTCCTCAGCTGAGTATAAAAGTGGACATGGGATAAGGAGATTCCCACATTCGAAAAACTCACTGTCTTGGAAACCTACCTAGAACCTCCACCCTCTGACACCATGGTTAACTCTTGTTGTGGCTCTGTCTGCTCTGACCAGGGCTGTGATCAAGGCCTCTGCCAAGAGACCTGCTGCCGCCCCAGCTGCTGCCAGACCACCTGTTGCTGCCCCAGCTGTGTTGTATCCAGCTGCTGCCGCCCATCCTGCTCTCAGACTACCTGCTGCCAGACCACTTGCTGTCGCCCCAGCTGCTGCCACCCAGTCTGTTGTCAGACCACCTGCCGCCCCAGCTGTGGTGTGTCCAGCTGCTGCCGCCCACTCTGCTGTCAGACCACCTGCCACCCCAGCTGTGGTATGTCCAGCTGCTGCCGTCCACTCTGTTGTCAGACCACCTGCCGCCCCAGCTGTGGTGTGTCCAGCTGCTGCCGTCCACTCTGCTGTCAGACCACCTGCTGCCGTGCAACTTGCTGCCGCCCCAGCTGCTGTGGATCCTCTTGTTGAACCTCATATTGGACTATCAACCATGAGCCAGTCACCATCCCATGATATGAAAGTGTCATTTATATCAACTTGTCCATGTGTTAAATGGCCATCAGCTTTATTATCCTGTTATTCCACTAAGTAACTGGTGAAAGGGCATCCATCTACATTTAATACCACTCATTTTTCCCATGGATCTCTTCCCAGCAGCATTCAGACCTCAGATGCATGATGCAGTTAGACTAAGCCTCTAAGTTTCTGACTGTTATGCTTGATTTGACCTTCAAAATTACATATTAACTGTTCTTCAATAAATATTATCTTAATATCAGTAATTCTTTTCTCTTTTTTCAATTTTTTTGAGAATTAGTTGTCAGTTTATTTTTTAGCATTACTTCTCTCAAGATAAAGACAAATTTGGGTTACCACGACCAGGAAAGAAAACTGATTTTGTAAATATAATGTAATGCTTATATTATAGAAAGGACTTCATAAATTTTTCAAAATAAGATAACTCGCTGTATTTAACTAACAAAAGTTTCTTATTCAGTCAATGAAATTATTGATCATCTGTCATGTTCATTGCACTGTTGGGCTCTGGAGATCACATCAAGATATGTGAGGCACAGGAGCTTCCTAAAAGGAGCTCACCGTCTAATCTTGGAAATAAGAGGAAAGAGCAAAGTAGATAGATTGTGCTGGGTAGTACTGATCAGAGGAGAACTTTCTGTCTTGGGGAAGAGTAAGACATTAGGAATATACATATACACACATTTAATAATAGAATGAGTTAAGTTGGTACAGGGAAGATGTGCAGGTCACAGACCCATGAAATGAAGAGGAGGAAAATATAGGAAAATGTTTACATTCTTATGAGGACAAGACTGAGATGAGCTAAGAAACAGTTGGTGTTGACCAAATTTGGTGGAAGTTAAACCTCACTGGCCTCATCCCATCACCTCTATGTTAATGGTACTATACTAAAAGTCATAGGCAAATGAGAAAGCTCTTAGTCAAAGATGGAGCCACACAAGGACAAGGGAATATCCTCTTTGGGGAAGAGTCAGGGAGGAGTTGGGTAAGGGTTTGAATGGTAGGCAATGATAGAGTTGTAAAAGAGAAGGACTCAGGCTGTAATTTTAAGCTGTGAGCTAAGAATGCACTCTCGGGATATGCTTAGACTCTACAGCTTTCTTGTATCTCAGGTAAACTTGGTCATATTCAGACAAGCAAACCATATGTCTCCTGTAGCCACATGGCTTTGCTTATTCTGCCTGATGTCACTTCCACATGAAAAAAAAATATACTTGAGCAAAATACAGGATTTAATAGAATAAAAATTATCCTCAGGAAAGGACCAAAAAAATTATAGATGTTCTAAAATGGGGAAATAATATTCTTTTCAATAATGATAATAATCATGAAGGATCAGAAAATATGGGCAGGAGTGCAGTAAGCAGTAATGCCAAGGCTGTCAAGGTGAAGCACAGATGCAGTGGAAGGTCATTGCAAATGATGGGGGTGCCACTCAGCTGATGGGTAGACAGCAGGAAGGTAAAGCGAGAAATACTGGTAGATTTCTCATTTTCATTGGTATAATTTATACCTAAATACCAATTACTGTCCACACTTGTCTGGGATAGGCAAAGCAAATTGTCAAGAAATGTTATCTGTTTTGTCTTTATAGCGTGTGTCACCATGTTTACAGCAGCCTCTCATCTCCCCATGACAAGTGAATGTTTTACCCAAGGCAGCCTAGCTCCAAGGCAGCCATCTGGTTGTTTCCTCTGCTCTTTAGCAACTACTTTCCCTTTTGGAAGTTCAAACTTATCACAGTTTCTCATGTCTTTGAGATAATTTCCATTCCATAACCAAATAATATCAATAGGCCCAAGAGTTAAGGACTTTAGTTAGAAGCAAAATTTAGACAAGGACGAAGAAGAAAATGGCAAAAATTAAAGTACATTATCATATCAGTAGAGCAATATAACATTAGTGTCATAAAGAAAGTCACATTCTTTTTTTTTTTTTTTTGAGATGGAGTCTCACTGTGTCGCCCAGGCTGGAGTGCAGTGGCGCGATCTTGGCTCACTGAAATCTCTGCCTCCCGGGTTCACGCCATTCTCCTGCCTCAGCCTCCTGAGTAGCTGGGACTACAGGCACCCACCACCGTGCCCGGCTAAATTTTTGTATTTTTAGTAGAGACAGGGTTTCACCGTGTTAGCCAGGATGGTCTCGATCTCCTGACCTCATGATCCACCTGCCTCGGGCTCCCAAAGTGCTGGGATTACAGGCATGAGCCACCATGCCCGGCCAAGGCTTTTAAGAGTTTCTTAACCAACCTTCTATTTTCTTTCTGGATGAAAGAGTTCTAATATTTTATTCTTTCTTGTAAGGGTATCGCTCTATTCTTATGAGAATCTAAATACACTTTTCTGGGTAAACATTAGCTTATGTCTCAGTTAAATTTTGAAATGAACATAGGCACAAAACAGGCAAGATGTGTTGCCAGAAGTATAAAAATGCAGGTTGTATTTATTCCTGTGGCCTATCTAATTATGGCTAATATTTGGAGGACTTTGGTGCATTCAGCACTAACCTAGTAATATGGTTGTTGGGAAAAATAATTTTTGAAGAGTTTATATCACTGTTTTAAGTCATAATTTAGGTTAGACAGAAATGTCTTTCGGGTATTTGTGGCTGGGTATTTTATTTTGAATTGCTTCTCTCCTAGGAGGAGCATGTAGGGAAAATTACTATATCTTATAGGATCCATACTCTTAAAAATGGGATTTTACATGACTGAACCTGAGGACAATTACAAATTTTAAAAGATAAGCATGAACATGGATGGGAGGGATAAAGGATAACAATGAGTCATCAAGTAAAAGGGAATCAAAAAAAAGTCATAAATGTATAGGTTTGTAAACTGGAAGTCACGTTAGAGATATCTAACCCAGAGATTTTCAAACAGTGAAGTTTGCCATTGAGTAGAGCCCAGAAATTGACTTAAAAGTCTATACATGGCTCACTCCTGTAATCCCAGCATTTTGGGAGGCAGAGGCAGGTGGATCACGAGGTCAGGAGATCGAGACCATCCTGGCTAACACGGTGAAACACTATCTCTACTAAAAATACAAAAAATTAGCCAGGCATGGTGGCGGGCACCTGTAGTCCCAGCTACTCAGGAGGCTGAGGCAGGAGAATGGCGTGAACTGGGGAGGCAGAGCTTGCAGTGAGCCAAGATAGCGCCACTGCACTCTGGCCTGGGCGAAAGAGCGAGACTCCATCTCAAAAAAAAAAAGTCTATACAAATTAATTATATCCTAAAGCTGGTGTCTTAAAAGCAGTATGGAAAGGATTACTTCAAATATACTATAAAACAGGTAGCCAAATTCAGGAATAAACGAAGGAAAGGGAAAAAAGCAAGAAAGAATAAAAGGGATTAATGAAAGATGTACAGAATGAAGAAAAAAAGGAGAGATTTTCATTTGTTAAATCAAAACAAATTTCATCCAGATAAAATATTCAACATAAAAATGAAACCGTTCAGTGGCCACACCTAACCGTGGATCCCAGCCAGTAGCCACAGCTGCACAAAAGCCCAGGCAGCAGCCCCACTGAACCTCAGGGCCTGGGCAGGAGTTTTACCCACCCAGAGACCCCCAAGAGTAAGCCCTGCCTGTTCACAAATGCTACCAGCTTCCCCGTCCAGAATCCCAGGCCGAGTTGACTGCTGAGAGTCTTTCCCTGCTGAAGGGAACTTGTAAAGTGTGGAAGAGGAGACTGTGTCCTCAAAGGCACAAACACCAATGTAAGATTGCAAGGATTTTACACACACACACACACACACACTGAAATGTTATTAGCCATGAAATGAAGAAAATCCTGTCATTTGGGACAACATGGATGGACTTTGAGGACATTATGCTAAGTGAAGTAGGTCAGACAATGAAAGACAAATAATCTCATTTACATGTGGAATCTAAAAACTCATAGAAACAGAGGGTAGAATGGTGATTGTCAAAGGTTGTGGATGGAGGAAATGAGGAAATGTTGGTCAAAGGGAGAAAATATTCATTTATAAGAAGAATAGGTTCTGAGGATCTAATGTACAGCATGGTCACTGTAGTTAATTACACTGTATTGTATATTTAAAATTTGCTGAAAGACTAGATCTAAAATGTTCTCACTACACACACTCAAAAAATGGTAACTATGTGAAGTGGTGGAGGTGAACTAATTTGATCATGACAATAATTTCACAATATATACATATCAGAGCATCAGGGTGTACACCTTATATACATACAATTTTATATTTCAATTATAGCTGAGTAGAGGTAGAAAAAATGAAATTGTTAAAGTACTAGAAGAAATCGTGAGAGATTCCTAAATATAATGTAAATTTATCTTAAGGAAAACACACACACACACACACACACTCACACACACTCACATCATGAAGAAAAATAGTTAATATAAAGTGATCTCTACTGAATCATCAGCAGGCACCAATCGTCACGGCTTCTCAAGGGCACGATTCTTTTCCAGAATACAAGGTCTCCTGGAAATCTTAGAGTTGTTCTCGTACACCACCATGGGGCTCACAGGGTCTTAATTCCACAGCATCATGGAACCCACTTTCATCCCTCAATAAAATATGATGTCTGGGTACATCAGAGCCAGAGAACAGTGCAGGCTCAGAACACCAGCCAGCGCACCAAGCAGGGGTTCACTTGGGAGCCCAAGTTGTTTTCATTCTGCTTGAATCACCTGGAAATTAGGGCCAGGGCAGGAGTAGGAACTGGCTTGGAACATAGCAGCATCATAAGAACACCACAATTTGATTTATTAGACTTATAAGCACCTGAGAGAAGAAAGGGAATCTCCCTCATTCATCCAATCCCCTCCATCTGGTTCTTGGATCTCCCTCAGAAACACCAGCTTACACTGAAACTCCTCCCCTGATTATCTGCAGAGGCTGCCCAGTTCATAAAACATTTCTATCATGGTAAGTCAGACATTTTTCCACCCCCTTCCCTGGGTTCCTTGACTCCTCAGGGGTGGGGAAATACATATATATTTATTAACTGATGAGTTAATGAATTGACAACATAGCACATTTTTGAAACAATAGTCAGCCATCCCTACATGAAAAAATATAGGCTGATATCCTTTGTTCTTGATACCTGTTTTCTGCTTTCTTTCTCTCTTTATTGATTTATTTTTTGAAAACAAAGATGTAAAGTGTGAAATTGGATCAACAACTTCTATAAGGAAGCAGCAGAGTATAGGACATCTTCAAGGCCCAGCAATTCAGCAGAGAAAGCAAGAGGGCTGGGAGCGAATTAGAGCAAGCAAAGGATACTGAGTCATCTAATTTGGGTTGGCCAGAAAATTTTGGAACCTGGAGAGATGAGCTCATGTGCCCTGTTAGAGCTAGGAAGGCAGAAAGGCAAAGTCACAAGGAAAATCTGCCCCAGGGAGCAAAAAAATGAGGGACTTGGACCTTTAAGTATAGCTGTTCTCTGAAGCCAACATTCCCCAAGAGGCCCTGAATCTGAATTTTGGAGGGTTGTTTCTGTAGAAAAGGAAACATCAAACTTTCACAGCTTAGTTTTCCACCTTAAAACAGCTCTGTATTTCTCATCAGAAGGTCTAGAAAATGGGTCACAATTCAGAGTGCGGAAGATAAAAAAGCGATAGGTCCTACGGTGTTCTCGTTCTCACACCAGTGGTCATCTGTTTCACACTGAAATCTGTTTCACACTGAAACCTTCACAGGCCATCTGACCCATAATGAAGGAGCCATCAGACTGAAATGCAGCTTTATCCTCCTGAGTCACCAGAAAGAGTCAAGGGCCTGTAAGAATAGTAATCACCCAAGAGTAGTCATGATGTGTTAAGCAAATGAGACTGAAGCACATAGTATGTGCTTACAGGCAGATGTCACATGGCTGCTCTAGGAGGAAGCTATAGTAAGAGAGACACAGGAGGTGGTTCAGGAAGAGCTGAGCTAAGGAGTCCTAACACATTAGGGAAAGGAGACAGTGTTTCCATCTATGTGGATAAGTTAACCAGAACAACAAACTTGCCTAATTTGATAATTGCCTACATATCAGGACAAATAATAACAAGGAAAGAGTGTTGCATCTGATGACATCAGGCCTTAGCAGGGTATAAAAGAGGATCTGGGGCAAGGAAACTTCCAAACCTTCCAAACCCACCTTCCTGGAAATCCACCCAGAACCTCCACCCTCTGACACCATGGTCAACTCCTGTTGTGGCTCTGTGTGCTCTGACCAGGGCTGTGGCCTAGAGAACTGCTGCCGTCCCAGCTGCTGCCAGACCACCTGCTGCAGGACCACCTGCTGCCGCCCCAGCTGCTGTGTGTCCAGCTGCTGCAGACCGCAGTGCTGCCAGTCTGTGTGCTGCCAGCCCACCTGCTGCAGCCCCAGCTGCTGCCAGACCACTTGCTGCAGGACCACCTGCTGCCGTCCCAGCTGCTGTGTGTCCAGCTGCTTCAGACCCCAGTGCTGCCAGTCTGTGTACTGCCAGCCCACCTGCTGCCGCCCCAGCTGTGGCCAGACCACCTGCTGCAGGACCACCTGCTACCGCCCCAGCTGCTGTGTGTCCACCTGCTGCCGCCCAACCTGCTCTAGTGGCTCTTGCTGCTGATGCCCTCACCTATACTCACCTGCCTTTATTAACCAGCATTCTTGATATGATCCACCTGTGAACTGAATCATGCAAGGCCAATTGGACAACCTCAGTTCCAACCAATTCTTGGATTGAGTTTGGCCTCCAAATATGCTCACCAAACACTATGTTGCTACCCTCTACCAAATGAATACAAGTTTGAATTTTCTCTGAAATATGTCAACCCCATGTTCCCTGAATTGAAATATTTGCTCTCTACCATAATTTATCACATGGAGCTATTCCTCTATCTTAAATAAATTTTAATTTTTGAGGCATACAAATAATATACGGGCATTGTGTCTCATTTTTCCTTCTTGAATTCTCATCCTTACCTGTCAAATTTTCTGATGTTCTTCCCTGCAGAGGGAGAAGACCACAGCAGATGATATCAGGGGCTCCACCTCTATCCTATCAGCACTCTCCATTCAAACATAGGAAAATGGTTCCTTAGAGCAGGCACCTGGAACTCTCTACCTGAGGACTTTCTCTGGATAAAGGAGCAAACTCTGGGCTGGAGACTTAAAGCCTCTAGGAACAGCACTCAGAGAATGAGTGGGAGTTGGTAATATATGCCCTGGCTTGTTTCCCTCCAGTGGGGGGTATGTCAAACCAGTCTTCCAGAGGTCTTCAGCGGGATTTATACCAGATGCCTGCAGGAACATTCTGATCATGAACTCACTCTATAATGACTTTCCCTCCTTCCCAGGGTCATTCTTCAAGTTTCCTCCAGTGTTTCTTGGGTTAATCGTCCAAATATACCACATGTTCTCAGATCCTCTTTTGTGGGTTTGCCCCAGAGAGCACACAATCTAAAACAGCAGCATTCCTAATCTCAGTATTAGTGTCCTTCAAAATGTTTTTGTACAATATGAATGGTTACCATAGATTTTGATCAACTCTTGAGTTTACTGTCACCTGAATGGACACCTCTGAACATTTTGCTGTTTTTTTTCTTTTCAATTTTTGCGCATTACAATTTTTTTCTATTATTTGTTCATTTACTTTTTTGGTCTTCTTTTAAGAATTTTAATTTTTAAAGTTTTTATTTCAATATGCATGTTTGCTTTTAAACTAGTTGTCTTTGATTGTTTTTTTCTTCACATCGTTTTATCTGAGGGATAGGACACAACCACCGTGTTGGTGATTCTCATCCTAAAAAAGGCTATATTGAAAAAGGTTTCACCCTGAGCCATGCTGCTAAGTTGGAGGCACCAAAGAAAGATCTAAAACAGGATGTTTGCACAAGTGACTTTTATAAGAAAATGCTCTCAGGAGAAATCAGTAAGGAAATGTCGGAAACAGAATAGGATTGTAGAAGAGGCTAAGCCCAAAAGGATTTTATTGTCATTTGACCCCACAGGAAGCTCTAGAGTGTGAATGGTATTACAGACCCATCTTTCTGAGAGGTAAGGTCGTTGGAACTTTACAATCCTACATCAGTTACCACTAGCTATGGCCCACCCTGTGGGAGAGGAAGAGGATGCGAAGAGGGCGGAATCCTCCAGATGAGGTGGCTCCTGTAAGCTGAGGACAACTATCTGGAGAAGTGTGCAGGTGAACAAAGGGAGCTGCTGGCTGTCCTACTTACACTAGCTTGGGGATGGGGGTATCTTTCTGGTAAATGGGATCAGGATAGGGAGCCCTGTAGTCCACCTCTGGCACTGCTCAGCTGCAGCTGTTTCTCTCATTAGGCTCACTCCAACTGGTTGGTCACAGTTTCTAGAGAAACGTATGAGAGGAGGGGTCATGGGCACCCCTGCTTCTGGTCTAGGTCACTTGCTTGGTAGGGTAACCCGAGTCCTCATCCTGAGAGCTCTAAGCCTTGGTTACTGTGTCCTTATCAGGCTTGAGCCCTTGAACTTGCTCATATGCAGTCAAGGCTGGAAGTAGAAGCACCAAGCATGTCCCAGAGGATCACTTAAGTGCTAAATATATTCCTCCCTGTCCCCATTGGCATAGCAGTGGTCCTACTTCCTCATGATGATGAGGCCAATTGCCTGTGGCAACAGCCCTTTTCTTTATGTGCTTTTCTCCAGCCAAAGTGATAAGGTAACAACCATAGCTTTAATTCCAATCAAATCCTTACTATGCCCCCTGGAGGTGGCTCCTCCCTTCTTGGAGCCAGGACCTCTCCATAAAACTTACAGTTATTTGGGAGGGAGCACAAATTCCCTCAAGTGGCTCACAGGGCATGAAGGTGAGTGAGCAACTCCTCTGTCCACACTTTGGTTTTCTGTATTAATGTATTTTACCTGTTGTGGACACAGTACCATGTGATGGTGATTGGTGTAATAATTCTTACTGCATCCTGAAGAACAGCGCTCCACCTCACAGGGTGTCATCTCCAAGCTGAGACCTCCATTATGGCTTCAAGAGGTGGTTGCATCACACTATCCGTTCAGCTGTTTCTGGATGGTGCAGCATAAAGTATACTGTGGGTAACAGAGTATCTACAGTTACCTGCCCATTGCCACACACCTTGTGCTCCATATGGGGTTGATCAGTCAAAGGTGAAGTTAGGTAGGATTCCACACTGCCACAACAAGTTCTCTTGGGCCCCCATATAACGGTGCTGGCTGAGGCACTGCAAGCAGAAAATGCAAGCCCATCGCCTGACTGTATGTCAATTCCATCAGCAGCAAGTAACTGGCTGATCCTCTCATAGGATGGTACCTTACGAGGGACTCAGGGCCACTCTCTTGCTGGCAGGTCGGATGTTCAGCAGTGGTGTCCTGGTATGCTGTAGACAGGATGCTTAAAAATATTACCAGTGTGGCAGCCTCTGGAATCCTTTTCTCTTCTCTTCTAGAGCACATGGATCCTTAGCAAGGTCTCCACAGTATTCACATTTTGTGTTCATCAAATCTGATTCACATGACATTATCAATATTGTGGATCAGCATGCTGTATTGTAGGATGCTCACAATGCCTAGATCTTTTGCGACTATACTGTGACAAAGATCAGGAGAATTACCATATCCCTAGTTCAGCACAGAGTGTTAACACCACTGTCTGTTCCAGGTGAAATGGATTCACTTCTGATGCTGCTTCCTGGTGGTTATTGAAAAGGACACATTTGCCAGTTTGGTTGCCATACACCCCATATTGGAGACTGTGTTCATTTGTCCCAGAAATGATTCTACATGCATCAATCACATTGGCTATAATTAGATTTTTATTTGACAGAGTTTGTGTTCATCCACTGTCATCTGCCATGATCTATGTGGTTTTTGTTGGGTCTGAACTAGTGAATCATATGAAGGTGGTATTCACCTCTCCTGCATTTGTAAGCCTTGAATATGTCTCTAATTTCTTGCTTCTATCCACTCACTTGCGTGGAGAATGTGTGAGAGGTCCCAAGCAATGTCACGAGCTCCCATTGGGCCTTTCCTATTGTAATAATTCTTACTCCATAGGTCAAGGAATGTTATTGGTGAACTCTACATTGGAGAACTGGGTAAATGACCACATGAGGGTCTGTGCACCCTGTGAAACTACTATAAGACTAATCCGGATCAAGACTCCATTTATTTTCCGACCATCATTATGAGATCCTAATGGGGTTTGTGTTCACATTTTGGGTTTCCAACTGTCAATGTCAACTCAGATCTGGTATCGAACAGGATCCAAATGCATGGGGATTCCACTTTCCCCTGAGAAGATGGCTGCGGGTATTTATGGGAAAGGACTAGTGAGGCTACTATTTGCTGTGACCCCGTTTTTGGGAGGACTGGCCTCTCCTTCAGTTGATAAATTCTAGGTCCAATAATCAACTCACATCTGGAAACTGGATAAAGGATTATGAATTTCCATTGGAGCAACTTATCTTTTTGCTTGTTTAATCTTAAGCTGTTGAAATATACATATACACAGGTGGAGATACAGATATACAGTTGGCCCTCAAATGAGACAAGTGTTATGGTGCCAATACCCTGTGCAGCCAGAAATTAAAGAATAACTTTGACTTTCCCAAAACTCAGTTACTAATAGCCTATTGTTGACCAGAGCCTTACTGAAAACATAAACAATCAACACACATTTTATGTGTTATGTGTATTGTATTCTGTATTCTTACATTAATGTAAGTTAGAGAAGAGAAAATGTTATTAGGAATATCACAAGGAGGAGAAAATATATTTACTGTTTATTAAGTGGAAGTGGATCATCATAAGGTCTTTATCTTGGTCATCTTCATGTTGATTAGGCTGAGAGGAAGAGGAAGAGGAGGAGGGGCTGGTGTTGCTGTCTCAGAAGTGGCAGAGGCAGAAGAAAATCCATGTGTAAGTGAACCCATGTTGTTCAAACCCGTTGTTCAAGGGTCAACTGTAGATGTAGATTATATAGCTATAGATGTAGCTAGCTATGGATATAGATATAGATATGGATATAGACATAGCTATTGATGCATAGAGTCTGCAGTTATTCCTATGCCCTTTTGGCCACCTATGTCCTGTTCTGAGGACCACTATGTTCTATTGTCCATAACTACAGATCCCTGTAAGTCACAGATCACTCTGCCTAGTTTGCCATTCCTTGCTTGCTGCATATCATATAATGATACCTACACTAATTCTTAAAGTTAAATGCTACCTCCTGGCTTTGCTATTCTGGGATCTTATCATTCCCATTACTCCTGGGAAGCTTAGTTCTATAACAAAACTTTTTATCACAAATGCTGACTTTATGGAATAGGCACTACTAAATTTCTCATTGATGTTGGTGGCTCTCTTACCTGCTCATTCCTTACTGCTTTTGTAAACAGAATGTCTCCAAGACTCACCCCAGAAATATAGTCAGGTGCTTGGCCTTAAGACCAGAGCTATTTTAATATTTCCACTTCTCTGTACTTTTTTTTTTTTTTGAGATGGAGTCTTGCTCTGTCTCCCAGGCTGGGGCGCAGTGGCGAGATCTCAGCTCACTGCAACCTCTGCCTCCCAGGTTCAAGCAATTCTCCTGCCTCAGCCTCCAGAGTAGCTGGGACTACAGGCACGTGCCACCACGCCCGGCTAACTTTTTGTATTTTTAGTAGAGTTGGGGTTTCACTATGTTAGCCAGGATGGTCTCAATCTCCTGACCACGTGATCCACCCGCCTCAGCCTCCCTTCTCTGCACCTTTTGATCCCTTCCTGTTCTTCCATGGGCTGTATGTTACCAGATAAATCTATACTAGTTATCTACTGTTGCCTTATATTATCACTTCACAACTTAACAGCTTAAAACAACACACATTATCTCACAGTTTCTGTGGATCAAGAATTCAGGCATGCCTTACCTATGTTCTCTGTGTCATAGTGTTTTCCAAGGCTGTAATCAAGGTGTTCACTGTCACTAGAGTCTCATCTAAAGCCTCAACTAGGAAGCAGCCGCATCCAGGCTCACTAAATGGTTGTTGACAGGATTCAGCCCCCAAGGACAATTAGAGGGAGCCTCAGTTCCTTGTGAGCTGTTGGATGGGGGCTGTCTTCGAGTTGTTACCACATGGATCTCTGTCTCTTATAGCAGCTGGCTTCATCAAACCCAATGAGAGTGAGCGTGAGAGCAAACCAGAGCTGGCCAACAAGAAGAAAGTGACAATCTTTTGAATAATAACTTAATCATTCAATGTACCATATGATGTTGGTTAGAAGTAAGTTACTCAAAGGGTTGGAATTACTTAAGACCATGAGCACCAGGTGGCAGAAATAATGGGGCTAACTTAGAGGTTGCTGCCCCAGCTCTTACACAATATTGAGCAAGATAATCAAAACACAAAATACACATACTATGATTCCATTTAGATTAAATTTTAAAATGTGGGAAAATAAACTGTATTATTAGGGATGCATGTCTAGGTTGAAAAACTATAAAAAATACAGTAGAAGGATTTAAAATCAGAATAGTGATTACTTCTAGAATGGAGGGAGGGAGATACAGTCAAGAAAAGACATATAGGAGCACCTCTTATGGATGACAAGATTCTATTTCTTGACGAAGGCTTTGGGTACATACATGCTTGCTTAATAATTATTAGCTATATCAATTATTAATTAATTAATGTATATATGTTATATATTTTTAGTATATTTTTTCACTTAAAAAGTTTTTTTAAAATCCAAGGTGAACTGAAATATCCTATTTAAGTTTTAAAAGTCAAGATAAAGCAGTGATTGAAGACAGTTTAGAACAAAGAGATTTACTGAATGGCATATGAGTATTCATATTATTTTAAATATTGCTCTAATTACACATACCACTTCATACCAAGAATGGTAGCATTGTTTAATGCTTATTCTTAAATATTTTAATAGTTTGATTTTTATTATAAATAGGAACTTAATTGAATTGGAAATATGATAATTTATCTATCAATTAGACATGCCTTTTGTAGGCCTCTCTGTGTATTTCACAGTCTTATAACTAAGTCACAGTAATTCACCTAATGAAATTACATTTTATTTCCAAAATACATACTAGGTTTTCATTCCAAAAATGTCAGAGTACTAACATAATAGATGTGATACCTGACAAGAGAAGCCCATTTCCCATGTCATTCTTTAAAGGGTATGTTAATACGATGCGTCCAGGTTGCGGGGTAAACACAACACATGTTCTTCAGTGTTGATTGCAAATATCAGTTGGGTTCACTTCATTCTAATTTCCTTGATGTTTACCTAAGTGAAGTCTTTAATCATGAACTTCTAAAAAGACAACCATAAAATTAGTTTAAAATTTAAAAAGGTATATGAAAGAAAAACTTACACTCCTTCTGCTAGTCTATATAATAAAAGAAGGACAGTTTAGATAGACTTGGCGTAACTTGTGTGTGTGGTCCTCAAGTTAATATCAAGTATGCTTCACCAGACAGTGAGTAGAATTTAGCAGCAAATACATACAGTGACAGACATCTCGCCTGCTTTTGAGGCTCATTTTGTAAAAATCCAGTGTGCTGTCTATACGAATTTCCCATGGTGGTTCATGCCCTGTTGTTCCATTATCATCCATGTGGACTGTCAGTTTTGGTATTAGAGTCATCTAAAATAGCAAAGATAATTATCAGTGTTTTAGTTTACAATACTCCAAATTCAGTGTTTAAAATCCAGTATCATTTTCTCTACTACGTAGATACTACCAATTGTATTTTAATTATTTTAGTTGCTTCTGTTTCCAGTTGAATATTATACAATGTATGTCATACAACAGTTTAAGCAGATGGGTCTCAAGCTTGGCTGCCCTTTACCTGAGAAACTTGAAAAATTCTGGTGCCCAGGCCATAACCCACAGCACTTAAGTCAGATTTTTTCTGAGCAAGAGTCAGGCATCAGTAGTTTTTAACACTCCCCGAGTGACTCTAATATTCAGCCAACTTGTAGAACCCCTGGATGAGGGGTTGTGATTCTCCATACATTTCCCTACATTCAGAATGTACCTGCCTTTGTAGCTGTGGCAATAGGGTTTTCTTAATCTCCATAAATTTATATAGAAACCTCTCCCCTCATAATCAAAACCTTTTTCTTTTATGTTTTTAATTTTTCCTCAGCCCCTGATATACAGCAAATCAAATGAACAACTGCCTCTTCAGGACACCATGTGGCTTCACAATACAATTGTTTCAATCTTTCATGTTCTCCAGCTTTGCAAACACAGCCCATAAAGTAAAGACTTGTAAATCAAGTGTTTGCTAAACAAGTTAATGTGACAGAAATATTGCAAGGTGTTTGGTCTTTAATGATCTTAATTAAGACATTTAAGGATGCTATCATAGAGTGAACAACCTGTCTCTTTCTTCTTGGGACTTCCTAGTTCTAGCAATGAGAGCCCTGAGTTCAGGGAATGCCCTCAGACTGGGCAATCAGAAACAGCTGGTCACCCTACCATGACATTGGTTGGTATAGTTAAAATGAAGCCCTGGCAGTTATTAGTATAGCTCTGAATGAACTAGTGATGCATGCATCAACATTGTGACTCTCACAGCCACATATCAAGGCAAAGATGACAGACAGAAAAAACAATTATGCTATATATAATTTGTTTGAATGTTCAAATCAAAACTAACCTATGGTGGAAAAATTATTAGAACATTGCTAATAATTTCCCCATATGGCTGCCTCTATGAAGTGATGAGTTTACTGAAGTGACATTTGGGAACTTTCTAGTATAATGAAAATGTTCTCTGTATTCATCCATTTTCATACTGCATGAAGAAATACCAGAGACTGGGTAATTTATAAAGAAAAGGAGGTTTAATTGTGAGTCTCTAAAAAAGACTTGCAGTTCCACATGGCAGGGGAGGCCTCACAATCATGGCAGAAGGTGAAGGAGGAGCAAAGGCATCTCTTACATGGCAGAAGGCAAAAGAGCATGTGCAGGGGAACTGGTCTTTATAAAACCATCAGATCTCATGAGGCTTATTCACTATTATGAGAACAGCATGGGAAAAATCAGCCCCCTTGATTCAATTACCTCCCACCGGGTCCCTCCCATGACACCACGACACCACGACACCATGACACATGGGGAGTACGGGAGCTACAATTCAAGATGAGATTTGGGTGGGGACACAGCCAAATTACATCATTCTCTATCTTAATAGGTGTGGAGGTTACATGGATGTACCCATTTATAAAAACTCATCAAATAGTACATTTGGGATTTGTTCATTTCAGTGTATGTAAATTTTACAATATCATAAAAATAGACACAAACTAAATTAAAATATTTATTTATGAATTAATCCACCAAATTGTCATGTTTGCTAATTTGTTTTAAGTATGATTCTTTTAATTAAACTATAATGAGCTCCTTTGATGTTACTTTATCACAGTATAATACTGTGTGTGTGTGTGTGTATGTGTGTGTGTGTTCCTTCTAGCAAGCTGTGAACTCCCCTGAAGGAGAATCTACATCAAATTTGTAATCCCAATGGCTGGCAACTTGGGTCTCTCAGATTATCCATTTAATGCCTCTGTTTTATAAGCAAGGCAGGACCTTGAGCCAGGTGCTTCTGTAAAGCTTGAATGAACAGAATAAAGCAGGAGGTGTCTGTGTGTGGCCATTAAACCTTTCCTCATTGCTCAAAAATGACACTCAAAATAGGACATTTTCTTCTTGTCCCAGGCCAGAGGCCACACTGAGTAGAAGGGCTTTCCTCTCCCTTGGTCAATGGAATAAATGAATAATTGGTAATGTAACTGACTAAATCTCATTCTGGTACTGGGTACAGGAAAAGAGAGTGAGAAATGTAATTTCAAATGCAGAGTATCACCTGATAGCCCTGTGTAGAGGAAGAGGAAGATAATTTGGTCTAGAAGATGCCATCAAGGTGAGAATCAAGGAAAAGTAGATGGTATAGATCTTATTACATCTGGACAAGAATATTTTCTTCCCAATGATTTTAAGCCATTAAATGGACAAACATTATTGTGTAATCTGATAATTATTTAGCAATTAAATAAACAAAAACAAGAAAAATATAGTGACAACAGGAAACTGGGGCAGTATATAAGAGGCTCAAGGAGACTTCTAAACTCCAGAACCTCATTCTCCTGGGAACCCACCCAGAACCTCCACCCTCTGACGCCATGGTCAGCTCCTGCTGTGGCTCTGTCTGCTCTGACCAGAGCTGTGGTCAAGGTCTCGGCCAGGAGAGCTGCTGCCGCCCCAGCTGCTGCCAGACCACCTGCTGCAGGACCACCTGCTGCCGCCCCAGCTGCTGCATTTCCAGTTGCTGCAGGCCTTCCTGCTGTATCTCCAGCTGCTGCAAACCCAGCTGCTGCAGGACCACCTGCTGCCGCCCCAGCTGCTGCATTTCCAGTTGCTGCAGGCCTTCCTGCTGTATCTCCAGCTGCTGCAAACCCAGCTGCTGCAGGACCACCTGCTGCCGCCCCAGCTGCTGCATTTCTAGTTGCTGCAGGCCTTCCTGCTGTATCTCTAGCTGTTGCAAACCCAGCTGCTGCCAGACCACCTGCTGCCGCCCCAGCTGCTGTATCTCCAGCTGCTACAGGCCCCAGTGCTGCCAGCCCTCCTGCTGCCGCCCGGCTTGCTGCATTTCTAGTTGCTGTCATCCCAGCTGCTGTGTGTCCAGCTGCCGCTGCCCTTTCAGCTGCCCGACCACCTGCTGTAGAACAACCTGCTTCCACCCCATCTGCTGCGGCAGTTCTTGCTGCTGAGTGAAGCTGCTCTGGATTTGTGCACCTTCTTGCTCTCAACCTTCAGTTCAGGCACAGAGTATCTATTCAGAGAACATGTGGACTTCCTGATGTCGTGAAAACAGAGGCATGGACTGATTTGGAAAATATTTTATTAGTATGTATTCTCTTTTATAGAAGTTTTTATTCCTATTGAATCTGAATTTACAGTCAAATTCCACATCACATGTTTTAGAATTCTTTATTCTAATTCAATATACATAAATCTTCAAATGGTATCCTTCTAGATGTTTCTTCCTAATGTTTTCTGTGGTATCAATTTTCATGTGGAATTGTTTGATGTTCCTCAATAAAACTTCATAGTGTTCAAAAGCACCAAAAATGCTCATCTCTTTTCATTTGTTATAATATAATGGTATATGTATATTTCTGTCTATTTTCTGCACAACACAAGAAGAGTACATGTTGTCAAACACCCTAATAATTAAAACATTAAATTGGCATTCTCCAATTAGATTTTATCCAAGCCAGAATTCAGTCTCATAGTAGAAACAGGAGAAGAATTTAAGAGACATTTTTGAACCTAACACATATAACATGAAAGCTGTGGAATATAACTGCCAGCACAAAAAAACTGTCTTCAATAAGCTGCATCCCATGATGTGATTTAAACTAATTTAAACAGAAGCAGCTCAATGTAGAGTATATTCTGTGGACTTGAGAATTATACAGAGTTGAGGCTGAATTCTGACTGTACTGCATGCCACCTATGATCTTAGACATGGCATTTAAACTCTGTCAACCTAGGATTACTTTTCTCTTAAGAAGGGATCATAATAACTCAAAAACACATGAAGGTAATCATAAAATGTCAATGAGATAAAGGTGCCTGGTTGACAAATAAAAGCATGCTCTCTCATCATCACTGGCCATCAGAGAAATGCAAATCAAAACCACAATGAGATGCCATCTCACACCAGTTAGAATGGCAATCATTAAAAAGTCAGGAAACAACAGGTGCTGGAGAGGATGTGGAGAAATAGGAACACTTTTACACTGTTGGTGGGACTGTAAACTAGTTCAACCATTGTGGAAGTCAGTGTGGCGATTCCTCAGGGATCTAGAACTGGAAATACCATTTGACCCAGCCATCCCATTACTGGGTATATACCCAAAGGAGTATAAATCATGTTGCTATAAAGACACATGCACACTCATGTTTATTGTGGCACTATTCACAATAGCAAAGACTTGGAACCAACCCAAATGTCCAACAATGATAGACTGGATTAAGAAAATGTGGCACATATACACCATGGAATACTATGCGGCCATAAAAAATGATGAGTTCATGTCCTTTGTAGGGACATGGATGAAATTGGAAATCATCATTCTCAGTAAACTATCGCAAGAACAAAAAACCAAACACTGCATGTTCTCACTCATAGGTGGGAATTGAACAATGAGATCACATGGACACAGGTAGGGGAATATCACACCTGGGGACTGTTGTGGGGTGGGGGGAGGGGGGAGGGATAGCATTGGGAGATATACCTAACGCTAGATGACGAGTTAGTGGGTGCAGCGCACCAGCATGGCACATGTATACATATGTAACTAACCTGCACAATGTGCACATGTACCCTAAAACTTAAAGTATAATAAAAAAAAAGAAAACTAACAATTTAGAGTTGAAATATAAATCACTAAGCATATCCTCTAAAAGTTGTTTAACCAAGTGAAGATATGTACAATACCATGTACTAAGTTGCTATCATATATTTTCAAGTGAGGTGCAACTAGTATTAGTTTGTCATAGCCAAATAGCTAAACTACAATAATAATTATTAGCTAAGGGATTACTCCAATATAACTTTTAAAAAGTTTTCTCACTATATTCATGGGTTAGCCACTATTCCATATTATCTTGTAAGCCACAGTATGTTCGTTATAACCCAAACCTACTGTGACTTGTTAACTGTTAAAAAATAATTACTATATAATTCTTTGTATAAGCTGGGGGGTAATTGAATGATTAAAAAATTAATAAGAAATAGGCTATTTCAAAAAATGGAAATTTTTTTGTTATTAATTATTAATCAATGCAGAAAATACAATTTTCCATGAAGAAAATATTAGCAAAAACTTCTAGCTGAATAGCAGAAAGAATTTGGAATTTAAGTTTGGAAGGCGTATCAAGGATATGTTCATAATGGGATACAGTTGCATATTCTTAATTGCTTATTTTGCATGCTTTGATGAATATTGAATACTATTATCCATGTAACATAAATATTTAATTCCCTTCATAGTTCTGAAATGGAATTCAGGGCACTTAAAAAATCCCATTAACTAGAGTAAAAATAATTGTGTATTAAAATTATTGTAAGAAGGAGAACAAATCAAGAAAAAGATTTATAAAAATATGTGAAAATGCCTGACTTGCATGCAAATTACATGGAGGGAAAAGAAATGAATGCTTGCTGTGAACTTACCCTTTGGATCATTTTTAAGTTTAGCTCATTTATAAAAATAAATATTTCAGTACCCGATTTTTTTCCCAATTTACATTGCTTGTAGAAATATAGTTGGTGAATTGCATAAGATTCGGACTACTAAGAACTCAACAAGAACATAAATGCAGAGCCCCACCTTATTGTCTCCGAGTTTTACAGAAAGTATTTTAAACAAAAGTCTTATGAACTACTCAATAAGATAAGGAAAATAAAGTACATGTATAACTATTGGAAAAATGATGACAGAGTGTATGATATGCCTGATGTGTGTTTCTAATTGAAAGATAAAAGTTATTTAAAACACTGTAAATGCTCACAAACTGGCCAATTACCCAATCTTAAAAAGAATAATCTCTGAATTTTCCTATATACATATCCACACATCGAAAAAAAAATCCCATGTAGTTAAACATAGACACATGAAAAATAAGAATAAATATATGAAAATATCCAAAAAAAAAGCATGCTGTCTTTTACTACCAATTAGCCTCTTTTTTTTTTACTTTTGTAAATAACGATAGATTTTGAAATAACTATAGATTAACATGAAGTTGAATAAGACAAAGTTCCCTGTACCCTTCACTCAGTTTCCCTCAGTGGTTGCTTCTCATAGGATCATAGTACATGTCAAATCCCAAAATCTGACATTGGTACTAAATTCTAGGGATCTAGTAACTAGCATGGTGATTATAGTTAATAATACTGTATTGAGTACTTGAAATTTTCTGAAAAAGTAGATCTTAATTGTTCTCATTACACACACAGGAAACAATAACTACGTGAGGTGATAGGTATTAACTAACTTGGTTGTGATAATCATCTCACAATATATACATATCAAGGCATCATGTTGTACCCTTGATATACATAAAATTTTATTTGCCAACTCTACCTCAATAAAGCTGGGGAAAAATGAAAGTGCTGAAGTACTAGAAGAAATCGTGAGAGATTTCTAAACATAATGCAAATTTACATTAAGCAAAACACACACGCTCACCTTACAAAGAAAAAAAATAGTCAATTCATGTAAATAAAAGTGATCTCCACTGAGTCATCGGTAGGTACCAGTCATCAGGGTTCTTCAAGGATGTGATTCTTTTCCCATAATTCAAGTTCTCGAGGAAATCTTAGAGTTGTTCTCATACACCATAAACGGGCTCACCAGGGTTTTAACCCCGTAACAGCTTGGAACCTGCTTCTGTTCATTCTGACTGAGGACAAAGGCTCAGGACCTCAATACGATGCTGTGTCTGGGTGCATCAGAGCCAGTGCAGACTCAGAACACCAGCCAGTGCTGAAGCAGGGGCCCACTCAGGAGCCAGATTGTTATCATCCTGGTTGTGTAAGCCTGGAAATCAGGACCAGGGCAGCAGTAGAAACTGGTTAACAGTATAACATTATATTCCACTTATTAGACTTACATGGACCTGAGTGCAGAGAGGGAAGCTCAAAGTAATTTCATCCAATTCCCTCCATCTGGCTCTTGCATGTGCCTCAGTCAGAAACACCAGCTCACACTGAAACCCCCTCCCCTGATTATCTCTAGAGGCAGCCATTTCATAAAGCACCTTCCTCATGTTGTGTCAGATTTTGTTTCTCCCTAGGAACATCCTATCTTCCCTATCCTATATCAGCCCATGGCAGCCATCTGAGGAAGTCCATTCTCATACAGAGCCCCTTCAGGCTGCACTGCCATTGCTTTGTTCCACTTTTCTCCTTTTTAGGTTACATTTCCAAAGTGTTTCCATTTGTTCCTCATTGATCATAATGCCACCCTCACAGCAACTTTGCTTTTCATAAACCCCAATTTATCTTTATCCTTCTAGCCTGGATTGAAATGCATTTTCCAGATGTGTTCTGAACACTCTTGGAGGATTAGAAATGCCTCATCTACCTTAGTAAATGTTCCACTTTCATGAATGTTTCAAGTTTGCATGCAGGAGTTAACACAGTGTTAGTGGCAGTAAGTGGTTGGCAGTAAGTGTGAACTAATACTGAGGTTACTAAAGTGTGACACACCTAAGTAATCCTCATCATAAACTGCTTCAAGGTCTTCTTATACACATACAGTGGTTGTTTCTAGACGAGAAGTTCTCAACCTGCCTTTCTACTGCATGCCTGCAGTAATAGAGCTCATTGTGGTGATCCAGGTTGAGTACCCCATATCTGAAATGCTTGGCACCAGAAGTGTTTCAAATGTCAAGTTTTTTCAGAGTTGGAATATTCGCATTATACTTGTTGAGCATCCCTAATGCAAAAACATGAAATCCTAAATGTTCTATTGGGCATTTTCTTTGAGCATCATATAGGTACTCAAAAAGGTTTGGGTTTTGGAGAATTTCAGATTTCAGATTTTCAGATAAGATGTCCTCAACTTGTAATATTCTATCTGGTGAAGGGATGCTAAGAGGGGACACAACCTTAGGGTGTGTGTATAGTTAAATAAATACTCCCAGTAAATTTAGATATATTCACTCCTCCCCAATCTCGTTTGCCATGCTGCATTAATAACCACTCATTTGATCTACAATTGGTTCTGATATTTCATCTTGTTAGGTTTGATTCCTTGTGAGAGTATTTCTGTAGTTTTGGAAACATGGTTCTGCCATTTGGCATATTCACTTTTTCTTACCTTCATGGCCCCCAAATATTTAGATGAGCATGTTTTATGGAAAGACCCTCAGCAGAGTTGGGGTGTCCATAGTATCCTCAGAGAGACCAGTCCAAACAGAAATTGCTAACCCAAGAGCATCCCAAAGTGGAGGGTGGCACAAAGACAGGAAGTTTCTGCCTTCTTCCTTGGGTTTCTTTAACATCCAGGTTTGGGGGAGTGTGTGTGTGTGTGTGTTTGAGTGTGTGTGTGTGTGTGTGTGCATAATATTCCTAAGGTAAAGGGCCTTAGGAGATAAAGGTAAATACATATATATATAAATATATATATTTCTAAATATGTTATTGTATATATTATATATATATTTATACATACTATTAAATACAAACATATATGAAGAATATATATTATATATTCATAAATATGTAAATATATATATTCCTATATTACCTATATATAAGGTTCTCTATCTACCCATCTATATATGTATAATATATATATATATTCCTAAGGTCCTTTGGCAGAATATATATATTCCCCCAAACCTGTGTGTGTGTGAGTGTATATATATATATACATATACATCAAAAGAAAATTATGGGCCTAGAAGAATTAAAATCACCCAAGGTCAGACATAATGTGTGTGTATGTGTGCGTGTGTGTGTGTATATATATATATATATATATATATACACACACACACGCACACATACACACACATACATACACACACATATATGTGTGTGTATGTGTGTATATTTATATATAGTGTGCATATTTATATATAGTGTGTATATTTATATATAGTGTGTATATACGTGTGTGTGTATACTATATATAGTATATATATGTATATATATAATATATATTATATATATATATATATATTATATATATATAGCAAGGACACTGGGTCCTTTACCTTAGGTTGGCAAGTAAACCTTAGAAATAGAGGAGATGACTCAATGTGATTGTTAAAGCCAGAGAGACAGGAAGGAAAAGTCAGAAGGAAAATCAGCCCCTCAGAGCAGAGAGCGGAGGGACCTGAACCTTTTAGTATAGCTGATCTCTGTAGCCAATTTCCCCTAAAGGCCCTGAAACTGAGTTTTGGAGTGTTGTTTCTCAAGAAAAAGAAGCATCGATAATTCATGACTTAGATGTCCACCTTAAAACAATTCTGCTTTCCCCAGTAGAACATCTAGAAAATGGGTCATGATTCATTGTATGGAAGGTGGCAAGGAATATATCCTAATAGTATTTGTTTTCATGCCACTGGTCACCTGTTTCACATTCAAACCTTCATTGCTCACTTGATCTATAACAAACATGCCATGAGATTAAAGCACAGCTTTCTCCTCCTGAGTCACCAAAAGAAAATTACGGGCCTAGAAGAATTAAAATCACCCAAGGTCAGACATAATGTATTAAGGAAAATGAGGCTGCAGCACATGGTACCTGCAGGCAGATGTCACATGGCAGCTCAAGGAGGAAGCTGCAGCAAGAGGCACACAAGAGGTTGTTCAAGAAGAGCTGACCTGAAGAATCCTAACACACCAGGGGAAGGAAATAATGCTTTTCTCCATGTTGACAAATTTAAGCAGAAAAACAAACTTGCCTAATTTGATAATTGCCTGCTCATCAGAACAAACAATGACAAGGAAAGAGTGCTGCATCCGATGACATCAGCCCTGAGCAGGGTATAAAAGAGGATCTGGGGCAAGGAGACTTCCAAGCCTTCCAAACCCTCCTTCCTGGAAACCCACCCAGAACCTCCACCCTCTGACACCATGGTCAACTCCTGTTGTGGCTCTGTGTGCTCTGACCAGGGCTGTGGCCTAGAGAACTGCTGCCGTCCCAGCTACTGCCAGACCACCTGCTGCAGGACCACCTGCTGCCGCCCCAGCTGCTGTGTGTCCAGCTGCTGCAGACCCCAGTGCTGCCAGACCACCTGCTGCAGGACCACCTGCTGCCACCCCAGCTGCTGTGTGTCCAGCTGCTGCAGACCCCAGTGCTGCCAGTCTGTGTGCTGCCAGCCCACCTGCTGCAGACCCCAATGCTGCCAGACTACCTGCTGTAGGACCACCTGCTGCCGCCCCAGCTGCTGCAGGCCCCAGTGCTGCCAGTCTGTGTGCTGCCAGCCCACCTGCTGCTGCCCCAGCTACTGTGTGTCCAGCTGCTGCAGACCCCAGTGCTGCCAGACCACCTGCTGCAGAACCACCTGCTGCCGCCCCAGCTGCTGTGTGTCCAGGTGCTACAGGCCCCATTGTGGCCAGTCTCTATGCTGCTAGCCCATCTGCTGGCAAACCACCTGCTACAGGACCACCTGCTGCCACCCCAGCTATTGCATTTCCAGCTGCTGCCAGCCTTCCTGCAGTATCTCTAGCAGCAGTAGCTCCTCCTGCTGTGGCTTCAGCTGCTGCAGGCTCTCCTGCTGCATCTCCAGTTGCTGCCGCCCCAACTGCTGCCAGACCATGTGCTGCCGCCCAACCTGCTCTAGTGCTTCTTGCTGCTGAGGCTGTCATCTGGACTCACCAGATTCTCATCAACCAGCATTCTTGATGTAGCTCATCTATGAGCTGAGTTATGGGAAGCTAGTTGGAAAACTTCAGTTCCAACCAATTCTTAGATTGAATCTGGCCTCCAAATATATGCTCCCCCCACATTTTACCTCTCTACCAAATGAACATAAGTTGTAATTTGCTCTGAAATCTGTCAACTATCTTAATTGAAATATTTGCTCTCTGCCATAATTTCTCATATGGAGCTATTCCATTTTAAACAAATATTTATCTAAATAAATCTTAAATAAATTTTCAGGCATAGAAATATACAGATACTGTGTCTCATTATTTTTCTTTTTTGAGTGTGGTCAATTACCAGTCAATTTTTCTGTTGTTCTTCTCTGCAGAATGTAATTTCAGGGGCACCACCTCTATTTCCTCAGCACACTTTATTCTAATATACAATGGTGGTTTCTTAGAGCAAGCACCTGGAACTCTCTTCTTGAAGAGTTTCTCTAGCCAAGGAGCAAGCTCTGGACTGTAGAGTTAAAGCCTCTTGGAATAGTATTCAACAAATGAGTGAGAGTTGGTGAACACATGCTTTAGTTATTTCTCCTCCAGTTGGGAGCATGTTGTACCAGCATGTCAGTGGTCCTCAGAGACACCAAATTCCAGCTACCTACAGGGCTATTCTGATCATTAACTCATCTTGTATTCACTTCCCTCCCTTTCCTGGAGCATTTTTCGTGTTCCATACAGCACTTCTTGGGACCACCTCCCAAATATACTCCTGGGTCGGCTCCAGTGGGGACCCAATCTAAGACACCAGTGTTCCTAACCTCAGTATTAGTGCCCTTCAAAACATTTTTCCTTTTTTATTGATATGTAGCAGATGCGCATATAAAATTTTGATACATCCATATAATTTGTAAAGATCCAATCAGGGTAATTGGATTATCCATCACAGTTTATCTTTTCTTTATGCTAGGAACATCTGAATTATTCTTTTGTAGCTACTTTGGAATGTTTAATAGATCATTGTTAACTATAGTCATCCTACAGTTATATTGAATACTAGGTCATATTTTTATCTCTAACTTATATTTGTACACGTCAATCCACCTCTTCATTTCCCACAGGCACCCTCCTCTGACTCTGATAACCAGCAATCTATTCTTTATCTTCATGAGTTCCATTCCATTAGCAATTTGTCTTTCTGTGCTTGGCCTATTTCACGTAACATAATTAAATCATTTTTATACAATATCAGTGGTTACCCTGGTGTCACGGTCAACTCTTGAGTATACTGTCTAGTAAATAGGTAAATGTTCTAAATAAATATTTTTCTTATCCTTCTTCCTCCTCCTCCTCTTCCTCCTCCTCCTCCTCCTCCTCCTCCTCTTCTTCTTCTTCTTCTTCTTCTTCTTCTTCTTCTTCTTCTTCTTCTTCTTCTTCTTCTTCTTCTTCTTCTTCTTCCTCTTCTTCTTTTTCTTCTTCTCAGTTTTGGCACAGTTATCTCTGGACTAGTTGTCTTTATCTCTCTCTCTCTCTTTTTTTTTTTTTTTTTTTTTGAGATAGAGTCTTGCTATGTCACCCAGGCTGGAGGCCAGTGGTGCCATCTCAGCTCACTGCAACCTCCACCTCCCAGGTTCAAGTGATTTTCCCACCTCAGCCCCTCAAGTAGCTGGAATTACAGGTATGTGCCATCACGTCCAGCTAATTTTTGTATTTTTAGTAGACACGGGGTTTCACCATGTTGGCCAGGCTGGCCTCGAACTCCTGACCTCAAGTGATCCATCTGCCTCAGCCTCCAAAAGTGCTGGGATTACAGGCATGAGCCATCACACCCAGTCTTCAATCTCTTTTTCTTCCACATTATTATATCTGAAGGATAAGGCAGAATTGCCATGCTAGTAACTTTTATTCTAAAAGAAACTGTGTTTAAGAGGTGTGCTAAGTTGGATTCACTCAAAATAGAACCGAAAACAAGGATTCTTGGATAAGTGATTTATAAGAAAATGCTCTCAGGAGAAATCAGTAAGAAACTGGGAAGCAGAATAGAGGAGTTTAAAAACCTAAGGCAGAACATGATTTTTATTGAATTATTTTCTCTTCTGACCCCATAGGAAGCTCTAGAGTGTGATTAGTATCACAGACCCATCTTTCTGAGAGGCAAGGTGGTTGGAATTTTGCACTCAGACATCAGTTACCACTAGCTATGGGTCAACCTGTGGGAGAGGAAGAAGATTCATAGATGGTCCAATCCTCCAGATGAGGTATCAATTAGGTAAACATAAAAAAAAATGAACTTCTAAAATGACAACAAAACAATGAGTTTAAAGAGAAAAAAGTGTATAAAAGAAAAAATACAGCTGTTCTGTGTAATAAAAGAGGTATCATTTAGGTAGACTTGAGACAATCTGTGTGTATGGTTCTCTTTCACTGTTTATTATTAATAAATTGGCCTATGCATATTTCTGTCTCTTTTTCTGCACAACCCGAGAGTACATGTTATCAGGGGATCATACAATTGAAAAATTAAATTGATATTCTCTAATGAGATTTTTAATCAAAACTAGGATTCTGTCTCACAGCAGAAATAGGAAAATGTATCAAAGGAGGCATATTTGAACCTAATACATCTAACATAAGAGCTATGAATTGCAACAGCCACCGAAATAGAAAGTCGTCAATAAACTGCATCCCATGAAGTGATTTAAACTTATTTAAAGGGAGGGATTTAAACTGATAAGGAAGCTCTATATACAGTATAGACTGTGCACTTGGGAATTAGAGAGAGTTGGGGCTGAATTCTGACTGTACTACATACCAGGTATGTTCTTGTACATGTTAACTATCTCAGCCTAGGGTTGCTTTTCTTTAAGGAAATGATCACAATAGCCACAAAATATAGTAAGGATGTCGTAAATATTCAATGAGATTGGCAAGTAAAAGCATGCTCCCCTTTTTTTCCCAATAATCCTCATATATATATTTTTAACTTTTTATTTAGAAATAACTATAAATTCACAGAAAGTAGAAAAAAAAGTACAGCAAAGTCCTATGCACCCTTCACCCAGTTTTCCCCAGTCGTCACGTATTCCATCACTAGAGTACATGTCAAACCCCACAAACTGACATTGGTAAAATCCACAAAACTTGTTCTAGTTTTATCAGTTTTACATGCACTTATGAGTATGTGTATGTGTATGTGTATGTCTGTGTATGTTTGTGTGTAAATGTATGGATAACTTAGAAGGAATGGATGAATTCCTAGAAACATAATACCTACCGAGACTGAAACATGAAGAATAGAAAATCTGAGGAGTCCAATAATGAATAAGAAGATTAAAGTAGCAATAACAAACCTCCCAGCAAAGAATAGCCCAATACCAGATAGCTTCACATGTGAATTCTAACAAGCATCTGAAGAAGGATTAATGCCAATCCTTATCAAACTCTTCCACAAAAAGTGAAGAGGAGGGAACATTTCCAACATCTGTTTATAATGACAGCATTACTCTTTACCAAAGCCAGATAAGGACACTACAAGAAAAGAAAATTATAGGCCAATATACTTTATAAACATAGGTGCAAAAATACAAAATACTCAACAGGATACCAGGAAACCTTATTCAACAACATATTAAAAAGATCATTCACCGTGATCAAGTGAGATTCACTCAGGGGATGCAAGGTTAGGCCAACACACATAAATCAATAAACATGATACGTCACATTAATAGAATGAAGGATGAAAAGCATATGATCACTTAAGTAGATGCAAAAAAAAGCATTTTTAAAAATTCAGAATATTTTTATGAAAAAACTCACAGCAAATTAGGTATAGAGGGAATGTACCTCAACATAGTCAAGGTCACATATGACAAACCCATAGCTGACATCACACTGAATAGGGAAAAACTGAAAGCATTCTCCCTAAGAACTGGAACAAGACTAGGATGACAACTTGTACCACTCCTATTCAACATAGTACTGGAAGCCCTAGCCAGAGCAATCAAGCAAGAGAAAGAGATAAACAGTACTCAAATTTGAAAACAGAAAGGCAAATTATTTCTGTTTGCTGAATGAAATTGGATCCATTTCTCTCACCATGTACAAAAATCAACTCAAGATAAATCAAAGACTTACATGTAAAATATGAAACTATAAAAATACCAGAAGAAAACCTAGGAAATACTCTTCTAGACCTTGATCTAGCCAAAGAATTCATGACTAAGATCTCAAAAGCACAGGCAACAAAAGCAAAAATTGGCAGACAGGACTTATTTAAACTAAAAAGCTTCACACAGCAAAAGATGACATGATCTTATATCTAGAAAACCCTAAAGGCTCCACCAAAAAACTCTTGGATTTGATAAGCAAATTCAGTAAAGTTTCAGAATATGAAATCAACAAGCAAAAATCAGTAGCATTTGCATACACCAATAATGATCCAGCTGAATACCAAATCAAGAATGCAATCTCATTTACAATAGTTATAAAAATACTTAAGAATATATTTATCGAATGAGGTGAAAGATACCTGCAAGGAAAACTACAAAACACTGACAAAAGAAATTGTAGATAACACAAACAAATGGGAAACATCTCATTCTCACGGATCAGAAGAATTAATGCTGTTAAAATGACCATACTGCCCAAAGCAGTCTACAGACTCAGTGCAATTCCTACTGAAATACTAATGTCATTTTTAATGGAATTAGGGAAAAAAATCCTAAAATTGATAAGGAAGTGAAAAAGAGCCCAAGTAGCTAAAGCAATCCGAAAGGGGGGTGGGGAAGCTGGAGGCATTACGTTATCCATTCTCAAATTATATTAAAAGGCTATAGTAACCAAAACAACATGGTTTGGGGTTAAAAATAGACACATAGATCAGTGGAACAGAATAGAGAACCCAGAAGTGTAGCCACATACTTACAGCAAACTGATTTTTGACAAAGTTGATAAGAACATACACGGGAAAGGAAATCCTATTCAATAAATAAATGATGCTGGGTACATTGGATTGCCTTTGCAAAAGAATGAAACCAGATCCCTATCTCTCGCTATGTACAAAAATCAACTCAAGATGCATTAAAGGCTTAAATGTAAGACATGAAGCTATAAAAATAATAGAAGAGGCCGGGAGCGGTGGCTCATGCCTGTAATCCCAGCACTTTGGGAGGCTGAGGCGGGTGGATTGCTTGAGGTCAGGAGTTCAAGACCATCCTGACCAACATGGTGAAACCCTGACTCTACTAAAAATACAAAAATTAGCCAGGCATGGTCATGGGTGCTTGTAATCCCAGCTACTCCAGAGGCTAAGGCAGGAGAATCGCTTGAACCTGGGAGGCAGAGGTTGCAGTGAGCCGAGATCAAGCCATTGCACTCCAGCCTGGGTGACAGAGCGAGACTCCGTCTAAAAAAAAGAAAGAACGAACGAACGAAAGAAAGAAAGAAACCAGAAGAAAGCCTAGGGAAAACTCTTCTGGACATTGGTCTAGCCAAAAACTCATGACTATGCCCTCTAAAGCACAGGCAACAAAACAGAAAATAGGCAAATAAGATTTATCTAAACTAAAAAGTTTCTGCACTGTAAGAATTAAACAAAAAGGAAAGAAACATGAAAGATGGCTTGCCAGTTAAGACAGGTTTATTTTAGAGAAAACAAACCTAAGAGTGGCATTTGGCTGAGTTAGGTTGGAGGCACACTTTTTACAGACTAAGAGTTTTTAAGGATTCAGGGTGGGAGAGTTTTTTAGAGGCTTGGACTGCTTCTGTGTCTCTTTGTTGTGCTTATCTGGGAGGGAGAGTTGTGTGTCTATTCCCTTGCAGGCATAGCCCGAGTCTGCTTTTAACTTCCCTATCTTAGTGCACATGAAGGGAAAGGAAAGTGCTTATTAAGGCCCACTCTTTTACTGGGGCCCATTGTACGAGGGTGAAGTTTGGCAGTTACCCAAGAGACTTTCCCCCTGCTTCCCTCTGTGCCAGAGCTATCTTATCTGTGTTTTACTGTCTGCTGTTTCTGGCTGCTTGTAGTTAGAAGAGAAGTGATTTCCTTGAAATGCATGAGGCTAGAAAGGGAGCTGCAACTTCAAGTGGCAGTGTTTGTCCAAGATGATGGTGCTCCTGGTCTGTCATGCACAGCAAAAGACATAATCAATGGAGTGAACAGGCAACCTGCAGAATGGGAGAAAATATCTGCAAACTATCCATCCAACAGGGGATTAATATCCAGAATTTAAGAGGAACTCTACCAACAAAAACATTGCAAATAATTCCATTAAAAAGGGGAAAAGGACATGAACAGACATTTTTCAAAAGATGACATACAAATGGCCAATAAGCATTTGAAATAATGCTTATCATCACTAATCATTAAACAAATGCAAATTAAAACCACCATGAGAGATCATCTTATACCAGTAAGAATGGCTGCTATCAAAAAGACAGAAATAACAAATGTTGATGAAGATGGAGCTGAAAGGGAACACATAAACAGTTGTTGAGAATGTAAATTAGTACAACCGCTATGGAAAACAGTATGGAGATTTCTCAAAGAACTAAAACTAGAACTACCATTTGATCCAGCAATCCCATGACTGAGTGTCTACCTGAAGGAAAAGAAATCATTATACCAAAAATATACCTGCACACATATGTTTATTGCACCACTATTTATAGTAGCAAACATATGGAATCAACCTAAATGTCCATCAGTGGATGACTGGATAAAGAAAATGTGCTATATATAAACAATGGAATACTCTTCAGCCATAAAACATAATGAAACCATGTCTTTTGCAGAAACATGGATGGAACCGGAGGCCATTATCTTAAGTGAAACAACTCAGACATAGAAAGACAAATACTGCATGTTCTCAGTTACAGTGGGGCCAAATGATGCGTACACATGGAGGTAGAGTGTGGAATGACAGACAATGGAGAGTCTGAAGGGCAGGGGTGTAGGAGGGGGAAGGATGATGAGAAATTACTTGATGGGTAGAATGCACGTTATTTCAGTGATGGATACTCTAAATGTCCTGACTCGACCATTATGCAATATATCCATGTAACAAAATTATACATTTACACGAATAAAATATTTTAAAAATATCTGAATTGGAAAGGAAGAAGTTACATTGTTTCTATTTGCAGATGACATGATCTTATATGTAGAAAACCCTAAAGACTTCACTGAGAAACTGTGAGAACTAATAAACAAATTCAGTAAGGTTGCAGAGTATAAAATCAACATGCAAAACCCAGTAGGTTTTCTATACACTAATAGCAAACCATCTGAAAAAGAAATCAAGAAAACTATTTCATTTACAATAGTTACAATAAAATAAAATACTTAGGAACAAGTTTAACCAAGGAAGTGAGGATATCTACACTGAAAACTGTAAAACACAGATGAAAGAAATTGATGAAAACACAAATAAATGGAATGATATCCTGTGTTTATTCCAATATTGTCCAAATATTATTAAAGCAATCTACAGATCTCACACAATCCCTATAAATATACCAATGACATTCTTCACAGAAATATTTTTAAAAAGTTCTAAAATTTGTATAGAACCACAAAAAACCAAAGTGATCTTGGACACTAAGAATATAGCTAGAAGCACCACACTCCCTGACTTCAAAATAAACCACAACACTGCAGTAACCAAAATACCATCATTCTGACATAAAAACAGACACACAGACCAATGGAATGGAATAGAGAGACCAGAAATAAAGTCACTCATTTATAACCAATTGATTTTCAACAAAGATGCCAAGAATGGGGGAAGGACAGTTTCTTCAATAAATTATGTTAGGAAAACTGGGTATCCACATGCAGAAGAATGAAATTAGTCCCTTATTTCTTACAGTATGCAAAAATCAGTTCAAATGGGTTAATGGCTTGAATGTAAGATCAGAGGCTATGAAATTTTTGGAAGAAAGCATGGGGGAAAGATTCATGACATTGGTCTCGGCAATGACTTTTTGAATATGACCTCAAAAGCACAGGCGACGAAAGAAAAATTGGATGACTGAGATTACATCAAACTAAAAAGCTTCCACACAGCAAAGGAAACCACAAAAAGAGTCAAGAGATAACCTACAGAATGGGAGAAAATATTTATAAAGTATATATCTCATAAGGGGTTAACATCCAAAATACAAAAGGAGCTCAAACAGCTCACAAGCAAGAAAACAAAAACCTGATTAAAAATGGGCAAAAGACCTGACTAGACATTTCTCAAAAGAAGACATACAAATGGCTAACAGGTTTGTGAAAAAGTACTCAACATTACTAATCATTAGGGAAATACAAATCGAAACCACATTGAGATATCACCTTATTCCTGTTAGAATGGTTATCATCAAAAAGACAAAAGATGACAAGTATTGGCAAGGATGTGAAAAAAACTCCCTCGTACACTGTTGGTGGGAATATAAATTAGTTCAGCCATTATGGAAAACAATATAAGGGTTCCTCAAAAAATTAAAACTGGAATTACCGTATTATCCAGCAATCCACTTCTGGGTACCTTATATATCTACAGGAAATGAACTTAGTATGTTGAAGAAATAACTGCATGTCCAGATTTATTGCAGCACTATTCACAATTGCCAAGATATGCACACAGTGCAAGTGTCCACCAATGAGTAAGGGGATAAAGAAAATGCAGTATATACTCAGTGCAATACTATTTGGCCGTAAAAAGACGGAAGTTCTGTCATTTGTGACAACATGGATACATCTCAAGGAAATTATGCTAAGTGAAGTAAATCAGTCATAGAAAGACAGATAGCACATGATCTCACTCACATGATCGCACTCAAAAAAGTTGATATCATAGAAGTAGAGCAGAGAATGAAGATAATCAGAGGCTAGGGGTGGCTAGGGAGTCAGGGGCTTGAGGAGATACTGGTCAAAAGACATATAATTGTAGCTAGACAGGAAGAATCAGTTCAAGAGGTCTACTGTATAGCATAGTGACTATAGTTAATGATGATATATTGTACATACTGTATTCTTGAAAAATTCTAAGAATGGATATTAAGCGTTCTCACCACAAAAAAATGATAGGTATGAGAGGTAATGCATTTATTAGCTAGATTTAATCCTTCCACAATGTATATATACTTCAAAATATTATGTTGTATGTGGTAAATACAATATTATACGTCAATCTGAAAAATAACTAATTGTTTTTAATTTCACTGAGCTTGAGTTCTTTCTATATTAAGCACATCATGCAAGACACAGTAGTGGGGGTAGATAGATTCTTAAAAGTATTATACAGGTGTTACACAGTGTTAGGGAGCCTGGGTGAAGTACAGACAGCCTCTCCTGGGACTGTTTGTTACAGCTGTATGTAAATCTACAATTATCTCAAATTTCTTTTTTAAAAAGTGAAAACACACACCTGCATTATGTTAACAGACAGTTAGAGGCATTTAAAAAAAACAATGAGTTATGGAATAAAAATGGGACTATGTCTTCCGGAATCTAATAGATTAACTGGAGAGACATGACACAAAATATAGGAGAGCAAAGTATCAATTTAAGAAACTGACCCATTAGTAACACCAAGTATAAAAATTTAAGGATATGGAATATGACCCAAAATTTGAAACATTCAGGGAAACCCATTTCAATAGTGTAGAGGTCACCAAGGCCACATGCAGGTATTGCTATCCCTTTGCTTATTGCTTAATAATGACCCACAGACTAGGAATGCCACACTGAGCAGATGGGTTTTCCTCGCTATTGGTCACTAGAGGGAATGCATAACTGGAAGTGTGACTGACCAAATCCCATTTTGGTAGAGGGTACCTGAAGCGAGAGTAAGAAATGCAATTCCAAATGCAGGGAATCACATGAACAGCCCTCTGTGGAGGAAGAGGAAGAGAACGTGGTCTAGAAGATGCTACCGAGGTGTGAATCATGAGAGAAGGCAGACATGATAGATCTTATTACATCCGGACAAGAAAATTTTGTTTTCAACAAGTTTAAACCATTAAATGGGCAAACATTATTGTGTAATCTGATAATCACTTAGTTATTAAGTAAACAAAAACAAGGAAAATGTAGTACCAACAAGACAGCTGGGCAGTATATAAGAGGCTGTGGCCCAAGGACACTTCCAAACTTGAGAACCTCATTCTTCTAGAAATCCACCCAGAACCTCCACCCTCTGACACCATGGTCAGCTCCTGTTGTGGCTCTGTCAGCTCTGAGCAGAGCTGTGGCCTGGAGAACTGCTGCCGCCCCAGCTGCTGCCAGACCACCTGCTGCAGGACCACCTGCTGCCGCCCCAGCTGCTGCAAGCCCCAGTGCTGCCAGTCTGTGTGCTACCAGCCCACCTGCTGCCACCCTAGCTGCTGCATCTCCAGCTGCTGCCGCCCCTATTGCTGTGAATCCAGCTGCTGCCGCCCCTGCTGCTGCCAGACCACCTGCTGCAGGACCACCTGCTGCAGGACCACCTGCTGCTGCCCCAGCTGCTGTGTGTCCAGCTGCTGCAGACCCCAGTGCTGCCAGTCTGTGTGCTGCCAGCCCACTTGCTGCCGTCCCAGCTGCTGCATCTCCAGCTGCTGCCACCCCTCTTGCTGTGAATCCAGCTGCTGCCGCCCCTGCTGCTGCGTGCGTCCAGTCTGTGGCCGAGTCTCCTGCCACACCACTTGCTATCGCCCAACCTGTGTCATCTCCACCTGCCCCCGCCCCTTGTGCTGTGCCTCCTCTTGCTGCTAATGTCTCCTTGTGATATTTGTCATACTATGAATGTCTTCATTAGTCATTTAAAATGCACTGTAGCCAGCCAGTCACTGGAAAAATGAACACTTCCCTGCCAGTTTGTCTCATGTGGCATTCAGAGTGGACATTCAGCTCTTCTAGGAAATGACAGACAATCACATTCATTAAAATATGTTATGCCAGGCCCCAATGCAGTTATTTTTAGATGAGCAGTGTCTTCATTCGAAGGGGACACTAACTGTGATGATCTCATATAATATTGTTTTCATGTATTAATAAACAGCCACTTCCCTAATATTGAAATCTTCTGATTTGTTAGTGATCTCATTGTGCGTGTGTGTGTGTGTGTGTGTGTGTCTTTACCTGTCAGTTCACATCAAGGGCCATCTCTCTTCAAATGCAGGAGAGCATGTTTAAGAGCCTGGGCTCTTGATTCATGTTCCCTGCATTGGAATCACGACTCCCCTAGGTATTTGTTGCGTGGCATGGGGCAAGTTTTTTAACCTCCTCAGGCCTCAGTTTTCTTTCTCTGTGAATAGAGATAATGCATTACATTCTTTAAATGTTAAGAGACATAACCCATGTAATATACTCACCACAGGGCCTGGTACATAATGCAGTATAGGCTCTTAATGGATACAGTTTCTGGCCGAGCGTGGTGGCTCACATTTGCAATCCCAGCACTTTGGGAGGCTGAGTGGGTGGAACACTTGAGGCCAGGAATTCGAGACCAGTGTGGGCAACATAGTGAAATCCCTTCTCTACTGAAAGTACAAAAATTAGTTGGGCGTGTTGGTGCACACCTGTAGTCCCAGCTACTTGGGAGGCTGAAGCAGGTGAATCACTTGAACCCAGGAGGAGGAGGTTGCAGTGAGCCGAGATCATGTCACTGCACTCCAGCCTGGGTGACAGAGCAACTCTGTCTCAATAAATAAATAAATAAATAAATAAATAAATAAATAAATAAATACAATTTCTGCTGTTACTATGATTGAAACAATACCCTGGGCTAGAATAATATCTTAGCATAATTTTCTTTTTGACAGAACAGCAAGAAAATTTGTATCATTGTTGCGCTGTCTTCTACAACTCAAAATTAAGTTTTGGTATATGCCTCAAGTGTCCCTTAAAAACTCCAGCAAGTTGAACATCATGAAGTCATCTACATTTTGTCTGACTGTATTTCTACTTCCAGTATGTTCCATTATTTGTTGTGGAAATTTTGAGTGTTTTCCCTAGCTCAAGTACTTTTTTCTTGTTTCCTTACTTCCCCCTCCCTCCCCTTCTAATCCCTTTACCTTCCCTCCACCTCCCCTCCCCTTGCCTGCCTACCTGCCTTCCTTCCTTCCTTCCTTCTTTCCTTCCTTCCTTCCTTCCTTCCTTCCTTCCTTCCTTCCTTCCTCCCTCACTCCTTCCTTCCTTCCTTCCTTTTTTCCTCTCTTAACATAAAATGATCTTTCAGAACACAGTCTACCTTCTAAGTCAAGATTTCGGGAAATTTATGACATCTGTGGCAGTTTTCTCATAAAAGTTTTACATCTTTTAATTAATAGATGCTCAAAGTCTTAGTATTTCCAGACTGAAACTCCTTTATAATTTTAGCCCCTAATGTTACTGAGGTTTTTTCATTTTCTTGATAGTTTTACTCCTTTGTTTTGGGCTTTAATCACCTTGCTTTGTCTTAAGAGAACATGGGTGGGACTTTTCCTTGAGACTCAGTTTTCTCATCATCAAAACTCAAACAAGTGTTATTCTATGTAGATGAAAAAATGTGTCACAATATGTGCAAAATATCTTATTTATATAAATATAAGGGTTTATATTTCAGCTAATAATCCAAAGTATATTAAAACTGCTTTAAATCCAAAATTTCTATAAATCAGAATTTTATTTATTAGCTGTGTTATATTTCCAAAGAAATGTAACTAAGAGCTAATTATTATTTCTGAAATGTAAAAATAAAGAAGTTTTAAGTTGTCAAGCGACTGCATGAATAGAAGTTAACATTACGTGGGCTTCACTCCAGCCTAAGTTAGGCGTTATGGTCTTAGCATATCATAAAAATGCCTTGCAGACACTTTCAGCTTCAGCCTTTTCCATTCACTCTAAATTATTCTACAGAGTACAGACTTGTCATTTCATACATCAGAATTAACAAACCTTTTATCCTCTCATATGTTTTTCTTTGACAACTGCTCATTACAGGATGCAGGCTTTGGTTTTAACATTATGCTTTATTAGCTAGAGTGAAATCAAAGACTATAGGTTTTATATGGTCTTTTCAGTATTAAAGTATATGAGGCTTGTAATTTCCTGTGTCCACAAGAACTGGGCCACAGCAGGAATGAGATGACACAGTGTATCTGCGTAATAAAGAGACTATTTGCAAAGGTGTAGCTAGAGTTCAGGGAAAGCAACAAGGGAAAGCTCAGTACCCAGGGCTCACAATAACAAGGAGCAGGTACCCCGGGTCTGAAGGCCTATGCAATAATTTGGGTGAAATGTCCCAAGGGTGGCATGCGAAACTTCTTAGAATAAGTATGCACAGACACTCAAGTACAGTCATTGGCTTTGGAGAGAGTTATGGTGCTCTGAAGGGTCCAAAGATGATATGGAAGACATTGTGGTGAAACCCAAGGTAGACATAAATTTATGAATGGGAAAGTGTGACTGCAGTTATTATTCTGTGGTCACATCAGCTTTATCTAAATGCACAGTAGAGATGGATTTTAAGTGAATGAAACATTGACTTAGTTGATGTTTCATTCACTTCAAAGTCTCTCAGTACTATTTGCCCATGCTAAATATATAGCTTTGGAATTGCTCAAGCCTTTCTAGCTAGTAAAACTAAGCAAGATAGAACTCCAGAAAGGCAACAATAGATGCCTGTTTTGATTAAAGAAGTAACTGAAATAAGAGTTTTAATTCCCATGAACTCCCTTATAACAGTCCCATCTGGCCAGTGAGTAAGGAAGAGGTTAATCAACAAGCTTGGTGATTAAACAAGTTGGTTCCACCAATTGTTTCAGCTGCACCACCTAAGTCAGAATTTTACAGGAAACTCAACAAACCTAGTAAGACTCATACGCCACTGCAGACTCAGCTAGTGTATTCTTTTCGATGCCAGTTTCAGAGCCCAGACAGGTGCAATTCACATTTTCATGGCAAGGAACGCAGTATACATATACAATTTTGCAACACAGATATATGAGTTCACTAGCATATTGCCATAACCTATCAAGGCAGACTTGAACTTGATAACCATTAGAAGCATGTTAATACCATACATTGATGACTGTGATACTAGCACATGAAAAATCATTAGTGAATTGAAAATCAAGTCCAGAAATAGACTAACGTACACAAAAGAATTTATTATATGAAAAGGTGGCACTTTAACTCAGTAATGGAAAGATGTATTATTTAATAAATGATGTTGAGCCTTGGTCACATCTGATTATAAAACATTTAAACCTCATATTTTTATCTGTATAAATTCCTAGTAGGTAAAATATTTTAAAATATAAAACATGAAACCTTGAAGTTAACAGAAATTATGGGATAATGCTTATGTAAATTTATAACTGGAAAGGCCTTTTAAAATATGACACATACCCAGGAGCTGTCAAAGAAAAAAATTCATAAATTTTACTGCATCAAAAGCAACATGAGGATAGAGAAAATTCCTTTCATATCTGATTTTGCAGAGAGGTTGTGTGTATAGTGATTAAAAACATGGACCCAGTGCTGGGCTGGCTGAAATAAAATTACATTTCCCCTGCTTACTGGCTTGAATCCCACCTGTGCCTTAAGTTTCTCATCTGTGAAGGGAGGATTATAATAGAATTTACCATACTGGATTGTTGGGACTAGTAATTGAGCGAATATATGTAAAACAGTAGAACAATTGCAAAACATGTCGTTTGTTATTTTGTTATTCCAGCATCCAGCAAAATTCTCAGTATACAATATTTAGAGAAGAAAGAAAAAGAAAGAAAGAAAGAAAAAAGAAGGAAGGAAGGAAGGAAGGAAAGAAAGAAAGGAAAGAAAGAAAGGAAGGAAGGAAGGAAGGAAGGAAGGAAGGAAGGAAGGAAGGAAGGAAGGGAGGGAGGGACAGGAATTCCATAAAACATTGGGTTTTTATTTTGCTTAAGTTTCTGAAAAGAACAAGTGTAGTTAGTGCATAATTGTGCCAACGATTCCATTCTAGTCTTTTAATGTAAATATTTCTTCCTTATCTCTAAATGGCTTATTCTTTTTAAGTTCTTCTTTTTTAGGCACATCTTATCCTTTCTTATTTATTTATCCTTTAAAAACTTTAATTATTGGCTTTAAGTAGGTAGGGGGTATAAATTACATATATAGAAAATTATAGAATATGTAAACAATTAGTTCAATTGAAATATCTTTTATAACTTTTAGGAAGAACCCTTCTTATACCTCTATTTTCAATTTGTTCCAAGTCTCTACTGATTATTTCAAAGAAAGAATTTAGTTATTTCATAAATAAATTTATTATTTCATAATAAAGAGAATAATTTATCTTTGTTATGCTCACGGCCATCACCTGATGCTGAGAGTTCAAATTTTACTGTCTTACTTCAACTTTTTTCTTTTCTTTTCTTTTCTCTTGTTTTTGAGATGGAGTCTCACTCTGTTGCCCAGGCTGGGGTGCAGTGGCATGATCTCTGCTCACCACAAGCTCCGCCTCCCAGGTTCATGCCATTTTTCTGCTTCAACCTCCCAAGTAGCTGGGACTACAGGCGCTCACCACCATGCCCAGCTAATTTTTTTGTATTTTTAATAGAGACAGGATTTCACCATGTTACCCAGGATGGTCTTGATCTCCTGACCTTGTGATCCACCTGCCTCGGCCTCCCAAAGTGCTGGGATTACAGGTGTGAGCCACCACGTCCAGCCTCACTTCAATTTTTTAATGGCATCTCTTCCCAGAAATCCAGGAGTGTTTTGTCATTTCTAAAGGCAGATCAAAAATTAAAATACATTGTGCATAGCATATATTTTGAAAGCACTTTTGCCAAAATTATAACAGCAAGAAAAATGAACCCACTGGGCGGTTACAATATCACCTAACATTCCTTCCTGAAGGCTTTTCATAGCTCCCTACCATTTCTTCCAGGATTTGAGGGTACCCACAATTTCTCCCTCATGCTATCAATCCCAACTTCTCTCATTACTTCTCAAAACAGACCTTTCAGCATATCACTTTCACCATCACAAGCCAGGGTCATGCCCAATCTCAATTATGTGCTCCTTTTATATCCCCTTTCTCTCCACCTATTTGAATGGTTTGTATTCTCAAAGGTCAGTGTGACCCTTGAAAGCCTTGACAAAATCTTCATCCATTAAACATATGTTTCAGGTTCTGTTATATAAAGATGAATAGATCATAGTCTATGCCCTAATGGAGTTTGTATTTTAGAAGGTGCCAATAGACAAATGAATTTCTGAGAGAGAATCAGATGGTAGAGGCTGTGCATATATAAGGCACAACAGATGTGCAGTGGAGGAAGGACCTTGCTTTGTGTGAGAACAAGAAAGATATTGGAGAAAAATGGCATTTGGACAGTAAAAAACAAATAGAAGAATGCTAAATTAAGAAAATAAAAAATATTTTACCCCAAAATATATTTTTTGACATATTTTAAGATGGCTGCCACATGACCAGCAGACTAAAGTGGCCCTGCAAAGCTGTCTTTTGTGAAGGAAATTTGCATCTGTAGAGAATCTCCATTAATGCAGTCAGGCCTTCTCATTATAGGCCTTTCCTGGATCTAGAAGAGAATAACTGACTGTCTGACACCCTTAGAGTTCTGAAAAAAATCATTTACCATCTCTTTTCTCTGAGAGTTGCTACCTGTGAGATTTCATCCACATAACAAGACCCCCTTTGCTGGCCAAGCCTCTTTCTTTCTCCCTCCCATAACCTGTTGATATGGTTAGGCTTTGTGTCCCCACCCAAATCTCATCTTGAATTGTAGTTCTCATAATCCCCACGTGTCATGGGAAGGACACAGGGGGAGGCAATTTAATCATGGGGTCGGTTACCTTCATGTGATAGTGAGTTCTCATGAGATTTAAGGGTTTTATAAGGGGCTTATCTTCCTTCTCCTCTGCACTTCTCCTTGCTCCCACGATGTGAAGAAGGATGTGTTTGCCTCCCCTTCTGCCATGATTGTAAGTTTCCTGAGGCTTCCCCAGCCATGGTGAACTGTGAGTCAATTAAACCTCTTTCCTTTGTAAATTACCCAGTCTTGGGTATTTCTTCATAGTAGCATGAGAATGGACCAATACACCTGCCTTGCCACTAAAACCTGTTTCCTGTTTTTGGCCATGCTCTGAGCCCTCATTCTTTCTGGGACCTCAAGATGTTGTATAAGCTTCTGTACCTTATTGAGGGGTTGAGTTTTCATTCTGAAGGCTCTTGGGTATACTTGTTAGATAAATGTGTATGCCTTTTCTCCTACTAATCAATCCGCCTCAAGTCAGTGATTTTTCAGTGAGGAAAATCCTTCCTCCATTGCACTTCTGTGGTGCCTTATTTACACATGGGCTCTATCATCTCATTCTCCATTGGAAATTCATGTGTCTATCAGCTCCTTCTAGAATACAAACTCCACTAGGGCAGAGATCTCCAGGTTCCTCAGGCCCCACATAAGTTCACAAGAGACATCCCTTCATTCCCAGGAAGAGAAAATATTGTGAAGGTAATTTGTTCTTTCCTTGAATAATTGCTTTTCCCTGAATGTCCACGGCACTAAAGAAGACCCTTTATTTAGAACCATGATCATGTGAGGATTTTATTTAAAAACTCTTTATGGGCCGGGCACAGTGGCTCTCTCCTATAATCCCAGCACTTTGGGAGGCCAAGGTGGGTGGATCACCTGAGGTCAGGAGTTTGAAATCAGCCTGGACAACATGGTGAAACCCCATCTCTACTAAAAATACAAAATTAGACGGGCGTGGTGACACATGGCTGTAATCCCAGCTACTTGGGAGGCTGAGGCGGAAGAATTACTTGAACCTGGAAAGCAGAGGTTGCAGTGAGCTGAGATGGTGCCACTGCACTCCAGCCTGGGCAATAAGAGTGAAACTCCATCTCAAAAAATAAATACATAAATAAATAAAATAAAAACTTGTTATGAATGCAATTTCTGTGTAAATGTAACTGGACCCAGGTTCAGCTGCTTGCTGCTGGAAAGCCAACACATAAGAGGCAAGGGCTGGTGAAAGGAAAGTTAGTTCTAGTTGGAGAGCCAGTAAACCAGAGGATAACCTTGCTTTGTGTGAGGCCAAGAAAGATATTGGAGAAAAATGGCATTTGAACTAACTGGTAATGAATAACTAGAAGAATGCTAAGTGAAGGAAATAAAAACATTTCACCCCAAGATATATCTCACTGACATCCTTTAGCTAGTGAACTAGCATTCTAAAGTGCCATCTTAAATTTTAAAATTTGCCATAGGGTTTTGAAAGGGAAACTTGGCATGGGAGACATGCAGGGGTGGTGCAGGGTGCTGAGTCTGCATGTCTTGTTCCAATGGCTATCTTGGGTGTCCAGAGGTTTGGGAGGCATTATTTTGACTTCAGCCCAATGGTGGTGGATTAATTGTTCAAGATTCCCCCTAAGTGAGAGGATTCCTCAGGGCTCTGTGCCTGGTTTGTTTCAAGATTAGCCTCTGGAATTTCTTAAGCAAGAATATAATTAGATAAGATATTAGATAGTATTGCCAGAAGGGAGTGTGCAGAGGGAAGGAATGAAGAGGTGAGAGGGGAGGAAAGGAAGAGAAAGTGGGTGATTTTTAAAATTGAGGTCCACAGTTACATAAGTACCTGTAAGTTAAAGAATATATCTTTTATATTCCTCTCAATGCTTCTTAAAAAATCTTAGAAATAAGTGATACTAAAAAAAAACCCTGCTAGATGTTTTAGCTCAAAATGTATGAAAAAGATTTTAACAAAATGTCAATAAAGCATAACCATTACACATTTGATATTTCAAAAGGCAGATCAAAAACTATGATCCACATTACTCTACTTCAGCCTGTAGGACACTTTTGAAGACAGACGCAGCTCAAGCCCAGATGATGCTTTGTTCCTTAGAAACAGTGAGTCACTACTAACTGTTTCAAGGTGCACCAGAGTGATGAGAATTAACACAGCTTGCAATGACCTAGGAATTTAGTTAGCTCAATGGCCACCCAGAATACATACAATGAATCATAAGCTTCCTTATTTCTCACACTCAAAAACAGGAGCATATTTTCTTTTTTTCCTGTCAGCATTCCAGCTGATTGACACATGCATTTCTCCACTAGAGATCTTAGCCCAATCAGAAGCTCTCCCAAAACGATATCATGATGAGAAACAGACAAGTGACAGTGGCCCTCCCATGTCACATGATACCCAGAGACTGAAGTCATGTGACACTGAAACCAAGGAAAGGAAAACAAGAGGTGACTCATGTGGGAACACCAGGGTGAGAAAAGGGAAATAATCATTTTCTATATATTGGGATTTTTTACTAGAAAAACACAATATAATTTAGTAATTGCATTTGTGTCATATAAACAAAAACAAGGAAACAATCTTCTCATAATCACAAAGGCTCCTCAGCTGGGTATAAAAGGGGACATGCAGCAAGGAGACTCCCAAACTCACGAAACTCACTCTCTTGGAAACCCACCCAGAACCTTTACCCTCTGACACCATGGTCAGCTCCTGTTGTGGTTCCGTCTGCTCTGACCAGGGCTGTGGCCTGGAGACCTGCTGCCGCCCCAGCTGCTGTCAGACCACCTGCTGCAGGACCACCTGCTGCCGCCCCAGCTGCTGTGTGTCCAGCTGCTGCAGACCCCAGTGCTGCCAGTCTGTGTGCTGCCAGCCCACCTGCTGCCGTCCCAGCTGCTGTCCCAGCTGCTGTCAGACCACCTGCTGCAGGACCACCTGCTGCCGCCCTAGCTGCTGTGTATCCAGCTGCTGCAGACCCCAGTGCTGCCAGTCTGTGTGCTGCCAGCCCACTTGCTGCCGTCCCAGCTGCAGCATCTCCAGCTGCTGTCGCCCCAGCTGCTGTGTGTCCAGGTGCTGCAGGTCCCAGTGCTGCCAGTCTGTGTGCTGCCAGCCAACCTGCTGCCGTCCCAGCTGCTGCATCTCCAGCTGCTGCCGCCCCTCTTGCTGTGAATCCAGCTGCTGCCGCCCGTGCTGCTGCCGCCCCTGCTGCTGCCTGCGTCCAGTCTGTGGCCGAGTCTCCTGCCACACCACTTGCTATCGCCCAACCTGTGTCATTTCCACCTGCCCCCGTCCCTTGTGCTGTGCCTCCTCTTGCTGCTGAGCTCCTTGCCTGAAACTATCTCCTCCCCTTCAGCTCACTCCTCACAGAAGCAGACCTTGTGCATCTCATAAACAACTCAGAAGAGGCCATTCCCACCAACTGTGTTTCCATATCCTGGACATATATCTAGGATATATGTCCTGGCTATACATCTAGAATATATGTTCCCCATGTTGACCCAAGTGTGAAATTAGATATTATTTACAGAAAGAAATTAATAGAATTTACCAAATTTTATACCTTATATTTGTATTTATGGATACCAAGTTCTTCTGTCCCAAACATGGAAATTCTTGCAGGGTAACTCGGGGCAAGGTTGTCTCACTCTCAGATTTGAAAGTCTGATTGTTTCACCCTGTATTTCCTTTTACAGCAATGTTTCTGTATCTTATTTTTGCTGCTTCTGAATAAAACTCCACTTTTGTCGCATAGAAATACAATGTTCTTTTTGTGTTGCTTTGTAATGATTGTCCTTAGTTCCTGAGAAATTCCACCCAAAACACAACTGAACGAATCCTATTCTTGCTCTCACCTTCAAGAAAATTGCAACATGTAATGACCTAAAAAAAAGGCAATACATGGATGTTTCCAAAAGTATTGAAAAAAATAAAGATTTTAAGTTAAGTTTTTTTATGAATATGGAGAAGGGTTATATCCCACAGCTAAATTTTCTTAAATATTTTTGAAAGTGTATCTTTCCCTACAATCTCACTCCTCTCTTATTTGCTTTATTTTTCCGTTTCCCTCCTCCACCCATGGCCCCCGATCCTGTCATCTTGTTCTGCCCTTATCTCTTTTATCCCATTCTTGTAAAACCAGAGGCTACTCTTTAAGGTTTATCCATCTCTCGTGTAATTCAATTTATCACACTCTCAGCTGCTTTAATTTCATCTCCATCCATTAACAACAAAATAATTACCTTTAGGGAAAATCAATCTTCTGAGAAGTTGGGGAATTGCAGAAAATGTAAAATACTCAAATTTTAGTATTTTTCCTACCTTAATGACTTTTCTGTGGTGTGTATTTAATAGCATGGTCTTGGGGCACATGGTCTTGGTCAATAAATTCTACAAAAATGAATTTTCATAGAGAAATATGGGGACTTAGAAGAAACCAACTAACGGAATAGTTTGGTTCTTAGTTAAACCCAGAATATGGCCTATAAACTCCATCCTAGGGGGAAAATGGTGAAAATAAATTTTATGTCAATTCAAGCTAGTAAAAGCAGGAGAAACATTTAGAAAGTTCTGTACTAAATACATATTCTAGGAGTTAAAGGTCCAGTAAATAATGTAGTGGTATTGAATCATGAATCTTTAACTTCCATAGGTTCTACTACATGAACGAACAATAATTTAGACTGTGTAGGGGCATTATTCCTTCACACCACTTACAGCACACAACTCCTAATGGGTCAGAGAAAGTAGGTGAAAATTAAATGAACCTCCAGTTGGTCTCAGCATATGAAATGGGACTTTGAATGCCGTGGGACTGAATGTGGCTTCCTGGTCATAGGGAATAAGTGTCTGAGAATAAGACATCTATGCCCTGAGCTGTGGGACACTCCATCACTTGTAAGTTGAAAACAAAGCAACAGAAACCACAGGAGACTGGAAAGGAATCACCAGAGAAGTAAGACAACAACTAGCAGAGTGCAAGGTCCAAAATCCCGATGAAGGAAAGAGTGGTCACTTGAAAAAGTAAAGGACACTCACAGGTAGGAATTGAACAATGAGAACACTTGGACACAGGGCAGGGAACATCACACACAGGGTGGGGAACATCACACACCAGGGCCTGTTGGGGGGTGGGGGGCTGGGGGAGAGATAGTATTAGGAGAAATACCTAATGTAAATGATGAGTTGATGGGTGCAGCAAACCAACATGGCACATGTATACCTATGTAACAAGCTTGCACGTTGTGCACATGTACCCTAGAACATAAAGTATAATTAAAAAAATTAAAAAACAGAATTCCACTTCCAGTTGTGACAAAGTAACTGATAGAAGATTCAACCTCTCAGTAGGAATGACTCTGACAATTAGACAAAACTAAGAAAACAGTTGTTTATGAGCATTGGGAGTTGACTTATGCAGGCAGTATTTGAGAGACCATGGTCTCAGAAAAAAATTAAATTCCTTCAGCTGAAAGACAAGATCACCTCCAGCCTCTAGTTTTTCATATATAATTCCTGAATTTCTGGCATTCAATTAAAAAAATTACCAAGTATGCCAGAAAAAAATGACTAAATGAGCAAAATCAAGAAGAAAAAAGAAAATAGAAACAGAGCCAAGGATGATCTATATACAGGTACTAACACTGACTTTAGAATACTTACAATTAATATGTTTGAAATAATAGATTAAAAATGTAAATTTTATTAAAGAAGTAGAATCTATTTTTAAAAAGTTCAGTAAAAATTCTAGAACCAAAAAACTCAAAAACTGAAATTAAGAATTCAATAAATAAGCTTAACAGAAGATTAGACAGGAGAGAGGAACAGCAAAATGGAAGTAGAAAATATTCACATTGGAATGCAGAGAGAAGAAAAGTTTTAAAATGGAGAAAATAGCATAAGACACACTTGGAGCATAGTGAAAAGTCTAACATACATGTAAATTGGAGTCCCAGAAAGAGAGAAGAGAGAATGGAGAAGTTATAAACAAAGAGATACTGGATGGCAATTTGAGACAATTGATGACAGACCTCCAGTCACAGATTCTAGAACATCTCTGAACCCAAGCAGAGTGAATAAAAAGAAAAACAACATGTAGGCACATCAAGGAAAGTTGTTGAAAACCAAAGATAAAAAGAAAATCATAAACGTAACAAGAAATGGATACAGCCATTATAGAAAACAGTATGGAAGTTTCTTTGAAAATTACAATAGGTCTGCCATATAAAATCTAGCAATTCCACTTCTAGGTATATATCTGAAGGTAAAAAATCAGTATCCTGGAGTTATCTGCACCTCATGTTTACTGCAACATTATTCTCAATAGCCAGGATATGGATTCAGTATGTGTCCATTAAAGGATGAATGGAGATATATATATATATATATACACACATATATATACACACACACACACACATACACACACACATCATATATAATAATATTAATATATGTTAAAGCATACATATAAAGAAATATTATTCAGCTTTAAAAAAGGAAATTCTGCCATTTGTGACAAGATGGATGAGCCTGGAGGATACTATGTTAAGTGAAATAAGGCAAACACGGAAGGAAAAGTACTGCATGATGTCACTTATATGTGGAACCTTAAAAAAAGTGAAACTCACAAAAGCAGAGAGTAGAATGGTGGTTATTAGGGGCAGGAAGGTGAGGGAAATTAGAAGATATCTGTCAAAGGGTACAAGGTTCCAGTTATGTAGAATGAATAAATTCTAAAAATTTAATGTACAGCATGGTGACTACAGTTAATAATACTGTACTGTATGCTTGAAACTTGCTAAGAGAGTAGATGTTAAGTGTTTTCACACACACACACATGCACACACACACACACACAAAGGCAACTAACTATGTGAGGCAATGAATATGTTGATTATCTTGCCTTTAGTAATCATTTTACAATGTATATCAAAACATTGTATTGTACACCTTAAATTATATATATATAATTTTATAATAAAATAATAAAATAAGTAAAAGCAACAGGGGAAAAAACAACATACACTTTTACAAAAAGAACAGGAAGCCTAAAACTCAACTGAAATAATGGAAGTGAGAAGACGATGAAGAGACATCTTGTGAAGGGAAACACTGCCGATAGAGAATTATATGCCCAGAGAAACAAAAAAGATAATGAAATTAAGTTATTTTCAGGAAAACAGAAATGAGAGAATAGGTTAACAGAAAACTTTGCCAAAAGAAAAAGACTAGGCCAGGAGCTGTGGCTAACGTCTGTAATCCCAGCAGTTTGGGAGGCCGAGGTGGGTGGGTCACTTTGAGGTCAGGAGTTGGAGACCAGCCTGACCAACATGGAGAAACCCCATCTCTAGTAAAAATACAAAACTTAGCTGGGCATGGTGGCAGGCGCCTGTAATCCCAGCTACTCAGGAGACTGAGGTGGAAGGATTGCTTGAACCCAGGAGGCAGAGGTTGCAGTGAGCTGAGATTGCACTACTGCACTCCAGGCTGGGCGACAGAGCAAGACTCTGTTTCAAAAAATAAAAATAAAAACAAAAACAAAAAACAAAAGAAAGGCTTCAAGTAAAAGGAAAGTGATAGGAAGGATGGTCCCAACAAAGGGTAATTCTACATTGTTCTTTTCCAAATCAGTCATTTTCTATATTCCATTTCTTCATTATGATTTTCATTTTTAAATTTTTATTTAATATACTTTAAGTTCTGAGATACATGTGCAGAACGTGCAGGTTTGTTACATAGGTATACACGTGCCATGGTGGTTTGCTGCACTCATCAACCCATCGCCTAGGTGTTTTTTTTTTTTTTTTTTTGAGACAGAGTCTTGCTCTATCACCAGGCTGGAGTGCAGTGGCCCGATCTCAGCTCACCGCAACCTCCACTTCCTGGGTTCAAGCAGTTCTCCCGCTTCAGCCTCCCAAGTGGCTGGGACTATAGGTGCACACAGCCATGCCCAGATAATTTTTGTATTTTTGGTACAGACGGGGTTTCACCATGTTTGCCAGGATGATCTCGATCTCCTGACCTCGTGATCTGCCCATCTCAGCCTCCCAAAGTGCTGGGATTACAGGCATGAGCCACTGCACCCTGCCCATCATCTAGGTTTTAAGCCCCACATGCATTAGGTATTTGTCCTAATGCTCTCCCTCCCCTTGCCCCCAACCCCCCGATTTCCATTTTTTGTTTACCTTTTAAACCCATTTATATATAGTCTCCTTCAGAATTTTCAGTTATCTCAATTCCCAGGGGTTATATTCCCTTTTCCTGTGTCTACTATACTACTCATGATAAATTATTTTCTTACATATTTTGTAATATTTGCCTATGCATTTATCTTATGCAGAAATTGACCCCTGTGGGGGATCCCATGCAATCTGTGTGTGGTTTCTTAGAGGTTTATTTTTCCTTGTGCTTAATGCTTTTTTATTTTTATATTTTTTTCTTTTTGGGGTGTTCTTTCTGTGTGCTATTCCTTTTGCTTTTGTTTCTGATTATTTCAAGGACATGCACTATTTAGTATCAGCAGTTTCTCACCTTGAGGTTCCTCCACTATGCATACAGTGTGAATTAAGAAGCTTGGTGATATTGCATGGTTTAGTTGTTCATGACTTTATTACCACATAAAATTCCTGTAGGCAGACTAAGGTTTTCTTGTCTCCATCTTATGCACAAAAATGCTTTCAGAATGTAAACCTTAAGTTTACATTCTTCTCTTTTGACATCAAAGGGATCTTGGCATCATGAGAACAATCTGCCCAAACAGCGTTCTTAAGAATATAAACTTTATATAAGGGTCTTACTTCCTAGATCCTGCCTGGTGATAGTTTCAGGTCCCATTTCTTGTACCTGCCTGAGTTTTAACCACCAGCCTCCAGTTCTGAGGGCATCTAACTGGATGCCAAACCTTCCCACAGGCCACAGGACATCAGCTAGTGTTTGCCATTTGAGTTCCCTCTTAGTTTCTGACAAATGAGAATTTTTCTCTACTTTTCTCAAGTTCAACTACGATTGAATTTTTTAAAAAATCTTTGAAGAATTTATACTTACTCATACCAGGAAGTGGGTCTGTCAGTATCAACTCAGTCAGCTACATTGCCAGAAGTTCTTTATTTTCAGAGACCCAAGGAGATGAAAGATTTCCTGTGTTAGAAATATTTTTAAAGGGTTTTTATAGTAGATGCTCCTATGAAGTAAATTTTATTATATACTTCAGCATTTCCTCCAAAAGACCCAAACTCCTCACTCTTATTATACTAAGAATTGTTAAATTAAGTTTAGCCTAAAGCTGCCTCTTTACATATTTTAGGCTTGGCATAAACGTTTCTCCATGCATAGTAAACTGTAACCTAACTGGATATGTAAACAAACTGTAACCTACCTTTCCAACAAGTATCCAAGTCCACGGCAGCCCAGTTCTGGTCAATCACAGGGGCCAACTGTTTAAACCATGTTCAACTAAAGCAAACGTTGAGCTCTAACGAGCCCAGCTATTTCTGTCCCTCACTTTGGTTTTCTGTACATCACTTTCCTTTTCCTTTTTTTTTTCTTTTTTTCTTTTTTTTAGATTAGGGCTACTTTTAATAATTGAGGTATGTGATCATAACTCAATTCTTCATCTTAATCTTCAGATATTTAGTAGAACATCATATGGTCTCAGTTGCAACTACTCAAATCACTTTCCTTTTTCTATCCATAAATGTTATTTAACCAAATGGAAGCCAAGGAGTTGCTCCGAACTTGTGCTTGTCTGGGAGCTTCCCAATTCATGAATTATTCTTTGATGAATTAAAATCTGTTAAATTTAATTTGCCTAAATGTTTCTTTTAACACGCCAAAGAAAAAATACTTTTTCAATCCTAATTCGTTTTATTTTTAAACTTTTTTCATTTTTGAAAACATTTCAAACTTACAGAATAGTTATAAGAGTAAAGAATTCCTTATGCCATATAGTCTTCACCTAGATTCAACATTTGGCCACATTTGATTTCTCTCTCTCTCTAGAGAGATGACATGGATAGAGATAGACTTATGTCCTAAGACTAAGGACATTTTCATGTATAACCACAGTAAAGATATCAATTAAACTGAATGTTGATGCAATATTATTACCTAATATACATGCTATATCCAAATGTTGCCATTTTTCCAATATATCCTATAAAGCAATTTTTATCCATGTTCATACATTGCATTTAGCTATCATATCTCCTTACTTTATTTAGACCTGAAATACTTGCTCAGACTGTCTTTATATTAGATGGTGCTAATATTTTTGAAGATAGCAGACCAGTCGTTATGTGGAGTATTTCTTAGTCTGAGGTTATCTGATGTTTCCTCATGCTTATATTCAGGTTTTGCATTTTAACAGAAATATTGCATAAGTAATGTGTCCTTTCAGTGTGTGACTTCAGGAGACACATGCTAGTTTGACCATTATTAATGCTGCTAACTTTGATCCTGTGATGAAGGGTATGTTCTCAAGTTTCTTCACAGTAAAGTTAACATTTTCCCTTTGAAATTAATAAACAGTTATTGGGAAAATATTTTGAAGTGTGCAAATATCCTGCTCCCCATTAAACTTCCACCCAATAGTTATAGCATTCATTGATGATATTCACTTGATCAAGTTTTATTATAATGGCTGTAAATGGTGATTTGAAACTCCTTTATTCCTTCTACATTTACTCATTGACATTCTACTGTCATGGATAACTTTCTCATCTTCCTTTTTTTAACTTCTCCATTTAATTCATATCAATATGGACTCATCAATCCTTAATTTTATTTGATGGGTTGTAATCTATTACTGCCAATATTCATTTTGGTGCCCAAGTCCCATATTAGGCCAGTGAAAGTTTATTCAGAGTAGCTCCAAATGCCTTTTCATATTTTAAAACAATGAGTCATTGTTAACAGTTTCAAATTGAATAAAGGAAATGATACCTGGTGCATACTTTGAAGAAGTCTAGAGAGTCCACTATCTAATGAGCATTTATGACTCACAAATAGGATATGTCTTCCTCATTGCTCACCGGTAACTAACTCAGAAAGATGAGCTTGTTTCTTTTTATTTCCCTACTCTAATTCTGCTTCTCTTTGACATCAAAAGAGATCTTGGCATCATGAGAACAATTTGCCCAAACAGGATCATGGCGTGATGCACAGATCACAGGTACATACCGGACTGAATCCATGTGATGGGCCATCTTGAGAAGACACAGTAGACAAAGAAATAGGCAAGATAATTCTGTGAGAAAGTCCAGATTGGAAAATCTTAACACACTAGGAAAGGGAAATAATATTTTCCTACATCTTAAAATATTTAACCAGAAAAACGTAATGATCTAATTTCGTGTATAGTGTATAGGTGTGTTTTAAACTTCCCTCTACTCTCTAGATGTGAGAATTTGAGTCTCTGGAAAAAAGTGACAGCAGACTGATCAACAGGAGAAAAGGCATACAAATTTATTACATGCATGTGCAGAGCCTCACAAACTATAAGACTTGAAGAAGGGCCAATGATTGAAGTTTGTATAGCATCAGAATAGGGTCTTGGGGATTCTTAGGGGAGGTGTCCACAAGCTATGGGAAGGTGAGGGAAAGAAATGTATGGTGAACAAAGGCTGTCTTGCTATGTAGGTAAAGTCTTTCAGGCAAAGCCGCTCTGGGGTGATGTCAACATTTAGCCTCTTTTCCTGTTATATATCTTTCCTGGATGTCTTCAGGCAGATACGGGAACCTCAGAGAAAACCTCTGCTTATAGCTGCTGTTCCCCACAATTCCCCAATCAAGGTACCAAAGAATCATATTTTGGGGTTTTGTTTTCTGAGCCCCAACATCTCCATAAGAAAATAAAGTAGGAAATGATCCCGGACATGGTCACAGCTGCTTCAGCAGAGCACAAAAAAGGACAGGTGGCAAAGGGACTTTCAAATTTACTAAGCTCACTCTCTTACTAATATGTATATTTAGAATTGTTATATCTTCTTGCTGAATTGATCCCTTTATTATTATATAATGACCTCCTTTCTCTGTTTTTACTGTTGTTGATTTTAAGTTTGTTTTATCTGTTATAAGTATAGCTACCCCTTCTGGAAAAATAAGCTCATAATGGTCAAAATTGAGACATAATGTTATAAAAGCCTTGAATTTTAAAGAAAAACATAATAATTATTTAAAGAAAAGTAATCATTTGAACATCCAGGCAAAATGTCCATGTCAACCAGAAGGAAATAAAACGAGCTTGTTTTCACACATTTTGATGAAAATGTCAGAAGATAATAGAGTAATGCTCAAGGAAAGAAAATGTGAGGCAAAGATTTTAAATTCAGCCAAACTGAACTTCAGGTATAAAGGCCACAAACAAACTATTATAAACATGAAAAAACTCAGTGAATATTCTCCACCATGGGTGGATCCTGAAGAATTTATTAACAAGTGAACTTCATAAAATCAGATGACTAAAGATACTGGAAGGACATCTACATGAGGTCTGGATCGATATATATCCTTTGGAACTAAGAACAGAATGAACGATAAGCCTAAGAGAGGAAGTGTGATAACTAACAGCTATGTACTGACAATGTTGATACAGCACAACTACCAAAACAGGAAGGAAAAGGAGAGCAAATATATAAAGTAGAAGTTTGCTGATTGCCTTATAGATATTAACCAGGAATTCAAATCTCATGCTCAGGGAGTGAGGAATAAAGAGGTAACCAGATAATTTCAATATTTCTGTAAGCAGAGAATCAACTGACAGTAGCTAAAAAATAGAGCTCATGAGGTATATAAAGGTAACCGTTAGTACAAAATACAAACATTCCTAAATACCAAAAGGCATACTGAGAAAGAGAGAGAATTTAAAAGGTGAAAGATTAGAATTTTAAAAGTGAAAGACAGAGAGATAGAAAGATAAAGAGACAGGCAAGAGAAATATTTAACAAATATAGAAGATAACTTATTATATATCATTATTATATATAAGTATAATAAAAATGACATAATTAAATTTAAGCATATTGATTATATCCATACATATAATAGGCTCAACTGACTTTAAAAAAAGATTTTCAGATTGGCTTATGAAAAGGAAAGCTCAGCATTATGCTGTCTATAAAGAGACACAAGTGAATCAACAAGCATCAGAAGGTTAAAAGTGAAAAGGTAAAGACAGAGATACATATATGAAAATGCAAATGGAAGAAAGCAGGGGCTACAATTCTTCTATCCCACAAGTTAGACTTACACAAAAAGCATTACAGAAGACAAAGTAGGAAAAAGTATTATGCTAAAGGCTACAATCAACACATAAATATAGAGATAAAACTTCACATACAGAAGCTACAGTTAATATAAGAATAAAAATAAGACAAGCCAATAATCAAATACTCTAATCCACTATGGAATTAATGAGAGAAACTGTGGAGAAAAATTAATAAGAATATTATTTTATGTTTTTGTTTGCTTTGTCGAAGATCAGTTGGCTGTAAGTATTTGAGTTTATTTCTGGGTTCTCTATTCTGTTCCATTGATCCATGTGCCTATTTTTATGCCAGTACCACACTGTTTTGGTGACTATGGCCTTAGAATGTAGTTTGAAATCAGATAGTGTGATGCCTCCAGATTTGTTCTTTTTGCTTAGTCTTGCTTTGGTTATGTGGGCTCTTTTTTGGTCCCATATGAATTTTAGAATTGTTTTTTCCAACTCTGTGAAGAATGATGGTGGTATTTTGATGGGGATGGCATTGAATTTGTAGACTGCTTTTGGCAGTATGATCATTTTCACAATATTGATTCTACTCATCCATGAGCATTGGATGTGTTTCCATTTGTTTCTATCGTCTATGATTTCTTTCAACAGTGTTTTGTAGTTTTCCTTGTAAAGGTCTTTTGTCTCCTTTGTTAAGTATATTCCTAAGTATTTTTTTTTTTTTTTGCAGCTATTGTTAAAGGGGTTGAGTTCTTGATTTGATTCTCCGTTTGGTCGCTGTTGGTGTATAGAAGAGCTGGTGATTTGTGTACATTAATCTTATATCTGGAAATTTTGCTGAATTCTTTCATCAGTTCTAGGAGCTTTCTGGAGGAATCCTTAGAGTTTTCAAGGTAAACAACCATACTGTCAGCAAACAGGGACAGTTTGACTTCCTCTTTACTGATTTGGATGCCCTTTATTTCTTTCTCTTGTCTGACTGCTCTGGCTAGGGCTTCCAGTACTATGTTGAAGAAGAGTGGGAGAGTGGGCACCCTTGTCTTGTTCCTGTTCTCAGAGGTAATGCTTTCAACATTTCCCCATTCAGTATTATGTTGGCCGTGGGTTTGTCATAGATGGCTTTTATTACATTAAGATATGTCCCCTGTACGCTGATTTTGCTGAGGGTTTTAATAATAAAAGGATGCTGGATTTTGTCAAATGTTTTTTCTGCATCTATTGAGATGATTATGTGATTGTTGTTTTTAATTTTGTTTATGTGGTGTATCACAGTTATTGACTTGCATATGTTAAACCATCCCTGCATCCCTGGTATGAAACCCACTTGATTATGGTGGATTATCTTTTTGATATGTTGTTGGATTCAGTTAGCTAGTATTTTGTTAAGGATTTTAGCATCTATATTCATCAAGGATATTGGTCTGTAGTTTTCTTTTTTGGTTATGTCATTTTCTGGTTTTGGTATTAGGGTGATGCTGGCTTCATAGAATGAATTAGGGAGGATACCTTAATTGTCTATCTTGTGGAATAGTGTCAAAAGGATTGTTACCAATTCTTCTTTGAATGTCTAGTAGAATTCTGCTGTGAATCTGCCTAGTCCTGGACTTTTTTTTGTTGGTAATTTTTTAATTACCATTCAATCTCACTGGTTGTTATTGGTCTGTTCAGGGTATCTAATTCTTCTCGATTTAAGTTAAGAGGGTTGTATTTTTCCCTGAATTTATCCATCTCTTCTAGGTTTTCTAGTTTATGTGCATAAAGGTGTTCATAGTAGCCTTGAATGATCTTTTGTATTTGTGTGGTGTCAGTTGTAATAGCTCCCATTTCATTTCTTAGTGAGGTTATTTAGATTTTTTCTCCCTTTTCTTGGTTAATCTTGCTAATGGAACATCATTCAAAGCTGACCAAAGTATTTTTTTTAACTCCTGTCAATATGAACCTGTGGGTTCCAGTTCATATCCCCATTGGTGCTCAAATAACAAACTTCAAGTTGGTCTCTGGCTACTTTTGACGTGAATCTAGTAGATTTTTTTTAATATATATATAATAAGATATTCCAGGTTCATTTGTATATTTCCTTACCCACACTTATATTCAGCCATTTCTCCAAGGAACCCCTGTTCCTTGTAGTGAATATGGCATTTGGGACGAAAGATTGAAATGTAAAAATGATGAGTATTACTAAATTGATTATTTTCTCTCAACTTTTTCAGTGTCCACAACTAGAAAATATTTGCTTAAAAGATAAAGTACATCAGCGTTTCTACTGATAATTACAGGATTTTTACTTAACCTCATATCTTTTTCCTAAATCTCTTTTATTCCTTGCCAAAAATAACAGTTCCTTGATGTAATTACTCATTTTCTTTATTACCTAATGCTTGCACAACAATCTTGGAATAATATTGCCAATACTAATAACAACAGTGTAGTTATTGCAAACAAACTTAACAGGTTTTTGAAAAAAACATTTTGGCCTTGGGATAGTTACTTTCTCTGAAGTTATGCCTGGATATACAGTTAGATTCCATTGTTGTGGTGGTGGTTTTAGTGATTTTGAGAGATTTTAAAAATTTAATATTTTTATAAGTATGTAAAATATTTACATGGGTGCAAAGTCCAAGCTACAGAAAAAGATACATTCAAAAATAATCTAGTGTCTGTTTCTATCTTCTCTATTCTATTCCCTCCATCCTCTATGGGTCAATTTTTAAAAAACAAACATGGGCTGGGTGCGGTGGCTCACGCCTGTAATCTCAGCACTTTTGCGAGGCTGAGGCAGGGAATCATGAGGTCAGGTGTTCAAGACCAGCCTGGCCAAGATGGTGAAACCCCATGTCTATTAAAAATACAAAAATTAACTGGGTGTGGTGGTGGGCGCCTGTAATCCCAGTTACTCAGGAGGCTGAGGCAGAGAATTGCTTGAACACAGGAGGTGGAAGTTGCAGTGAGCCAAGATCGCTCCACTGCACTCCAGCCTGGGTGACAACGTGAGACTCCGTCTCAAACAACAACAACAACAACAACAACAACAAAACCAAATGTGGTTGATTCTTCCATTATTTTTTTCTTTTTTTTTCAGCTACATTAAATTACAATTGACATATAATAAATAAACTGCATGTACTTAAAATGCACAATTTGATGTTTTGACAGAAGTCCCTCTTTCCTGTTTTCTCATCTCCTCTCTCTCTATTCTTCTGTCGTTTTTTAAAGTGTAAGCAAATATACTTTCAATATTTATATCCTGGATTTTTAAAACATTGTTGCAGAACAATTGTACACATTTTCCTCCACTGCTTTATCGTCTCCTAACAATATCTACTGGAGATTAATTTATAGTAGCCTATAGAGACACTCCTTATTCCTTTTGACAGCTGCATAGTACTCCATCATGGGAAGGCACCACAGTTTATACACCAGTACCCTATTGAAGGACACCTGGGTTGTATCCAGTGTTGTTGTAGTTTTTAGTTTTTTTCCCAAATAGAACTCTTATGAATCGTCTTGTGCAATATCTTTCATATATTTACCTGAGTATCTTTGAGATATTTTATGGAATTGGGATAGCTGAGTCAAAGAATAATGCTGCTAGTTATTGCCAAACCTTCACAAGACAAATACGAGCATGCCTATTTTCACATCATCTCACTTCCAGAGAATGCTATCAGATTTTGAATTTTTGATAATCTAACAGGTGAGAAGTATCGTACCATATTATTTCATTTCTCTTACTATGCATGAGATTGAGTATATTTATATGGTGGTAAAATATTTGCATTTTATTTTCCCATTAGGCTGTTGGTCTGTTTTCTATCTATTTCCAGAAGCCTTTTTTTCTTCTTCTTCTGTCACCCAGGCTGGAGTGCAGTGGTGCAATCTTGGCTCACTGCAACCTCCGCCTCCTGGGCTCAGGCAATCCTCCCACCTTAGCTTCCTGAGTAGCTGGGACCACAGACCACAGATGCATGCCACCTCGCCATTTTTTTTTTTTTTTTTGCTTTTTTTTGTTTTTTTGGTAGAGATGGGGTTTTGCCAAGTTAACCAAGTTGGTCTCAAATTCCTAACCTCAAACAATCCGCCTGCCTTGGCATCCCAAAGTGCTGGGATTACAGGTGTGAGCCACCGTGTCCAGTCTCAGAAGTCTTTTATATACTATTAACCCTTTGTCCGTGATATTAATTGCTAGTTCTTTTTTTATTATTTAGTCATTTGTGTTTTTACTTTGTTTATGATGGTTTCTTACCATACATTTTTTTTTTTTAAATTTTACTTTAAGTTTTGGGATACATGTGCAGAACATGCAGGTCTGTTACATAGTTATACATATGCCATGATGGTTTGCTGCACCTATCAATCCGTCATCTGGGTTTTAAGCCCGACATGCATCAGGTATTTGTCCTAATGCTCTCCCTCCCCTTGTCCCTCACCCCCGACAGGCTCCAGTGTGTGATGTTCCCCTCCCTGTGTCCATGTGATCTCATTGTTCAACTCCCACTTAGGAGTGAGAACATACCTTGCATCTTTTTAATTATAAATAATTGTTTTTAAATATCAGGAGGGATTTAATTGCAAAATGTTCATGCGCAAAATGTTCCTTGAACACTCTAGGAGAGACGCCCTTTCCCTGTTACAGACTGTGTGACTTCAATCTATCTGGGCCTCAAGTACCTTGGATGTAAAGAATTTAGAAAAATTGTGTCTACATAGCAGAATCCTTGTGAAGTATAAACAAGATAACAATTATAGAGGACTCAGAAAATTCCTGACACATAGTAAGCACTCAAAAAATTATAACTATTAGTATTGTTTCATCTTTCATTGGAAGTGTACAGATTAAATACATAATTGTTATTTTGTTCACTAATCACACCATTCTCTAAATAGTTGCTAAATTCTTTCCTATACATGTTTCTTATTTGTCTTGTTTAAGCTTCTGTAGGACAGAAATTAAACTTGATCCTTTGTTTCTTTTCTCCATGTATCAAGCAAAATATCTCCAACATACATTGTGAGAAAAAGCAGCTTTCGAGTATGAGAAAATCTACTTTCAATAACACTTCAGTTAAACACATTCAGTGGGTATCTTGACTTACCAACAAAATAGAACAAAAATGTTCCTTATGATCCCCATCTCTGAAGAACATGCCAACAATAATTTATAAAGGGACCTATCATGCCAATGTATTTTTACTTGTAAAGCAATGAATCATTGCATTATATCTGTTTCAAGCTAAATAGAGTCAATAACATGAAACAGGAATTTCAGTGGGATCTTTTATATCTCACTGACCAGCCACAAAATTCAAAGGAATCACAGTGTTCCTTATTATACACAAGTTACCTCCTATCACCCCCCAAAGATGAATCTTTCATCACATTTTCCTACCAGCATTCTATGTAATTTATTTTTAACCTCTTTGAGAGCAGAGGAGATTTAGTCATCATAAAATCTATTTTCAACTTATTATCCAGGAGTCAAATAAATAAAGAATTAACTTATGAAATCCAATCAAACAATGTCATGTAATGGGTCTACACATCAGAAGACACATCAGATGAAGGAAGGAGAATGAGAGCTGATTCACTTGGCTTAACCAAATTGGATAGCTCAGAATACAACAGGAAAAGGAAATGTTGCCTTTTCTATTTATAGAAATATTTACCAGATAAGGACAACTATCTAATTTACTAAAAAACAACTGATTCTCTATTAGTAATGTGCAAACCACAAGATTATTCACATTGTCATAGTGGTTCTCAGCAGGGTATAAAAAGCAAAAGAGAGAACAAGGAGAGATCAAACTCAGAACACTCACTCTCCTGGAAACCCACCGAGAACCTCCACCCTCTGACACCATGGTCAACTCCTGTTGTGGCTCTGTGTGCTCTGACCAGGGCTGTGGCCTGGAGAACTGCTGCCGCCCCAGCTGCTGCCAGACCACCTGCTGCAGGACCACCTGCTGCCGCCCCAGCTGCTGTGTGTCCAGCTGCTGCAGGCCCCAGTGCTGCCAGTCTGTGTGCTGTCAGCCCACCTGCTGCCGCCCCAGCTGCTGTCAGACCACCTGCTGTAGGACCACCTGCTGCCGCCCCAGCTGCTGTGTGTCCAGCTGCTGCAGACCCCAGTGCTGCCAGTCTGTGTGCTGCCAGCCCACCTGCTGCCGCCCCAGCTGCTGTCAGACCACCTGCTGCAGGACCACTTGCTGCCGCCCCAGCTGCTGTGTGTCCAGCTGCTGCAGACCCCAGTGCTGCCAGTCTGTGTGCTGCCAGCCCACCTGCTGCCGCCCCAGCTGCTGCATCTCCAGCAGCTGCTGCCCCTCTTGCTGTGAATCCAGCTGCTGCCGCCCCTGCTGCTGCCTGCGTCCAGTCTGTGGCCGAGTCTCCTGCCACACCACTTGCTATCGCCCAACCTGTGTCATCTCCACCTGCCCCCGCCCCTTGTGCTGTGCCTCCTCTTGCTGCTAAATCTCTGCTGTGAACACACCACTTCCTTATTACGTCCTTTCCTACAGATGAAGGCTCTCATTGCAAACATGCGGACTGTTCAAGAGAATTGATCTGGGTCCCATAAGCAAACCTCATCCTTAGAAATTCTGTATTTGCATTCTACCTTTTGTCCAAACTCCCTTCCTTCCAAAGGAATTCATTGACAATCTCCTAATAAATTGACAAATTGTCCTCCAACATCCTCCCACCTCTTTGACTTCAGGACATTTATTCATCATGCCTAAGGAATTTGAAGATTGCCTCCATCATTTGTAGGGCCACAGATCTTAAAGCCTCCAACCTTGAAGTCCAGTGAAGTCTCTCTCTTAAAGTCTTTTGCAAACATTTTTGTACCTTGTTATTTCCATGTACCAAAATAAACCTCTATTCTATTGGCACTGAAAATTGAATATGATTCTTATTCTCTTTTTAAAAAGGGTTTTATATTTAGGTCCTGGGTGATTACATTTAACTACACCTGTAGGGCTCACAGCACAGATTAGTCAACCTTCTAACAGAGGTCAACTGACATCGATCACTGCCTAGTTTTTTTCTAGAAAAGTCTTTTCAGGCTTAGGCAAATCAATTAGTCATTTTGTATTCTTTAGACAAAAAGAGTGAAGCTGAAGTCATGAAATATCCATGAATATAACAACAGGGGAAACGTTTTGAAAGATTGATCACAACTCATCATCTTTTAAAAAATAATTTCAACTTTTATTTTAGAATCAAAGAGTACATATTCGTATTTGTTACATGTTGTGTGATGCTGAGGTTTGGGCTACAAATGATTCTGTCACCAGGTACTGAGCAGTGGGTCATTTTTAGCCCTTCCTCTCTCCCTCTCTCCCCCCTTTTTGGAGTCCCCAATTGTTCTCATCTTTGTGTCCATGTGTATCCAATGTTTAGCTCCCATTTGTAAGTGACAACATGCAATATTTGGTTTTCTGTTCCTGGAAAAATTTGCTTAAGATAATGTCCTCCAGCCACATCCATGTTGCTGCAAAGGACAAAATTTCATTCTTTTTTATGGCTGTGTAGTATTCCATGGTGTGAAAATGTCACATGTTCTTTATCCAATGCACTGTTGATGGGCACCTAGACTGATTCCATGTCTTTACTATTGTGCACAGAGCTGTGATCTTTTAAAACACTGTATTTCAATTTCTTTTTTTTTCCAGTAAAAGCAGCTATTAGGTGGTTTAGCAAAGTCCATGTATTTTCTACTGAGTCATGTGTAATGAATCCTCAACACAAACACAGTGGATCTCCTTCATTCTGACTGGCAGAGTTTCAATGGGGAGTTCATGCTGCCATGTAGAGAGGGCCACCTTCACGGCCAGGCAGGTGATGGAAATGAAGGAAGCAGGCCTAGTGAAAACTCACAGGTATGCTGGAGACTGATTTTTTTTCTTTTCGTCCAAAGTCATGCCCTTTTTTTAGGATGAAACTATAAAGACCCACATTTCTCCCCAACTAGGGATGCCTCTAATGGGTCATCTCATCTCCAGAACTCCCTATAGGTTCATCTGAGACTTCCACGGAGATTGCCCTGCAGTTTGATTTATCCCAGTGTCAAACTTGATCTTTCTCTCACTTTCCCTTCCTTTCCCTTCCCTTCCCTTCCCTTCCCTTCCCTTCCCTTCCCTTCCCTTCCCTTCCCTTCCCTTTCCCTCCCCTTCCCCTTCCCTTTCCCTTTCCCCTCCCCTCCCTTTCCCCTCCCCTGCCCTCCCCAGTGTTAATCCCAAGAGCATGCTTCAATAAACCTCCTGCATATTGCTCTCCATCTCAGTGACTGCTTCCTGGGGAACCCAGCCTGTCCCCCAAAACAATTTGAAATTCATGATAGCTAATTTGAGAGCTCAAATGACTGACTGAAATGTACTTTTAATATTTTAGTTCCTGAAAGAAATAAGAATGTAAACATAATAGCAGAAAATATATTTAACAGAATATGTAGAAAAATTATGAATTTTATATAAATCACATTTATTATTTTCTAAGGATGTTTAGATCATTTATACACAAATATATGCTCTTTAAACATTTAGACAATACAAAAGAATGTGACAATGTGAACAAAAGTAAGTTTCCCATCATGATCTTTGCCAATCCCATTCAATACCTAATGTTGCAAATTGAGATACATCCTCATTAAATGCATGCATAAAACATGTATGTATTTATTTGAAAACTTGGCTTTCGTTGCACATCTCTTGTTCTGACATTTATTCAAACATTATTTTATGTCCTTCCGGAAATGTTAACATTTTCCTTCACAAAGGCTTGGCAGATTTATTTACATATTTTTCTATTTACTCTTGAGAACTGTGAGTACATGCTTCTTTTTTTTTTTATTATACTTTAAGTTCTAGGGTACATGTGCACAACGTGCAGGTTTGTTACATATGTATACATGTGCCATGTTGGTGTGCTGCACCCATTAACTCGTCATTTACATTAGGTATTTCTCCTAATGCTATCCCTCCTCCCTCCCCCCACCCCACGACAGGCCCCAGTGTGTGATTTTTCTCCATTAAATTTTAGAGAGAATTATTGCTAGTGTATAAAAAGTCTATGGATTAGTATAAGTTCATATTTTATCTGATCTCGCGATTCACACTAATACCCAGCTGACTCTACAGGATTTTACAGGTGTGCAATCATGGTGGCCAAGTGCCTCCAGCCTCAGGCTTGTCCCTGGGGTTCGTCCCCAGCTGCCCACAGTGGGGGCCTTACCATTAACACAAACACTGTTGGGATTTTCTACCTTTCCTGTCTTACTTTCACCGTTTCCTCACTTGTGCTTCCTGGGATCATCCCCCAAATAAATTATGTGCACTCAGGTCTTTTTCTCAAGGTTTGCATTGGGTAGAATTTAAGCTAAGACAACAGATTATCAGCAAACATTTTTGGCTGACTGATACGAAACAGGAAATAATAGTTATTTCAATCAACAAGAGTAAAACGAGGAAGTCAGGAGGTGAAGGAGAACCAGTGCTACCATCTGGCGTTTACTTCCTTCCTGTCTTTTTACTGTGTGAATATAGGCATGCACGTTCAACACTGTATTCTTGGTTATCTATAAACAAGTCTCATTCTATAAATTGAATCTTGACTTCCGCAGTTTCCACGTATGTTATTTATCGGGTGACATGTTACCTATCACACAAATGAGTTTAGTCTTCCTGAAATGAAATTATGATTTCTTTGTTTGGGATGTTTTCCTCCCTTTTATCCAGAAGTCAAAAGATATATACATTTTTTAAAGGACCTTACATGCCTCTATGTCATCAAAAAAACCTTCATTCACTCAACAAACATTTACCACCAGTGTTCTCTGTGCTGAGTATCATGGTAACGAGAATAAATGCCATAGCGCAAGCCTTCAGGGTATTTGCATTGCACGTGGTGGAAAGACAGAAGTAAATGACTATGATACAGGAGAATGTATAAATTATGAGCACAAGGCAGGAAATCATGATACATGAATGGGGTAGCTTAGCAGGAAAGATATTATTGAGGAGGAAATATTTTAACTGGGTCTTGACACATGAGTAGGAGTTTGCAGAGTGGACAAAAAAAGATGAAACATTCCAAGAAGATGAAGCAGTTTCAGCAAGCTTAGCAAATTGTATTCTTTACGGCTTTCTTGGCTACACTAAGACATATTAGGCTTACTTTCTCTTTAACCTTGGACAAGTTGTTTGTTTGTTTGTTTTAAGTTTTTAATGCTTCTTTTGAGTATTCCCCTAAAAGACTAATAAGAATATAAACTAGTTCATAAGGTTCTATTAAAGCGTGAAAATGAAACAAATGTAAGATATTTGGTACAATGCCTGCTACATAGTCAATACTTCACAAGTAATATACATACCATGAGGGTGTATGGAACTTATCCACATATTATACATTTCTTATTTTAGTTGTTTAATGAAAATAATTGTAATTCTTTTCATTTCTGCCAAACTGTTTCCTATCCATGTGTCTTATGCAAGTACCTGCAAGAAAAAGTTGAGGGTTTATCTGTTCTACACCCAGAGTACCCAATAGAACATCTTGGATGCATGTTATTGAAGGCTTAATAATTCTAAATATTCTTTATATATAACAAATGCTTTTGTAAATGAAAAATCCATCATGCAATTTTGATGATCAAAGATTAATCAGGCTGGGTGTTGGGGGCTCATGCCTGCAATCCCAACACTTTGGGAAGCCAAGGCAGGTGGATCACGGGGTCAAGAGATCGAGACCATCTTGGCCAACATGGTGAAACCCTGTCTCTACTAAAAATACAAAAGTAAGCTGGGTGTGATGGCGCAAACCACCTTACTCGGGAGGCTGAGGCAAAAGAATCGTTTGAACCCAGGAGGTGGAGGTTGCAGTGAGCAGAGATCATGCCACTGTACTCCAGCCTGGCGACAGATTGAGAATCTGTCAAAAAAAAAAAAAAAGATAAATCAAAACTTCCTACTCATAATGCATATACTGTAAGACATACAGCAAAATGTGTTTTTACCCTTTAAAGGCAGTGAGTCATGGGTAAGTACTTTCGCTGGAGGCTGTGGAATAAGATCTGACAGAGTTTAGAACTTCTTGGGATCTGACCATCTGCCCGACCATCCGAGATGCACACATGGGATCAGAGTCATCCTCATTACAGATGGGACATCCTTCCCCAAATGAGTGCTTCCTTCTAATTCCTTCCCAACATTTCACCTGACCAGGACATTCTTTGACAACAAAAGATACATTCACATTATAAAAATCATCCCCCATGATTTGCAGACAGCAATCTGCAGGTAGGAGGGAGAGTCACATTTAAAAACAAAATGTCAGAGAGTCCTGTGACCAGTGCTTTGTAAAAGACACTGCATAGACCAGGGACAAAGGTGACTCCCCACTAATGAAGAAATATGACATGCATTTCCAATGGAAACACAGGAGCACAGCAGGAAAAGGAAATGGGTTATTTTCTCTGTTTTGGAGTATTTAACTGGAAACACAATGATGTAATTACATGATTAATTTTTCCAGTAGGTAAATAATAACAAGGAAATAATGATGTGGTGGCAATGGGCCTTCAGGAGGGTATAAAGGGACTACAGGCCCAGGAGACTTCCAAACACAAGAACTTCACTCTCCTAGAAACCCAACTAGATCCTTCACCCTCTGACACCATGGTAAACTCCTGTTGTGGCTCCGTGTGCTCTCACCAAGGCTGTGGCCGAGACCTCTGCCAGGAGACCTGCTGCCGCCCCAGCTGCTGTGAGACCACCTGCTGCAGGACCACCTACTGTCGCCCCAGCTGCTGTGTGTCCAGCTGCTGCAGGCCCCAGTGCTGCCAGTCTGTGTGCTGCCAGCCCACCTGCTGCCGCCCCAGATGCTGCATCTCCAGCTGCTGTCGCCCCAGCTGCTGTGTGTCCAGCTGCTGCAAGCCCCAGTGCTGCCAGTCTATGTGCTGCCAGCCCACTTGCTGCCGCCCCAGATGCTGCATCTCCAGCTGCTGTCGCCCCAGCTGCTGTGTGTCCAGCTGCTGCAGACCCCAGTGCTGCCAGTCTGTGTGCTGCCAGCCCACCTGCTGCCACCCCAGCTGCAGCATCTCCAGCTGCTGCCGCCCCTCTTGCTGTGAATCCAGCTGCTGCCGCCCCTGCTGCTGCCTGCGTCCAGTCTGTGGCCGAGTCTCCTGCCACACCACTTGCTATCGCCCAACCTGTGTCATCTCCAGCTGCCCCCGCCCCTTGTGCTGTGCCTCCTCTTGCTGCTGAGCCCACTGCCCTGGCTCATCTCTCCCTTCACTGCAGGCCCACAGTTGTAGACCATTCTTCTGTGCTGACTATTAGGACACATGGAGTGGGATTGATGTCATTCAGCAGGGTGGACTTCATGTTTCCAATGAGCCCATCACCATCCCACTGACTCTGTGAGAACATTCTGGTTCATTTTAAACTCCCTCCCTTGCTTTCTTTCTCTTCCAGTCATGGCACCAAATATGAAATAATTTGTAATCCACTAGCTAAGAAATTATTCCAATCCTCTAAATTCCTCATTTTTTAAATCGTTTTGAGCCTACAGAATATCCTTCCCAGTGAGGTACACATTATCTCCATTTCAAACATATTATTTGTCTGTCAGCCTTTCAGTCATTCTTTTCTCTTGGAAAGGTAGGAGGCTGCCCCTCCCATGCTCTCCTGCTTTCTCCCTGTTCTCTCTTTGTCTCTGTTTGTTCAAGTTTGCCAGAATTTTTCTATTTTATTGGTTCTTTATCTTTATTGTGTTCACAAAATATATTGTATTAAACTTTTCATTTAGAAATCTTTTATTGTTTTTTGCATTTTTTTGTGATAATTTTCACTGAGTTTACTGATTCATGGGGGTGAGGTGGGAATGCAGTAGAAGGGGATTCTCAAAGCATGATTCCAAAGTAAGACTTCAGGGATGAACTCATAGTGCCAAACTGCTCCAATGTCACGCATAAACTAAAATAAAATAGAAGCTTTTGATTGTTTCAATTTGATATATGGAATGCTTTGGGATAGGTAAAGCCCCAGTATTGTTGTTTGTAAGTTCATCCATGATTTTAGAACTTATGATATCATGGTAATACTCCTCACTCTTCTGTGTCAAATTTAAAAGGCACATCTCATCCTACTGCATTCCATCTTGATTCAAATCAGTTAAGGCAGACTCCAAATGTTATATAAGGGAATTTTGTTATTTTGTTGTCGGTGGACCAGTTCAGGTTCTTGAATTTGCTGTGCAAAAGAATTTGAGAGCAAATCCAAAGTAAGAGTAAGCGAAGAAATTTGTTGCAAAGCAAAAGTACTCTTTGAGAGGCAGAGTGGGGTGCTCAGTGGGAGAGACAGCAGCTAGTGCTGTAAGAGGAATTCCTTTTATGGGAGCTATACGTACATAATCATAAAATACTGGTGAGGTCAAGTATGCAAAGGCAGACCTGCGGTTGGCACATGTGCTCAGGATCCACGTGGTCTAACACCCATCGCATGTATCATTAGCATATGAAATCTCCGCCTTGGGGTGTTTTTCTTGTTGTGGTTGTTTTTACTATTAAAATGAGGAAATGGTTACTATAAGCTGAACCTTGATCCTAGCTGTGCATGCAGGACCCCAGAGAAGTCCCTGCCCACCCTCCCAAACACCCCACCCCAGGAAGGAATTTGTAGTTAGGAGTTTCTTGGGCTTTTGGTGCAAATTGGCTAGAGATTGGGGAAGCTGCATCAGGAATAAAGGGCTTTTGCTCTCTTTCCCAGGTTGTACTAGGTATCAGGAACTTGTAACCCTCTGGTGGGTCTGCTTCGATTCTGTAGGACCCCTTATCTTGTGAAAGAGTTAGGCACTGATGCACAAAGGTTCAAGTGAAAAGAGCTTGCTGTGAAAGGATCCTGCTGGGCTTCACACAGGGGACAAGTCAGTATGGCCTTGTGAACCCCCAAAATCGGAGACAGGTCTCAGTTTATTTAGAAAGTTTATTTTGCCAAGGTTGGGGATGTACACCTGTGACACAGCCTCAGGAGGTTCTGAAGACATGTGCCCAAAGTGGTCAGAGCACAGCTTGGTTTTATACATTTTAGGGAGACATGAGACATCAATCAACATATGTAAGATGAACAGTGGTTCCGTCCGGAAAAGGCGGGACAAGTCTAAGCGGGGAGGGGCTTCCAGGTCATAGGTAGATAAGAGACAAATGGTTGCTTTCTTTAGAGTTTCTGATTAGCCTTTCCAAAGGAGGCAATCAGATATGCATTTAACTCAGTGAGCAGAGGGGTGACTGTGAATAGAATGGGAGGCAGGTTTGCCCTAAGCAGTTCCCAGCTTGACTTTCCCCTTTACCTTAGTGATTTCAGGGCCCCAAGGTTTATTTTCCTTTCAAATTTCCCCCCTTTTCTTAAAAATCTTTTTGAGAAAGCCTTTTTGAAGAAAGTCAGTCTTTGGTCTCAAGTTTCATCTGATATCTCATGGCTAGGATTGTTTATTCCTAGAAAGATAATTCCTGAGTTATTAGGAAAGTTCATTTTTAGCAGGTTGTGAAGTTTCATGTCCTATGAAGAGAAAATAGGGGGAGGAAGGGAGAAAAACAAAAATAAACAAAAGAACAATCCTGGAAAATCAATATGGGCCACATTACTCTGAAGTCCATACATCAGTAGGCAGGTATGAAAGTGGCTTATGTATGTAAACAGGTTGCTGGTATTTTCTTCTGAAGTTTAAATTCTCTAGCTCCAGTTCGCAGGGCTTTACAAAAGCACAGATGAGTTTTCAGTGACTCCAAATTAGGAAAAATGGGGGAAAGAAGAAGAAAAAAAAACTGAAAACAATCTTTTGAAGACCTGTAGCCAAGAAAAATTAGAATTCAGTGGAAACTGTAGAAAATAATAAAAATGGGAAAACATTAGGCAAGACTAGAATCTAACAACAGGTGTATTATCATTTTTTGAAACATAATTCTTCTCTCTCCCATTTCCCATTTTTACTAAAGACAAATCATGGCAGGGCTGATTTTCTTTATTATACTTGACCTGATTATTTGTATACAGCGCAGCCATAGTAATACTTTTTTTTTGCATAAGCTTTTAAATTGCCTTTGATGGAACTGAAGCAGGATGTTTCCCTGACCCCTTTGTGGGACTTGTGACGGGTGCCTCGTTTATTCAGCCTGCCACTCTCAACTCCTTGCAGGAGCGAGCATGCAAGCAAATGAGGCAGGAACTGGAGTGCACGTGTGCTGGAATCGGCACTGCAGCACGGTAGGATCAAACTTCACTCACTGGGACCTGCTGCAGTCCCCTGCTTGTGGGAGGAAGCATGCAGGTGAATCAGTGCAGGAGCCAAAGTGAGTGCTTTTGGCCACCGGCAGGAGCAAACTCTGTGTGGGCCCCACAGCAGCATCTAGGTGGGGGTGCCTGCGACCCCCATAGCCCCAGAGGGCATGTTACAGTGTTCTTTTAACTCTGCCTTCCATGGATGGCTTAAGTGTCAACAGCTCAGTGAGGCCTCTGCCTTTTTGTGTGAGGCAGCTGCCCTCCACCAGCAAGGGCAGAGGGCCAGTGTGACAGTCTTTTGTATCTGCTCTCCTGGCTCCCAAGCTCTTGTCTTGTGTCCAGGAAAAGTGAGGTCACATGAACCAATCAAAGGATGGTAAATGTGGGGGATTTTGTTGCTGATGAAAGTGGCTCTTAGCAGAAAGCGGAGCTGAAAAAGGATGGGGTGGGTAGGTAATCTTCCTCAAAGTTAGGCTGTATCCAGCTGGATTCTTCTCCAAGATTACACCATCAAGCTGTCCCTCTGAATCAAGCTGCTTCTCTCTGACGTCCAGCTGTAGTTCCCAATGTCCAGCTGCTTCTTGCCTCTGCCAGCTGAGTCTGGCATCTTCACAGGCATAGGATGGACAGGATGGAGCCATGAGTGGTTTAGAAAAAGGCAACTTTCAAGCAGGAAAACAGGGATATAAGTTCTCACTTTGGGCCGTGGTTTAAGGCTTTTCAGCTTGAAGGTGGGGTTTTGTCAGAGACCTACCCTTTTCTGCCTAGAATTTCTCAGCCCCCTGTCCCTATCAGAACTTTGTTCCATAGAAGGAATTTCGGATAAGACTTTTGGAAAGCTTAGCCTAGCCATGGATTTGTACCATCAAATACCTATGAGTTGCATGAATTCCTCTGCTCTTGAGGTTCCAAGATAAACTTGGGGCTCCTGGAACTGTTAGAAAGTGACATGCTTTACTTACCACAGGTCAGGAACCCTGTACAGGGACTGTGTAGATAAGGTATGAGGCCAGTTCTCCCAAGGGGCTTTTATTGGCTCCATAAGTCAAATTTGATTCCTTAAAGGAGAGCACACCATTCCAGTCAAAGCCTTGGTAAAATGACCAATTTCTCCAATTGTGTCTTGTTACACATGAAAACAGATTATTATTGCACTTATGCAAATAACTGTATTGCCATAAGTTAAGAATACTCACAGATAGTTTCCAATTCTGGGGAAAATCAGGTAGAGAGAAACAAATATGCTCCAAATATTTTTCACAGGAGTATACTAACTTGTTAAAAGCTGACAACAGCTCAAATAAAAGTTTCCTTGACTAAAAAAAGGAAAACAAGGAGCAGCAACATTTTAAGCAAAAAGTCAAAAAGATTACGTTGCTCTTCTATTAGTTCAGTTCATGCAGTTAATTCCTGTTCTGCTTGCTATTCATGAACATTTCAGGTCTCCATGAGTTCTGAAAGCTTTTCCTCCATTCTGATGTCACAGTCTCCAAAGTTATTAGAAACTTGCCTTCAAGAACACGTGTTAGAGTTTTATAGCTGATTATAAAACCATCTTCTAAAAAGGACTAAAACAAAACAATTGTCCATGGGTGACAAAAAGTTTTAGGTCAGCCATAATCAAAGACACAATTGACAAGAAAATTTGTTACCACTGTGGCACACGATAATTTTATATAACAATTATAATTATTAGTGATATTGTACACCATGTCATATCAGAATTATAGGAGTTTCCCATAATTTTGGTGCACATACCAATAACATTTTTATACAAATACAGCCCAAAGAAAACCAAACACCATTTTATATTTGACAATGCTTCCTGTATAATTTTTATACCAAATAAGTCATTTATTTCATTTTTGGACTTTAGGGAAACTAATATCTTAGAGGATTAATTAGGTCAGAAAAATACACAACTTGTAATTTGATTCTGGAAACTTTGCCAAATATCAAAAGTTTAAAATACTTGATAGGTCATCATAAAATAAGTCAATTTTTCAAACATTAAGCCCAAATAAAACAGCATAAAGCCAATTAAATTTGTTTTTTGAAATTTTATTATCAATCTTTAAAATTTTAATCTTGACCATAAGATACAGCTTCCATAAGCCTTTTTTAACCTTTATAACCTTTATTAAGGGGTCGGTTAACACTTCAAGAAAACCTTTTTAATCTGACGCAGGGGCCCGTATGCTGGTATTGCATCAGTGTGCCTTTGACATCAATTATTAACTTGCAGAGAAACTGAACTTATTTTGTCTCTCAAAATCAGCCCTTACAATCTCACATGCCTACCTCTTCTGTGGTAGTTCCTGAGCCTTGAGGAGTTGAATAGCTTTTACTTCTGGCCTTATGTCTCAGGAATGCAGTTTATTTTGATTGGCATCTTCTACCAGGCCTGAAGATGAGGTTTTAATTGCTGTCAGTGCTTAAGATTTAGCAGACCTTGGTGTCCTTTTTAGACCCAGGAGTCAAAGGCCTGTAACTTAATGTCACAGGTACTTTCAAAGCACCTACAGAAATATACATGGATGTAATAACCTTAATTTTAAAAAATTATCTCAGATACTTTTTCCTGAGCAAATCAAAAATTAATAATAACAGCATAGCATTGTTTCAATAAGCCATAAAATCTGTTAGGTCAATTACCCAAAGGCAAAAGAAAAGACCTTCTACACTGCACAGAATATTACTTTGGAAGAAAACATTTTCTTTAGACTTTTAGAAAACATTGTTAGCATCAGACCATAACAAATAGAATTTAAGGAAAATAACTTATATGAGCTGCAAACGAGTTGAAGGGGAGAGAAAACAGCGAGTAAACAGTTGAACTTTGGGTTAAAAAAATTAAAATCTCTTATAATTTAATAAGAGTAAATCAATCCCTTAAGAAAATTTCATCGCTCTAACTATTTTGTTTATCATTGCTTTTTTTTTTTTACATGAAGCCCAATCTTCAGGAAGACTATTATAATTTCCTTTTAATTACAGACAACTTGACCATATAAAAGTTTGTTGGTTTTTTTTTTAATCCTCTTATTATGACTTTTACAGACTGTTCATGATATGCTTGGACTTTCTGGTTTGTTTTGAACATCCATCTTTCTTAAACAATCATTTTATTTTAGGTCTAAATTTACCATACAAGATCTTTTCTCATATGAAATTATTTCTCTTTAAGCTTCCTTACCAAAAAGAACCCTCTTTATCCTCTTTATTTTTATACCTTTCTTTACATCTCTCTGATTTCCTGGTTCCTTTTAACTTGTCTTATACATAATCTTTAAATAAGCATTGAATTAGATGACAATTGTTCACCTTTTTAAAAAGGAATTGTTTACCTAGATTATTTATGAAAACTGCAATAGTCATCATTTAAAGTTATGGAACTGCCATTGCAAAATTATAACTGAGACAGTGAAAAAGATCTGACCTAATTGACTCCATCTTGCTTCTAACCTCCAAACTGTTCTTGTTCAATCCTGGGCACAGGCTGAACAGACGTTGAGAGGAACATAGTTTATAGTTTACCTTTGAAACAAAGATTATAACAGTTCATTCTCAAACTAAATCTTACTGCCTGTGGACTAGACCACCAAAACCACAAAATTAGAAGTTACAGTAATCTCACTAAATTCAAGATGTGACTATTTTTATTAAACCAATATCAATGTCTTATTTATTAAAGATTATACAAGCAAAGATCATTCTATTACAGTTTTGTAACTCCATGGCAAATTTTGACACCTTATGGTATTTGACAGGGATAAGCATGAAATTGCTTGATTAATAAATGCAAACAAAAATGCATGCTGGCAATTTTTAAGACATGTCTAATATTACTTTACCAATAATTTTAAAGCTAGCTTATTTATTAAAGATTTTACTTGTTACATAAACTTCAGAAAGCATTCAACTAGTCTTTTCTTTTTTCCTGATAAAGTATTAGATTCAAGTGCTTTTTATCTTAAGCCAATTAATTAGAACTCTTTTATATATTTTCAGTAGCGAGAAATTGTGTACACATCACATAAATATATAGACATAGTAGGCATGCTGATAGAAGTACATCGTATAGATACTTAAGGAGCTTTTTTCCCCTATCTTAGGCTTTCAAATTCTTAATAACCTGTTTTACTCCCCTAGGGAGTTGTCAGCTAAATAGCCTTAAGTTTGCATGTTAAAGGAAACAACTCAGGCAAAAATCAAATAGCAAAATTATATCATAAGGTACAGAGAGAAAAAGTCTGGTGGTGCTAGAGGGAAGTCAAAATGGATTTAATTGCCAATTAAACATAAAATTATAAAAATTATAAAGGCCTTTTAAATAGATACACACACACACACACACACACACACAAACACACACACAGAAATCCTATAGCTTTTACTTCAGAACTTTAGCCATGAGACAAATACAAATTCACCAGGTTGCAAACAAAAAGCCTGTTGTATCCAAACAGTGGTTTTGATCTTAATAGAAAAATAACAGCAGATTTAAAGCAGGCAGAAAAGAAAATAGAGAAAAAAGAGAACTTAGGAACTCTGTAGTTTGTAGGTTGACCTTAAGGCTCTTCTTTTCTTTCTTTTTCTTTTCTTTCTTTCTTTCTTTCTTTCTTTCTTTCTTTCTTTCTTTCTTTCTTTCTTTCTTTCTTGCTTGCTTGCTTTCTTGCTTGCTTGCTTTCTTTCCTTCTTTTCTTTCTCTTCTAAAAAAAAATGAAATACACATGCAGGAGAACGTGCAGGTTTGTTACATAGGTATATGTGTGCCTTGGTGGTTTGCTGCACCTATTGACCCATCCTCTAAATTCCCTCCTCTCATTCCCCACCCCCCAACAGCCCCTGATATGTGTTGCTCTCCTCTCTGTGTCCATGTGTTCTCAAAGTTCAACTCCCATATATGAGTGAGAACATGTTGTATTTGGTATTCTGTTTCTGTGTTAGTTTGCTGAGGATGATGGTTTCCAGCTTCATCCATGTCCCTACAAAGGACATGATCTCACTCCGTTTTATGGCTGCATCGTATTCCATGGTGTATATGTACCACATTTTCTTTATCAAGTCTATAATTGATGGGCGTTTGGGTTAGTTCCATGTCTTTGCTCTTGTAAATAGTGCTGCAATAAACATACATGTGCCTGTGTCTTTATAGTAGAATGATTTGTATTCCTTTGGGTATATAACAAGTAATGGGATTGCTGGATCAAATGGTATTTCTGATTCTAGATCCTTGAGGAATCACCATACTGTCTTCCACAATGGTTGAACTAATTTACATGGGCCCTTTCTTTCTTAATGTAAATATGCACAAAGACCATATTACTTCCATTTTACTTAAACTCTGGCAAGTACAGGTGCCATAAAACCTATGGAGTGCTTGAAAGGGAATCATTCTCTTTGCTTTCTCCTCATTCTTAGATTATTTGTTTCCCAGTTTTCTTCTTAAAAAGAGGAACTGAGCTGAGGCCTAGAGGTTTTCTGTGGTGGATCAATATGTGCCATTTGTGGGCAGGACTCCACAGTGGGTCACCACTGAAAACAACAGTTCAGTTCCTCATGCAAATGCACACAGACAAGCTGAATTGAGCTTAATTTGGGGAGAAAAAGCAACAGAGAAGATCCTTTAGAATGCATTTGTGAACTAGAATTAGGATCTTTAAACGACAAATTCCTAGAAGGAAAACAAAACAACAGCCAAGACCACTTTTTGTAAACCTTGCTCAGCCACCCCTTAACTTTGTAGCTCTCATCTACCACTATACACAACAAGGTCAAAGCCAAAGAGGTCAGGTCATGCAATACAGGAAAATAGAGGTTTAGAGTTAAGAAGAATCTACCCATGACTCTTGAAACTCCACAAAGAAAACAAAACACCCCAAAAGGGGTGAGTGGCAACCTTTGTTCTGAATTCTTTAAGGGGGTTCAAGTCATTAGAAGCCTTCTCTAGACTTTTTGGTACTGCATATGGCAAAGGGGGAGGAGGTATATGGTGCAAGAAAAGTAAACGAAAGAACATTCGTGTTTTAAGACAGGAAGCAAACACAGAAACCAAGTGCATGGGTTTTTGGTTCTTTTTGTTTGTTTTCTTCTTTTGCAGCTGCAATGAATTTTAGCCAAATTAGAGAGGTTTTGTTACCCGTAATTTTGAATTCTCACTTGGATTTGACCAAGTCAGGTAGAGTTGGTCAAGTCTGATGGGAGAAAGACCAAAACAAACAACAAAATCTCCAACCATAGGATTACCAAGCACTCTAATGATAAGGAGAAATTAAGAGCAGCTAGCTGGTTGTTAAACTTTAGCCCAGACAAAGCCCCAGTTCAGCTACTTACCTAGGGATGGGTCTCAGGCTGAAGGCTGCTTTCTACCACCCTAGAAGCAGGAAAAAAACTCAAACTGGTCTTCCCTGCTGGGAGTGAGCTCAAACTCTACATGCCTTTCATCATCATGGAAGCAGGAAATCTTGCCTTCCTTGTAAAGGAAGTAAAAGTAAATCTTGCCTTCCTTATAAGGAAGGCAAGTAAGCAAGTAAAACTCCAAAAACAAAAATAGGTGGGGCAGTTGTACAGCAAAATGAACTTTAGTTCTTCACCAAATTTGGGGAGATCAGGGATTCTTTGGGGAGGGTGCTCCCAGACCTCAGCAAATTGTCCTATTGATTTGAGCCATAAAGTTAGCTCATGCTATTACCAGGCACCAACAGGATATTCGTCAAAGGTCAAGGGCATCTCCACTCAGAATCCTTTCACAGTTACCAAAATGTTAACCCAGAAAATCTGAGACAGGTCTCAGTTAATTGAGAAAGTTTATTTTGCTAAGGTTGAGGATGCTCCGGTGACACAGCCTCAGGAAGTCCTGATGACATGTGTGTAAGGTGGTCAGATAACACTTTTGTTTTATACATTTTAGGGAGACATGAGATATCAATCAACATATGTAAGATGAACACGGATTTGGTCCAGAAAAGGCAAGACAACTCGAAGCAAAGGCGGGACAACTCGAAGCTGGGAGGGGGCTTCCAGATCATAGGTATATAAGAGACAAATGGTTGCCTTCTTTTGAGTTTCTGATTAGCCTTTCCCAAGGAGGCAATCAGTGCATTTATCTCAGTGAGCAGAGGGGTGACTTTGAATAGAATGAGAGGCAAGTTTGTCCTAAGCAGTTCCGAGTTTGCCTTTTCCCTTTAGCTTAGTGATTTGGGGGCCCCAATATTTATTTTACTTTCACAGCCTCCTAACCTTATTTATCCTGCCTCATGTTTAAGAAGGCATCATAACTCTATGACTGAGATCTGGACAACATTTTTCTTAAGGCATCTGAAAAAATATGAAGCTTATTTTTCATATTTGAACATATCTGAACAAATCATCTTAAACTTGATTGGCTCAATAGCTTAAGGCCATTTCAGAGCTGATAATAGTCAAATAAAAGTAAAAACATCAAGAGCAGGTGCTCCTACTAGAATGCCAAGTTATAGTCACTTACCATATTCTTTCAGATTCAAATGAAGGCACCTCTCTTGGAAATTCTAATTAGGATATGCACCCCAGCTGCGACCTACTCAAGACTGAACTAATTCCAATAAAATAATTCTTAAAAAGAAAAGCGAGCCTTGAAATTTTCATCCTTTCTGGGTTTATATATATTAAAATGTTAAGTGTGGAGTTGTTTAAATTATAATGTAAACCCGTAGAGACCACAGTCAGCAATATACCATGCTATCCAGATGAACTACAGCTCAATATGCTTTTTTGTCTCAGCAGAACTCACTGGGAAATAAAGCCCACTTTTTGATTATAAATTCCAAAATGTTGTTATTGAGTAAAATGAATTCAGTACATGAAATTCTTTATAGAAGATTTCCCTTCTTTCATTGGTGTCTAATTTTCAGAAATTTGGTTTTATCTTTTTTGTCAAAACAGGGACGATAGTATTATGAGATATAATGTGTTAAAGATAAAATGTGTTTCAAGAGCTAAGGTATGAATTAAAACTGTCTTAATTTAGGATATTAAGACACATGTGCACACACACACACACACATACACACACATATACACACAGCACTTCTATTCCAATACCGTAAATTATCTATATTCGATATAGCATGTATTTTCAAAGTGATTTCAACACGGGTTGCTTTTCCTGCGTCTTTGTGTAAAATATAATTGTCAGGGAATCAGTAAAATAATTATGAAAGCAATAGAGAATGATACCAATGAATTCTTATGTACAGAAATTTTATTAAAAAGCAGAGATGCAACAAAGCATAAGAAATTCACACTAGGAGAAACACAGAATATAACTGGGCGGCTGGATCTGAGGGTGCAACCTCAGTGACAAAACTGGTCCTGCAGATAATGTCTGCCTCACTGAGAAGAAGATCTGTACCTCAAAGTGATAAAGAAAATGAGGAAATTAGAGGATTGGAATAATTTCTAGCTAGTGGATTACAAATTAATTCACATTTGGTGCCACCACCGGAAGAAAAAGAAAGCAAGGGAGGGAGTTTAAAATGAATCAGAATGTTCTCAAAGAGTCAGTGAAATGGTGATGGGCTCATTGGAAACATGAGTTCCATTCTATTGAATGACATCAACCCCACTTCCTGTATCCTAATGGTCAGCACAGTAGAAGGGTCTACATCTGTGGGCCAGTGGTGAAGGGGGAGATAAGCCAGGGCAGTGGGCTCAGCAGCAAGAGGAGGCACAGCACAAGGGGCGGGGGCAGCTGGAGATGACACAGGTTGGGCGATAGCAAGTGGTGTGGCAGGAGACTCGGCCACAGACTGGACGCACGCAGCAGCAGGGGCGGCAGCAGCTGGATTCACAGCAAGAGGGGCGGCAGCAGCTGGAGATGCTGCAGCTGGGGCGGCAGCAGTTGGGCTGGCAGCACACAGACTGGCAGCACTGGGGCTTGCAGCAGCTGGACACACAGCAGCTGGGGCGACAGCAGCTGGAGATGCAGCACCTAGGGTGGCAGCAGGTCGTCTCACAGCAGCTGGGGCGACAGCAAGTGGGTTGGCAGCACGCAGGCTGGCAGCACTGGGGCCTGCAGCAGCTGGACACACAACAGCTGGGGCGGTAGCAGGTGGTCCTGCAACAGGTGGTCTGACAGCAGCTGGGGCGGGAACAAGTGGGTTGGCAGCACACAGACTGGCAGCACTGGGGCCTGCAGCAGCTGGATACACAACAGCTGGGGCGGCAGCAGGTGGTCCTGCAGCAGGTGGTCTCACAGCAGCTGGGGCGGCAGCAGGTCTCCTGACAGAGGTCTTGGCCGCAGCCCTGGTCAGAGCACACGGAGCCACAACAGGAGCTGACCATGGTGTCAGAACGGGGAGGATCTGGGTGGGCTTCCAAGAGAGTGAAGTTCTTGGGTTTGGAAGTCTTCTGGGTCCATAGCCACCTTTATACCCTGCTGAAGGCCCATTGCCACCACGTCATTATTTCCTTATTATTTACCTCGTGGAAAACTTAATCATGTAATTACATAATTGTGTGCTTCTACTTAAATACTCCAAAAGAGAGAAAATAACCCATTTCCTTTTCCTGCTGTGCTCCTGTGTTTCTATTGGAAACACTTGTCATATTTCTTCCTTAGTGGGGGTCACCTTTGTCCCTGGTCTCTGCAGTGTCTTTTACAAAGCACTGGTCACATGACTCTGACACTTTATTTCTAAATGTGATTCTCCCCCCTACCTGTAGATTGCTCTCTGCAAATCATGGGGGACAATTTTTATAATGTGAATGTGTCTTTTGTTGTCAAATAATGTCCTGGTCAGATGAAATGTTGGAAAGGAATTAGAAGGAAGGACTCATTCGGGAGAAGGATGTCCCATCTATAATGAAGATGACTCTGATTCCGTGTATGCTTCTTGAATAGTTGGGGAGATGGTCAGATCTCAAGGAAGTTATAAACTCTGTGTCAGATCTCATTCCACCACTCCAAGTGAAAGTACTTAGCCATGACTCATTGCCTTTAATGAGTAAAAACACATTTTTCTGTATGTCTTACAGTATAGGCATTTGGAGTAGGAAGTTTTGATTTACCTTTGATCATCAAAACTGCATGATGGATTTTCATTGACAAAAGCATTTGTTATATGTAAACAATATTTAGAATTATTAAGCCTTCAATAATATGCATCCAAGACATTCTATTGGGTACTCTGGGTATAGAACAGATAAACCCTCCTCATTTTCCTGCAGGTACTTGTATAAGACACATGCATAAGAAACAGAATTTGGCAAAAATGAAAAGAATTACAATTATGTTCATTAAACAACTAAAATAAAAATGTATAGTATGTGGATAATTTCCACACACCCTCAGTGTATATATATATTACTTGTGAAGTATTGACTATGTACCAGACATTGTGCTAAATATCTTTTTCATTTTCACTCTTTAATACAACCTTAAAAAGTAGGTACATTCTTATTACTCTTTTAGCAGAATACTCAAAAGAAGCATTAAAAAGCTAAAACAAACAAACAAAATACTTGTCCAAGATTAAAGAGAAAGTAAGCCTAATATGTCTTAGTGTAGCCAAGAAAGCGATAAAGAATACAATTTGCTAAGCTTGCTGAGACTGCTTCATCTTCTTGGAATGTTTCATCTTTTTTTGTCCACTCTGCAAACTCCTACTCATGTGTCAAAACCCAGTTAAAATATTTCCTTCTCAATAATATATTTCCTAATAAGCTACCCCATTCATCTATTATTATTTCCTGTCTTGTGCTCATAATTTGATACATTCTACTGTATCATAGACATTTACTTCTTTCATTCCCCCATATACAGTGCAAATACCCTGAATGCATGGGCTATGATGTTTCTTTTTGTTACCATGATACTCAGGACAGAGAACACTGGTGATAAATGTTTCTTGAGTGAATGAAGGCTTTTTGATGACATAGAAGCATGTAAGGTCCTTTAAAAGTGTATATATCTTTTGACTTCTGGATAAAAGAGAGGAAAACATTCCAAACAAGGGGATCAGAGTTTCATTTCAGGAAAACTACACTTATTTCTATGGTAAGTAACATGTCCCCTGATAAATAACATATGTGGAAAGTTGTGGAAGTTAGGATTCTGTTTATAGAATGAGACTTGGTTATAGATAACCAGGAATACCGTGTCTTCCCACTGTGGAAGGAAAAAGAGAGGGTGAGACAGAGAAAGAGGGAGTCAAACTCATCCTTTTATAAGGAACCCTCTTTTGTGATAACAGCATTAATCCACTCATGAGGGTGGTGTCACCATGACCCAAACATCTCCTGTTAGGCCCAACCTCCCAACACTGCGGCATTGAGGATCAAGTTTCCAACACATGAACTTTGAGGGACACATTCAAACCATTGCATTCCACCCTTGGTCCCCCAAATCCATGTCCTTCTCGTACACAAAATATATTCATTTTATTCCAATAGTCCCAAAGTATTAACTTGTTCCAGCACCAACTTAAAAGTCAAAATGTAAATCTAAGAGTCTCATGTGACTCTGATATGAATAAGACTCAACACAGGACTTATCCTGAGGCAAATTCTCCTCCATATGTGAACCTATTAAAGAAGTTATCTAGTTCCAAAATCCAATGGTGGGAGAGGCATAGGATAGACAGGCCCATTCCAAAAGGCAGCAACAGGAAAGAAAAAAGGGTAACTGGCCCCAGGTGAGTCCAACAGGGAAGACAGCATTAAATCTTAAGACTGGAGAATAAACTTCGACTCCATGTGCTGTCTCCTGGATGTGCCCGACATGGGGAAGGGCTGCCTGGGGCCTTGGTGTTAGGCCCCAAATGCCCTCAGATAGCCCTGCCCCATGGCTTTGCTGGGCTCAGCCCATACAGCAGCTATCTGATTGGAGTCTCTGCTGCAGCTCTCTCAGGCTAGTATTGCAGGCTGATAGTTCTACAGTTCTAGGGTCTCAGTGGCTGCTCTGACCCCCCGTTTTCCTGAGCATGGCCCTAGGAGGACCTCTCTGCTGTGGCTACACCCCTAAGGCAGGCTGTCAGAAACATCCTTTCAAACCTAGGTGGACCACCATTGCCCCACAACTCCTGCAGTCTGTGTATCTACAGTCAGTACTACATGAACACCACCAAGGCTCACAGTTTGTGGCCTCTGCAGCAGCAGCGCAAGTCTCATCTAAACCCACTTGAGCCACAACTGGAGCAGCAAAGGGGCACTGTGCTAGAATGTGGAGAGTACCAAACCCTTTCTGACCTTAAGATTCTCTCATTTGGAGCCTGTGATGGGAGGGACAGCTTCAAAGATCTTTGAAATGCCTTCAGAGCCATTCTCCCACTGATTTGATGAACAGCACCTAGCTTCCTTCTATTCATATCAATCCTTGTAACAAAGCATTACTTGGCCACAATCTTGCATGCTTTTTCATTCTTTATATGGTCAGTCTCCACATTTTCCACATCTTTATGTTCTGTTTCCCTTTTAATTATGAATTCCACCTTTAAATCATTTCTTTCCTCTTGCATTTTACTATGTGCAGTTCAAAGATGCCATGCAGCCCCAGTGCTTCCAGTCTGTGTGCTGCCAGCCCACCCAACTGCTGTCACCCCAGCTGTTGTCAGACCACCTGCTGCAGAACCACCTCCTGCTCCCACAGCTGCTCTGTGTCCAGCTGCTGCAGACCCCAGTGCTGCCATTCCGTGTGCTGCCAGCCCACCTGCTGCCGCCCCAGCTGCTGTCAGACCACCTGCTGCAGGACGACCTGCTGCCACCCCAGCTGCTGTGTGTCCAGCTGCTGCAGACCCCAGTGCTGCCATTCCGTGTGCTTCCAGCCCACCTGCTGCCACCCCAGCTGCTGCATCTCCAGCAGCTGCTGCCCCTCTTGCTGTGAATCGAGCTGCTGCTGCCCCTGCTGCTGCCTGCGTCCAGTCTGTGGTCGAGTCTCCTGCCACGTCACTTGCTATCACCCAACCTGTGTCATCTCCACCTGCCCCCACCCCTTGTGCTGTGCCTCCCCTCCCCTTCCCCTCCCCTTCCCTTCCCCACCCGTTCCCCTCCCTTTCTTCCTTTCCCTTGCCCTCCCCTCCCCTCCCCGCCCTTCCCCTCCCCTCCTCTCCCCAGTGTTAATCCCCTCCCCTTCCCCTTCCCCTTCTCTCCCTTCACTTTCCCCTCCCCTCCCCTCCCCTCCCCTCCCCTCCCCTCATTTCCCCAGTGTTAATCCCAAGAGCATGCTTCAATAAACCTCCTGCATATTGCTCTCCATCTCAGTGTCTGCTTCCTGGGGAACCCAGCCTGTCCCCCAAAACAATTTGAAATTCATGATAGCTAATTTGAGAGCTCAAATGACTGACTGAAATGTACTTTTAATATTTTAGTTCCTGAAAGAAATAAGAATGTAAACATAATAGCAGAAAACATACTTAACAGAATCTGTAGAAAAAATTATGAATTTTATATAAATCAAATTTATTATTTTCTAAGGATTTTTATATCATTTATACACAAATATATGCTCTTTAAACATTTAGACAATACAAAAGAATGCAACCAAAGGTAAGTTTCCCATCACGGTCTTTGCCAATCCCATTCAATACCTAATGTTACAAATTGAGATACATCCTCATTAAATGCATGCATAACACATGTATGTATTTATTTGAAAACTTGGCTTTCGTTGCACATCTCTTGTTCTGACATTTATTCAAACGTTATTTTATGTCCTTCAGGAAATATTAACACTTTCCTTCACATAGGCTTGGCAGATTTATTTACATATTTTTCTATTTACTCTTGAGAATTGTGAGCACATTGTTCTTTTTTAAAATTATTCTTAAAGTCCTAGGGTACATGTGCACAATGTGCAGGTTTGTTACATATGTATACATGTGCCATGTTGGTGTGCTGCACCCATTAACTCGTCATTTACATTAGGTGTTTCTCCTAATGCTATCCCTCCCTCCTCCCCCCACCCCACGACAGGCCCCAGTGTGATTTTTCTCCATTAAATTTTAGAGACAATTATTGCTAGTGTATAAAAAGTCTATAGATTAGTATAAGTTCATATTTTATCTGATCTCATGATTCATACTAATACCCAGCTGACTCTCCAGGATTTTGTAGGTGTGCAATCATGGTGGCCAAGTGCCTCCAGCCTCAGGCCTGTCCCCGGGGTTCATCCCCAGATGCCCACAGTGGGGGTCCTACCATTAACACAAACACTGTTGGGATTTTCTACCTTTTCTGTCTTACTTTCGCCATTTCCTCACTTGTGCTTCCTGGGATCATCCCCCAAATAAATTATGTGCACCCAGGTATTTTTCTCAAGGTTTGCATTGGGTAGAATTTAAGTTAAGACAACAGATGATCAACAAACATTTTTGGCTGACTGATACGAAACTGGAAATAATAGTTATTTCAATCGACAAGAGTAAAACGAGGGAGTCAGGAGGTGAAGGAGAACCAGTGCTACCATCTGGCGTTTACTTCCTTCCTGTCTTTTTACTGTGTGAATATAGGCATGCACGTTCAACACTGTATTCCTGGTTATCTATAAACAAGTCTCATTCTATAAATTGAATCTTAACTTCCACAACTTTCCACATATGTTATTTATCAGATGACATGTTACCTACCACGTAAATTAGTTTAGTCTTCCTGAAATGAAATTATGATCTCTTTGTTTGGAATGTTTTCCTCTCTTTTATCCAGAAGTCAAAAGATATATACATTTTTAAAGGACCTTACATGCCTCTATGTCATCAAAAGCCTTCCTTCACTCAACAAACATTTACCACCAGTGTTCTCTGTGCTGAGTATCATGGTAACAAGAATAAATGCCATAGCCCATGCCTTCAGGGTATTTGCATTGCACGTGGTGGAATGACAGAAGTAAATGACTATGATACAGGAGAATGTAACAAATTATGAGCACAAGGCAGGAAATCATGATACATGAATGGGGTAGCTTAGCAGGAAAGATATTATTGAGGAGGAAATATTTTAACTGGGTCTTGACACATGAGTAGGAGTTTGCAGAGTGGACAAAAAAAGATGAAACATTCCAAGAAGATGAAGCAGTTTCAGCAAGCTTAGCAAATTGTATTCTTTAGGGCTTTCTTGGCTACACTAAGACATATTAGGCTTACTTTCTCTTTAACCTTGGACAAGTTGTTTGTTTGTTTTAAGTTTTTAATGCTTCTTTTGAGTATTCCCCTAAAAGACTAATAAGAATATAAACTAGTTCATAAGGTTGTATTAAAGTGTGAAAATGAAACAAATGTAAGATATTTGGTACAATGCCTGCTACATAGTCAATACTTCACAAGTAATATACATACCATGAGGGTGTATGGAACTTATCCACATATTATACATTTTTTATTTTAGTTGTTTAATGAAAATAATTGTAATTCTTTTCATTTCTGCCAAACTGTTTCCTATCCATGTGTCTTATGCAAGTACCTGCAAGAAAAAGATGAGGGTTTATCTGTTCTACACCCAGAGTACCCAATAGAACATCTTGGATGCATGTTATTGAAGGCTTAATAATTCTAAATATTCTTCATATATAACAAATGCTTTTGTAAATGAAAAATGCATCACGCAATTTTGATGATCAAAGATTAATCAGGCTGGGTGTTGGGGGCTCACGCCTGCAATCCCAACACTTTGGGAAGCAAAGGCGGGTGGATCATGAGGTCAAGAGATCAATACCATCTTGGCCAACATGGTGAAACCCTGTCTCTACTAAAAATACAAAAGTAAGCTGGGTGTGGTGGCACACACCTGTAGTCCCAGCTACTCGGAAGGCTGAGGAAAAGGAACTGCTTGAACCCAGGAGGTGGAAGTTGCAGTGAGCCGAGATCATGCCACTGTACTCCAGCCTGGTGACAGAGGGAGACTCCGTCAGAAAAAAAAAAAAAAAAAAAGATAAATCAAAACTTCCTACTCTTAATGCCTATACTGTAAGAAATACAGCAAAATGTGTTTTTACCCTTTAAAGGCAGTGAGTCATGGGTAAGTACTTTTGCTGGAGGCTGTGGAATAAGATCTGACAAAGAGTTTAGAACTTGTTGGGATCTGACCATCTGCCCGACCATCCGAGATGCACACACGGGATCAGAGTCATCCTCATTACAGATGGGAGATCCTTCCACAAATGAGTCCTTCCTTCTAATTCCTTCCCAACATTTCACCTGACCAGGACGTTCTTTGACAATGAAAGATACATTCACATTATAAAAATCGTCCCCCATTATTTGCAGACAGCAATCTACAGGTAGGAGGGAGAGTCATATTTAAAAACAAAATGTCAGAGAGTCCTGTGACCAGTGCTTTGTAAAAGACACTGCATAGACCAGGGACAAAGGTGACCCCCACCAAGGAAGAAATATGACAAGCATTTCCAATGGAAACACAGGAGCACAGCAGGAAAAGGAAATGAGTTATTTTCTCTGTTTTGGAGTATTTAACTAGAAACACACAATGATGTAATTACATGATTAATTTTTTCAGTAGGTAAATAATAACAAGGAAATAATGACGTGGTGACAACGGGCCTTCAGGCGGGTATAAAGGGGCTATGGACCCAGGAAACTTCCAAACTCAAGAACTTTACTCTCTTGGAAACCCAAATAGATCCTTCACCCTCTGACACCATGGTCAACTCCTGTTGTGGCTCCGTGTGCTCTGACCAAGGCTGTGGCCAAGACCTCTGCCAGGAGACCTGCTGCTGCCCCAGCTGCTGTCAGACCACCTGCTGCAGGACCACCTGCTACCGCCCCAGCTACAGTGTGTCCTGCTGCTGCAGACCCCAGTGCTGCCAGTCTGTGTGCTGCCAGCCCACCTGCTGTCGCCCCAGCTGCTGTGTGTCCAGCTGCTGCAAGCCCCAGTGCTGCCAGTCTGTGTGCTGCCAGCCCACCTGCTGCCACCCTAGCTGCTGCATCTCCAGCTGCTGCCGCCCCAGCTGCTGTGTGTCCAGCTGCTGCAAGCCCCAGTGCTGCCAGTCTGTGTGCTGCCAGCCCAACTGCTGCCGCCCCAGCTGCAGCATCTCCAGCTGCTGCCGCCCCTCTTGCTGTGAATCCAGCTGCTGCCGCCCCTGCTGCTGCCTGCGTCCAGTCTGTGGCCGAGTCTCCTGCCACACCACTTGCTATCGCCCAGCCTGTGTCATCTCCACCTGCCCCCGCCCCGTGTGCTGCGCCTCCTCTTGCTGCTGAGCCCACTGCCCTGGCTCATCTCTCCCTTCACCGCTGGTCCACAAATGTAGACCATTCTTCTGTGCTGAATATTAGGACACATGGAGTGGGATTTATGTCATTCAGCAGGGTGGACCTCATGTATCCAATGAGCCCATCACCATCCCGCTGACTCTGTGAGAACATTCTGGTTCATTTTAAACTCCCTCCCTTGCTTTCTTTTTCTTCCAGTCATGGCACCAAATACGAATTAATTTGTAATCCACTAGCTAAGAAATTATTCCAATCCTCTAAATTCCTCATTTTTTAAAATCATTTTGAGCCTACAGAATATCCTTCCCAATTAGGTACACATTATCTCCCTTTCAAACATACTATTTGTCTGTCAGCCTTTCAGTCATTCTTTTCTTTTGGAAAGGTAGGAGGCTGCCCCTCCCGTGCTCTCCCGCTTTCTCCCTGCTCTCTCTTTCTCTCACTGTTCAAGTTTGTCAGAATTTTTCTATTTTATTAGTTCTTTATCTTTATTGTGTTCACAAAATATATTGTATTAAACTTTTCATTTAGAAATCTTTTATTGTTTTTTGCATTTTTTGTGATAATTTTCACTGAGTTTACTGATTCATGGGGGTGAGGTGGGAATGCAGTAGAAGGGGATTCTCAAAGCATGATTCCAAAGTAAGACTTCAGGGATGAAATCATAGTGCCAAACTGCTCCAATGTCACACATAAACTAAAATAAAATAGAAGCTTTTGATTGTTTCAATTTGATATACGGAATGGTTTGGGATACGTAAAACCCCTAGTAATGTCACAGATAAACTAAAATAAAATAGAAGCTTTTCATTGTTTCAATTTGATATACGGAATGCTTTGGGATAGGTAAAGCCCCCAGTATTGTTGTTTGTAAGTTCATCCATTATTTTAGAAATTATGATATCATGGTAATACTCCTCACTCTTCTGTGTGAAATTTAAAAAGTACATCTCATCCTACTGCATTCCATCTTGATTCAAATCAGTTAAGGCAGACTCCAAATGTTATATAAGGGAATTTTGTTATTTTGTTGTTGGTGGACCAGTTCAGATTCTTGAATTTGCTGCGCGAAAGAATTTGAGAGCAAATCCAAAGTAAGAGTAAGCGAAGAAGTTTGTTGCAAAGCAAAAGTACCCTTTGAGAGGCAGAGTGGGCTGCTCAATGGGAGAGACAGCAGCTAGTGCTGTAAAAGGAATTCCTCTCATGAGAGCTATACGTACATAATCAAAAAGTACCGGTGAGGTCAAGTATGCAAAGGCAGACCTGCGGTTGGCACATGTGCTCAGGATCAACATGGTGTAACACCCATTGCATGTATCATTAGCATATGAAATCTCCGCCTAGGGGTGTTTTTCTTGTTGTGGCTGTTTTTACTATTAAAATGAGGAAAAGGTTACTATAAGCTGAACCTTGAGCCTAGCTGTGCATGCAGGACCCCAGAGAAGTCCCTGCCCACCCTCCCACACACCCCACCCCTGGAAGGAATTTGTAGTTAGGAGTTTCTTGGGCTTTTGGTGCAAATTGGCTAGAGATTGGGGAAGCTACATCAGGAATAAAGGGCTTTTGCTCTCTTTCCCAGGTTGTACTAGGTATCAGGAATTTGTAACCCTCTGGTGGGTCTGCTGGTATTCCGTAGGACCCCTTATCTTGCGAAAGAGTTAGGTGCTGATGCACAAAGGTTCAAGTGAAAAGAACCTGCTGTGAAAGGCTCCTGCTGGGCTTCACACAGGGGACAATTCAGTATAGCCTTCTGAACCCGCAAAATCGGAGACAGGTCTCAGTTTATTTAGAAAGTTTATTTTGCCAAGGTTGGGGATGTACACCTGTGACACAGCCTCAGGAGGTTCTGAAGACAGGTGCCCAAAGTGGTCAGAGCACAGCTTGGTTTTATACATTTTAGGGAGACATGAGACATCAATCAACATATGTAAGATGAACAGTGGTTCCGTCCGGAAAAGGCCGGGACAACTCTAAGTGGGGAGGGGCTTCCAGGTCATAGGTAGATAAGAGAAAAATGGTTGCTTTCTTCAGAGTTTCTGATTAGCCTTTCCAAAGGAGGCAATCAGATATGCATTTATCTCTGTGAGCAGAGGGGTGACTGTGAATAGAACGGGAGGCAGGTTTGCCCTAAGCAGTTCCCAGCTTGACTTTCCCCTTTACCTTAGTGATTTCAGGGCCCCAAGGTTTATTTTCCTTTCACATTTCCGCCCATTTCTTCTTAAAAATCTTTTTGAGAAAGCATTTTAGAAGAAAGTCAGTCTTTGGTCTCAAGTTTCATCTGATATCTCATGGCTAGGATTGTTTATTCCTAGAAAGATAATTCCTGAGTTATTAGGAAAGTTCATTTTTAGCAGGTTGTGAAGTTTCATGTCCTATGAAGAGAAAATAGGGAAAGGAAGGGAGAAAAACAAAAATAAACAAAAGAACAATCCTGGAAAATCAATATGGGCCACATTACTCGGAAGTCCATATATCAGTAGGCAGGTATGAAAGAGGCTCACGTATGTGAAAAGGTTGCTAATATTTTCTTCTGAAGTTTAAATCTTATAGCTGCAGTTCACAGGGCTTTATAAAAGCACAGATGAGTTTTCGGTGACTCCAAATTAGGAAAAATGGTGGAAAGAAGAAGAAGAAAAAAACTGAAGACAATCTTTTGAAGACCTGTAGCCAAGAAAAATTAGAATTCAGTCCAAACTGTAAAAATTAATAAAAATGGAAAAACATTAGGCAAGACTAGAATCTAACAACAGGTGTACTATCATTTTTTGAAACAATTCTTCTCTCTCCCATTTACCATTTTTACTAAAGACAAATCATGGCAGAGCTGATTTGCTTTATTATACTTGACCTGATTATTGTATACAGCACAGTCATAGTAATAGTAATAATTTTTTTGCATAAGCTTTTAAATTCTCTTTGATGGAAGCGAAGCAGGATGTTTCCCTGACCCTTCTGTGGGACTTGTGACAGGGCCTCATTTATTCAGCCTGCCACTCTCACCTCCTTGCAGGAGAGAGCATGCAAGCAAATGAGGCAGGAACTGGAGTGCATGAGTGCTGGAATCAGCACTTCAGTGCTGCAGGATCAAACTTCACTCACTTGGACCTGCTGCAGTCCCCTGCTCATGGAAGGAAGCATGCAGGTGAATGGGTGCAGGAGCCAGAGTGAGTGCTTTTGGGTGCTGGCAGGAGCAAACTCTGTGCGGGCCCCACAGCAGCATCTAGGTGGAGGTGCCTGCAACTCCCATAGCCCCAGAAGTCATGTTACAGTGCTCTTTTAACTCTGCCTTCCATGGATGGCTTAAGTGTCAACAGCTCAGTGAGCCCTCTGCCTTTTTGCATGAGGCAGCTGCCCTCCAACAGCAAGAGCAGAAGGCCAGTGTGACAGCCTTTTGTATCTGCTCTCCTGGCTCCCAAGCTCTTGTCGGGTGTCCAGGAAAGGTGAGGTCACATGAACCAATCAAAGGATGGTAAATGTGGGGGATTTTGTTGCTGATGAAAGTGGCTCTTAGCAGGAAGGGAGCTGAAAAAGGATGGGGTGGGTAGGTAATCTTCCTCAAAGTTAGGCTGTATCCAGCCGGATTCTTCTCCAAGGTTACACCATCAAGCTGTCCCTCTGCAGTCAAGCTGCTTCTCTCTGATGTCCGGCTGTAGTCCCCAACATCCAGCTGCTTCTTGCCTCTGCCAGCTCAGTCTGAGATCTTCACAGGCACAGGATGGGACAGGATGGGGCCATGAGTGGTTTAGAAAAAGGCAACTTTCAAGCAGGAAAACAGGGATATAAGTTGTCACTTTGGGCCATGGTTTAAGGCTTTTCAGCTTGAAGGTGGGGTTTTGTCAGAGACCTATCCTTTTCTGCCTAGAATTTCTCTGTCCCCTGGCCCTATCAGAACTTTGTTCCATAGAAGGAATTTCGGATAAGACTTTTGGAAAGCTTAGCCTAGCCATGGATTTGTACCATCAAATACCTATGAGTTGGGTGAATTCCTCTCCTCTTGAGGTTCCAAGATAAACTTGGGGCTCCTGGAACTGTTAGAAAGTGACATGCTTTACTTACCACAGGTCAGGAACCCTGTACAGGGACTGTGTAGATAAGGTATGAGGCCAGTTCTCCCAAGGGGCTTTTATTGGCTCCATAAGTCAAGTTTGATTCCTCAAAGAAGAGCACACCATTCAAGTAAAAGCCTTGGTAAAATGACCAATTTATCGTGTCCTGTTACAAATGAAAACAGATTCTTATTGCACTTACGCAAATAACTGTATTGCCATAAGTTAAGAATACTCACAGATAGTTTCCAATTCTAGGGAAAATCAGGTAGAGAGAAACAAATATGCTCCAAATATTTTTCACAGGAGTATACTAACTTGTTAAAAGCTGACAACAGCTCAAAAGAAAAGTTTCCTTGACTGAAAAAAACAAAATAAAGGGTCAGCAATGTTTTAAGCAAAAAGTCAAAAAGATTACTTCAGTCTTCTGTTAGTTCAGTTCATGCAGTTAATTCCTGTTCTGCTTGCTATTCATGAACATTTCAGGTCTCCATGAGTCCTGAAAGCTTTTCCTTCATTGTGATGTCACAATCTCCAGAGTTATTAGAAACCTGCATTCAAGAATACCTGTTAGAGTTTTATAGCTGATTATAAAACCATCTTCTAAAGAGGACTAAAACAAGACAAAAATTGTCCATGGGTGACAAAAAGTTTTAGGTCAGCCATAGGCGAAGATACAATTGACAAGAAAATTTGTTACCACCATGGCACACAATAATTTAATATAACAATCATAATTATTACTGATAATGTACACCAGGTCATATCAGAATTATAGGAGTTTCCCATAATTTTGGTGCACATACCAATAACAATTTTATACAAATACAGCCCAAATAAAACCAAACACCATTTTATATTTGACAATGCTTCCTGTATAATTTTTATACCAAATAAGTCAAATTATTTCATTTTTGGACTTGAGGGAAACTAATATCTTAAAGGATTAATTAGGTCAGAAAAATACACAACTTGTAATTTGATTTTGGAAAGTTTGTCAAATATCAAAGGTTTAAAACACTTGATATGACAGGTCATCATAAAATAAGTCAATTTTTCAAACAATAAGCCCAAATAAAACAGCATAAAGCCAATTAAATTTGTTTTTCAAAATTTTTTAAACAATCTATAACATTTTAATCTTGACCATAAGATACAACTTTCATAAGCCTTTTATAACCTTTATAACCTTTATTAAGGGGTCAGTTAACACTTCAAGAAAACCTTGTTAATCTGACACAGGGGCCCATATGCTGGTATTGCATCAGTGTGCCTTTGACATCAATTATTAACTTGTATAGAGACTGAACTTATTTTATCTCTCAAAATCAGCCCTTATAATCTCACATGCCTACCTCTTCTGTGATTGTTCCTGAGTCTTGAAGAGTTGAATAGCTTTGATTTATGGCCTTATGTCTCAGAAATGCAGCTTATTTTGATAGGCATCTTCTACCAGGCCTGAAGATGAGGTTTTAATTGCTGTCAGTGTTTAAGATTTAGCAGATCTTGGTCTCCTTTTTAGATCCAGGAGTTAAAGGCCGGTAACTCAATGTCACAGGTACTTTCAAAGTGCACACAGAAATATACATGGATGTAATAACGTTAATTTTTTAAAAAAATTGTCTCAGTTTCTTTTTCCTAAGCAAACCAAAAATTAATAATAATGGCATAGGAATTGTTTCAATAAGCCATAAAATCTGTTAGGTCAATTACCAAAAGGCAAAAGAAAAGACCTTCTACACTGCACAGAGTATTACTTTGGAAGAAAACATTTCCTTTAGACTTTTAGAAAACATTGTTAGCATCAGGCCACAACAAACAGAACTTAAGGAAAATAACTTATATGAGCTGAAAACAAGTTGAAGGGGAGAGAAAACAGCAAGTAAATAGTTGAACTTTGGGTTAAAAAATTAAAATCTCTTATAATTTATTAAGAGTAAATCAATCCCTTAAGAAAATTTCATCGCTGTAACTAATTATTTAGTCTATAAGTGTTTTTTTTAGCATGAAGCCCAATCTTCAGGAAGACCATTATAATTTCCCTTTAATTATAGACAACTCAATCATATAAAAGTTTTTTGGTATTTTTTTAAAATAAATCCTCTTATGACTTATAGAGACTGTTCATGATATGCTTGGACTATCTAGTTTGTTTTGAACATCCATCTTTCTTAAACAATCAGTCATTTTATTTTAGGTCTAAATTTACCATACAAGATTCTTTCTCATATGAAATTATTTCTCTTTAAGCTTTCTTACCAGCACAGGCTGAACAGACTTTGAGAGGAAAATAGTTTATAGTTTACCTTTGAAACAAAGATTATAATATTTCATTCCCAAAGTAAATATTACTGCCTGTGGACTAGACCACTAAAAGCCACAAGATTAGAAGTTATGGTAATCTGACTAAATTCAAGATGTGGCTATTTTTATTAAACCAGTATCAATGTCTTATTTATTAAAGATTACACAAGCAAAGATCATTCTATCACAGTTTTGTAACCCCATGCCAAATTTTGACACCTTATAGTATTTGACAGGGATAAACATGAAATTGCTTGATTAATAAATGCAAACAAAATGCATGCTGGCAATTCTTAAGACATGTCTAATATTACTTTACCAATCATTTTAAAAGTAGCTTATTTATTAAAGATTTTACTTAAGTTACATAAACTTGAGAAAGCATTCAACTAGTCTTTTCTTTTTTCCTAATAAGTATTTGATTTAAGTGCTTTTTTTCTTAAGCCAATTAATTAGAGCCCTTTTATATATTTTCAGTAGTGAGACATTGTGTACACAACACATAAATACATAGACCTAGTAGGCATGTTGATAGAAGTACATCTTATAGATTCATAAGAAGATTTTTCCACTATCTTAGACTTTCAAATTCTCAATAACCTGTTTTAATCCCCTAGGAAGTTGTCAGCTAAATGGCTTTAAGTTTGCATATTAAAGGAAACAACTCAGGCAAAAATCAAAGAGCAAAATTTATGTCTTAAGGTACAGAGAGAAAAAGTCTGGTGGTGCTAGAGGGAAATTAAAATGGACTTCATTGCCAAATAAACATAAAATTATAAAAATTATAAAGGCCTTTTAAATACACACACACACACACACACACACACACACACACACACATCCTATAGCTTTTACTTCAGAACTTTAGCCATGAGACAAATACAAATTCACCAGCTTGCAAGCAAAAAAACTGTTGTATCCAAACAGTGGTTTTGATCTTAATAGAAAAATAACAGCAGATTTAAAGCAGGCAGAAAAGAAAATAGAGAAAAAAGAGAACTTAGGAACTCTGTAGTTTGTAGGTCCACCTTAAGGCTCTTCTTTTCTTTCTTTCTTTCTTTCTTTCTTTCTTTCTTTCTTTCTTTCTTTCTTTCTTTCTTGCTTGCTTGCTTTCTTTCTTTCTCTTTCTTGCTTTCTTGCTTTCTTTCCTTCTTTTCTTTCTCTTCTAAAAAAAAATGAAATATACATGCAGGAGAACGTGCAGGTTTGTTACATAGGTATATGTGTGCCTTGGTGGTTTGCTGCACCTATTGACCCATCCTCTAAGTTCCCTCCTCTCATTCCCCACCCCCCAACAGCCCCTGATATGTGTTGCTCTCCTCTCTGTGTCCATGTGTTCTCAAAGTTCAACTCCCATATGTGAGTGAGAACATGTTGTATTTGGTATTCTGTTTCTGTGTTAGTTTGCTGAGGATGATGGTTTCCAGCTTCATCCATGTCCCTACAAAGGACATGAACTCACTCCGTTTTATGGCTGCATCGTATTCCATGGTGTATATGTACCACATTTTCTTTATCAAGTCTATAATTGATGGGCGTTTGGGTTAGTTCCATGTCTTTGCTCTTGTAAATAGTGCTGCAATAAACATACATGTGCCTGTGTCTTTACAGTAGAATGATTTGTATTCCTTTGGGTATATAACAAGTAATGGGATTGCTGGATCAAATGGTATTTCTGATTTTAGATCCTTGAGGAATCACCATACTGTCTTCCACAATGGTTGAACTAATTTACATGGGCCCTTTCTTTCTTAATGTAAATATGCACAAAGACCATATTACTTCCATTTTACTTAAACTCTGGCAAGTACAGGTGCCATAAAACCTATGGAGTGCTTGAAAGGGAATCATTCTCTTTGCTTTCTCCTCATTCTTAGATTATTTGTTTCCCAGTTTTCTTCTTAAAAAGAGGAACTGAGCTGAGGCCTAGAGGTTTTCTGTGGTGGATCAATATGTGCCATTTGTGGGCAGGACTCCACAGTGGGTCACCACTGAAAACAACAGTTCAGTTCCTCATGCAAATGCACACAGACAAGCCGAATCGAGCTTAATTTGTGGAGAAAAAGCAACAGAGAGGACCCTTTAGAATGCATCTCTGAACTAGAATTAGGATTTTTAAACAACAACTTCCTGGAAGGAAAACGAAACAACAGCCAAGACCACTTTTTGTAAACTGTGCTCAGACACCCCTTAACTCTGTAGCTGTCATCTACCATTATACCCAGCAAGGTCAAAGCCAAAGAGGTCAGGTCATGCAATACAGGAAAATAGAGGTTTAGAGTTAAGAAGTATCTACCCATGACTCTTGAAACTCCACAAAGAAAACAAAACACCCCAAAAGGGGTGAGTGGCGACCTTTGTTCTGATTCTTTAAGGGAGTTCAAGTCATTAGAAGCCTTCTCTAGATTTTTTGGTACTGCAAATGGCAAAGGGGGAGGAGGTATATGGTGGAAGAAAAGTAAATGAAAGAAAATTTGTTTTCTAAGGCAGGAAGCAAACACAGAAACCAAGTGCATGGGTTTTTGGTTCTTTTTGTTTGTTTTCTTCTTTTGCAGCTGTAATGAATTTTAGCCAAATTAAAGAGGCTTTGTTACCCATAATTTTGAATTCTCACTTGGATTTGACCAAGTCAGGTAGAGTTGGTCAAGTCTGATGGGAGAAAGACCAAAACAAACAACAAAATGTCCAACAATACGATTACCAAGCATTCTAATGATAAGGAGAAATTAAGACCAGCTGGTTGTTAAACTTTAGCCAAGACAAAGCCCCAGTTCAGCTACTTACGTAGGGATGGGTCTCAGGCTGAAGGCTGCTTTCTACCATCCTAGAAGCAGGAAAAAAACTCAAACTGGTGTTCCCTGCTGGGAGTGAGCTCAAACTCTACATGCGTTTCATCATCATGGAAGCAGGAAATCTTGCCTTCCTTGTAAAGGAAGTAAAATAAATCTTGCCTTCCTTGTAAAGGAAGGCAAGTAAGCCAGTAAAACTCAACTCCAAAAAAAAAAAAAAAAAATAGATGGGGAAGTTGTACAGCAAAATACACTTTAGATCTTCACCAAATTTTGGGAGATCATGGATTCTTTGGGGAGGGTGCTTCCAGAACTCAGTAAATTGTCCTCTTGGTTTGAGCCATAAGGTTGGCTCATGCTATTACCAGGTACCAACTGGATATTTGTCAAAGGTCAGGTGCATCTCCACTCAGAATCCCTTCAGAATTACAAAAATGTGAACCCTGAATATCTGAGACAGGCTTCAGTTAATTTAGAAAGTTTATTTTGCCAAGGTTGAGGATGCTTCAGTGACACAGCTTCAGGCTGCTCCAGTGACACAGCTTCAGGAAGTCCTGACAACATGTGTGTAAGGTGGTCAGATAACACTTTTGTTTTATACATTTTAGAGAGATATGAGACATCAATCAACATATGTAAGATAAACACAGATTTGGTTCAGAAAAGGCAGGAGAACTCGAAGCAAAGGCGGGACAACTCAAAGCTGGGAGGGGGCTTCCAGATCATAGGTATATAAGAGACAAATGGTTGCATTCTTTTGAGTTTCTGATTAGTCTTTCCCAAGGAGTCAATCAGATATGCATTTATCTCAGTGAGCAGAGGGGTGACTTTGAATAGAATGAGAGGCAGATTTTCCCTAAGCAGTTCTGAGTTTGCCTTTTCCCTTTAGCTTAGTGATTTGGGGGCCCCAATATTTATTTTACTTTCACAGCCTTCTAACCTTATTTATCCTGCCTCATGTTTAAGAAGGCATCATAACTCTATGATTAAGATCTGGGCAACAATTTTCTTAAGGCATCTGAAAAAATGTGAAGCTTATCAATGATATCTGAACAAATCATCTTAAACTTGATTGGCTCAATAGCTTAGGGCACTTCAGAGCTGATAATTGTCAAGTAAAAGTAAAAACATCAAGAGCAGGTGCTCCTACTAGAATGCCAAGTTATAATCACTTACCATATTCTTTCAGATTCAAATGAAGGCACTACTCTTGAAGATTCTAATTAGGATATGCACCCCAGCTGCGACCTACTCAAGGCTATGAACTAATTTCAAAAAAAAATTCTTTTTTTTCTCAATTTATTTATTTATTTATTTATTTTTATTATACTTTAAGTTTTAGGGTACATGTGCACAACATGCAGGTTAGTTACATATATACATGTGCCATGTTGGTGTGCTGCACCCATCAACTTGTCATTTAACATTAGGTATATCTCCTAATGGTATCCTTCCCCCCTCCCCCCACCCCCACAACAGGCCCCTGTGTGTGATGTTTCCCTTCCTGTGTCCATGTGTTCTCATTGTTCAATTCCCACCTATGAGTGAGAACATGCAGTGTTTGGTTTTTTGTCCTTGCGATAGTTTGCTGAGAATGATGGTTTCCAGCTTCATCCATGTCCCTACAAGGGACATGAACTCATCATTTTATATGGCTGCATAGTATTCCATGGTGTATATGTGCCACATTTTCTTAATCCAGTCTATGTTGGACATTTGGCTTGGTTCCAAGTCTTTGCTATTGTGAATAATGCCACAATAAACATACATGTGCATGTGTCTTTACAGCAGCATGTTTTATAATCCTTTGGGTATATACCCAGTAATGGATTGCTGGGTCAAATGGTATTTCTAGTTCAAGATCCCTGAGGAATCGCCACACTGTCTTCCACAATGGTTGAACTAGTTTACAGTCCCACCAACAGTGTAAAAGTGTTCCTATTTCTCCACATCCTCTCCAGCACCTGTTGTTTCCTGACTTTTTAATGATCGCCATTCTAACTAGTGTGAGATGGTATCTCATTGTGGTTTTGATTTGCATTTCTCTGATGGCCAGTGATGATGAGCATTTTTTTATATGTCTTTTGGCTGCATAAATGTCTTCTTTTGAGAAGTGTCTGTTCATATCCTTTGCCCACTTTTTGATGGGGCTGTTTGTTTTTTGGTCTTTGACAAACCTGACAAAAACAAGAAATGGGGAAAGGATCCCCTATTTAATAAATGGTGCTGTGAAAACTGGCTAGTCATATGTAGAAAGCTGAAACTGGATCCCTTCCTTACACTTTATACAAAAATTAATTCAGGATGGATTAAAGACTTACATATTAGACCTAAAACCATAAAAACCCTAGAAGAAAACCTAGGCAATACCATTCAGGACATAGGCATGGGCATGGACTTCATGTCTAAAACACCAAAAGCAATGGCAACAAAAGCCAAAATTGACAAATGGGATCTAATTAAACTAAAGAGCTTCTGCACAGCAAAAGAAACTACCTTCAGGGTGAACAGGCAACCTACAGAATGGGAGAAAATTTTTGCAATCTACTCATCTGACAAAGGGCTAATATCGAGAATCTACAATGAACTCAAACAAATCTACAAGAAAATAATTCTTAAAAAGAAAAGTGAGCCTTGAAATTTTCAGCCTTTCTGGGTTTATATATAGTAAAATGTTAAGTGTGGAGATGTTTAAATTATAACGTAAACCCATAGAGACCACTGTCAGAAATATACCATGCTATCCAGATAAAATACAGCTCAACATGCTTTTTTTTTCTCAGCAGAACTCACTGGGAAATAAAGCCCGCTTTTTGGTTATAAATTCCAAAATGTTGTTTATTGAGTGAAATGACTCGAGTACATTAAATTCTTTATAGAAGATTTCCCTTATTTCATTGGTGTCTACTTTTCTGAAATTTGGTTTTATGTTTTTTGTCAAAATAGGGACAATAGTATTGTGAGATATAATGTGTTCATGATAAAATGTGTTTCAAGAGCTAAGGCATGAATTAAATGTCTTAATTTAGAATATTAAGACACATGTGCACATACACACACATATACACACAGCACTTTTATTCCAATACCTTAAATTATCTATATTTGATATAGAATGTATCTTCAAAATGATTTCAAGACGGGTTGCTCCTCCTGTGTCTTTGTGTAAAATATAATTGCCAGGGAATCAGTAAAATAATTATGAAAGCAATAGAGAATGATACCAATGAATTCTTAAGTGCAGAAAAGTTTATTAGAAAGCAGAGATACAACAAAGCATAAGAAATTCACCCTAGGAGAAACACAGAATACAATTGGGTGGCTGGATCTGAGGGTGCAACATCAGTGACAAAACTGGTCCTGCAGATAATATCTACCTCACTGAGAAGGAGAATCTGTACCTTAAAGTGATAAAGAAAATAAGGAAATCAGAAGATTGGAATAATTTCTTAGCTAGTGTATTACAAATTAATTCACATTTGGTGCCACCACCAGAAGAAAAAGAAAGCAAAGGAGGGAGTTTAAAATGAACCAGAATGTTCTCACAGAGTCAGTGAAATGGTGGTGGGCTCTTTGGAAGCATAAGGTCCATCCTATTGAATGACATCAACCCCACTTCATGTATCCTAATGGTCAGCACAGTAGAAGGGTCTACATCTGTGGGCCAGTGGTGAAGGGGGACGTGAGCCAGGGCAGTGGGCTCAGCAGCAAGAGGAGGCACAGCACAAGGGGCGGGGACAGGTGGAGATGACACAGGTTGGGCGATAGCAAGTGGTGTGGCAGGAGACTCGGCCACAGACTGGACGCAGGCAGCAGCAGGGGCGGCAGCAGCTGGGGCGGCAGCAGGTGGGCTGGCAGCACACAGACTGGCAGCACTGGGGCTTGCAGCAGCTGGACATACAGCAGCTGGGGCGGCAGCAGCTGGAGATGCAGCACCTAGGGTGGCAGCAGGTCGTCTCACAGCAGGTGGGGCGACAGCAGGTGGGTTGGCAGCACACAGACTGGCAGCACTGGGGCCTGCAGCAGCTGGACACACAACAGCTGGGGCGGTAGCAGGTGGTCCTGCAACAGGTGGTCTGACAGCAGCTGGGGCGGCAGCAGGTCTCCTGACAGAGGTCTTGGCTGCAGCCCTGGTCAGAGCACACGGAGCCACAACAGGAGCTGACCATGGTGTCAGAACGGGGAGGATCTGGGTGGGTTTCCAAGAGAGTGAAGTTCTTGGGTTTGGAAGTCTTCTGGGTCCATAGCCTCCTTTATACCCTGCTGAAGGCCCATTGCCACCACGTCATTATTTCCTTATTATTTACCTCGTGGAAAACTTAATCATGTAATTACATAATTGTGTGTTTCTACTTAAATACTCCAAAAGAGAGAAAATAACCCATTTCCTTTTCCTGCTGTGCTCCTGTGTTTCTATTGGAAACACTTGTCATATTTCTTCCTTAGTGGGGGTCACCTTTGTCCCTGGTCTCTGCAGTGTCTTTTACAAAGCACTGGTCACATGACTCTGACACTTTATTTCTAAATGTGATTCTCCCTCCTACCTGTAGATTGCTCTCTGCAAATCATGGGGGACAACTTTTATAATGTTAATGTGTCTTTTGTTGTCAAATAATGTCCTGGTCAGATGAAATGTTGGAAAGGAATTAGAAGGAAGGACTCATTCGGGAGAAGGATGTCCCATCTATAATGAAGATGACTCTGATTCCGTGTATGCTTCTTGAATGGTTGGGGAGATGGTCAGATCTTAAGGAAGTTATAAACTCTGTGTCAGATCTCATTCCACCACTCCAAGTGAAAGTACTTAGCCATGACTCATTGCCTTTAATGAGTAAAAACACATTTTTCTGTATGTCTTACAGTATAGGCATTTGGAGTAGGAAGTTTTGATTTACCTTTGATCATCAAAACTGCATGATGGATTATTCATTGACAAAAGCATTTGTTATATGTAAACAATATTTAGAATTATTAAGCCTTCAATAATATGCATCCAAGACATTCTATTGGGTACTCTGGGTATAGAACAGATAAACCCTCCTCTTTTTCCTGCAGGTACTTGTATAAGACACATGCATAAGAAACAGAATTTGGCAAAAATGAAAAGAATTACAATTATGTTCATTAAACAACTAAAATAAAAATGTATAGTATGTGGATAAGTTCCATACATCCTCAGGGTATGTATATTACTTGTGAAGTATTGACTATGTACCAGACATTGTGCTAAATATCTTTTTCATTTTCACTCTTTATTACAACCTTATAAAGTAGTGTACATTCTTATTGCTCTTTTAGCAGAATACTCAAAAGAAGCATTAAAAAGCTAAAACAAACAAACAAAATGCTTGTCCAAGATTAAAGAGAAAGTAAGCCTAATATGTCTTAGTGTAGCCAAGAAAGTGGTAAAGAACAAAATTTGCTAAGCTTGCTGAAACTGCTTCATCTTCTTGGAATGTGTCGTCTTTTTTTGTCCACTCTGCAAACTCCTACTCATTTGTCAAAACCCAGTTAAATATTTCCTCCTCAGTAATATCTTTCCTGATAAACTACCCCATTCATTTATCATTATTTCCTGCCTTGTGCTCATAATGTGATACATTCTACTGTATCATAGACGTTTACTTCTTTCATTCCCCCATATGCAATGCAAATAGCCTGAAGGCATGGGCTATGACGTTTCTTTTTGTTACCATGATACTCAGCACAGAGAACACCGGAAATAAATGTTTGTTGAATGAATGAAGGCTTTTTGATGACATAGAAGCATGTAAGGTCCTTTAAAAATGTATATATCGTTTGACTTCTGGATAAAAGAGAGGAAAACATTCCAAACAAGGAGATCAGAGTTTCATTTCAGGAAAACTACAATTATTTATGTGGTAAGCAACATGTCCCCTGATAAATAGCATATGTGGAACCTTGTGGAATTAGGATTCCGTTTATAGAATGAGACTTGGTTATAGATAACCAGGAATACCATGTTATCCCATTGTGGAAGGGAGAGAGGGTGAGACAGAGAAAGAAGGAGTCAAACTCATCCTTTTATAAGGAACCCACTCTTGTGATAACAACATTAATCCACTCATGAGGGTGGTGTCACCATGACCCAAACATCTCCTGTTAGGCCCCACCTCCCAACACTGCTGCATTGAGGATCAAGTTTCCAACACATGAACTTTGAGGGACACATTCAAACCATTGCATTCCACCCTTGGCCCCCCACATCCATGTCCTTCTCATACGCAAAATATATTCCTTTTATCCCAATAGTCCCAAAGTCATGTTCCATCACCAACTTAAAAGTCAAAATGTAAATCTAAGAGTCTCATGTGACTCTGATATGAATAAGACTCAACACAGGACTTATCCTGAGGCAAATTCTCCTCCATATGTGAACCTATTAAAGAAGTTATCTAGTTCCAAAATCCAATGGTGGGAGAGGCATAGGATAGACAGGCCCATTCCAAAAGGGAGCAACAGGAAAGAAAAAGGGTAACTGGCCCCAGGTGAGTCCAACAGGGAAGACAGCATTAAATCTTAAGACTGGAGAATAAACTTCGACTCCATGTGCTGTCTCCTGGATGTGCCCGACATGGGGAAGGGCTGCCTGGGGCCTTGGTGTTAGGCCCCAAATGCCCTCAGATAGCCCTGCCCCATGGCTTTGCTGGGCTCAGCCCATACAGCAGCTATCTGATTGGAGTCTCTGCTGCAGCTCTCTCAGGCTAGTATTGCAGGCTGATAGTTCTACAGTTCTAGGGTCTCAGTGGCTGCTCTGACCCCCCGTTTTCCTGAGCATGGCCCTAGGAGGACCTCTCTGCTGTGGCTACACCCCTAAGGCAGGCTGTCAGAAACATCCTTTCAAACCTAGGTGGACAACCATTGCCCCACAACTCCTGCAGTCTGTGTATCTACAGTCAGTACTACATCAACACCACCAAGGCTCACAGTTTGTACCCTCTGCAGCAGCAGCACAAGTCTCATCTAAGCCCACTTGAGCCACAACTGGAGCAGCAAAGGGGCACTGTGCTAGAATGTGGAGAGTACCAAGCCCTTTCTGACCTCAAGTTTCTCTCATTTGGAGCCTGTGATGGGAGGGATAGCTTCAACAATCTCTGAAATGCCTTCAGAGCCATTCTCCCATTGATCTGATGAACAGCACCTAGCTTCCTTCTATTCTTATCAATCCTTGTATCAAAGCATCACTTGGCCACACCCTTGCATGCTTTTTCATTCTTTTTTTTAAATTTTATTATTATTATACTTTAAGTTTTAGGGTACATGTGCACAACGTGCAGGTTTGTTACATATGTATACATGTGCCATGTTGGTGTGCTGCACCCATTAACTTGTCATTTACATTAGGTATATCTCCTAATGCTAGCCCTCCCCCCTCCCCCCACCCCACAACAGTCCCTGGTGTGTGATGTTCCCCTTCCTGTGACCATGTGTTCTCATTGTTGGTCAGGTTGCACATTTTCTACATCTATATTCTGTGTTTCCCTTTTAATTGCGAATTCCACCTTTAAATCGTTTCTTTCCTCTTGCATTTTACTATACGCAGTTCAAAGACACCAATCAGCTCCTTCAACATTTTTCTTGGAAATTTCTTCCCCCGATATACTTGTTCTTCTTTCTTTAACTCTGCCTTCCATAAAGCCTTTAGACATGAACATAATTCAATCAAGTCCTTTGCCACTTTGTAACAAGGATGGCCTTTACTCCAGTTTCCAATTCTTGTTCCTCATTTCCATCTGAGATCTCATCAGAATAGCCTCTATTGTCCATATTTCTCTCAGCATTCTGGCCACGACCACCTAAATAACCTATAAGAAGATTCATACTTTCCCTACAGCTATTATTTTCTTCTGAGCCCTGACCAGAATCACCCTTAATGCTCTCTTCATAGCATTACAGTATTCCTTCCCTATCTGTGGATTTACTTTCCACGGTTTCAGTTACTTATGGTCAACCACGGTTCTAATGTATTAATGGAAGATCCCAGAAATAAACAATTTGTAAGTTTTAAATTGCATGCCATTCTGAGTTGTATGATGAAATATCACCAATCCTGCTCTGTCTTGCCTGGGACAAATGTCCTCCCTGTGTCCATACTGTATACATGACCACCCTTTAATCCCCGAGTAATTATCTCAGTTACCAGACTGACTGTTGCAGTACTGTAGGATATGCAGTGCTTGCTTTCAAATAACCCTCATTTTACTTAATGATGGCCCCAAAGTGCAGGCTACACTAATTTGGTTGACTTGGACTTTAGAAAATAATGTCACTTAATGCTATTCCACCATAAAATCATAATAAAATCATGTATTTTGCAGCAACATGGATGGAACTGGAGATCATTATCTTAAATGAAACAAATCAGACACAGAAAGACAAATATCGCATATTCTCACACATGGGGGCTACATAATGTGTGCGCATGGACATAGAGAGTAGAATGATAGACCATGGACACTCAGAAAGCTTAGAGAGTGAGAGTGGGGTTGACAATGAGAAATTACTTAATGGGTACAGTTTATGTTACTCATGTGATGATGGCCTAAAAGCTCTGACTTGCTAATTATGCAATCTATGCATGTAACAAAGTCACACTTGTACCTCAAAACTTAAAAAATGAAATAAAATAATAATGTCATTTAGTTTCTTCCCAATACATTTAAACATAATTAAGCATCATAGCTAAAGAGTGCTTCTAAGTGATGAGGTTCAAGGCTCAAGTACAGAATAATATGATTCACTTGCAATTAGCACAAAGTACATTCACGCTAGGTTAAATATATCTTCTGTAATTACATTTACCTTCCCAATTTGTCCATGAATTTTGTGGAAGATGCCAATTTTCCCTCGGTACAGGCCAGGGAAAATTAGCCTGCACATGTCCCAAATTAATAAGATTTTGTTGTATGATGATCAATTATAGCAAGAAATTTAGGAAGCGTAGGAGATATTCAGGACATTGTCCTAATTCTTTTCTATGATGTAACCTGATCATCAGAATTTCAGGTAATATGTTAGTCAAGTAATGAATTATTGCCCCAACACACAATACTCCTAGGAATACATAATGCCAATAGAATAGAATAGAGCAAAAGTGAATCACTAATGCCACAGTCTTCAATGTTCAGAATATTCACAGGGTCATGTAGGGATTGGCTTAGGGCCTTGAAGAGCCCTGTGTGACTCACAGGTGGGATCACAATAGCAGGTCCATGTGCGCAGATGAGCTTTATATTGGTCAGAAATGTTCTTTTGGAAGGTCTTTGTTGGGTTTGATATAATCGGAAATTAGGAGTCCTATACAGCTATAGATCATCATTCACTTATCTATTCAACAATGGTGAGAACTCTCTCATTCTGTTCTACAGACTATGCAGGAACCTCCATTCTACTTGTTCTTTAAGACTTAGGTGCTATTACCTCCACAAGCAAACCTTTCCTGATGCTCTCTGCCCAAGCCACCTCTCCCTTAAGTTGCCCTCTTCTAAGATCCTGGCAGCATGTTTCTCATGTGTTTCATATTGTTGAATTTATTGTTAGCTTTTTGAAAGCTCTTTGGAGATATAATTGACAAGTAAAAATTGCATATATTCAAGGTGTACAAAATAATGTTTTGATATACATATACATTGTGAAATAGATGACCACAATCAAACTAATTAACATATCAATCACCTCACATAGTTATTCTTTTTGTGGTGAAAATACTTATGTTCTAGCAAATTTCAAGTGTACAATACAGTATTGTTAACTATAGTCACATTGCCATACATTCAATTTCCAGAACTTACTGATTTTGGATAGCTGAAACTTTATACTCTTTGACCAACGTCTACCCGTTTCTTCCTCATTCCACCCCATGCAACCACCATATAAGTCAGATCATGCAGTATCGGTCTTTGTGTGTCTAGCTTATTTCACTTAGCTTAATGTCCTCTGGGTTCATCCATGTTGTTATAAATGACAGGATTTTCTTCCTTTTAAAGGCTGAATTGCATTTTGAATAATGACATTTATATACATTTTCTTTATCCACTCATCTGTGGATGGGCATATAGATATTTCTGTATCTTAGTAGCTGTGAATAATGCTGCAATGTACATACAAGTGCAGATATCTTCAAGATAGTGATTTTATTTACTTTGGATATGTATCCAGAAGTGGAATTGCTGGTTCACAGGTGAGTTCTATTTTTAATTTTTTGAGGAGCCTCCATACTGTTTTCCATAATGGCTGCATCAAGTTACATTCCCACCAACAATGTATAAGAGTTCCCTTTACACCACATCCTTGCCAACACTTATCTTTTGACTTTTTGATAACAGCCATCCTAACAGGCATGAGGTAATATCTTATTGTGGTTTTCATTATCACTTCCCTGATGATTAGTGACGTTGAGCACCTTTTCAAAGACTACATTTGACAGTAATTTAGAATTCTCAGGTCAATTGGGAAGTTGGAACACAAAGGGAGAGGAAGAATGGTGGCTGTTGGATAGAGAGGGATGTAAGAGCTAAATTCTCATCACACATAACAGTGGGCCAATAGATAATATCTAAACTTTAAAAGTCAAGAAATAGTACTGTAACCACACCATTTAGAAAGATCTTTTTTCCTAGAGTTCTCCCTCCAAAATCTTCATCTTACTGTTCTCCTCTGCACTGATTGCTTTCTAGGCTTGCTGTACGGTTGCCATTTTTGGATTTATCTTGAATGCAATTCTGATTTTCCGACTTGAAATTCCTGTTTTCTGAATCTGTGTTCTCCTCTTTGTCAACTTCTTCTTCATGTTGGTGGTGCACATCCTCCAGACGTTACTTTAGAAAGGGTTCACGGACAATAAGGATTTTTTTGGGCTTTTCATATCTGAAAATGTTACTATTCCTTTGTTTCTGTTTGGTAGTTTGGCCAGGCATGGAATTCTAGGCTAAAAAACATCCCACTGAGAAATTTTAAGGCATTTCCCATTGTCTTCTGGCTTCCGGTGTTGATGTTGAAAAGTGTGATGCCATTTCGCCTCCTGAACCTTGGTATGGGAACCACATATTATTTTCCTCATTGGACGCTTTCAGTACCATTTTCATATCCCTAATATTCTGAGATTTCACAGTGATGTATCTTGATGTAAGCCTTACATTCACTGTTCTCAGCGCTGGTGGTCTTTTAATCTGGAGCTCCCTTCTGAAAGAAATTTTCTTATACTATTTCTTTGATAGTTTTCTCCCTTGTATTTCCTTCCTTCCTTCTTCTTTCCTTCCCTCCCTCCCTTCCTCTTTCTCTATTTCCCTTTCTTCCTGTCTTCCTTCCTTTCTTTTTCTTCCTTGTCTTTCTTTCTTTTCCTTCCTTCCTCTTTCTCTTTCTTTCTCTCCTTTCCTTCCTCCCTCTCTTCTTTCCTTCCTTCCTCCCTCCTTCCTTCCCTTCTTCCTTCCTTCCCTTCTTCCTTCCTTCCCTTCTTCCTTCCTTCTCTTCCTTCCTTCCCTTCTTCCTTCCTTCCCTTCTTCCTTTCTTCCTTTCTTTCTTTCTTTCTTTCTTTTTCTTTCTTTCTTTCTTTTCTTTCTCTTTCTCTCTCTCTCTTTCTCTCTCTCTTTCTTTCTTTCTCCCTTCCCTTCCTGTCTTCTTTTTTCCTTTTGAGACAAGACTTCTTTATGTTGCCCAGGCTGGCTTCAAATCCCTGGGCCCAAGGGACCCTCTCACCTCAGCCTCCCAAGTAACTGGGACTATAGGCACAGGCAACCATTACACCTGACTCCTTATGTTTTCTCATTTGTCTTTCTAAAATTTTTCTTCATTGAGTGGTAGATCTCCTGAATTGATCCTCTGTGTTATTATAGTTTCTTTAATGTCCATTTCTTTCACTTCTTTTTATAAATTTTTTTACATATCTTCAAGACAGGAGAACAAATTATTTGACTCCTTGTTCTACTTTACCTTCCAAACATTTTACTGAACGTTTTTCTAATTTTTTCTATCACATTTTAATTCTCAAGCTTTCACTCAACTTCTCTGACTGCTCCTGTTTCTTAGAATCTTGTTTTTATTTCAAACAGAATTTCTTCTCTTAGCTCTCTTGAGTATTTTATTTACAATAGTTCTTGTTTTACAATTTTTTAGTTCTATTCTGCTCCCTGTAGTTTCTATTCCTGTCAAATTTGTTTTTCCCCCTTTTTCTTTTTTTCTTTTTAAATTAGTGTGAATTGTCAGGCTGGAGACATTTCCCAAGTGTCTGAAGCATATTGGTTAACATGGCACTAAAAAGCCAATTGAAAGTTCTGTGTGGACAGCAGGGCTTGTTAATTGATCTCTTCACCTCTCCTCCCCTTCATCCACAAAAAAGAAGTCAAGATTTATATGTTTAGTTTCTTTAGAGGAGAATCTTCCAATATCCTGCTTGGAAAGCTTATGGCCATCAGTCCTGGATGCTGAGCACAGTACTCAGATTTTCACTGCATGAGTCTGTTTTCTGTTCTATTCTTGACTTTTGTTCACTTTAGTATTCCCAAATCTGGAGTCTCTGTCACTAAATTTTCTGGAAGATAACCCTTGTTTCTCCTGGTTGGAAGTGGGGGAGGCCTAATGACCAACTTTGTAGGGTGGGGTAGGGATCCAGGGGTCGAAGCATCCTGCTGCCTACCCTGCCTTCAGGGGTATTACCTGGTGACTCCGGGTTCTGAGCCTTTCTGAGGATTCAAGGAAAACCAACTTTACACTCTGTGGTACTCTCTCTGTATGCATTCACATTGTAGCTCCTTTTGTTATCTTTAGTTGACCACCATTGCTCTTGCCCCAAATTTGCTACACTTTCTTATCTGCTATTGTCTCCTGTCCTGAGAAAGTAAGATGAGGGTTTCTGTTTTTTAACACCTTTTAAAAGTTGGTGTATCATAATGGATTCAAAGAGGATAAGAGGACATAAAAGTTAATTTTCTGACATTTTAAGGACCTGCTATTACTAAACTGTTAAAATTAGACTTAGTATCTCATATATACACTCCCCCTTAAGTGTTCCTGAAGTAAACTAGTGCCCATGCTCCAGATGTTGGTGAGATTCTTTCTCTGTGTTTCCAAAGCATGTTAAATAATCCTGAAGGTTAATTTTATTTTCCAATATTTTATTCACGCCTAAACTGCATTGAAGGGCAAAAAAAATTGTGGCATGCCTGTGGTCCCAGCTACTTGGGAGGCTGAGGTGGCAGGATGGCTTGAGTCCAGGAGTTGGAGCTTGCAGTGAGCTGAAATGGTGCCACCACACTCCAGCTTAGGTGACAGAATCAGACCCTGTTATTTTGATCCACACAAGCTATTGGTCATGTGTGAAGGCAATGGAAAGATTTCCTCATAGATTCAAGGACTCGGGATATATAACTTCCCTTTAAAATTCCTTTAAGAAATATTCCCATTGACTGAAATACAAGTCAAAATAAAGAATTCCATTACAGTATAGATGTCATGCATAAAATAATGGTTCTGAGAGATGAAGCTGATAAAATTTAAAAAGATTCAAATATATTCTAAAAGTGGTAGGGGATAAAAATAGCAAAGAATACACAAGTGGTAGGCAAATTAAAAAATGGGGTAACAATACCTATATTTTCTGGTAATAAAGTGGGTGTGGTGGCTTGCACCTGTAATCCCAGCACTTTGGGAGACCGAGGTGGGTGGATTGCTTGAGCTCAGGAGTTCAAGACCAACCTGGGCAACATAGTGAGACCCTGTCTCCACAAAAAATACAAAAATTAGCTAGACATGGTGGTGCATGCCTGCGGTCCTAGCTACTTGGGAGGCTGAAGTAGCTAGGGGAGGTTGGCTTGAGCCGTGGAGTTGAATTTTGCAGTGAGCTGACATGGTGCCACTGCACACCAACTTAGGTGACAGAGCCAGATCCTGTCTTTTAAAAAAAGGAAAAAATTCAAAAATGAAGATAACATATTTATAAATGTTTATGTGCCATAGAAGAGATCATAGAAATGAATAAAACAAATACAGTTTTGCAATATGCAGATATGACAGAATAGGCATCATTACTAGTTTGAGGCTCTGATAGATTTCTCAGGCCTAGGTACTTAAGCAATACTGAAACGAGAAACAGCTTGTATAGACCATTTATGGTCCTGGAATAAATTGAAGAGGGATGCCTGAGCCCAAAGATACGATTCTCACGTCGCATTACCATATCAATTTCTGAATATGTTGTTTTGAGTTTTGTGCTTACTTTACTTTTTTATTTTCCTCTTCAGCTAAAAGTTTTGCCTAGAGCTCTTGAGCCTACTGATATCATTTTGATTGATATCATTTTGAAATGGAAGGAAATGGCTTGAAAAGACACAGGAAATACAATATGAACTGAACTCCCAATGCAAAAGGGAATCTCAAAGTTATAAAGGAAACACAGGTAGCTGGGTGACTTGATCCAGGTCATGTGGAGTGAGCCCTAACCTTTGCATGTCTCATAGGTAGACCTGCATGCAAACTCTGCAATTGGAGCTTTAATGGAGCATGAGTGGATGAATATCATTAATGGGTCAGTGAAGCATCTCAAAAATAGAACTCAACTGCAATTCCAATTTGGTTTCCATCACTTTCTTTCCCATAATGACGTGTTTCATCACTCATGCTCGCTGATTTTCCCACTGACTCTATGGCTTCAGCCTAAAATTATGCCTCTTATTTTTCCATAGAACTCACCATGAATTAATCTTGACATATCCCTCCTCCTTAAAAGGACTATAATTTTTTAAATGTCTTTTTAATAAGACTACCCTTCATAAAGATATAAATATTCGGCTGTGATCTGATTCTCCTTCACATAATCTTACGTGTTTGAGACCTGTGCATGTTAACCTGAATTTTCAGAATTGACACATTTTATTTCTATGAATCAATCCTTACGTATGTATTACTTTTCTCCAATAGAATAGAGTCCTTTTTCTCACTAATATTACCAACATACTCTCCCTGACATATGCATTTAAATTAAATTCATGATTAATTGAATTAATTGAGTGGAGAGGGAAAGGAAAGAAAAATAACTTTCAGACCACGTGTGGTGGCTCACGCCTGTAATACCAGCACTTTAGGAGGCCGAGGCAGGTGGATCACCTCAGTTCAGGAGTTCAAGACCAGCCTGATGAACATGAAGAAACCCCGTCTCTACTAAAAATACAAAATTAGCCGGGCATGGTGGTTCATGCCTGTAATCCCAGCTACTTGGGAGGCTGAGGCAAGAGAATCACTTGAACCCGAGAGGCAGAGGTTGCCATGAGCTGAGATCATGCCACTGCACTCCAGCCTGGGAAACAAGAGCGAAACCCCATCTCAAAAAAAAAAAAAAAAAAAAATCCATGATTATGTTGTGAGTTACCTAAGGGAAAAGAAGTGGGTCTCATTCATTTTATGCAATTCCCAGAGCCCAATAGCTTGCTAATTTGTTCTTAATTTAATTACAGTAAAAATTGAGTTCTTGTTTTGTCTCAATAAACTTGATGGCAGGTAAAGTGAGCAATCTGTTTTGGATTAAAAAATGAATTATTTGGCATTTTCTCTAATACAGGCTTTGGCTGATACATATAATATCAATTTTTTTGTTATTGCCCATACAATAGGAACTCAAACCATTTTACAAATAAATAATCAACAGTAAGAAATACTGAAAGGTCACAAATGTTTTTGATACCAAGAGAGTGTTTATTGAGATATAGTTACTCTACCAGACGTAATTCATTGCAAAGTCCAGACCACACTCGGCAATTGTAAGCTTAGAAGCCTGTTCCAATGAAATAGTGTGAGATATCTGGTCATCTGACTGCACACCAAGCATAGAAGTTGGAGGTTTTGTACGATATGCATTTAAATTTTTGCTTTTAAAATAGTTGCTTGGTGGAATGAACAATGAGCTATATAAATGTAGTGGTGGATCAGGGCAAGGCCAGGTCCAGTGGAGAAGGGGAATGAGAATGACTGGTACACTGACAACAAGGTGGTTGAACCAGGGCTGGTGGTCAGGAATGAAGTTCAACAGCAAGAGGATTCATAGGAGACTGGACCACAGCAGGTGGTCTGGTAGCAGACTGGACAGCAGCAGCTGGACACACAGCAGCCAGGGTGGCAGCAGCTAGAAGTGCAGCAGAAGGGTGGCAGCAGGAGGGCTGGTAGTACTGGGGATTATAACAGCTGGGCCTGGAGCAGGTGGACACACTGCAGCTTGAGTGGCAGCAGCTAGAAATGCAGCAGCTGGGGCAGCACAGGGACTGGCAGCACTGGGGCCTGCAACAGCTGGACACAGAGCAGCTGGGATGGTAGCAGATGGTTCTGCAGTAGGTGGTCTGGCAGCAACTGCAGCAGCAGCAGGTCTGGCAGAGGCCTTGGCCACAGCTCTATTCAGAGCAGACAGAGCTACAACAGAAGCTGACCATGGTGTCAGATGAGAATCGCAGATGACGAGCAGAAGGAGGCACTTCTTCCTGTACAGTGTGTCTCCATGTGGTTCAAGGAAGTAGCCACACTCACCAAGCAACAAGATAAATGGTCTTTGACCCACACAAGATTCACCGGAAATACTGATATCCTTTCAAGTCACTAAGTCTTTGGTCTTTCCCGCCTTGTAAAAAAGCTTGGCTCTTTATGCCATACTTCACAGAGCCCTACTCCTGATTCATCTTCTTGAGAATACAAAGTCGCAGTTATATTTGAATTTAGGCCACAGTCTTATGGATGGAATTGCACCCAGCAAGGAGTTGATGAGAAGGTCATGGCCTTGGACTCTTCTTGGCATCTTCCTAGAACATCTCAGGCAGTTTTGTTTTTAATAAATATAGATTTCTAGGCAATGCTCTTGGATATGCTGTGTCACTTGATTATTATCCTGAGTAGCTGGGATTACAGGCACCTGCCACCATGGCCAGCTAATTTTTGTATCTTTAGTAGAGACAGGATTTAACCATGTTGGCCAGGCTGGTGTTGAACTCCTGACCTCAAATGATCAGCCCACCTCGGCCTCCCAAAGTGCTGGGATTACAGGCATGAGCCACCACTCCCATCCCAAAATAGAATTTCTAATGAAATAGACATAATCTAATTTGATCTTCTAGAAGTCTTTTCCAAGCCTCACACAAAGATTATTAAAATAATTGATTCTCTACTTTGGTAGATTAGATTATTCCTTATTAATGTTTACTCTCCCCCCTCCTCCCACCCAACTCCAGAAGTATCCTCTCCCACCCTCTGACTTGGACTTTGCCATGTGAGTTGCTTTGACCAATGAGAAGGCATGACCCGAAGACTCAAAATGTGAGATTGTTCCCTTGGGCCTTTGTTCTCAGAGGAGGATGGCCCCTAAAATACCGGACACTCCATTAAAATGGAATTCCAGACAAACAACAAATAATTTTTAAATGTAAGTATACCCATGCATAATCAGATATAATTGTAATAAAATTATTTGTTGTTTTTCTGAAATTGACATGTAACTGGGGAACCTGTATTTTTATTTGCTAAATATGACAACTCTCATTCAAAAGAAAGTCCCAAACCAACCTGTGGGCAGAAGCTAAGGCCAACCTTAATCAACCAAACCCCAACTAACCTACAAATATATGACCAATAAATAAATACTTGTTACAATAAGCTATGAGAGTTTGTGGTTGCTTGCTATGCAGCAATAGCTGTCTAATTCAACCATGGTAGCAATGTGAAGCCAGCTTAATACACCAATCAATACACAAGGATGAACAGATGGCTTTCTACAAAGAAAATAAAAATAGAACAGTGGCCAAGTATTTGTGACAGGGTTGGTTTTATGGTAAATTTTGATAAATTTTCTGGAGGGGATAGTTAGTTAAATTTTTAGCTTTATCAATATAATGAGGATTAATGGATAGTGCAAAGTGAGCCTATTCAAATTAATTCAAAGGAGAATCTCATTTTCATAAGCCTATTTGTGAAAACACAGCTTTCGATTTAGACATGCTTGGATTTGAATCTAGACTGTTATCTAAGAGCCTACAGTTCAATGCTGTTCTGGTCAGGCTATGGCAGAAGCTCAAGCTGGAAGAGTGCTTCACAAAGGAGCCTCAGGCTCAGCCCGCTGCCCTCCCACAGAGGAATGGCAGGTGCCAGCCCCTTTATACTAGGATGAAGGCCAAGGTCCCAGAATCCCAAGGGCCTTTGCCCCTATCTGATGGCTTCCGCTACGCCTTGACTTGTGCAGACACCTGCATGGGGCTACTGTAGGTGTATCCCAGCAAGTATGTTACCCAGAAAACCACCATAAAAAGACTGGAGTTATATGTGGCCTGTGGCGTCCCCACTGATATCAACAGTGCCCAGGGCTCTCACTTTACCATATACAAAGTGCAGGAATCGGTGGAGGCCCTGGATATCCATTGGCATTTCTACCTGCCATACAACCCTATAGCAGCGGGGCTGATTGAATGGATGAAACAACCATTGAAGAAACAACTCTGGCAGGAGACGCCCTCTCTGGCTCTGTGGACACACTGCTTACCAGCACCCATCTGCGCCCTGAATGAAACTATCCAAATTAGATGTATCACTTTGCAAAATCACATGCCCTGGACGCTTAGTGTGGATCTTCTGCATTAATTAAAACTGAATGTTGTGTATATATATCCCTGATTACTCTCACAATGTAACTCAGGCCGTGCAGGCCCAAGATATCCCTGAATTAACAGGTGTGCTCTCATCTCCCCAGTGCACACACTCTTCTGGCTCAAGGACCTGATACCACCATCACGATCCAGGTTGACAGTGTAAGGGATGGTACCCCCCTCCTTTGCCTCAACCTGGGACTCAACCTGGGGCTATGCCCTTGCCATAGGACCTACCCACTGGAGAGCACATCATTACATGTGCCCGGAAATCACAAACCAGCCCCAGTTGGTACAGTTTTTTCACTCCATGGGGCAAGGGCGTAGAAAATGATATACAGATCACACCTATTTTACATCCTATTCCTCCTTGTACTTCTAAAATAATCAATCCTAGTCCCCACTTGTGCAAGGGAGTGATCATCCTGTCATTATGGGACATTACAATATCCACACTGTCTTACTGTGGCTGCAACGTGTTGCAGAAGTGGGCAATCCATGTGGTATTGCAAACCAGGCACAGGTTGCTGCTGGGGGTGGTGATCTCTCAGAACGACACAACTTCCTGTCTTGTTAGATGGCCTGACTTGCCCTTTCTTCTTTTTTTTTTTTTTTTTGGAGATGGAGTTTTGCTCTTGTTGCCCAGGCTAGAGTGCAGTGGCATGATCTCAGCTCACTGCAATCTCTGCCTCCTGGGTTCAAGAGATTCTCCTGCCTCAGCCTCCCAAGTAGCTGGGATTACAGGCATGCACCACCACGCCTGCCTGATTTTTTTGTATTTTTAGTAGAGACAGGGTTTCACCATGTTGGTCAGCTGGTCTCTAACTCCAGACCTCAGGTGTTCCACACGCCTTGGCCTCCAAAAGTGTTGGGATTACAGACGTGAGCCACTGTGCCCGGCCAACTTGCCCATTCTTCTACCCACTAGGTATCTCACCTGTCACCCATAGGTGGTGTACCTCTTCACCAACTGGGTGCAAATGGCGACCTTTCCCCAAAACAAAACAGACTGTTGCATCTGCAGGGAGCTGCCCTTCTCCTCCAGCATCAGCCTGCCATGGTGCATCCAAGCAGCTAACCTCAGTATCTGGAGCCATTTCTATACTTGGTATAATGACCCTCACCCATTTCCCTTTAGCAATAACCACACTTCATGTGATAAGTTTCCCACCATCAGAGATGAGACAACATATTTTCCACCTAGTATAGGAGCAGGTTAATGTCACCCCCACTGTGGGGTATTCTGTAGATGATGGGCCAGGGTGGACAACAGCAGTATAGATACAGCTTGTGGGCTGTGCACCCACATGTATTAAAAGGCATGATAATAGCATGCCACAAGCTAAAACCAGTAGTATGGGATGGCTACCCCCACAGTGTAATGTAATCTATTTCTTCAGGTAATAGACATGGAATATGACAGCAATGAAACCAATCTCTTCAGGTAACCAGTGATACTTGACTGCGACGACAGAGTGACTCTCCACCTGGGGGCCTACCACACCCCTTAGGATGGCTGTGGGCATGCGGCATCCACAGTTGGCCTTACTTACCCTATAACTGGACTGGTAGATGCACCTGGGGACATCCTCATTTGCTGGGATACATCGTGCCCAGTTTAGACACCATTCTTACTAACTGGGAAATTGTAAAAGCCAGGCACTGCTGGAAGCATGCATCCCAGTGGTTTTACCCGTTGGCCACTTTTGCCATGTCCCCCCCGCCACTCCCCCCACCACTCACCACCCAAGTGGTGACAATAGACATACAGCTGCAAGTTGAGGCCCTGGCTTAACATAGGGCTGCAGTCTTTAATGATATCTGCCATGATATTACTCTTCTCACTGAAGAAACTGCCCAAATTAGGTGTGTTACTTTGCAAAATTGCATGGCCCAGGACATCTTAACCGCTTATCAGGGCAGAACCTGTGCATTAATTAAAACTGAATTTTGTGTATATATCCCTGATTACTCTCACAATGTAACACAGGCCATGTGGGCCCTAGATACCCAGATTTCTGCTATAGAATCTCTATCTTATGACCCTGTAACCACATGGTTTAATCAACTCCTGAGTGCTTGGAAAAACTTTCTATACAGTACAATTGTTGTTACATTCATTATTCTTTTTTGTTGTAGTAGTTTATGTTGCTGCTGAAACATCTGGTTGCAATGCTCCTCTGCATATCCTAGCCCCAGGGAAATCTCAGAAGAATGGTGTGATTAGAATGTAAGGGCTATTCAAGGGTATGCTGAGGTGGAGGGTATGGCAGACACATCTGGCAGCAATAACTTAACTTAAGCATACCCTGAGAATGATCCTACAATCAAAGAAGAATGTATGCTTGGAGTTCTGAGCTAAGGATCTGGGAGTGGCCAACTTGGAGATCCACTCCTTATCTATGAAGGACATTTGAATCCCCACCTCATCCATTAGAACACAGGTCATACTGGGGATTGAGGCCCTTTGTTTTGGATTAAATGGAGGTTGTTAGGTGGAGGGTTCTAATGAAAATACTGTGTGAACTGCATGCTTTTTACAAATAATAGCAGTTCTCCTGTCCAGATACCACCACTGGACCACCCTTGTATGTAAGTTCCACTAATAAACCCTGCATCATGTTAGCTTTCTCCAGGTCCCTTCTCTAGCTCTCAGACACATTGTCATACTTAGTGGAGTCAATGGGGGTCCAGGATGACAATGTGTCATCTGGGCAAAACATTTCCCTAATTCTCTTCCAGTACCACTTCTAACCTTGCTGCTGAAAGGAAAGTTCATTACTTATTTTTTTAAATCTGTGTTTAATATGTATAAATGTAAGAGGTTCAAATGCAGCATTGTTACATGGATATATTGCATAGTGGCATGAAGTCTGGGCTTCTACTTTAATATATGTTTTCTTTCCTGTCTAAAGACCATGGTTTACTGAATCCAATGAGCATAAAACTCATAGTAGAGGCTACTTACTGCAGACTGAGGAGACCTGGATCTCAGACCTCATATGGTGACCTCATTGTGTGACCTTGGTACACTCTCAGGACCTCAGCTGTAGAGTGAGGGCATAGGCCTACATATTCTCCGCAATCCCTTCCCGGACTCTACAGATGCAACGACTAATTCCAAACAAATTACAAATATAATAATTGCAATGGATCCTTGAAGAGGGTTTTACAATCAAGGTAGAAGTTGAGTTTGGATTGGAAGGATGAGGAGGGCATTCCAGGTGAATGATGACACATCAAAACCAAGGCAGGAAAGCCCAGGTCCTAGTCAGGGGAGAGTGACCACACCAGTGGCCAGGGATCTGCATTTCGTGTGGTCCCTGCTCATATGAAAAACCACAAGCCTATCTTTAAGTGAGTCATGGAAGGAGCTATCTGTGAAGCAGATGACTACTGGTCTGCACTAGGATGATGCAATTAACCTGCTACCATCATGCCCATGTGCATTAATAAGGCAAGTCACTGCTTGGGTGCCGGTGATGGGAGCCTTTGAAGACAAGGAAGAACATGCTAATTTTAGCGCCAAAGGGCAGAGCGATTAGACACTAATTTAGAAAACACATTCTTTTCTCTCTTATGGGTTAGGAATATTTCAAAGGAAAATTAATCAGAAGTGAATCCAATGTCTAAATTTAGTGAGGATAAACAATACAAGAAAATGAGCGAATATTTGTGGTGTATGTACATGAATATGTATGAGGTGAAGAGTGACCAAAATACCATTAGTCAATGCTAAATCTTCACTTAATTGGCCAGAAGATGCACAAGAAAATGATCATATGTTGAAGGGTCATCAGCTCCCAGCCAGGGTATATAAAGGGCCCAGAGGGGGAGGAGGACATTCACACCTGAGAACATCCAGCTCCTCTCAATAGCCCAACCCACACCAGCCTCAGACACCACCATGACCGGCTCCTGCTGCGGCTCCACCTTGTCCTCCCTGAGCTACGGGGGAGGCTGCTGCCAGCCCTGCTGCTGCCGCGACCCCTGCTGCTGCCGCCCCGTGACCTGCCAGACCACCGTGTGCCGCCCCGTGACCTGCGTGCCCCGCTGCACGCGCCCCATCTGCGAGCCCTGCCGCCGCCCGGTGTGCTGCGACCCCTGCTCCCTGCAGGAAGGCTGCTGCCGCCCCATCACCTGCTGCCCCTCGTCGTGCACGGCTGTGGTGTGCAGGCCCTGCTGCTGGGCCACCACCTGCTGCCAGCCTGTGTCTGTGCAGTCCCCCTGCTGCCGGCCCCCCTGCGGCCAGCCGACCCCTTGCAGCACCACCTGCAGGACCTCCTCCTGCTGAGACCCCAATGCCCCCACAGAGCAATACACTGAAGCCTAAACATCTATCTGGTGTTTTTAAAAAGTTAAAAGAAAAATAGATTTTTTTTCACAAGGTGACAATAGTGATTTTTACCATCTGGATACAGCCTGGTGTAAGCAGACGTCCATTACCACCCTCACCCACATTTTCAGGTGTCTACATCAGCCTTAGTCATTATGGATAGTAAATCGACCTTTAAGAATTCCTGGGGTGGACTTTGCAAACACATTCTACAACCTGATGGTTTTTACTGCTCAAACTGTCACCATCATCTTTTGCAATGTGTTGCTCACTGTTGTCAATAAACTAATTTTTCCTGGCATAGCAGACTGCCCTGCTCCCTGATTTGTTCGTTAGTGCATGTTTATTAGCGTACACAGATAAGCAAGATTTTGGAACCTGCACAAGGGAAACAAAGCTCAACCTAAGCAAAACCTTATCCATAGAAATCTCATCTATTCAGTCATTCAGGAATTGTTTATCAAGGGACCTCCAGTTGACAGGTGCTGCCTGATTAGTGATGAACAAGCTACATGCCTTGTATCCAAGAAGCTTATGGTCTAATGGAATAGACAAAAGGAAAGACAATGTTCATGAAGAGGGGTAGAAGTGGGAATAGCATATGCCAAGCCCAGAATGACCACTGGTAGTAAACTGACCAGCACAGCGCATCTCATCTTCTTACCACAGTTCCTAGAGTAGCATTTTTCAAAGTGTGGCCCATGCGTCATACACAATAGAATCTCTTGCAATTGCCTATTAAAATGCACATTCTTAGGCCCCAAACCAAACCTAATGAATCAAAATCTCTGGGAGTGGGGCCCAAGGCTGTTTATTTTCTATCACTTCCATGTAATTCATTAGAATTTCAGGACCATTATTTCAGAGGAAGACCAGGATTTGAGCTCCTTGAGGGCTTAACAAGCATGGCCTGGAAGCCTTCCAAGAATAGTCACAAGGACAAGCCACAATGAAGACACCCAAAGTGAAGAAAAAAATGTAATATAATAATAAGTATGAAACAGCACCTGCTAAACTGTAATCAGAAGAATCGGTTTGGCAGAGAAGTGAATGTAAATGAATGTGCAAAAAAACAGTATCTTGAGTTTGTCATAGGTGGAATAAAATGACAACAAAAAAAGAGAGACAAAAAGTAAGAGATAAGGGATGAATAAAAAGTGAAGAGGGGAGGCAAGGCAATGAATAGGAGGAAGAGTGAAGAGGAAGATGATGGAGATGATGAGAAAGACAGAAGAGGAACAGAGACAGGCACTAGGATTCCTGGTACAAGTATTTGGTATTTGAAGATGTTACAGGAGAGCTAGGCCAGTCCTCAGATTACCCATGTGGCTAGGAAGTGTGTGCACATCAGGTGGTCTGCTGCCTGTCCTTTGCCCATCTCTATAGATCCATGTCTCACTGCTCCCCACTAAGATTCACTTCAAGCAACACTGACCTTATAGTTATTAAACATTTGCAGTTCCAAATGTTTCGCTTTTCCTCATGTTCTTTCACTTATCTGTTCTTTTACACACTCTTTCTCTTCACCTTCATCACCTACTTAACTCTGATTCATTTCCAAGATTCAATTCAGTCTTCTCCAGTAGTCCTGTCCCAACCCCTGTATCACACAAACACATGTGCAAATGCATACACACACACACACACACACACACACACATACAGGTTAGGAGCTCTCAGCAAGTTCCAATAGCTTACCTCCCTCCCCATAAGGCATTGTATTGAGATTATATGTTTTTTTGCCTCCAAGGAGGGGACCACAGTTTGTTTTTGGCTTCCAATACTGAGCTCAAAGTTTAATACGTAGCCGGTACTTAATTTCTGTTTGTTTAGTTGTCAAAATAAAAGGAAATTGTCTTTACCACAAGAATTTTAAAAGGTAGATAATTATTTAAAGAAAAAATTTTGGCATTAGTGTAACTTAACCTCTCTGACTCTCGAGTTTTCTCATCCGCAAAATGGGAAAAGCAACATTTACCAATGTAGATTGCTAGGGAAGTTAAATAACAATTATAACTTTTTATGTATGCAAGATGCCTGGCACATAGTTAAATGCCCAGTAACATTCATTTATATTCCTTGTGGAGCATTTGGACATCACTGTATCGAACAGGCTCAAAAGATGTGCTATCTACTACATATCAACTCACTGGGAATGGGAACAAATTCAGGGGAGGGCTTTACTAACCAAACTTAAATTGTAATTTTTTTTCAGGATAGTCTACATCTACCAGTAGGAATAGATTTTCTAATAAATATAATGAAGAAGGCAAAAAAAAAAACCCACAACAACTTGGCATCAGATTAAGGCTGTCTCAGAATGAAAATAATCTTTAAAAATTCATTCTACAAGTCCACAGGAATGAGTCCTAGATTATAGGATTTATGAATAGGAGTGCAGCATCAGGTAAAAGAAGGATTGAGCAACATGTAAGTATCTGATGGTTCGACTCTTTCTTTCACATTGAACCTTCCAAGGGAATTAAACAACTCAAAGCTGTAATAGACCTCAAAAGATTACTTTGCCTTCCCTGACTTTAGGCAAATGAATATCTAAAAAACTCAGATGAAATTTTTAAAAAAATTCTAGCAACAAATTCCACCAGTCCCCTGATCATTTAGTTTTTCTGTCTCTCACAACTAAACTCTTTTCTTTTCTAATTATATCTAATTAATTATATCCCTTTCTCTGTCTTCCATGTTTGTATGGATTTTATGATAAGCCAGCCTCTGAAGAACACCAGGCACCGAAGACTCTGCCCATTTTACAGATGAGGAAACCTGGCTAAGGGTAAGTCATTTACTCTAAGTTAGACAACTGCAAAGAGGTGGAGAAAGGACTGGAATCCTTCTTTATCTTCTCCATTTTCCTCCTGCCCTGTGCCCGTCAATATTCCCCATCCCATCCCTGACTCTTATGATTGGAGGATATTTTTAAGATTATTTCTGAGAACGAAGTCCTTAAGGAATGTATTTTCTAATTTTAGAATTTTAATAATTTTCCTAACATCTAGTGGCTTCCAGACTAGTTCCTAACAAAATATAATTCATAAAACTATTAAGAAGAGGGCATGGCCCACCATCACAAGAGGTCACCAACACTACATTCTTTATCTATCCAACTACAAAAATCTCACAAGTTATTTTCACTGTGCTTCAGATTTACTTGTTTCCATCCTGGTGATTATGCACTTGAAGAATGTGTGGAACTTGAATAACATGACTAAAAAAGTCCATGTGGTAAAGACCAGGGATACATCTCTTGTCCAATAGCTTAGGACTATTAATGTGCTACAGCAAGGGAGACCACATGGCTGAGGACCATGGGGCATCCTCCCAAACAAAGGAGGAGAAATGTTATTATAAAATGTTGAGGAATGGTGGGGTAAAATTACGTGACATAGTGTTTTCATAGGCTCAAGAAAAACAGGGCTGTGTATAAAAAATAATTAACACCAGACCTGAGCTGTGAAACAGACTTATGGTCCTCTTTCACTGGAAACTGTATAGTTGAGACAAATGGGGAATGTTGTGTCTGCAAGTCACTTGTCTGAAATTCTGTACCTGGGTTGGGTACTGAGGTTGCTTCTCTGTCCAGATGACTTAGATCCTGTCTAGGCAAGAGTGAAATGTTTCCTTCTTACTGATGTGGCTTGGAAGAGCAAGGTTTCTAACAGCCTATAATTTTAGAAAACAGTATTTCTTAGTACTGTGTTCTTTTGTTAACAAAAGCAGTGGATTTACAGACATATTTCTCTTTTTAGTTTGGCATCTCTGTATACATTCCAAAACAAAGAACAGAATGCTAAACCATGTATCAAGTGAGTACTTATTTTATTTCACTAAAGGGAATAAAACTTTTTAATAACTACTGCTACATGTTATCTATTTTGAGTGACTCCGAGTTGGAAAAAGACTGGGAGACATCACCAGTGTTTCTACTCCACAGAAGACCTGTGGTATTGCTAAATATTTGCCACTCTTTGATCCGTACGACTTTGGAGGAATTCATTTTGTAAATCTGGTCTTCCAAAAACTGTGATGGACTATGATGGATCATAGACTCAAAGGACTTCAAAGATCAGGGATATGATAGACCAAAGGGTGTATTTTTAAAAAGAGAAAACAAAACAAAACACACCTCAGAGGTAAATTTGCACTGAAGACCATCAGCATTCCTTGGACAATGTTATCTTTAATCTACCTTCCAACTCTAAATTTATTTTCTGTATTCCTATTCATCTTTGCTATGGCTGGAAAAGACAAAGCTATTTTATTGGTCACCAGCTAAACTAATTCCCCTTGTCTTTTTCATAATGCCACCTTCCCACCTCATAAACAAACAAAACCCTCAGCCAACAAACTAAAGAAGCTGTGACAGAAAGATAATTGATTCCTTTGTAGATATTGTCCATAGATTTTTAAGTATGTAATACAAAGTGCATATGTCAAAGCAAGAAAGCAAGAAATAGCCCAATTTCAATTTTATTTCTAGGTCAATAATCAGGGAAGGGCATTCAGAAAGGCACAGAATGAATGAAATCCCCATTTAGTTTGACCTTATTGTTCCCAGAAAAGTTCTTTCCCTTTAATTGCTTGATTTATCTTTGTCTTGCCTTACTAAAAGTTATGATTACTATGTGATAGGAAACTATTTGAAAGCTATTTTTCTTTCCTTTCCCCCTCCACCCCCAAATAGTACAGTACCATCTACATAATAAGTGTCTCATAAGTGTTAATGAGTTATAAACCAACTCAGATTACTAAAATAAAATCAGTCTAGCAGCTTTGGTGATGATTTTCTTATAAACAAGGTTAGGCACTGTGTCATTAAACACTGGGCCATTCTTTCCATAGCAGAATCAATACACATCTGCTCTTATGAGCCATTTTGGTTTTTAAGAAATTCTTGCTTGATCTCAATGCCAATCAGAAACCCAGCCTGTGACTCATGAACATTCCAGTCCCATGCTTAAGTCACGGATGGCAGCGAACAAGAGGAAAGTGTGATGGTGGCTGGATTCTTCAAACTTGCACCTTCTCACATGGCATGGCCTGGAAGGACTAGCTGATAGATGAGCAATTGTTCTGATGATATACATGACCAGGTATTCCGTTCTAGGGAAAAAGTAGACAGGTAGAAAACAAAGCATTCTTTAGTGATTTAGGGATCGCTGCCTCAGCAGTTAAATCCAGAGTTCTCATTTCAACGGGCAGCTACAACTCCAGGAAATGACCTCATGTCCTGGGGGTCATCAGCATCCAGCTAGGATATATAAAGGGCCCAGAGTGGAACGAGGACATTCACACCTGAGAACATCCAGCTCCTCTCAACAGCCCAACCCACACCAGCCTCAGACACCACCATGACCGGCTCCTGCTGCGGCTCCACCTTGTCCTCCCTGAGCTACGGGGGAGGCTGCTGCCAGCCCTGCTGCTGCCGCGACCCCTGCTGCTGCCGCCCCGTGACCTGCCAGACCACCGTGTGCCGCCCCGTGACCTGCGTGCCCCGCTGCACGCGCCCCATCTGCGAGCCCTGCCGCCGCCCGGTGTGCTGCGACCCCTGCTCCCTGCAGGAAGGCTGCTGCCGCCCCATCACCTGCTGCCCCTCGTCGTGCACGGCTGTGGTGTGCAGGCCCTGCTGCTGGGCCACCACCTGCTGCCAGCCTGTGTCTGTGCAGTCCCCCTGCTGCCGGCCTCCCTGCGGCCAGCCGACCCCTTGCAGCACCACCTGCAGGACCTCCTCCTGCTGAGACCCCACCTCTCCTCTCAACGCACGAAACATTCCCAGGTGCACAGAAGCTTGTGCAGACTCTTCTACCCCTTCTGGATCAGATGAGAGACTCCACCTTTGCAGCCTAGCTGATCCTCAAGCACGAATTCAACAATAACATCCTATCTATTTCCCCACATAATTATGCAGCTAATCCTGGCCCTCTCTGACAATCTTGAGAAAAATTCCAGCTTTCATCATTCGAATTCCTGGCTTGAAAAAAAAAACGAGTAAATAAAAATCAAAGCTCCTCTTGAATAGAACTCTGTCCCACTGACTCATCACCCTTTTTTCTACTGTTTCAAGGTTCTCAGATGAGATTTTTTTCTTCCAGGATAATACTATTTGTATGCTGTATTTTTGCACTGTAAAAAAAAATAAAATTATATTTCTGGGGAAGCAAACATTTCTTTTTATTTATTGTTTATTGCTCTTCAAAAGCTCATATTTAGCTTACATTACAGCATGCAGAACCAGAAGAACGAAAGGAGAGATTTTCTAAGGGCCATTTTTGAGCTTTAGAATAGGAACAACTCAGGTGGAAGGTCTATAATTTTAATAGCATTTCAAATAAATCTGATCATCTCATGATTCACCTTCATATTTCGAGTCGCAGGTTTTATGGTGATGCTGACGAAATGGTGAGACTACAGTAGGTCTCTGTAAACATAAACTTGACTTATGAATAATTCACACACATGATAAGGGGGAGGAAGTCTAAGCTAAGTTATAGCCCTATTTGTTCACCAATGTAGGAAACTGTACGGTAATTGATGTCAAACAAGACCTGGGAATCCCTAGCCACTGAACATCCTATGCTGGAGGAACCACTATCCCATCTTCTCCATGGTTCCCGTCAGCACCACCATGGCCAGTTCTACTTCCAGTGGAGTGGCTGCTGCTGAGAAGACAGGGAGAAATGAAGCCTTGGTTGTAATCATCCTAGTTTTGAGCTCCGCATACATCTTAACCATTTAAACAACTGCAATGCGGTTGAAATGCTGATAACATTAATCCATACTGCATATATTTTTGATTTTGTTAAATACTTGTATGTTGGTAAGGAAGGCTAACCACTATCATTTTCCTGATAAATATCTTTTTAGTTCCTAGCATGTGATAGAAAAGAGATTTCTTTGATTGTTCAGCATGTATTCCTGGGCATATCTACCTGCCCATTGAGAGAAGTGAGGCAAGGGAAGCTTTGTGAGGGCAGGGGTCTTTAGTCTTTTTAATTTAAATTTATTTCAAGTTCAGGGGTACATGTGCACGTTTGTTATATAGGTAAATTGTGTGTCACAGGGTTTTGGTATACAGATTATTTCATCACCCAGGTAATAAGCATAGTAACAGATGGCCAGGTGCAGTGGCTCAAGCCTGAAATCCCAGCACTTTGGGAGGCTGAGATGGGTAGGTCACTTGAGGCCAGGAATTCAAGACCATCCTGGCCAACATGGTGAAACCCTGTCTCTACTAAAAATACAAAAAGTAGCTGGGCATGGTGGCATGCGCCTGTAATCCAAGCTACTCAGGAGGCTGAATCAGGAGAATCGCTTGAACCTGGGAGGCAGAGGCTTTGGTGAGACAAGGTTGCGCCACTGCACTCCTGCCTGGGTGACAGAGTGAGACTCTGTCTCAAAACTTAATTAATTAATTAATTTAATTAAACAAAAGCATAGTAACAGATAGATGGTTTTTTTATCCTCACCCTCTTCCCACCATCTGCCCTCAAGTAAGCTTCAGTATCTGTTGTTCCCTTATTTGTGTCCATATGTACTCAATGTTTAGCTACCACTTATAAGTGAGAACATGCCGTATTTGGTTTTCTGTATCTGTGTTAGTTTGCTTAGGATAATGGCCTCCAGCTTCATCCACATTGCTACAAAGGACATAATTTCCTTTTTTATGGCTGTATAGTATTCCATGGTGTATGTGTACCACATTTTCTTTATCCAGTCCACCCTTGATGGGTATTTAGGTTGATTCCATATCTTTGCTACTTTGAACAGTGCTGCAATAAACATATGCATGTATATGTCTTTATGGTAGAATGATTTCAATCCCTCTGGGTCCATACCCACTAATGGGATTGCTGGGTTGAATGGTAATTCTGTTTTAAATACTTTCAGAAATTGCCAAACTGCTTTCCACAATGGCTGAGCTAATTTACATTGAGGGCCAGGATCTCGACTAACTTTGTTCACTACTAGATTCCCACTGATCTGCACGATATTTGGCACATTGAGTATAATCAGAAATGATGTGTTGAATGATAAATGAGTAAGTTCTAAGGGGATTGGTTAAAACAGAGAAAGACATTATCATTCCATCCCAACTCTCAACTCATGCTGGATATGCATATTCTTAAAATAAAACAATAAACCAATCATGAAGAAAGATCTTTTTTCTGGAAATATGGTAAAAGTTTCTCAACAAGAAGACTGTTATATTCAAAAACTTTACATTTGCAGTACGTGCACAATGGAGTTTTATCTTTTTTAACGGTTTGGTAATTAACCAATGGATAGGCTCACAAGTCTAATTTCTTTCTATATATTCTTGATCACTGTTTTCAAAATTCGTTAAGTACATCTGTTTTTCTCCTCTCAGAGTTTTTCTTGTTAGCCTTCTAGAGACCTCCTTATTTAAAAGTGTTTTCTCAAATGGACAATGCCTTGTTTCCCCTCAAACCTATCATTATTATTGGATCTCATTTATTCCCACAGTCACCCCATTCTCTGGTTGGCTGAAGTGGCTGGTGCAGATCTGGGTAAGCCTATAAGAAACCATGCAAGTGGTGTGATCAATAAGAATGCTTACACTTGAACCTTCAACTTCAGATCTATTAGGCTGGTGCAAAAATAATTGTAGCTTCTGCCATTGAAAGTGCCAAAAACCACAATTACTTTTTGCACCAACCTAATAGAACAGTCTTAGTTGTAAAGGAAAAGGTCAGAACCAAGTAAATTAAGAGGCAAAGACTCAAAAGTGATTGAGTGACATAATTTGCCTACAAGTCATGACAGTTTGAAACAATTAAAAATGACAATTGGTTCCATAAGCAGAAATGAGCCCCAGCATAGCACACAGGGAGATGTTGAAGACACTGAGGTATGGGCCAGATGAGGCCCGAGAACACGTTCAAGTGGGATCACTACTGAAGGGTTTTGTTATACCGCAAGACTGCAACCTTCCTCTACATAGACTTGTTTGACTTCCTCACCATATTGGTGGCTTTGTTCACAATACCCCATAATCATTCAGTTATGCCCAACTATGACACTATCTCCTTAGGGTATGTTTCGACATTTTCAGAAGGCTGAATAGAAGGTAATTCTTCCCACTCCTGAGGCTGTTGGTAAGACATAGAGTCCTTTCAACCGACTCTAAAAATTAGACATATCATAAATAACAACTGTTTTCAAAGTAAATACACTGTAAAAGCTCCTAAATAAAATAGACATTCCTTAATACCTGGGAATGTGGTACCTACAATCCATTCTTTAGCTACAGTGAGTTCTTCAGCTTTTTGGGCTGATAAATAATGTTCCCACAGATATTTCTGGAATGAGTATTGGCTCCAACACTTACTAGGTACATGACCTTGGGTAAGTCACTTATCTGGTTCCTTATGTGTGAAATGAGAAATAAACAATATCCACATCCTAAGAATGTTATGAAGATTAGATTAATGCATGTATTTTTTAATATGATGCTTGGAACATAGTTACAACTTAATGATACTGGCTATCATGAAGATTACAGTGAAATTTACCTTGGTCTGGAAAGATACAACCATAGAAATCAATGAACATATCTCTAAGACAAAAACCACTGGATGATGGAAACCTACTAAAATGCATTCTTGTACCTCCAAAAAGGGGACAGGAAAATTCTTCTTTTACTGAGAAATCCTGACTTTTAAACTATCCCTGTAGTATTATCCTCAACTTGTTTTGCCCAGGAAGCTTAGCAGTGGCAAAGAATACTAACAACTTGAGATGCTCGCTTTACTTCAACTGCTAGCAAGTAATAACCCTCAGAGCATGCAGAGCACAACAGCTGCTTTGAGCTATCAAAACAGCAACTAGCAAAAGCGTCATTGAATTATAACGATAATTGGAGACTTTGAAGTTAGGGTCATTAAATTCATATTTGAACCATAAATAGCAAAATATAATGGGTCTACACTAAATAAGGAAAATAGACTTTTATGTGTACCTGAGCATCTAAACAATGTCTACAAAACTTACTAATCTGCTGGTGTTATTTCAGGAAGAATAAGTGAAAACAAGGAAATGACCTTGTGTCCTGGGGGTCATCAGCTCCCAGCCAGCGTATATAAAGGGCCCAGAGGGGGAGGAGGACATTCACACCTGAGAACATCCAGCTCCTCTCCACAGCCCAACCCACACCAGCCTCAGACACCACCATGACCGGCTCCTGCTGCGGCTCCACCTTCTCCTCCCTGAGCTACGGGGGAGGCTGCTGCCAGCCCTGCTGCTGCCGCGACCCCTGCTGCTGCCGCCCCGTGACCTGCCAGACCACCGTGTGCCGCCCCGTGACCTGCGTGCCCCGCTGCACGCGCCCCATCTGCGAGCCCTGCCGCCGCCCGGTGTGCTGCGACCCCTGCTCCCTGCAGGAAGGCTGCTGCCGCCCCATCACCTGCTGCCCCTCGTCGTGCACGGCTGTGGTGTGCAGGCCCTGCTGCTGGGCCACCACCTGCTGCCAGCCTGTGTCTGTGCAGTCCCCCTGCGGCCAGCCGACCCCTTGCAGCACCACCTGCAGGACCTCCTCCTGCTGAGCCACCACCTGCTGCCAGCCTGTGTCTGTGCAGTCCCCCTGCGGCCAGCCGACCCCTTGCAGCACCACCTGCAGGACCTCCTCCTGCTGAGCAGCCCGTTATCACGAAGGGCCCCTCAGAAGATGGCCAGGTCCATCCCGCTGCCCCTCAGGGCTTCACCGCAGAGCAATACACGTTTCCTTGAGAAGCCCATTTCTCATCTCTTCATACTAGCTCACACTATGCATTGAAGACACCTTTTCAGACCAACCACAGATGAGAAATACTTTTCCTAGGACTCCAGTCTAACTCCTATATCATGTTGTCTGCTTTCTAATAAACTCAATACTCCTACCATAGAAATCATGGTCTTTGTGATATTTTCTTCTGGGAGATTGTCTCTTTTTTTCTAGAGATACTCAAAGCAAGATGCAGAATAATCCTCTTATACAGTTCTCATAACTTAAGTCTGAGTAGTTTTCTTATAATCATTGTAAATGGCATTTATGGAGCACAGCTGAGTCAGGAAGATGGATACAACTATGACTTTATCATGTGTACAGAGTCACTTGTGCCCAAAATTCCAGGCATGCATTGAACACCTGAGAAATGTTCTGCAACAAGAAACACGCTAGGAGGCCGCACCTGGGTTGAAACTTACATTCCCAGCCTAATGGTGTGTTTACTGATCCGACACCTGTTGGAACATCATAGAACGCCCAGGGTGTTAGAGGTGGAAGAAGCCTTAGGCAACCTCTGGCCAATTACCTCTGTTTTTGAAGTTAAAGAAACATGAATAATGTAAGAGTAAATAAGTTACTTACTAATGTAATTATAATCCCAAAAGTTCAGAAAAGACCCTGGAGAATACAAGTTTCCTGCATTTAGACCTCAGGTCAAACACTTCTTAGTATGGTGAGAGACATGTTAATCACAAAATGGTTGTACATTCTACAACTTTATTTTACATTTCAATAGCCACACACACACATATACACACTTCCTAGGAATACATCTAGCCAAGGAAGTGAAAAATCTCTACAGAGAAAACTACAGAACACGACTTAAAGAAATGATAGGTGACACAAACGAATGGAAAAACATCCCATGCCAATGGATTGGAAGAATCAGTATCATTAAAATGACCACACTGCCCAAAGCAATCTACAGATTCAATGCTATTTCTATCAAGCTACCAATGTCATTTTTCACAGAACTAGAAAAAAACTATTCTGAAATTCATAAGGAACCAAAAAGAGCCCAAATAGCCAAAGCAATCGTAAATAAAAAGAAAACTGAAGGCATCACATTACCTGACTTCAAACTATGCTATAAGACTACAGTAAACAAAACAGCATGGTACTGGTACAAAAACAGAAAGTTGTAAAATATAAAGTGGCATAGACAAAAGGAACAGAATAGAGAACCCAGAAATAAAGCCATGCTCATACAACAATCTAATCTTTGATATCATTAACAAAAATAAGCAATGAGGATAGGACTCCCTATTCAATAAGTGGTGCTGGGATAGCTGGCTAGCTTTATGCAGATGATTGAAACTAGACCCTGACTTTCACCATATAGAAAAATTAACTCAAGATGGATTAAAGATTTAAATGTAAGACCTCAAACTTTAAAAACCCTAGGAGAAAATCTAGAAAACATAATTCTTAACATCAACCTTGGGAAAGAATTTATGACTAAGTCCTCAAAAGCAATTGCAACAAACACAAAAATTGGCAAGTGGGACCTAATTAAACTAAAGAGCTTCTGCACAGTAAATGAAACTATGAACACAGTAAATAGACAACCTACAGAATGAGAGAAAATATTCACAAACTGTGCATCCAACAAAGGCCTAACATCCAGAATCTATAAGGAACTTAAACAATTGAACAAGCAAAAACAAATAATCCCATTAAAAAGTGGGCAAAGGACTTGAACAATCACTTCTCAAAACAAGACATACAAGCAGCCAAACACACATGTGAAAAAATGCTCCACATCATTATTCATCAAAGAAATGCAAAATCAAAACCACAATGAGATACCATCTTACACCAGTCAAAATGGCTATTATTAAAAAGCTCAGTAACTGAAGCCCCATACTTTCAGAATAAAGAAAAAAATAGTTAAAAAACAACAGATGCTGACAAGGCTGTTGAGAGGAGAGAATGCTTATATGCTGTTGATGGGAATGTAAATTAGTTCAGCTACTATGGAAAGCAGTGTGGAGATTTCTCAGGAACTTAAAGTAGAACTATCATTTGACCCAGCAATCCCTTTACTTGGTCTGTAGCCAAAAGAAAACAAATCATTCTACCAAAAAGACACATGCACTTGCATGTTTGTCACAGTACAATTCACAATAGCAAAGACATGGAATCGACCTAGGTTCCCATCAGTGGTGGACTGGATAGAGAAAATATGGTACACATACACCATGGAATACTACTCACCCATAAAAAACAATGAACTCATGTCCTTCACAGTAACATGGATGCAGCTGGGGGCCATTATCCTAAACAAATTAACCCAGGAACAGAAAACCAAATGCCATATTTTCTCACTGACAAATGGGAGTTAAACATCGGGTACTCATTGACATAATGATGGCAACAATAGACACTGGGGACTACTAGAGCAGGCAGAGCGGGAGGGAGACAAGGGCTGAAAAACTGTTGGGTGCTACACTCAGTCCTGGGTGACAGGATCGATCATACCCCAAACCTCAGCATCACACAGTATACCCACATAACAAACTGGCACATCACACAATATACCACCTGAATCTAAAGGAAAAGTTGAAATAATGAAAAAAAAATTTGTTCATAATGTTATTGTTAAATGATAATGTGAAATAAAGCTCTGGAGTTTGTTACACAAAATCTGTTGTCCATCACCATGAGAAATCTGTCTAAATCAATTTGAAGGCTTTTTTTTTTAAGGATGCTTCTCTAAGACCCCATTCTGTATTGCATGGGCTGTGGGGTTCTCAGTAGGGGTCTTGTTGCTATACACAGTCCTGACAGATATGCCTTCTGTCAGTTCAACAATAGCCTGACTCCCTTCACAGAGGTAAGTGCTCAATGAGAAGGTGCTCTGTTTCTTCCTTCCAGGTGCTTTTATTTTATTTCATGCTATTAATGGAACTTACTACTGAATAATGTTATTTCATGTGTATTGTTTGGTGACTGAGCAGAGAACTAACCATTTGCCATAACAAATATGTTGGTCTTTTTTCTAAACTTAAAGTTTAGAATTTAGAAAGTACCAATGTAACATGACCTTTTGCTATATATACATATGGTATACATATAGTAAATATATATAGTATATGTAAAATACATATAGTAAAATATATATACATATTTGTATATATACATATATACTATATATAGTAAAATATATCTAGTATATCTGTATATATAAATATATAATATATTATATTATATATTTTACTATATATAATATATTATATATATTTTACTATATATAATATATTATATATTTACTATATATAATATATTATATATATTTTACTATACATAATATATTATATATTTACTATATATAATATATTATATATATTTTACTATATATAATATATTATATATTTTACTATATATAATATATTATATATTTTACTATATATATAATATATTATATATATTTTAATATATATATAATATATTATATATATTTTACTATATATAATATATTATATATTTTACTATATATAATATATTATATATATTTTACTATATATAATATATTATATATATTTTACTATATATAATATATTATATATATTTTACTATATATAATATATTATATATATTTTACTATATATATAATATATTATATATATTTTACTATATATAATATGTTATATATATTTTACTATATATATAATATATTATATATATTTTACTATATATAATATATTATATATATTTTACTATATATATTATATTATATATATTTTACTATATATATAATATATTATATATATTTTACTATATATGTAATATATTATATATATTTTACTATATATGTAATATATATGTACCATATTATCGGGGAACCTGCCCCGATAATCACGTATGTTCTTTTCTATTTTCCTAAGCATCGGCTGGCTTGAGAAATAAAGGGACAGAGAACAAAAGAGAGAAACTTTAAAGCTGGGTGTCCGGGGGAGACATCACATTTTGGTAGGATCCGTGATGCCCCACAAGCCACAAAAACCAGCAAGTTTTTATTAGGGAGTTTCAAAAGGGGAGAGAGTATACGAATAGGTGTGAGTGACAGACATCAAGTACTTAACAGGGTAATGCAATATCACAAGGCAAGTGGAGGCAGGGCGAGATCAGAGGACCACAGGACCGAGGTGAAATTAAAATTGCTAATGAAGTTTTGGGCACCACTGTCATTGATAACATCTTATCAGGAGACAGGGTTTTGAGATCAACCGGTCTGACCAAAAGTTATTAGGTGGGAATTTCCTCTTCCTAATAAGCCTGGGAGCGCTATGGGAGACTGGAGTTTATTTCACCTCTGCAATCTCGACCATAAGAGACAGGTACACCCCGGGGGGGCCAGTTCAGAGACCTACCCCTAGGTGCGCATTCTCTTTCTCAGGGACGTTCCACGCTGAGAAAAAGAATTCAGCGATGTTTCTCCCATTTGCTTTTGAAAGAAGAGAAATATGGCTCTGTTCTGCCCGGCTCACCAGCGGTCAGAGTTTAAGATTATCTCTCTTATTCCCTGAACAATTGCTGTTATTCTGTTCTTTTTTCAGGGTGCCCACATTTCATATTGCTCAAACAGACATGCTGTACAATTTTTGTAGTTAATGCAATTATTACAGGGTCCTGGAATGATATACATCCTCCTCAACTGACAGGATTAAGAGATTAAAGTAAAGACAGGCATAGGAAATCACAAGGGTATTGATTGGGGAAGTGATAAGTGTCCATGAAATCTTTACAATTTATGTTTAGAGATTTCAGTAAAGACAGGCATAAGAAATTACAAAAGTATTAATTTGAGGAACTAATAAATGTCCATAAAATCTTCACAATCCACGTTCTTCTGTCATGGCTTCAGTCAGTCCCTCCGTTTGGGGTTCCTGACTTCCCGCAACACCATATACATATATAGTATACATACATATATACTGTATACATATATACTATACATATTTTACTATATATGTAATACATATGTATATATACATATATACTATATATATTTTACTATATATATAGTAAAAGGTCATGTTACTATATATGTGTATATATGTGTGTATATATATATTTACTATATATATATATATTTAACAAATACAAGACACTAAGTGCCAGACATTGTTTGTTCTTAGCACTTGACAAATATTAGCTCATGTAATCCTTACAATTCTGATATGAACTATTATTATGGCCCAAGGACACACAGCCAGTAAGTGGCAGAGCTTTAAATGAGCATTGTCCAGTTTCAGAATAAGTGGGGTCAGAAAATAGGATGTGACTTGCCACCAAGTGTCAAACCGCAGAGCTGTCTGTGCTCTTACAACTCTGAGGCATGAATAACTGAAGCATGACCCATATTTTCTCTGCCTGAAAACGAAGTTTGGCTATGGGGTGTGGATAAGTGTCTTAGAGTGAATAAACACTAGAAAGGTTACTGAGTGATGCACAGATTATCTTTTTGGACCTTTATAAAGGGGAGACAGATCCTTATAAAGGGGAGAGACAGATCTTTATAAAGGGGAGAGACAGATCTCTTTAGAATGACCTTGGGTTTGAAGTTTCTGCAGTAGAGAAATGAGTCTTGTTAATGTGATGATTTAAGTCTTCCAAAGAGGCTCCCATTGCATAAAATGTGATTATCATGAAGACTCCACAGCAGCATGAAAATAAATTATGAGATAATATGTCTCGAAAAGAGCAGAATATACAACTTTTTACCTAGTTACCTCTGGTTACCACTTTGAAAAACAAAAATCCCACGTCCGTAAACAAAGAAAAGAATGTAAAACAGGAGAGTCAAAGGTCTCTAGCGATGAGATTGTGCCTGATATCTCCCTCTTCTGTTTCCCTAATTGTGACTACCGGGTCCAGTCAATTTACATTCCTCTTAAAGTTTTGAAATTATGCTTGAAATTCCATTTGGGGAGCTTTAGATGTCCGGCCCCAAGGCACATTCTTTCAAATAAAGAAAATGATCCCGAAGTGATTCAAAACCCTGTCTGGTGACTAACAGGAGGAGTAAAGCTGGAAAGTAATGGGACTGTTTCCCCCATGTAGTTCCTGAACTGCCCCTGGCAACACTTCCTGAAGAAGCGCATCCATCACGCTTTTAGCAGTGCCACAGCAGAACACTGGGCAGCCTCCCAATGCGTCTACCCCTGAACAGTGTTCTGGATATGTGTGCAATGTTGGTTGAAAACCCCTTTCTTGTCACTTGCTAATCAGAGCACCTATGTCAAAGTATATATGCATATTTCTTTTTTGAGATGGAGTCTCACTCTGTAGCCCAAGCTGGAGTGCAATGGCATGATCTCGGCTCACTGCAACCTCCGCCTTTGGGGCTCAAGTGATTCTCGTTCCCCAGCCTCCGGCACAGCTGGGACTACAGGCACTGCCACCACACCCAGCTAATTTTTTGTATTTTATTAGAGTTGAGGTTTCACCATGTTGCCCAGGGTGGTCTTGAACTCCTGAGCTCAGGTGATCCACCTGCCTTGGCCTCCCCAGGTGTTGGGATTACAGGCATGAGCCACTGCGCCCGGCCAACAAGGTATATTCAGAAAAATTTCCCATTACAGAATTCTTCATTACATGCACAAGAAAGGCAACGCTAAAAAATGACATGTTTCAGAGATAAAAATCAGCATCTTATGACAGAAAGACCAGAGTTGCACAGAACCTGAACTAGAGAAAAGAAAACATGCAAGGCAGTCTTGGAGGTTTTATTCCAACACTTAGTGGTTTGCAAAAATTTTTGTCTGTCCTGTACAACTCTATGAGCTGCTATCCTATTCAAGGCCTATGTATCCCACTATATCAAGTGATAATCAAACGTATTCCCAAGCAGACTACGTGGGAGGGCTTGTCTAACACTCGTGTGATTCACGTTTCACATGTAGGTGCTTCCAAGGACTTGAGTCCCCTATTGGGGTCAGGATAGGCTCTACTCAATGTTCTATGTACTTCTCTATGTTTTTAATTTCTTTTAAAAACTGAAGTTTTTTTAGACCGTTTTGTCCAGATTTGATCCAGTGTTATCTACTCAAAATAAGCATCAAGAGCTACTATCACCTCAAATGACGATGAGTTCTTAGATTTTCACCCAATGTGAGTACATCCATACTTAGAGATAAAACAAGAGCTCTTTAGTGAGATAATGAGTGTGTCACAAGCAACCATTAGTCAAAACAAAATTCTACTTAATTGGCCAAAAGGTAAACGAAAAGGGTCACCTGCACCCGGCCAGGGTATATAAAGGGCCCAGAGGGGGAGGAGGACATTCACACCTGAGAACATCCAGCTCCTCTCCACAGCCCAACCCACACCAGCCTCAGACACCACCATGACCGGCTCCTGCTGCGGCTCCACCTTCTCCTCCCTGAGCTACGGGGGAGGCTGCTGCCAGCCCTGCTGCTGCCGCGACCCCTGCTGCTGCCGCCCCGTGACCTGCCAGACCACCGTGTGCCGCCCCGTGACCTGCGTGCCCCGCTGCACGCGCCCCATCTGCGAGCCCTGCCGCCGCCCGGTGTGCTGCGACCCCTGCTCCCTGCAGGAAGGCTGCTGCCGCCCCATCACCTGCTGCCCCTCGTCGTGCACGGCTGTGGTGTGCAGGCCCTGCTGCTGGGCCACCACCTGCTGCCAGCCTGTGTCTGTGCAGTCCCCCTGCTGCCGGCCCCCCTGCGGCCAGCCGACCCCTTGCAGCACCACCTGCAGGACCTCCTCCTGCTGAGCCACCACCTGCTGCCAGCCTGTGTCTGTGCAGTCCCCCTGCGGCCAGCCGACCCCTTGCAGCACCACCTGCAGGACCTCCTCCTGCTGAGCAGTGCACTGACTGCCCGGAACGCGTAACTCACCTTCTGAAAAAGTCACACTCCCATTTCTCTACTTTAACAAACCTCCTGCCCTGAGCCCACAAAACCCCACATCAACCAAGCAGGGAACCGAGCACTGGGCTCATCTATTAAGACCTGGGCCATTCTGAAGTCTGTAAAAGAAGCAATTTCCTTCTTCTTAAGATTTCGTGGCATGTTTATTTTCTAATAAATATCTGTTCTTTGGCCTTGCAAAAAGATTTGGTTTTATTTACTCATTCTAATATTTTGTATTAAATTAATTTTTTAATTAAAAAAACTGACACATAATTGTACATATTTATGGGGTGCAATGTAATGTTTCCATACATGTATACGTTGTGTAATAATCAAGTCAGGGTGTTTAGCATATTCGTCACCTCATACATTTATCATTTCTTCATGGTAAGATCATTTAAAATATTCTCTGATCGCTATTTTGAAATATATGATAAAATATTACTAACCACAGTCACCCTACTGTACATTAGAATACCAAAACTTATCCCTCCTATCTACCTGTAACTTTGTACCTGTAGACCAATCTCTGCCTATCCTCCCCTCCTCTCACCCTCCCCAGCCTCTGGTAGTCACTATTCTACTCTCTACTTCTATGAGATCAACTTCTTTAGATTTCACATAGGAGTGAGTGAATGTGCTATTTGTCTTTCTGTGCCTGGTTAATTTCACTTAACATAATGTCCCCCAGGTTCATCCATGTTGCTGCACATGACAGTATTTCATTCTTTTTCATGGCTGATAGTATTTCATTGTGTGTTTGGGTGTGAGTGTGTGTCACATTTTCTTTATCCATTCATCCATTGATGAACACTTAGATTGTTTTCATATGTTGGCTGTTGTGAATCGTGCTGCAATAAACATGGAAGTGCAGAAATCTCCTCAACATACTGATTTCATTTCCTTTGCGTATATACTCAGTAGTGGGATTCCTGGATCACATGATCGTCCTATTTTTAATTTTTGGGGAACCCTCCATACTGTTTTCCATAATGGCTATACTACTTTACATTCCCTCTAACCTTGTATGAGTTCCCTTTTTTCCACATCCACACCAGCATTTGTTATCTTTTTGTATTTTTGATAATAGCCATTCTAATTGTGGTGATATGGTATCTCATTGCGGTTTTGATTTGCATTTCCTGATGATTAGTGATGCTGAGCACTTCTTCATATATGTGTTGGAAATTTGTATGTTTTCTTTTGTGAAATATCTATTCAGGTCTTTTACCTATTTTTAATTGGATTTTTTATTATTATTCACTGTTGAGTTGTTCAAGTTCCTTATATATTCTAGATATTAACCCCTGGTCAGATGCATAGTTTGAAAATATTTTCTCCCAAATTTTTGCAATCTACTCATCTGACAAAGGGCTAATATCCAGAATCTACAAAGAACTCAAACAAATTTACAAGAAAAAAACAAACAACCCCATCAATAAGTGGGTGAAGGATATGAACAGACACTTCTCAAAAGAAGACATTTATGCAGCCAACAGACACATGAAAAAATGCTCATCATCACTGGCCATCAGAGAAATGCAAATCAAAACCACAATGAGATACCATCTCACACCAGTTAGAATGGTGATCATTAAAAAGTCAGGAAACAACAGGTGCTGGAGAGGATGTGGAGAAATAGGAACACTTTTACACTGTTGGTGGGACTGTAAACTAGTTCAACCATTGTGGAAGACAGTGTGGCGATTCCTCAGGGATCTAGAACTAGAAATACCATTTGACCCAGCCATCCCATTACTGGGTATATACCCAAAGGATTATAAATCATGCTGCTATAAAGATACATGCACATGTATGTTTATTGCAGCACTATTCACAATAGCAAAGACTTGGAACCAACCCAAATGTCCATCAATGATAGATTGGATTAAGAAAATGTGGCACATATACATGGAATACTATGCAGCCATAAAAAATGATGAGTTCATGTCCTTTGTAGGGACATGGATGAAGCTGGAAACCATCATTCTCAGCAAACTATCACAAGGACAGAAAACCAAACACCGCATGTTCTCACTCATAGGTGGGAATTGAACAATGAGAACACTTGGACACAGGAGGGGGAACATCACACACCGGGGACTGTTGTGTGGTGGGGGGAGGGGGGAGGGATAGCATTAGGAGATATACCTAATGTAAATGATGAGTTAATGGGTGCAGCACACCAACATGGCACACGTATACATATGTAACAAACCTGCACGTTGTGCACATGTACCCTAGAACTTAAAAGTATAATAAAAAAAAAAGTACCAAAAAAGAAAATATTTTCTCCCATTCTCTAGGCTGTCTCTTCACTCTGCTGATTTGATTGTTTCCTTTGCTGTGCAGAAGGTTTTAATTTTATATAATCCCATTTGTTTACTTTCACTTTTGTTGCCTGTGCCTTTGAGGTCTTATCCCCCCAAGAAAAAACCATTGCCCAGACAAGTGTCATAAAATGTTTCCTGTGGGTTTTCTTCTAGTTGTTTTATTATATGTGGTCTTATATTTAAGTATTTAATCCATTTTGGGTTGTTTTTAAATGAGTTAAGAAATAGGGTCTAAATGTGCTGCTTGCCTACCATATGCAAGTCACAGGCTATATGGTATAAAATAGAAAGTAAAATTGAATTAAAAATGTTCCCATCTTCAAAAAGATTCTAGAGACATGAGTCATATTCACCTATAATTCATCTAAAAACTAGAATATTAAAAAATAAAAGTACAACACTGTGTGGTGTCAACACAGAAGTCACTGTTGGTTGGGGAAAATAAGAAAGATTGAAAAGAGAAGCTAACATTTTATATAGGTTCAGATTGTGGTGTCCAGATCACAGGGATGGCATTCTCAGCAATAGAAATAGTATGAGCAAAGGTGTGGAGGGAGGGGAACCATAGGGTTGTTCAGAGTACGGTTTGGCTGGGGGCACTGGATATATATAGAGTGATAATGAAAGAAAGATTTGGAAAATTTGTATGCTTTGAATACTAGCCAACGGAGTACACCCTTAATGCAATAAGCAGTAAGGAGTTGTTGAAAGCTTTGGGGCAGGAAAATGGCATAACAAGAGCAGGGCATTGGGACAATTCTCATGATAGCTCCTTATAAAGACAGAGGTCAAAGGCCAGAGAAATGAGTCGTACAGAACTATACAGAAACTAATCAGGAAGATATTGCCTTGGTCAAGTGATTACAATAAGAGCTCAACTAAGATAATACCCATGGAATAAAGAAGACACAATGAGTATAGCAGATGTAGAAACCCAGAAAGTATATTAACTTAGTTGAATGTGGGAAACAAAAAACAACTAGGAGGCAAATGTGACTTATTCCAATTATAAGTCTCTGGTCCAGATACTTAAAAGAACTTTAACATATTTGTACTTATTTATTGTGTATTTAAAATCACTACTCCATAGTGCCATCTCTCTACCATCTAATATTTCTATTCTTGTGCTATTACAAAATACCTTTTTTTTTTAGAAAAAAAGACAAAGACAAAGAGCCTTACTAACATTAATTGATTCTGAAAAGCAGCATGGTATAAAATAAAAAGAACTGGTCTAGGAACAAGTGATAGGAATTTTATACCCAGCTCTTCTGGTTGTGTACTGTGTGAATGGAACAAGCCACTTAACCTCTTCAAGACTCAAGAGTATTCTAACATCAGCCGATGTTAAGTGAAAATGAAAAGTGCTCCATAGCACATCACCAATGTTCCCATTTAGAACTTTGAGACTAAATGGTTCTATACTCAACTCTTTTCCTTGATTAATCCCTCCTATTGCTACTACACTGATTTTTATACTAGAGCAAGATACAAAACAAATAGATGGGATCTTGCTTTCTGTATAAGCCTTTAGTGCTCTGGGCATAGTAGAAGTTAATAAATATGTGCTATTTATAATAAGAATGATGTCAGTTTCTACACCTATAAAATTAAGTGGTGGAACAAGATAATTTACTACATTTTTGATCTCCAACATTCATTGATTACATATAACCATTTTCAACTTCATACCTACAGTCATGGTTACCATATGACGTGAACATCTTTACTGAAGCTGGCATGAATCACATTGTGATATAACCCCATTCCTGTACAAACAAATGCCACCACCTCATAAAAAGCTAACTATGTGTTTCTATTCATGATTGGAAGGGAGAAATAAACCTACCCCAAGTAGAAATAATATGTTTTTGACCAGCCTTTTTTCATTTATCTCACGTAACCCTAAACTCCCAGTGAAAATTACATTCTTTCTTCTGGCAATGACCAGGAATTGTTTTAACTTTTATTTTGCTGAAATTTTTCTTAATCTCTTTGCATTTATTATACTACACCTCTTGAACTATATTTGGTCACCCATTTTCTAACCTGCCTTATAAAGCAGATAAAAGTATTTTCTAACTCTTGCTTTTTCTTTGATTTATTCCCTTTCCTAAATTCAGTTGTCATGCTCTTTGGTCTAATATCTTTTCACAGGACACATGGTTTAGTAACTTGAAATGACATAAATTAAAATTAAATTCTGCCTTTGAAAAATTATATGCCAGATAATCCATATACAAGTGATTTTTGTCTTTCATAGAGAAGTGTAAATTTTGTTAAAATATTTTGCAATTTTTTCCAATTACTGAATATGAATTTTAGCCTCTTTTTTAAGAGACATTGAAATTGAACAGGTTTTGTTTTATATATCCTCCTGAGTGATCAATGTTTCCTAAAATATGAATGTGAAGTTCAGGAGATATCACAGAAATTGGAAAGATTCCATTTCAGGGAAAAATCTATGAATTTCTATGAATATAGAGTTTATCAGAGTTTCTATCTGGCTAATAAGATTATATCGAGAGAGGATAATCTTATTAGTCTAAAAAATACAAAGCAGTCTTACATAAGGGCAATCATGATTAATAATTCTTTTCTGGAGACCTGAGGTTTGGTGAATATGATCTCCAAAATCACATCACCTTATGGGTGAGAGTCACTTTGTCAGGTGATATACCCACAAGTGCAAACCTGAAGCTGAAGCTCAAGTGGAAATTATACCATTGTTTGTAAACAAAATGTTAACATTTTTACCAAGGACAAACACATTTGGTGAGTATTAGCTGAGCAATAAGGAAAAATCAATTTTGAGATATATTTAAAACAATTCAGCATTTGAACCATCAGAGGGCCCTAGAAAGGCTGGTTTAAAGAGTAACAAGATAAAAATGTTGCTCGCCACAAATAGAGGAATTGGCCCAGACTTATAAAAAGCCGGCAGTGGAATAGGCAGCCATAATTCAGAAACTCCTCCAAGCAACCCAACCTTCAGATCAACTCCTGACACCATGGCCTGCTGTCAGACCAGCTTCTGTGGATTTCCCAGCTGCTCCACCAGTGGGACCTGCGGCTCCAGCTGCTGCCAGCCAAGCTGCTGTGAGACCAGCTCCTGCCAGCCACGCTGCTGTGAGACCAGCTGCTGCCAGCCAAGCTGCTGCCAGACCAGCTTCTGTGGATTTCCTAGCTTCTCAACCGGTGGGACTTGTGACTCTAGCTGCTGCCAGCCAAGCTGCTGTGAAACTAGCTGCTGCCAGCCAAGCTGCTACCAGACCAGCTCCTGCGGAACTGGCTGTGGCATTGGTGGTGGCATTGGCTATGGCCAGGAGGGCAGCAGTGGAGCTGTGAGCACCCGTATCAGGTGGTGCCGCCCAGACTGCCGTGTGGAGGGTACCTGCCTGCCCCCCTGCTGCGTGGTGAGCTGCACACCCCCATCCTGCTGCCAGCTGCACCACGCCGAGGCCTCCTGCTGCCGCCCATCCTACTGTGGACAGTCCTGTTGCCGCCCAGTCTGCTGCTGCTACTGCTCTGAGCCCACTTGTTGAAAACCTCCTTCTGCTGGGGATCCTGATAAGATGGCACCTTAAAACTAGCCAAATTAGAATCCTAACAATCTTCTGAACTCCAGTACCTATAACTGGGCTTGCAACCTCTCATCACACAGCCACATAAATTCCCTAGGAAGTAAATTCATTTACAATGGAAGACCAAAAATTTTTCCTAGACCTGGTTGTCAGCCAAAGTCCTACAATGTGAAAAGAGTTAGATACTATTTTACTATAAATATCACCTGAAATATTTCAACAGTTATTGGGACTTAAATTTAATAAAAGTTTTCATCTCTTCAATGATGAAGTTGTTGTTTGAACTTTCTTTGCTTTGGAATTTATTAACAATATTGGGGTACTGGGATTTTTCAAAATATCAACATGACATGACACTATGGTTTTTCTGTACTTTTGCTCTTTTAATGATGATATTTAACAGCAATTTTCCTTTGTTTTACCATTAAATGGTCCAATATTTTGCAGCCAAGACATATGATTAAAGGAACTTGACAACATTTAGGAACTGTTTCCTAAGGTCCTCTCATGTGCAAAGTGGTGGGCTAGGTATTCCAACAGATTGATTCAGCTTCTTGAGGTTTTGCCAAATCTATTCATTCATCCATTCATATATGAGGTTGTATACAATTATTTCTGTCCTCCAAGATATACAAAAGCATAATAAAAATTGTGAAAGAATACAAACACAAGATTACAGAGTAATAGCATGTAACGAATATACACATTTCATTCAAGGTCTAGGCTCATAACTCCCATAGCCCTTTTATTGATGTTAGGGCACTTTACACTTCAGAAGCAGGCCTCAGAAAACAGAATCTCTCTCTCTCTCGCTCTCGCTCACTCACTTGCTCTTGCTCTCTCTCTCTCTCTGGCCTTCTCCCCACCTCTTTTCACCTGCTCCTTTTACTCCTCAAGGCAAGAATCTTCCCCCACTGTTCTTGGCACTGGCCATCAAGATATTCTCCTACCTACCTTGCCTGATTGTAGGTCATAAGATCCCCATTTCAGAAGAGGTTCTGCCCCATGCCCTGGAGGAAGGAAGGCTGCATAGAGAGACCAAGAAGGATCTGACAGACAGGTTTCATCACTCACTCTACTAACATTAGATCATACTCTTTTTGTCCAATCACGTTTCTAATGGTTGTCCATCATGCCCATCCACTGAAGTCCCCGTAAAATGTTCAAAAAAAAAAAAAAAAAAAAACCCACAGAGTTTGAGGAGCTTCCAGATAGCTGAATGTGTGGAGGTTCCTGGAATGTGCTGTTCCCAGAGAGGTTATGAAAGCTCCTCATACCCCTTCCCCCACACCTCACCCTATGCATCTCTTCTTCTGTGCCATTTGTAATTGTCTTTATAATAAACCAATAAGCTAAATGTTTCCCTGAGTCCTGGGACCTGCCCTAGCACATTCATCAAACTTGAGGGTGTCATGGAATTCCCAATTTATGGCTGGTTGGTCAGAAGCACAGGCAAAACAACCTGGAGCTTGTGCTTGGCACTGGAAGTAGGGGGCAGTCTTACAGAACTGAGCCCTCCCCCTGTAAAACCTGACACTATCACCAAGTAAATAGCGTTAGAATGGAATTGGAGTGGAAAACATGCAGCTGGTATCTGCTGCAGAATTTATTTCCTTGCTTCTTGATGGGGAGAAATCCCCACACATTAGCCACAGAAATCTTCTGTGTTGATTGTTGTTGAGTGAGAGAGTAGAAAGAACATTTGAGTGTGTTTTTTTTTCCTTCTACCCAATAGCATAAGATGTAAAAATAGCTTATGCTATTGGGTAGAAGAACAAAAAGCTAAATCAAGACTCCTGAGTTCTAGTCCCAACTTTGTAACTAGCTATCCATGAATCCTTGAGCAAGTCCCTTCACTTGCCTGGGTACCTATTTCTAATTTGGGAAATGAGAGAATTGAGTCATTACTGACAACATCCCTTCCAGGCATAAGAGGGTAGATAATTTCCTAAACAGGCTACACACTGACCAGTAATAGCTTCAGATGCCCAAAGAGGAAAAAATATACAGTGGTCAAATTATGTTGTATGCTTTATCACCTTTTTGCAAGTTTATAAAGCCACACTGGAATATTAAAGGGACTGAGATGGCCTGCAATAAATAAAGCTCTACAACCAGTGGCCGGGCTCAGTGGCTCACACCTGTCATCCTAGCACTTCCGGAGGCTGAGGCAGGTGGATCACCTGAGGTCACAAGTTCGAGACCAGCATGACAAACATGGCAAAACCCCGTGTCTACTAAAAATACAAAAATTAGCCAGGCGTCATGGCGGGCACCTGTGGTCTTACAGGCTGAAGCAGGAGAATCACTTGAATCCAGGAGGTGGAGGTTGCGGTGAAACAAGATCGCGCCACTACACTACAGCCTGGGTGACAGAGTGAGAGTCCATCTCAAAAAAAAAAAAAAAGAAAAAGAAAAGAAAAAAAAAACAACTCTATAACCATCACTCCCAAACTAACTTAGCCAGAAAACTCTCTATTTTTATGTTACCTGTTAACACCCTGTAACACAAATACTCCTCAAAATATACTTTGAAAAATGATGAAAGGGAGTATCAACTGATGTTTTTATAATACCTGTATAATCTTCTTATGTATTGTGAAGCAGAAAATAAATGTTCACTGCAAGGATGGATTTAAATACTGTCACTGTTCTTATTCTAATTTTCAGAGAGAGTTCTAGATGAAGCAAGCATTAAATAAAAGACGCATAGTGAGGCTTTCATTCCAAGGGATAAAATCTTTTGTCATTAAATCAAAGTGGTGAGCCAGTGCCTGGGGGTAGAGGGGTATGGGAAGTGATTGCTTAAAGGTCATGGGGGTGTTCTTCTGCGATGATGGAAAAGTTTTTGAAGCTAGAGAGAGATGATGTTGCCCAATATTATAAATATACTATATGTCACTCAATTATACACTTTAAAATGGTTAATTGTAGGTTATGTGAATTTAACCTCCATTTTAAAAAATCAAAAGAACAGGACCTCTGCTAGCACAACTTTAAAAGAATTAGGAAAAGGCACCACTTTGGAGAAGATACAGACAGAGGAGTGCACAGTTTGTTGAGCCTCCAGCTTGATGTAAGAAATAATATGCTCCTTCCTCTGAGTGGACAGAGCCACACATCAGGGCGCGACCTGTACATCTATACACAATGGCCCTACAATGTAGTCAACATTTTATTCCCCTCATTTAGAGCTCTGTTGTCTCTGAGAGGGTTTAGGTTGGATGTACCTTTTAATTAAAAGGACTTTGGCTCAGAAGCACCCCAAAAAATCCTGGTTGGCATTCAGGAGGGAAGAGATAGATCTTGTGACTTGGCTTAGGATAAAAGTTGGTAGTAAGAGGAGGTCCTTGAAGTTTATGTGTTATCTGGTCTAGATTACTAGGATGGAAGCCCAGAGCAGAAGCACAGAAGCCCTACATAGGAATGTTGTATTCATTTGACTGGTACATCAATCATGTTTTATTTCTCGAGAATCTAAGTAAGGCAGTCACAACCGAATTAGAGAACTAGTAAAACGGAGATGAAGAAATTGGGAGAATCCCCAGAACTTGTAACTAGAAAACCAGAACCATGATATCTTAAAGAAAAATAATTTCAAACATTAGTGTCTGTGTTAAACCAAAGCCACGTTCAGGAATAACAGACAAACACATTCTTTCTTCTTATGGTACTGGAATGGTCTACAGCCCATCACTTAAATGAAGTAATGAATGCCAGAGGGAATCAGCACAGTAATAAGAAATGTGGTATATACACACAACGGAATACTATTGAGTCTATAAAAAGCAGGAAATTCGGTCACATATTACAACATACCTAAACTTGAAGGATATAATGTAAAGTGAAATAAAATAAATTTCATTTTCTTAATTTACTTAGAGGAGGTAAGGGAATGTTCAGATTAGTCTTCGTTCTGTGGCACAGGAGTCAAATTCTCAAGTAAGTGTCATACCTTAAATTTTGCATTGAGGAAGATGTTGAAAATAGTGCCACAGTAGAAAAGCCCAGAAAGGGAGAACTGATATGCAACGCCACTGTCTCCAGTGCTCTTATCAATAATGTATTTCAGGTCCTCAGATATCTGAGCCTTTTGCAAAAGGAGATACATCTGTTTAGTATCAAAGATTCTGCTAAATTTAGATCTGAATTAAATAGCTCCCGAGATTGTTGTCATGACACACCCACGTATTTCAAGCATCCAACATAAAAAATATTAGCTAATCAAAGAATCTGTGATGTAGCTTTGCTTAAGAAGAAGCAAGGAATTCACAAAGAATCATATCTTTTAAACCAAATTTGATGTGGGATTTGAAAATATGTCTTAATTCTGACTCAGAAAGAGTTATGATGTAAACTCAAAGCTGTCATTTCTAGAGAAGCAGAACTACCACTTGGTGTTCTGGTTCAAAATCCAAGAGTAGCATCGTAACTTGCATTTCTCAGTAATGAACCCATACTCCATGGAGGCCTGGTCACCTTTTATTGCATCTAAACAAAACCTTTATATTCACCGTCATCAGCTGTCTCATTCAAATTATATAAACTTTCCAGTTCACTGGATTAGTCTCTAATATCTATAATAAACTGCATACAGCCGATCTAACACTCTGTAGTAAATCACATACTCCAGTATTAATATGTTAAAAACTATAATTTTATGCAGTTAAAAAATCTAAATCTATAGAATATCCTAAGATAAAAGATGAGACAAAGTCACAAGAAGGTTAACTTTTTTAGCACTTAAGATTTTCTTGAACTGTGCTTATTATGCTGTTAATAAATAAATAAAATCTCTAGGAATGGCTGTAGTAAACTGTGTTATTACTTACCCTAAGCTCTCCCTTCCTTCCTTTTACTCTCAAAAAAGTCCGTAAGAAAGGAAGCAAATTTTTACGGCTTGCTTTCACCATTGGAATTTCCTTAGAATGACTTTTTACATAAAAAAAGAAGAAAGGAAAGAAAGAAAGGAGAAAGAAGAAAAAGAAAGAAAGAAAGAAAGAAAGAAAGAAAGAAAGAAAGAAAGGAAGGAAGGAAGGAAGGAAGGAAGGAAGGAAGGAAGGAAAGAAAGAAAGAAAGGAAAGAAAGAAAGAAAGAGAAAGAAGGAAAGAAAGAAAGAAAGAAAGAAAGAAAGAAAGAAAGAAAGAAAGAAGAAAGGAGGGAAGGAAGGAAGGAAGGGAGAAAGACAGAGAGAAAGAGAGAAAGAATTGACTATAGTGTTTAAAGAGTTTAGTCTGGAATCAGAGGTTGTGGATTCAAATTTCAGATTCACTAGATACTAGTGTGAACTAGGGTAAGTTACTTCAACCTGTTGTGGCTCAGTTTTCTCACATGGTTGATGGGAGTGGCAGTGATACCTAGCCCATAGATTGCCGTGAAAATTCAGCAAATTGATACATGCGAAGTACTCAGAACTATTTAGGCACATAATCAGTGATGGGAAAATGTTATCAATAGCAATTAATGCAAATCTCCCAGGCCCAAGAAAGCATCCCTTTCTGGCCAGCTGAATATAGTCTTGCTTCACAGTCAAAGGGAAGATAAGAAAGTTAGAGAAGGAGCCACAGTTAAAATTGGAGGGAATTAAACTGTCATGTGAGACCCAATCACCCAGTTGTAAGGGTCAACACTGAGTAATATTGACAATCCTTAAAGGTGAGGCATCAGTCAATTATTCCTTGACCATGAGGAAATTTTAAGAAACATGAGGAGTTAGGGATCATATTCCTAATTAATGCCAATGACTTCTTGACCATGGTAAAGAAGCCTAATTGCAGACCAAATACAATCAACTTTCAAAGGCTCTCAGTAGGTTCAACAAATAATTCAGGGAGAGGCCAATTATCATTCAGAGACAAATTATCCAACACAAATAAGCAAGAGACTTCTGGAATTATGTAAACAGTAGCTGGCCCAGGCTTATAAAAGGCCCAATGTGGCAGCCATCACCAAAACTCAGAAACTCCTCCAAGCAACCCAGACTTCATACCAGCTCCCAACACCATGACCTGCTGCCAGACCAGCTTCTGTGGATATCCCAGCTGCTCCACCAGTGGGACATGCGGCTCCAGCTGCTGCCAGCCAAGCTGCTGTGAGACCAGCTGCTGCCAGCCAAGCTGCTGCCAGACCAGCTTCTGCGGATTTCCTAGCTTCTCAACTAGTGGGACCTGCAGCTCCAGTTGCTGCCAGCCAAGCTGCTGTGAGACCAGCTGCTGCCAGCCAAGCTGCTGCCAGACCAGCTCCTGCGGAACTGGCTGTGGCATTGGTGGTGGCATTGGCTATGGCCAGGAGGGCAGCAGTGGAGCTGTGAGCACCCGTATCAGGTGGTGCCGCCCAGACTGCCGTGTGGAGGGTACCTGCCTGCCCCCCTGCTGTGTGGTGAGCTGCACACCCCCAACCTGCTGCCAGCTGCACCACGCCGAGGCCTCCTGCTGCCGCCCATCCTACTGTGGACAGTCCTGCTGCCGCCCAGTCTGCTGCTGCTACTCCTGTGAGCCCACCTGCTAAAAGCCAGTTTGCTGATTTTCAACTTGAAATTTCCACTTTCAGTTCCATTCATGAACGAATTATTTCTTCAAGCACTTATGGACAACGAACAAATTCTTCAACCTTTCTTTGTCTTTCTTATGGGGGTTACCAAATATTTTGGCCTCAGAATTATCTGATTCCTTTCAATTCCAGAAAGACCTTACTCTTCTCTCTGAGGACGCCAAAATACAAATTTGACCCAAGAAATGAAAAAGCCGATTTACCTTGAAACTGAGCCTTTGCAAGCATTGAAGCCCACGCTCTGAGTCTCAGCGCCGACGAGACCATGGAAGAGCCATCTGTCCTTCTCAGGACACTCACTTCCTGTATCCCACCGTCCTGCAAATTGCACCCCCTATGAAAGAGGAATAATATACCAAGGTCTAATAAATTTTAACTATTGGTGCAACAAACATATCTTTTTTTTTTCATTGAGTGTACTCAGGATGTATATTTCATAGAATGTCATATGAAAAACTTTAATCTGCTTTTGATATCCCTTCTCTTCTAATACCACATTAGGAAATTTGTTATCCAGAGGTCCAGTGGAGGTTAATGACCATAAAAACATAGAGTAAGTGTAGTTATTTAGGGCCTCAGAAATGGCAAAGGCTCTGTTACCATAACTTAACCTTACACAGTGCTTTCACAACCAGGAAGTTACAGAAATCAAAATCTCTGGCTGGGTACGGTGGCTCACACCTGTAATCCCAGCATTTTGGGAGGCCAAGGTAGACAGATCACGAGGTCGGGAGTTTGAGATCAGCTTGGCCAACATGGTGAAACCCCATCTCTACTAAAAAAAATAAATTGCATTTCTATATACTAACCATGAAAAATCTGTAAGGAAAATTTTAAAAACAATTCCATCAAAAGAATAAAATACTTATGGCCGGGCATGGTGGCTCATGCCTGTAATCCCAGCACTTTGGTAAGCTGAGGTGGGCAGATCACCTGAGGTTAGGAGCTCAAGTCCAGCCTGGCCAATATAGTGAAACCCTGTCTCTACTAAAAATACAAAAATTAGCCAGGCATGTTCGTGGATGCCTGTGGTCCCAGCTACTGGGGAGGCTGAGGCATGAGAATTGCTTGAACCCAGGAGGTGGAGGTTACAGTGAGCCAAGATTGTGCCACTTCACTCCAGCCTGGGTGACAGAGTGAGACTCCATTTCAAATAATAATAATAATAATAAAATAAAGAATAAAATACTTAGGAACAAACTTAGCCTTGGAGGGGAAAGACTCGTACACCAGAAACTACAAAATGTTACTGAAAGAAATTAAAGAAGACACAAATAAATGAAAAGACATCCTGAGATCATGGATTATAGGATTTAATATTGTTAAGATGTCAATACTACCCAGAGAATCTACAGATTTAACGCAATCCCTATAAAAATCCCAATGATGTTTTTGCAGAAATTTTAAAAAAATCCATCCTAAAATACATATGAAATTAGAAGGGGTCCTATATAGCCAAAACAATCTTAAAAAAGAACAAAGTTGGTCTCACATTTTCCTGTTTCAAAATTTACTGTAAAGCTACAGTAATCATAACAGTGTGATACTGATATAAAGACAGATATATAAAGCAATGGAAAAGAACAGAGAGCCTAGAAATAAACCCTCAAATACACATATGGTTAAATGAGTTCATTTATTTATTTATTTGAATTGACAAAAATTATATGTATTTATTGTGTACAACACATTTTTTTGGAATATGTATACTTCGTACAATGGCTAAATCAAACTAATTAACATATGCATTACCTCACATAAGTTTTTTTGTAGTGAAAACACAAAATCTACTCTCTTAGCAATTTTCAGGACTGTAACATATTGTTATGAACTATAGTCTCTATGTTGTACAATAGATCTCTTGAATTTATTCCTCTTATCTAACTGAAATTTTGTAATCCTTTGACCAACATCTTCCCAACACACTCCACCACCACCCTACCCCCGGTAACCACCATTCTACTTTCTACTTCCATGAATTCAACTTTTTCTTTTTTTTGAGGTTTTTTTGTTTTTATTATACTTTAAGTTCTAGGGTACATGTGCACAACTTGCAGGTTTGTTGCATATGTATACATGTGCCATGTTGGTGTGCTGCACCCAATAACTTGTCATTTACATTAAGTTCCACTTGTAAGTGAGAAAGTGCAATATTAGTCTTTTTCTTTGTCTGACTTATTTCACTTAGTATAATGTTCTCAAGTTTAATCTGTTGCCCCAAATAGCAGGATTTCCTTCTTTTATGACCAATAATATTCCAGTGTGTGAGTGTGTGTGTGTGTATGTGTGTGTGTATCACATTTTCTTTATCCACTCATTTAATGATGGACATGGACACTTAGGTTGCTTCCATATCTTGGCTATTGTGAGTAATGCTGCAATGAACATGGGAATGCAGATGTCTCTTCAAAATACTGATTTACTTTCCTTCGGGTATATACACAGAAGTGGGATTGCTTGATTATATGACAGTTCTATTTTTAATTTTCTGATGAACCTTCATATTGTTTTCCATAATGGCTGTACTAATTTACATTTCCACCAACAGTGTGCCAGAGTTCTCTTTTCTCCACTTCCTCTCCAACACTTGCTATCTTTTGTCTTTTTGATAATAACTATCTAATATGTGTGAGACGATATCTCATTGTGGTTTCAATTTGCATTATCCGATGATTGGTGATTTTGAAAATTTTTCATATACCTGTTGGCAATTTGTAGATTTTTTTTGAGAAATGTCTATTTAGATTTTTTGCCCATTTTTCAATTACGTTATTTGTTTTCTTACTACAGGTATTGAGTTGTTTGAGTTTCCTCTATACTTTGGATATTAACCCTTTATCAGATATGTGGTTTATAAATATTTTCTCCCATTCAGCGGTTTGCGTCTTCACTCAGTTTAGTGTTTTATTGGCTGTGCAGAAGCTTTTTAGTTTGATGTAATCCCACTTGTCTATTTTTGCTGATGCTTTTGGATTCATGTTCACAATATCACAATATTGGCCAGGCAAAAGTCATGGAGTTTCCTCTGTTTTCTTCTTATAGTTTTATCATTTTGAGTCTTTCTTACATTTCAGTCTTTTAATCCATTCTAAGTTGGTTTTTGTATATAATGTGAGACAATGGTCTAATTTCATTTCTTCTGAATGTGAATGTGGTCAAATGATTTTCAACAAGGGTGACAAGACTATTTACAAATGGTTAAGATGGTTAATGTAAATGGTTCATAAATTTTATGGTATGTATATTTTACCACAATTAAAAATTTGTAACTATAAACATGTGTAGGAGACCCAAACTTTTCTGAAATAGAAGATATATATGTATATATGCTGGTTTATATTTGCAGAAGCAAGGATAAAGGTGTCAAAGAATGTGCACCAAATTCTTAATATTGATTACCTCTAGAGCATTAGTTTTGGAAGAGATGTGTGCATCTTCCAGGAAGGGAAAAGACACTAATTTTTCTTTATATACCTCTGTACTCTTTGACTTGTTACAATGTGTACTCATTACTAGCACATATGTTTAATTTAATAGAGTCAGAAAACAATCTACAAGCAAAAGTCATTAAAGATTTTAGTTAGCAATTTGTACATTCACTATTACTGAAGGCAAGAATATTAGATAGAGCTCTGAGGATCCTATAACTTGCACAAATTGATCATAGAAAGGCATACTTGGTTTGAAAGTTGATACATCAGGTTGTAGTTCATGTTTTGATGACACTAATGTTAGTCTTTCCAAGTCTGGACAAATTGTTTATAAAATCATGATCATAGTTAAGTGACCATTTAAGGAAAAATGATCAGTTAAGATAAATTCTGCCTAAAGGTTATCAAAGGACAACTATGACAAAACGTGCCAGGGCGACACTTGGCTCAAGGCTAGTCTGTCATGTGACTTGCATAAAGAGGCACTTCGGTGCTTGGCTTCCATGATGAGCCTTCACTTCGCCCAGAGGGCAAAGAAGAAACATAATGAGACTTAATTGTACAATGGAAAAAGGCTATTGAAATGCTATTTATAACTTTATAAACACCTCAGGTATTAGCCAGAGACTCACACTGAAATTGACATCAAGAAAAGGTGTTGGGTAAATATGCAGCTCTAGGGAACATATCAAAGGACAGATATAGAAGGTACAGCCCAAACTCAGAAACCTCTCTTAACACAGCTCTCAACCCAACTCCTGACACCATGGCCAGCTGTTCCACCAGTGGGACCTGTGGCTCCAGCTGCTGCCAGCCAAGCTGCTGTGAAACTAGCTGCTGCCAGCCAAGCTGCTGCCAGACCAGCTCCTGCGGAACCGGCTGTGGCATTGGTGGTGGCATTGGCTATGGCCAGGAGGGCAGCGGTGGATCTGTGAGCACCCGTATCAGGTGGTGCCACCCAGATTGCCACGTGGAGGGCACCTGCCTGCCCCCCTGCTACCTGGTAAGCTGCACACCCCCATCCTGCTGCCAGCTGCACCACGCCGAGGCCTCCTGCTGCCGCCCGTCCTACTGTGGACAGTCCTGCTGCCGCCCAGCCTGCTGCTGCCACTGCTGTGAGCCCACCTGCTAAAAGCCAGGTTGCTGATCGCTTAAGAATGAAAGGGGAAGCACAGCAAAATTGTGCTGATTTCTGAAGAACTGTTCGATTTTACTTGGATGCTAAGTACCATGATGTTGTTAAGCTGCTCAGAGATAATGAAACTCCTAGTTAGGACACTGTGGATGTGCCGAATTCACTTACTGAAAGATGTATCAATCAGTGTTCTGGATAGCTTGCGTTGCTTGAGCAGAGGACCAGGATGGAATAGTTCATCATTTCAGTGACATCTCTGCTCCCCCAACTCTCTCTTGATGCTCATGCATCTTCAGACCTGGTTTTTCCTTGAATATCTCTGATTAATCCAAATAAAATGTTTTAATGTGCAAAGCAAACTGAGTTATGTCCTCCTTCTACCTTTAAACATGTCTTCTTGTAGCTGGTATTCAAGAGTGGATTTGCAATTTGATAATAATACCAAGGCATAACCATAAAGTCTAAACCAGAAAGATTAAATACAAAGTAAATTATGCTTGAATCCATCAGCTTAAAAATGCTCCATGAATTAAAGAATTTTTATAGTTCAAATATTTACATGCTCTAATCTATTATGATTAGGTCTAGACCAATAAAGGTTGACCTTTAGCTAAAATGTTAAGGTTGATCAAAGCTATTGATTTCTATCTAAATGTAATTCTACCATCTTTTGTCTCCTTCCATTTAATATACTAAATGTTCTCCTTCATTTATGCCCCAAAATCTAAAGAAATTGCATTACCTTCTAAATAGATTTAAAAATAGCTACTAGATACTACCTATTTTCCAAGAGAATTTAGGTTTAATTTCTACACCTTAGCCTTTCACATTCTTCCCACTGATCCTTGAATTGCTCTCTAAGCTTCAACTCCCACTATTCACCTTCATTTGATGTACGTATGCATAAGGTGTATCTTTGGTCTAAATGATAGTAGAAGAAACAGCTATAGAGAGCACCCGCTGAGTTCTACCATTGCCATTTGTCAGACAGAAGTGTTAGAAATCTGAAACAGCTCGATTATATTTTGCACTTTGCAACCCAACTTAAAAGATATTCTCTTAAGAAGTTAACACGCTGGACACGGTGGCTTACGCCTGTAATCCCAGCACTTTGGGAGGCTGAGATGGGTGGATCACGAGGTCAGGAGATTGAGACCATCCTGACTAATATGGTGAAACCCAGTCTTTACTAAAAATACAAAAAAAAAATTAGTCAGGTGTGGTCGTGGGTGCCTGCAGTCCCAGCTACTTGGGAGGCTGAGGCAGGAGTATGGCGTGAACCTGGGAGGCAGAGCTTGCAGTGAGCCAAGATCACGCCACTGCACTCCAGCCTGGGCAACAAGCAAGACTCTGTCTCAAAAAAAAAAATTAACACAACCTAGAACAAAACAAAACATATTTTACCATTTAATTTTTAAATTCTTCATTAGGCATTAGAGTGTAATACACAAAATACAATAGGATGCAAATATAGAAAGAAACACGTTTTCCACATTATTTACAAGCTCCCAGAACTTACCTCTATATTTAATTGGTAGCAATGATGGATTACACACAAAATTATGCAATTTCCAAGAGGAATAAAGTAGATGGCAGTACATTTTTCAAAGTGTCATAACTCCTAGATATTTTTTCCCGAGCCCGGTTCCACTACTAAATCCAAAAAATAAAATAAAATAAACCAAAAAACACATTTCCTAGTCTCTTTACAGCAAATAACAAGACTCTTTCATGAGAAGTACTACAGCTTGAAAGTTCTCTTTAATCATGTTTGAGTGGTATTGATATCCATGAATCAAGCCTTTTACTCCACCTATTCAATAAACATTTATTGAATCAGATTCAGTAAACATTTATTAAGGTTCTACCACAAACTAAGGACTCTGCTGGATACCTTCCTAAATACTATGTCAGTTTGGTTCCCAAGAACAGATTTCTGGTCTGGAACAGGAATAATAGTCACACATTCCAAATTGGTTGAAATCAAAGGAACTATAATCGGTAATTCAATAAGACATTGGAACAAAAAAAGGTGAAATCTGCGAATTATGTATGACCAAAGGTATTCCTTCAGTTCAGTAGATATCCAGATATCCAAAATTCAATAAAATTTAGTCTATATATCTAGGAGGAAAAAATAATAGTTAAATATAACAGCACAATTATTACTCTTAGCCTTAGAGGTATGGATAGATTGTCACGTGGAATAACTATTATGTAAAATGAGAGCATTCATTTGGACTAAAATGGAAGTACTCTTTGAACATGGGAAACCACAAACATATTCCAAAGAGCAAAGGACTGATATGAGGAGTCCAGAAGAAACTATAAAACAGTAATTTCTAAACTATTGCTCATAATGTGTCACAAGTATTTCAACATAAGCCAATCAGAGATCCACGGAGTAACAAATTTAAACAAAAACAAAGAAAATATGTTAACAATTTTGTAAACAGCAGCTGGTTCAGATATATAAAAGGACCAACGTGGAAGTCACCACCAAACCTCAGAAACTCCTCCAAGCAACCTAACTCTTAACCCAACTTCTGACACCATGACCTGCTGCCAGACCAGCTTCTGTGGATATCCCAGCTTCTCCATCAGTGGGACCTGTGGCTCCAGCTGCTGCCAGCCAAGCTGCTGTGAGACCAGCTGCTGCCAGCCACGCAGCTGCCAGACTAGCTTCTGCGGATTTCCCAGCTTCTCAACCAGTGGGACCTGCAGCTCCAGTTGCTGCCAGCCAAGCTGCTGTGAGACCAGCTGCTGCCAGCCAAGCTGCTGTGAGACCAGCTGCTGCCAGCCAAGCTGCTGCCAGATCAGCTCCTGCGGAACTGGCTGTGGCATTGGTGGTGGCATCAGCTATGGCCAGGAGGGCAGCAGTGGAGCTGTGAGCACCCGTATCAGGTGGTGCCGCCCAGACAGTCGTGTGGAGGGCACCTACCTACCCCCCTGCTGTGTGGTGAGCTGCACGCCCCCATCCTGCTGCCAACTGCACCATGCCCAGGCCTCCTGCTGCCGCCCGTCCTACTGTGGACAGTCCTGCTGCCGCCCAGTCTGCTGCTGTGAGCCCACTTGCTGAAAGCCAGTTTGCTTATTTTCAATTGCCTAGGTCACAGTGTCTCTGAACTGTTCATCCCTTGACCACCTCTGGACCACTAACAAGTTCTCAGACTTTGCATTGCTTGTGATGGAGACTACTAAGTATATGAGCTCACAATTCTATCTGATTCCATTCTACAATGAATACCTTGACCCTTCACTGGGGACACAGAAATGCTACAAAGCCACCTGCTGATCATCAATTTGCTTGGGATATACTATTTCTGATATTTCTGCAGGATTAAAAATTACTGACATGTTGTGGAATTTATCCATGAGAACTATCCACAAGTCTAATGTTTCCATGCTTTATAATCTATTTTATCTTGTTTACCTAAAATTTTTTGCAACATCAAAGACACCAAATTATAGCCAAGTGACATTCCTCAAGTCACCAGAGAGAATGGAAGCTCATCACCCAACATTCAGCTTCTAAGAAGTAGGCTGGACTTTCCACATTTTAACATCTGATCCATCCCTTGGTTTTTGGATCATAATGATCTTGCCTGCTGGATATTTCAGTTATATCTGTGATACAATGTCTTCTGTCATTTCTTAATAAATATTATATACTAGGCAAAGAAACCATTGTCTTTGTTTTCACTTGTACATCACCTGGTTTAACTGCTTATAATTCAAGAATGTCTACTTGAGGCCAAGAGCAGTGGTTCACACCTGTAATCCTAGCATTTTGGGAGGCTGAGGTGAGTGGATTACCTGAGCTCACGAGTTTGAGACCAGCCTGGGCAACATGGTGAAACCCTGTCTCTACTAAAAATACAAAAAAAAAAAAAAAAAATTAGCTGGGCGTGGTAGTGCACACCTGTAGTCCCAGCTACTTGGGAGGCTGAGGAAGGAGAATCGCTTGAACCCAGGAGGCAGAGGTTTCAGTGAGCTAAGATCATGCTACTGCACTCCATTACACTATGCAATAAACTGCAGCAAGCTCTCAAAATGGCAATTTCCTATATATGACACCAAAGAAGACATAAAGTGCATTAAAAAGTTAAGTAATGGTAAAAAGACACATATTTCCAAGTCGAAAGCAAATGTGGGAGCTTTTCTTTTATTGAGGATCATTGGCCATGTAAGGGTAGGTGGACAACGAAAGGGATGAAGCAAGATGAATTAAGGTATCGAAGGATGGAGACAAGAATGAAAAGGGGGAGAAGAGAACAAAATATAGGAGAAAAGACAGAGAGAAGACACAGTGAAAAAGGCTAGGTATGAGAGGCTGAAAGAAAAGGAGGAAGAGTGATGGAGAAGACACACCTGAAGGGAAAGGAGGTGAACCAGCGTGGCCTTGTTAGTACCATATGCTGTGCATGTGCCAGGTACACATCATGCGAACTTTGCTTCACATAACATCTATACTGATCCTGTGAAATAGATATTGTGATCCTGGCTTGTAGATAAGTAAGTCTAAAAGAAGTTAAATAGCTTGCTTACAGTCACATAGCTCATAAGTTTAGAAACAAAACTGAAATCTGAATGCAACTCTGTCTGACTCCAAAATTTATGGAGAGAATGAAATTAAGAAAATAGATATAAAGAAACGTGTGGGAAAGTTTGTAAGATTTAAAGACGGCTATTTCAGAGACTGTGGGCTTCAGAATAAGTTACTCTGTGCTGCTGGTTAAGTTGTGGTCTCAGAACTCCACATCCTCCCTACGATACTCAGCTTTATGATGTTAGTGATGAAATCTGCAAGCCACATTGTTGCTTTTCCAGCTCTCCATATTAGGCCTTGCTCCAGCCAGCCAGCACCCCATCCTCAGAATTCTGAGTCAGGTCCACTGGGACTATCCTCCAAGTTCAGAGCCATCAGAATATGTCAAGAAAAAATATGACTGTCAGTTCTGCAGGACCCAGCCTCTAAACTTACACATTTTAATAACTCCTAACTCTTCCTTGTTCCTTCAACCCTAGGGTCAGTAGCTGCTTCCTGTAGTTGCTACTTCCGTGTTCAAATAATTGGCATGGATTTTGTCTCCTCACTAGATGCTGACTGATAGAAAAGTTGTTACCAGGAGTGGCCCTGGAAAGTAGACCTTCATAGATGGGACTTGGGGATTGCTTTGGTAAAGTCCCTGAGCTTGAACCCAGTGTTAAACTCCTTGCCAATAAAAAATGAAATGCATTGCATGCAATAACATCACCATTATTACTTTTGTTGTTTAAATAAAGCACCTATTGAAATAAGTGGCTTGGGGGCTCAAGTTGCTGCTGCTCTTGACTATTAAGACAGTCATGATGATTATAAGCATTGTTGTGGAGGATGTCTTCTGAGTGTACTGTGTGCTTTCAGAAAGAAAAATGGCAAATTCAAGACCTTAATATCTCAGGTCAGGTCATAATCAGAGATACAGAAAAGATTCAGCAGCAGCCCTAAAATAATAACTTGTTTGTTATAGCCACAGGACTGATACTGCCCCATATTAAACACTAACTAAATTTAATTGTGTGAGTTGCATAATTGAAAGTTAAGCTGAATTCACAGCTTCAACAAGACTGTCATGTGAAAGTTAGGGAATTGATAAAGAAGAAGTTTTAGAATTGAAACCTGGCATAAGGATTTCTGTCTGAACTCAAAGGGGACTGAAGATCTTGAATCTCCAAGTCATTCTGAGCCTCCTCTACCAGTAAAAATAGATTTCCCTCCTGAGTCTGATGAGAACAGCTGTCCACTGCTGGAAAATCCTCTAATAACCTCACTTGGGAAATGTACTTATATGGAATGCCTATTGTGCTGAATAGCCACCATAACTATAAATTTTTCCTACTAGTCCTGTATTTCTGATCACATTTCAGATGCTCCATAGGGCAAATACAATGTATGATCCAGGAAAAATAGCTCATACATGAAAAAACATGCAATAGGCCAAAATCCAGAATACTGACAACACCAAATGCTGACAAGAATATGGAGCAACAGGAGTTCTCATTCATTGCTGGTGGGAATGGAAAATGGTACAGCCACTTTGGAAGACAGTTTGATGTTTTCTTACAAAACTAAACATATTCTTACCATACAATCTGGCAAGCATACAACTTGGTATATACCTTAAAAAGTTGAAAACATATGTCCACTCAAAAACCTGCATATGGATGTTTAAAGTAGCTTTATACATAATTGCCCAAACTTGAAAACAATCAAGATGCCCTTCAGTAGGAGAATGGATAAACTGTGGTACATCCAGACAATGAAATACTATTTAGTACTGAAAAGAAATGAGTTATCAAGTCATGAAAAGACATAGATGAGATTTAAATGCATATGACTAAATGAAAGAAGCCATTTGAAAAGGCTAAATACTGTATGACTCCAAGTATATGACATTCTGAAAAAAGTAAAACTATGGAGACTAAAAAAATGAGTGGTTGCCAGGGGTTGGGGTAAAAGGGGTGGAATAGGAACAACAAAAAAAGGATTTTAGCGCAGTGGAACTATTCTGTATGATACTATAAGGTGGGTACAAATTATGTATTTATCCAAACCCATAAAATGAACAACAACAAAAGTGAACCCAAATGAAAACTATGGACTCTGGGTGATTATGTGTCAATGTAGATTTATCAGTTGTAAAAAATGTATCACTCTAGTGGGGGATGCTGATAATGGGGGAAGCTACACATGTGTGAAAACAGGGTATATAGGAAACCTGTGTGCTCGATTTTGCTGTGAACTCAAAACTACTCTGGAAATAAAGTGTATTTTTAAAAAACATTATTGTATTATTATATATTAGCAGAAACCTGAGGAATATGTGTAAGTGTATTTTTGGGGTAGTAAACCAAAGAAGATGGAATATGACACTCTTATAGTCTCACTTGGGGAAGTTGCTTATATGGAATGCCTAAATGACGTGGTTACACTTAAAGATTCTGGATGTAAATTTTTTGTACAAAGAATTATTTGATTTGTTTGTTTAAACTTGAAATCAACCATGGCCTATGTTTACTGATGCTCAGATGTCAGGACTTTTTTGACATAACATAAAGGAAAGGAATCAAAGACTTAAGGAGATAGGAATTTTGGAGAAGATTTATCATGTTACACTGCACACATACGCAGCACCAAGTAACTTCCCAAAAGTCCCAGAGAAAACTGCCTTCACTCAAGGATTTTATATTCATGGGGGACTCTTGCAGTAGCCTAGATATGATGGTGGAGATACTCCCTCTCCTTGATTTCAGTAGAGATAATAGGATCTCAGAGCACTGGAAGCTAAGTCACAAAACTTGACTACCAAAGTAAAAGTAAGTGCAGTTGGCCTGTTTGAATTACATGGGTCCACTTACACGCAGATTTTTTTCAACCAAACACTGATTGAAATACAGTATTCTCAAGATGCAAAACTTGCATATATGGAGGGCCAACTTTTCATAAACACTCCACAGGGCTGAGCGTGAGACTTGAATATGTGCAGATTTTGTATATGCAGGAGGCCTGGAACCAATCCCCCCCACCCAGTACACTGAGAGACAACTGTACATTCACTGTAAAGAGAAACAGAGATATAGTGGTAGCCAGAATGCTTTGACCCACAGGGATCTGTCAGTAGATAGTTTATTATGGTATCCTTGGAATGAAATTAAGGGGAAGCCTATTAAAATGTTGGTTGATATCTATACTCAGATATTCAGGGGATTGTATTAGTTTCCAAATGCTCCTCTAACAAATTACCATAAAATTGGCAACCTAAAACAACACAAATGTATTATCTCACAGATTTTGTGGGTCAGGAGTACAGCAGGGCATGGTGAGATTCTTTGCTCTTGGTCTTACAGGAATAAAACCAAAGTATCAGCTGGTCCTCATCTGAGGCTCAGTCTTCTTCCAGGAATTGTTTTGTTGGCAGGATTCATTTCTTTCTCATGTTTTCATATAGTCCCCTCCATCTTCAAACCAGCAGTGGTAGGTCAAGTTCATGTTATACTTTGAATCTCTGATTTCCTACCCTACCCCCACTTCCCTCTCCAATATCCTCTTCTGCTGTCAGCTGGGAAAAAAATGTTCCGCTTTTAACGGCACATATAATTACACTGGACACACCTGGATAATTCAGGCTATTGTCACTATCTTGAAGTCCACTGATTAGTAACCTTAATTACATTTGAAATGTCCCTTTTGTTATGTAGCAGACATGCTACATAACATCCCCAAGTCCCATCTATGAAGGTCTACTTTCCAGGACCACTCCTGGTAACAACTTTTCTATCAGTCAGCATCTAGTGAGGAGACAAAATCCATGCCAATTATTTGAACATGGAAGTAGCAACTACAGGAAGCAGCTACTGACCCTAGGGTTGAAGGTACATGACCTTGGGTCATGACACAAGGGCTCAGAGGCCTTGGAGGCTGAAATTCTGCCAATCACAGGAACTATTAGACACTAAGTTGACACTAATTTCTAGAGACCCAAATGCCACTGGTCCTCCAAAAAAAAGTGGTGACTTTTGGTGGCCAGATGATAGTTAGAATCTTGGTCTACGTTTGAATCACAGTGGACCCAGTGGGCCTGCAGGACAATTCCCCAATTTGTGAATGTATAATTGGAATAATCATGTTTGACAACTGGCAGAATCCCCACATTGGCACTGAGGAATAAAGCTCATTTGGTAAAAAAGGGCCAAGTTGAAGCCCCCAGAAGTTTCCTTGATACAAGAATAGTAAATAAAAAATAATACTATATTGATGGGAAAATTTTGAAGATGGGTGCCATTATCAGAGACTTGGAAAAAGCTGGGTTGTGATACCTACCATCTCCCCATTGAGCTTGTTTATCCCGTAGACAAAGCAGATAAACCCTGGAGTATAACAGAACAATTATGTATTATTATTTTAAATGAATTCAGGTGATGACCTCAACTGGAGATGATGTCCCAAATGTTGTATCTTGAATGGAGCAAATTAAGACAGCCCCTGGCACCTGGTATGCAGCTATTGACAAGAAAATGCATTTTTCTCTGTATCAGGGCAGCCAGAAGTACTTTTCTTTGACCTGGCATGGCCAACAGTAACCTTCCAAGCATTGCCTCAGGGCTATGTCAACTATCCTGCTCTCTGTCCTAATATACTCATGCTATTAATCATCTTGACTTTCCATACAACATCATAACAGTCCACTACATCAATGACATCTTGCTGGTGACATTTGATGAGCAGGAAGTAACAAGTACCTTAGAGGACTTGGTAAAACATTAATGAACTCCAGGGCAAGAAACAAACTCTACAAAAATTAAAAAGCTCACAGCCTCAATGAAGTTTCTTGAAGTCAAATTGTCTGGAACACACTGACATATCCTTTCCAAGGTGAAAGAAAAACTGCTGTATTTTAAGCTAACTTCAGCTAAAAAGGCACAACTCTTGGTGGGCATTTTTGTATTTTGGGGTCAACATATGCCATATTTGAGTGTGTTATTTCAACCCACTTAATGAATAACTCAAAATGCTGCTAGGTTTTAGGGCAAGAGCAAGAGAAGGCTCTAAAGAAAAGTCCCAGCTATGGGCGTGGTGGCACGCACCTGTAATCCCAGCTACTTGAGAGGCTGAGGCAGGAGAATTGCTTGAACCTGGGAGACAGAGCTTGCAGTGAGCCCGGATCACGCCACTGCACTCCAGCCTGGGTGACAGAGCAAGACTCCATAAAAAAAAAAAAAAAAAAAAAAGAAGAAGAAGAAAGAAAGAAAAGTCCCAGCTATAATTCAAGCTGCTATTTCATTTGAGCCTTATAATCCAGCACATCCAACCATATTTGAAGTGTCTATGGAAAACACACGCTCACCGTATATAGCCTCTGGCAAGCATCAATAGAAGAATTACAGGTCAGACTTATAAGGTTTTGGAGAAAATCCATGCCCTCCTCTGAAAATAACTACTGTCCTTTTGATAAACTACTTCCGGCTTGCTAGTGGGCAAGAACTGGAAAAAATGGAATGACTGTGCAACCTGAGCTTCTCATGCTTAGCTGGGTGTTATCTACCCACCAAACTATAAGGCTGGATGTGCACAGGAGCAATCTATTAAGGCAGGGGCCCCCAACCCCTGGGCAGTGGACCGGTACCAGTTGTGGCCTATTAGGAACCAGGCAGCACAGCAGGAGGTGAGCCACTGGCCAGAAGCATTACTGCTTGAGCTCTGTCTCCTGTCAGATCAGCTGTGGCATTAGATTCTCATAGAAGCGCAAACCCTATTGTGAACCGCGCATGTGATGGATCTAGGTTGTGGGCTCCTTATGAGACTCTAATGCCTGATGATCTGTCACTATCTCCTATCACTCGCAGGTGGGACCATCTAGTTGCAGGAAAACAAGCTCAGGGCTCCCATTGATTCTACATTATGGTGAGTTGTATAATTATTACATTATATATTACACTATAATAATAATAGAAATAAGGTGCACAATAAATGTAATGCCCTTGAATCATCCTGAACCATCCTACCCACCTCCCTGGTCCATGGAAAAATTGTCTTCCATGAAGCCAGTCCCTCGTGCCAAAAAGGTTGGGGGCTACTGCCGTATGTTATACCCCAAGCTAAGTAAGCTTCATATTAACCTAATTTCATTGAATACTTACATCAATCCTGTAAAATAGATACTGTTACCTTACCTTTGTAGATGAGGAAATCAAACCTAAAGGCGGTTCAATAGTTTATTCATAAGTAAAAAACAGAAATACAAACCCAACTCTGACCCCAAAATTCATGATGAGACCATGAAGTTAAGGAATTGGAAGTAAAGATTGGTGTTGGGAGATTCAGTAGATCCAAGGATATCTCCTTGGGCAGCTGTGGGCTTCAGAATAAGTTCCTCTTTGTGCCCATTATGTTCCTATTTCTCGGCTTCAAGGCCTCCCTTCTGTACTCTGCAAAACACACTGTGGCTTTGACCGCAGTTCTGTTAGGCTTTTCTACTAGGGGGTGACAGAGGAAAACTGCAAAGCTGGAATAGGAAGGCAGGATTTGTTCCTTCCTTCTGCTCCATTTGGGACTTCCTGTATGCTAAGCAGATCCCAGGATAATCGCCCCAAGTCACACTTCTCACTCCAGCAGGTGCAGATCCTGCCCATGGCAGCACACGAATTCAGTTTGCAGTTTTCTCAACACTTGAAGAACCAGCTTCATTGTCTCCTTTCCAGGGTCACCAGGACCAACCAGTCCTCTCTTAAAACAACAGTTTCAGCGCTACAGGACATCTCCCTCTCTAAGGTTTAATTCCTTGCCTCCTGCATTTAAAGCTAGGCCTTTAAAGCTTCCCTGGAAAACTAGGGCTTTCTGCAGTTTCCACATTTGTGGTATTTTAGGGTCCTCTTTTTTTACCTAGTGAACAGCTTAAAAATTATTCTTATGAATTTTATTCAATAGAAAAAGAAAGGGTTTGGTTCTCATCTTCTGCGGGACCCTAACTGTTATACTCTTACTGCCTTTGAAAAATTAGATTATTTAGTGAGCCATTTGTACAGAATGTTCACTTACTCCCTTTCATTAATCACCATAGTGGATTATGAGAAAAAAATTATATCTGAGCTTTGGAGATGGCAGTCAGAGAATTACAGCATTTTAGACCTGTTAGAATCCAATTGAGAAACTAGAAAGATTACTCAACAACATTAAGCTCTGTAGTTAAGAAAGTTCCACCTTTTCTATCAAAGGCCTTCCATGAAAAGTGGGATGTGCCCAGAGACCTGACTGCAGACGGCCCTTTGTTAATGACTGACTTATCCCCAGAATCATAACTCTGACTTAAGAAACCTATTCTCCATCATGATTATTCTGTTAAGTGCGATTAGACAGAATTAGTTTTAAAAGCTCAAAGACACAAAGGGATGTTGAGAAACTTGAAGGGAGAAAATGTTGAATCATCACATCAACTAAAGCATGAAAGCCTTGGGTAAGACCGGAGATTTGAGAGTTTAGTAAAATTGTTTTGTGAGGTTGAGAGAGACTAATCCAAAGCACCAACTATTATGAGCCTATGTTGGGCCTATTCATTTCTAAGCACGTTCTCTTTTTTCTTCTTTGTTCTTGCATTACAAATATGGGATAGAGAAACAGGAGTGGTAGAATACACAACATGAAAATCAAAATTCCTGGCTTTTAATGGGTTAATATTTAACATACAAAATTTCGACTTTTATTTTCTCAATTTTTTAATATCTTATTTATTTTAGTTGCATGAATGAAACAAACGAGATATTTTCCCAAAAGGATCAGAGAAATCTTGGTCCAAATGGGGCCAGAGTAAAGAACTACAATTATGTTATCTCTAAGACAGTACTGACTTGTTCAAAAGATGACACCTGTGACCCTGGAAAAAAAAGATCCTAGTGGGCTGATAACCTTACGGTAGGAAGAAGGGAAAGAACTCAGGATTTTCAGAGCAACTGAAGCCAGGAAGCATGAGGAAGTTTGAGAAGAGTTAGAGATGGCAGAGGTTGACAGCAACAGCCACAAAAAACTCTGAACAGAAGGAAATTCAACGTTCTCTATTCAGGAGAGGTTGAGGGAGACAAAACAATAGAATCCTAGAGATAGAATTCAGGAAACTCTGAGGTTAACATTTTTGCCCTTTACTCCAACGCTTGTTGGTTTAGTGATCAGAAGGGACCAAACAGAAAGAGAACTGCACAAAAGCCAGGGATAGTAGTTAGAGGGAACCAGAAGCTGAGACTAGAAGTCATACAAAACACTTGTTTTGTGTGTTAACGTGTACTAAGCAAAACAAACTTGTTATGTTGTTTCTCAGGGGTCCCCAAGCCCCGGGTTGCAGAGCGATACCTGTCCCTGGCCTGTTAGGAACTGGATCACATGGCAGGAGGTGAGCAGCCGAGGAGCAAGTGTTCCCACCTGAGCTTTGCCTCCTGTCAGCTCAGCAGATCGGCGGTGGCATTAGATTCTCACAGAAGCGCAAAGCCTATTGTGAACCGCACGTGCGAGGGATCAAGGTTGCACGTTCCTTGTGAGAATCTGTCTGAGGTGGGACAGTTTCATCCCAAAACCATCCCACCTTCATCCCACCCACAGTCCATGGAAAAATTGTCCTCCATGAAACCGGTCCCTGGTGTCAAAAAGAATGGGGACTGCTATTGTATTTGAGTATAGGTTGACACTTTAATCACTCTGAAGATGTTTTTAACTGTAGGAAGGGGCAGAGAGTGGGATGAGAAAGGAATCAGAAGACCTGAGTTTAAAATCCCAACTCTACTCACTCACTGACTGTGACCTTAGACAAGTCTTCTCAGAAGCTCAGTTTTTGTCTTCTATATCAAATGGGGGTTCTAATATGTCACAGTATTGCTGTGAATAACAAATAAGGTTATTAATAGTAATATGCCTGGCATATAGTAGGTGCTCCAGAAATTTTATTTTCTATTCCTCTTCTCCACTCAAGTGTATGTCTTCAGGAGCAGAAAGCCCTTTTGGCTATGGAGAGGATAGCATGAGCCAGATAGTCATGTGTGGAAAATAGCTTTAAAAATAGGAAGAGCATTGCTCAGGGTGATGTTGTATTCCATTTGAATAAAATGGATCACATAAAAATGGTCATCTCATTCTCAGTCCAAGCGCTTCATAGTAAGCACAGTTTTCATCTATATGTTGGAGCCTTCCAAATCTTCACCTCCAGCACTGAGCGTGGTGTACTCTCGAAAATCAAAACACACAATATTAGTGGGAACGTTTATCTCATGTTATCTTCCTCCTTTCTGCTCTTTTCATCCCAATGGACTCAGATGTCAAATTTCCACTCAGGAAAACTGACCGGCTATAATTACAAGCTGTTGCAATACATCTTATTCTACAGAGGAAATTTTTAACTGTATCAAAATATAAATTGTGTCACTTCATGTAAATCACAGATAGTAATAAGAAAGAATGAGGAAGAAGTCACGCTCAAGCAGCTAGAGCATTTCTTCAGTCCCCTCTGAGTAATAAATCCTGCTAGGCGTTTGTGATGACTGCCTCCTGAAAAAGGCAACGTGGTAGAGGGGACATGAGGAGTGCACACTGCTTACCAGTGATCTCACAGGGTTCCAGCAAAGCAAGGTCGAGGGGCACAGTTTGCTTTTTGGAGGCGGGGTCTTCACTGGTTACAAAAACTATAATGAAGACTATCAACAGGCAGGCTTTCCAGGCGTGGGAAACCTAAAAGCTAAACTCCCAAATTTAGCCCTAGATTCCCTATCGTCGGAGAGAAAGAATACCTGAAAATGACGGGGAAGAAAAAAGCTCCAGCCTCCCTCTGCTTATTTAGTAACAACAATCACACCTATTAGAATCATTTATTGAGGACTTACTATGTTCCAGGCACTGCATTGCACATTTTAATGCTTTCTTTAATTTATTCTTTAAACATCCTATCAATGTGATAGTAACATTAGCCATATTTACAAATGACGGAGTTAAAGAGGTAACTTCCTGCCTTAGAAAAATATATACCAGTGGTTCTCCATGGGTCTACTTAATTCAAGTTCAAACACCTCATCCTGGGGTCAAGACTCTACATCTTGCTTTTATCTCACACAATTGTTCTCTAGACACAGCGCACTATTCATGGCTTCCTAACAACCATTTGTTCTTTTCCACTTCTATGCATTTACTGCTGCTGTTCCCTATAGCTGGAATGCCTTCCTACTCCTCTGCCTTGCATTCAAGCCCTGTGTACCCTGCGAATCCCAGTAAATTCTCAGATATTTAAGAGTACACCATGTCCTGCTTGTCCTTGAATGCCTTAAATCTCCTAGCACAGTACAAAGCAAACAGCAGGTGCTCAACAGAGATAGGTTGAAATAAACCAAGTTATATATTTTCTCTTGAAAAATGCAATAATCAATAATAGAGAAATTATAAACTAATGTATAGTGACTAAGAATGCAGACTCTGGGGTCAGGTGGCCTTGGTTCAGATTTTAATTCCATCACTTACCAGCTATTGACTTTGAGCAACTTACTTAACCACTCTATGCCTCAGTTTCCTTCAGCTATGAAAGAGAGGATAGCTTTAATACCAACCTCATAGGGCTGTGGTAAGAATTAAATGACATGATACGTGTAGTGCACTTTTAAAAAAATCTGTCACACAGAAAATTCTGTATGAGAATTTGCCCTTACCATATAGCCAACTATATGTTTAGTAAAATAAGCTAAAAACTCAAAGTATATTTTAAAGCCATAGTGTCAGCTAATATTTAAATACATAACAATTAAGTCTCTTCAAAAAATTTCAAGTACTGCAGGAGCTCTTTGGAAAATCAGTGGTCATTCAATTCAATACAGTAGTCAGATTTATCTAATCAATGGAGAAAAAAGTCTCTGATTCAAAATAAATTTATAAAGTACAACTATTGTTAGAAAATAATTCCAAGGATGAAAATTCCAAAGCTTACTCTAGAATAATTGTAAGTTTAAATATCTCAATACTTCACATAGTAGGCAGCTGAAAATTTTATTTTACCAGTGCCTGGCATATAGTAGGTACTCAAATTTTATGGAGTGTCTATTTTCCTAAACATATTAATTTTAGTTAACACATATTTTTATATATTAGTTAATCATAAAGAATTATCTGTTACTATCTGTATACTCCACAGCCTACAATAATACATAAGAATTAAACTGAAAGCCTAGGGTTCCCAGGAAAAATAGGTAACACTTCCAGCCAGCTGGCTAAGCAATCACTTGCAAGAATGTTGCATGTGCCACGGGACTGAAAGCTATGAGATCAGCCCTGCATGTTGCCAGATGACAATTATAGAGACTATCAGATGTCCTCAAGTGGAAAACACCACTACTTCCATTTAAAAGAAATTCAATTTGGGGGTAATTTTCAGTGCAAGCTAATAAGGTGATGAGATATATCAGGCTTGACTATAACCACAAACTGGAAAAAAAAAAAATCTGATGCAACTGGAAAACACTCCCAAAGTTCACCATTTAACCCAAGCCCAGAATCCTTTGCATGAATTTTCAGCATATAGCAAAGTAAACAAAGAATAAATTGATGTCAATGGCAGCCTTGATACCAGCCATTCTTTCTTTCAATCTATACTATAAAGGAATGCACTGGCAGTTTCAAAGATCATGCAATTCAGGAAATGAAGACCAAATGTTTTTATTTACTAGACATTTTTATTAGGATGACAAACTTTAAAGGTTTCTATATCCTGCTTTTGTGAAGGGATGAAGAATTCCAACAGGCTTTAGGAAAATTGAGTGGCCCTAAGGTGTGAAGCTTCCTAACATCCCTGCTGACTCAGGAGGTGACACTGTGGAAGGTGTTTCCCAACAGCCACCCACAAATTCACTGAGTTGTTGGGAGATGGATATTCGTAAGGCACAAAGTGGCTCACAGCAAAACATGACTAACGCACATAAAAGTGACTATCTCGTTCTCAGTCCAGGCACATCATTGTAAGCAAAATTTTTCCTGTATGTTGGAGCCTCCCAAATCTGCACGTCCAGCTCTGCTCCCTCTCACGGCTTCAGGATGCTTTGTCTGTAGGTCCCAAACTAAACTCATCTCCAATCCCTTTCCTATCACCCCAGACAGCAGCTGTTTCTACGAGTAAATCTGACACCTAGACATGATCCTTGGCTCCACACATCCTCTCAATCAGCATGACCTATCATCTCCACTTTCAAAAGGGCTTCCAAACTCTACCACTTCTTAACAGTTCATCAAAAACTAGCATCAACTGTCTATCCTCACACTTTCTAGTCGTGCCAGTTTCCACTTTGCTCTGCTGTAGTTCATTTTCCTTTGAACATAAGGAAAATGTTATCACTCCCTTCTTTAAGTCATCCAGTGGATTTCAACACCCTTAGAGTAAAATCTAAACTGTGTAGAACAACTAAAAAATTCTACATGGCCTGCCACCTGCCACCTTCTGTAACCTTATTTCCTATTATACTCCTTCAAAATCCTACACGGCCTGCCACCTGCCACCTTCTGTAACCTTATTTCCTATTATACTCCTTCAAAATCCTACACGGCCTGCCACCTGCCACCTGCCACCTTCTGTAACCTTATTTCCTATTATACTCCTTCAAAATCCTACACGGCCTGCCACCTGCCACCTTCTGTAACCTCATTTCCTATTACGCTCCTTGTCTTCACTATAGTCCAGCCACTCTGACCACTCTAACTAAGGTAATACACTCCCTGGCACTTCTCTGGAGTTCTTATTTATTCATTTGTTAGTTTTCTTATTGTCTGTCTCTCCCACTTGACAACAAGGACCTTATCTGACCTGTTTATTGCTCTATGCTTAGCACCTAGCATAGTCTTAGACATTTTGTTGAGGGCATTAATAAATTTAAAAAATACATGAGCATAATCTACAATTATATAAAATTTAATTCCACAAAAATATCGATTTTGTGCAAACTATTGCTATTAGGTGAGCCATCGTTCACTAGTAGTGTGACTTTAGAATCATTACTTAATATCCTTATTCTTGGTTTCATCATCTGGGAAATGGGTACAGTAATAGTGTACCCAATAGTGATCTTAAAGGGTTGTAAGATGTAAGGAAGAAGATGCACAATAATACTTAGCACCATGCCTGACACATGGTATACATCCAATCCATGAAAAGTGTTAGCAGAGGATTAGTGTTCCCATTACCTTAAAAACAAAAATATTAATTTTATTGTGGAAACTGCTGTACCACCCAGATGGTGGTCCCTAAAAACTGAATGATGTGATAAGAAATCTCTGGTAACTCCCACTTCTCTATTCCCACAAAACTATGATATCTTCTAAGACACTCCTCACTCCCCTAGAACACCCAAATAGTTTCCTAATTATTGTCCTTGTCTTCAAGTTTCCTCCTTTCTACAGCATAGTCTTTTGATTAAGAAAATAGCTCTAAACTCAACTCCCCTTGTGGTCCCAAGACCTTCAATGACCTGGCCTCATCCTTCCTACCAATCTTACACTCAACTAATCTTGAGGGTCTTCTGCACTGTAGTCAGACAATACCCCTAAAGCAAGAGGGAATCTGGCACAGTGATTAAGACCATGGAGTCTGAAGCCATACTGCTTGGCTTCAAATGCCAGCTACTCACCCACTAGCTACTTAGCCTCTCTATGCTGCAGGTTCCTCGTCTGTCAAAGGGCAAGGATAATATCATTGCATACATCATCATAAGGTTGTTGTAAGAACTGTATGAAATAATGCATGCAAAGCACTCAGCACATTACCTAATACTTAGTAAGTGGCAATGATAACCATGATGAGCCTTCCCTCAAAAACTACAGTATCCTTCCAAAATCTAGTCATGTCACATGCCTGTTCAGCAACCTTTACATAATGCCTATTGCCTACAAGATAAAGTTCAAAATCCTAAGTGTAGGATACTAAGCACAGTACAAATTCTTCATACTGTGGCACTAACCCACCTTTCCGTCTTCATTCCAACAGATTCAGAACCTATGCTTCAACCAGGCAACACTTTTTGTCATACCATGGGGGCCCTGTGGCATTTTGTTTCAATGGCTGAAATCTCCTTCCTATTTATTTCTATCTGCTCAGCTCCTTTTCACCCTTCAAGATCCAAACAGATGTTCTCTTTTTGTGAAGGGCTTCCTAAGTTTTCTAGGAGAAGTCTGTGGCTTCTACCTCTAAATTCTCATATCATAACCTGGAAAATCTAAATGTACAATCCTTTGTTATTGTTTGCTGGTTTACTTCTCTGTGTCTGTCTTCTTCTCTATGACCCCTGTAAGGGCAGGAGCCTATTGCGACTTTTTGCATGATGCCCAACATACAACAGGTGTTCAATCAATGAGCATTTTATATGTAAATTCTAATTTTGATATGTAAATATCTAAGAGAGATGTAAATTCTAGCATAGGAATCCAAAACTGCAAAATCATTCCAATAAGAAAATGGCTAAAAAGAAAGCAGTTTCATGCTAAGCATTTTTTTAATCCAACATCTTGTTGATTTGCATCTCATTTGGCTTCTGATTCCTCTGCATTGTGCAATTTTCTACTTTAGAACTTGAGCCATCTTATCTGAAAAAATGGGTCAAGAAAATATGTACATGTTTTTAAGCCTTTCTAAGTAAGCCATTTCTAAAGGTTTTACCAGTTTAGTATTTTTCATATTCTAAAGTAATTCTAAATCATCATACTAAATTTTCTACCTTTATCTACTTTTAAAACTTTATTTTTAGAGTTTTAGTGGTTTAGATGAAACTCGGAAATGTCTCTATTCTGGACCACAGAGCCTGGAAGTAAGACAGGGGTGTTCAATGTTTTGGCTTCCCTGGGCCACATTGAAAGAAGAATTGTCTTGGGCCACACATAAAATACACTAACACTAATGACAGCTGATGAGCAAAAAAAGAAAAAAAATCACAAAAAAATCTCATAATGTTTTAAGAAAGTTTATGAATTTGTGTTGTGCTGCATTCAATGCCTTTCTGGGCCACAGGTTGAACAAGCTTGCTGTAAGATGTTGCTAAATCTCCCCAAGTATGTTTCATAAAGCACTGACCTATAGAGCTAATCTCTGAAAACAAACAAAAAGCAGTCCATGGTCAAGTAAGTTTGGAGAAAAATATATGCTATATCTCTGTATTGAAAAGTCATAGAGCATTTTAGCACATTAAAGGCTCCGAGAGGCCCAACAATGAAGAATTCAGCATTTCCCAAACTTACTTACCAGAAAACACTTTCAAGTCCCTTGGAACCAGTGTTCATGGAACTCAGTCTGGTAAATACTGCATCATTTAGCTTCTGAATGGCCCAATACAACCAGCCTTTTGGTTATAAATAATCTCCATTTATAACACAGTTGGATGGAGCTTAAAGGACACCCATCTTTGTCACCCATGAAGGTCTTCATTCCCACCTGCATGTTCTTACCAAGTTATTGTTCAGAGCATATTTGAAAGGAATGCAGAACAAACGATTTGTTATAGCTCTGTTTGAAAGTGCCTCTTTACACAAAACCAAAATCTATTTCTCTATAGATTCTATCCATTCATCTTCATTCAGTTTATTGGAGCCACAAATAATAAATCTAAAATGTTATATCACTTTTTCAGCCTGAGGGCCTAAAGGATCACATAGAACCTGTAGTCACTGGTAGAACAGCAAACAAAAAGCTTACTTGTCCTCTTCATCTGAAAAGTAAACAAAAGAAGTGGGAAACGTTTGCAGATGCCTGGCATACCGAGCCATTATTAGTGAGGGTATAATGATTAGAAGATAATGGCCCGGTACCTTTGAAGACTGGAATGAAGATTTCTGTGTAGTGACACACTGGCAATGTGAATAGTCCTAATTTGACAACAAAACAACCTAAATCTCTTTTATGAGGTGAGCAGTGTATCTTAGGTAATAAACACTTAAGTAATTAGGCATTTTTTATGGAAATAACTATAAACTGAAACATGGGGGAAAAACCCTCAGTAATAGGCTGACGCCCAGGGAGATGGGTATATAAGAGCCAGAGCAGAAGAGAGGAGCATCGAGACACCAACAGACTTCTCTCAACTCAACAAAAACCCACCTCCCATTGCCATGTATTGCTGTGCTCTCCGCTCCTGCAGCGTCCCCACCGGCCCTGCCACCACCTTCTGCTCATTTGATAAAAGCTGCCGCTGTGGAGTCTGCCTACCCAGCACCTGCCCACATGAGATCAGCCTCCTTCAGCCCATCTGCTGTGACACCTGCCCCCCACCCTGCTGCAAGCCTGATACCTATGTGCCAACTTGCTGGCTGCTCAACAACTGTCACCCGACTCCCGGACTGAGTGGGATCAACCTGACCACCTATGTTCAGCCTGGCTGTGAGAGTCCCTGTGAGCCCCGCTGTTAACCAGCCGAGTCTGCACAGGTTCCGTGAGGTGGCTGCCCAATGTCCTCTGCACCATCTGGGCTTCAGCACTCACTACTGCCTACATCAAGGCTAAGGCCATCCCAATCCCCGGGGCCAAGTCTTGATGAATCTTCTTAATTATTTGCACATTTGGGTACCATTGGAGACCTCCCTTCTGTCTTTTAGGCTATTTCATCACTCTTTGAGAAATAACCATTTTGACCATTTGTTAATAAACTTTATTCTGGCTTAGCAAATATGACCTTGTGATTATTTATTTTCATGTCTCCCATTAGGGAAAGTGGAATGCCTACCTAAACCTGAACAGTAGGTTATCACACTATCCAAGATTTACCCCAACAGAATAAGAGCTCTCATAGTGGAATTTATCGAAAAAATAGATACTGGTTATTTGTGATAAGTTAAAAAGTAAAAAATGTGGTAGTTCATTTTATAGAAGCTTTTTATTTAACAGATATTTATTTAATAGATATTATTGGAAGACATCCACTGTGCAAGCACTATGCTAGAGTCTAGAGATTAACAGAATGTTTTAAAAATACTTGATTTTAGTTTCCATTGATTCTGACATTGATTTTTCTTTCTTCCTTAATTGACTAAATGAATTGATCACTGTGCTGGTGTGTATAAATAATTTGATTATCCTAGTCCTCACAGTCATCTGAAATTCTGAGCTCAAAATGCAAAGCAATTTTGAGAAGTGTATATATCCATTTCTTCATATATGCTGTCTTCCAAAACAATCCATTTTTAATTAATGTTAGCATTTATCGAGTATTCATTGATTCCTCAAATGGGGCTTACATTGGTTTACATTAGTCATGACTATGATTAGAAGTTTGCTAGTCTAAGTGACATATAATATCATGACATTGAAATATGCTTAAAATATCAGACTACAGTGTAGTATTTTCTATACACCAGAAATAGTCACACAATTCTGAGAGCAAAAACACACAGTTTCTATTAGAACAAAACTACTACGATAACCACTAATTCATGTCCTTATTTATCTTAGAAAAATCTAGGTGCAATTAGGTCTTTGCAAAAAATAAAGGTATTGTGATTATATATATATATATATATATACACACACACACACTTTTGGACTTGCCTTTGGCCTTTGGGCCAATTGCTTCCCTCTCAGTCTCAATTTCCCTGTTATTAAAGTGATTTCCTACCTATAGCGTGGTTTCCTACCTATAGCTTGGTTTCCTACAGGCTCAGTTAGCTTGTTATTACTCTCTGCCCTGCTTTTGTCTCAGGATTATTGTGAGGACCAGATGCCCTGAAGTGTAGAAACCACCGTGTCCACAGCATCAACCTGTTACACATGAGAGACTCTCACCATTACTGCCATATGGAAGTTCCCAACTTTCTCACCAAAAGACATCTTTTAAAAATATTTATTTATTTATTTATTTATTTATTTCCGTAGCTTTTGGGTTACAGGTGGTTTTTGGTTACATGGATGAATTATATAGTGGTGGTGAATTCTGAGATTTTAGTGCACCCGTACCCAAGGAGTATACATGGTAGCTAATGTGTAGTGTTTTATCCCTGGCCTCCCTCCCACCCTCCACTTTTTGAGTCTCTAAAGTCCATTATATCACTCCATATGCATCTGCATACTTAGTTTAGCTCCCACTTATAAGTGAAAACATGGTTTTTTGTTTTCCATTCCTGTAATTTCCCACTCCATTTCACTCAGAATAATGGCCTCCAGCTCCATCCAAGTTGCCACAAAAGACATTGTTTCATTCCCTTTAACAGCTGAGTAGTATTCCATGGTGTATACATACCACAGTTTCTCTATCCACTCATTGGATGATGGATACGTAGGTTGGGCATCTTTTTATTTCTTGAAATATGTATTTTTCCCAAATGGCTTTCTTAAAAATGTTTATTAATTCCTTCATTTGTGTTCATAAATACATTTATAAATATCAATTAAATGTTTAGGATTACTATAGAATAACCTTTGTTACCATGCCAAGTTACCTTTTTTCTAGTCAAAAACAAAGAATTTTCATGTTTTCATACATGCTAGTAAGGGATAAAAATTAGAGTTTGTTTTTAATACCTAAAATAACTCGAAGTTCCTATTACTACTACCATGGTCTTTAGCATTCACGGGCCCTGGCCTAGTTATAAATCCCCAACTGGAAACCAGAAGATGTGTTGTTTTAGTCCTGGCTCTGCCTTGAGCTGCCTCTGTGGCCCTAAGCAAGTCAATTAAGTTCTTGGGGTCTCAGGTGTTAAAGCAGTAAAATGGGTTGGTTGATCACACCATCTCTAAGGTTGCTTTTCGTTTTAACATTCTATGATTCTAGATCATCCAGAAGCATTCTAAGTAACAAGTACCCCATGCAACTAACCAAGCCCATTCTACCTCATTACTTTTACTGCTTTCATTAGGAATAGCTCACACTGAGTGAGTATCTACTGGACATACTAATGAGGTAGAAGGTGGGACTCTACTCCAGAAGCGGGGCTCAGATACTGGACCAAATTGAGGGCTAGCTAAAACAGGATGGGGACAGAAACAGCTTTCCAATCAGACATGCCCACCAGCATGCTGTGTCAATTTACCATTGCCATGGCAACACCTGAGTTACCACCCCTTTCCATGGCAATGACCCAATGACCTAAAACTTACTACTCCTTCTTAGAAATTTCTGCACAAACCACTCTTTAATCTACATCTAATTAAAAGTAGGTAGAAATATGCAAAACTGCCCTGAGCTGCTACTCTCTGCCTACAGAGGTAGCCCTGTTCTGCAGGAGCAATCACAGAGCTGTAACACTGCTGCTTCAATAAAGCTGTTTTCTACCTCTGGCTTGCCCTTGAATTCTTCCCTAGGCAAAGCCAAGAACCCTTGCAGGCTAAGCCCCACTTTGGGGCTCCCCTGCCCTGCATCACTAACAGGTGAAGAAAGGCCACTAACAGGTGCAGAAACTCAGGCTGAGAAAGACTAAATTACTTGCAAAAGTTACATAAATCATAAGTGAGAGAGAAGGACTTAAACCCCAAACTAAGTCCGAAGTCCCTTCTCTTTCCACTACACCAAAGCACTCACCTTCCCCACAGACAGCAATATGTCAAAGAGAAATGTGACTATAGGTGGCTCTCTTTATTCAGGAGAAAGTATATGACACTTGACAATATATTCTCTACTATCCCTGTCAATTGTATCTTTTGTTGTTTTCTCTGTTTTCTCTGTGGTGATTATAGTCTAAAATAAAATGAGTGTATACAATGAGTATTAAAAAAGGTATCCGTGTTTCTAAGTTAAGAACAAACCTTTTTTAAAAAGTCAGACTTTACTGATTAGCAGTGTCAGCAGAGAAGAAATATTGGCTGCATCATTAACTTTGAATTGAAATGCAGAATGTTTGGCAACTCAAACACATTTTCAGTTCAACTTCAGCATCAATAATCAAGGTAAAACAACTGCCCTTAACATTAATAATTGTTTATCCTTGATAATATAATAAAAAACAAGATATTTCATTTTTCCTTCAAATTGTTATTGAGGCCAGGCACAGCGACTCGTGCCTGTAATCCCAGCACTTTGGGAGGCTGAGGTGGGTCTACTGTGAGTCCATTAAACTTCTTTCCTTTATAAATTACCCAATCTCGGGTATGTCCCTATAGCAGCATGAGAACAGACTAATACAGTATGGATGTGTCTACATGTGAGTAAGTGGAAAACTACACTGACACCATTTTGAAACTACAACAGAAAGCAAGTTTGAATGCAGCAACACAACTAAATAAAACTGAAGGAGAGCTCATCCCCTGTCTGATACATAAGAAGTTAGTGAGTTATTTTTACAGAATTAGGTAAACAGCAACAAGGATGTTCCGTCCAACATTCTGATGGACAGAAGCCGTGTTCCCTGAGATAGGTGGATATAAAAGACCCATAGAGGACAACCTTGTAGAAGAAAGCCTTCCTTTGCCACAAAACATTGTCCTGGTCCACTGTCACTATGTCTTGCTGTGATTCCTATCTCCAAGGATGCTGCAGCGTCCCCACTGGCCTGGCCACCACTATCTGCCCCTCTGACATAAGCTGTCAATGTGAAGTCTGCCTACCCAGCACCTGTCCTCATGAGATCAGCCTCCTTCAGCCCACCTGCTGTGAACCTGGCCCCTGCCTGGCTGCATGCCTGACTCCTATGTGCCATCCTGTTGACTGCTCAACAAATGCCACCCAGCTCCAACCCTGAGCGGGCTCTCTGTCACCACCTGCATCCAGAGTGTGAACCACCTTGCTGCTAGCCAAAGAGCTTGCCCACATTACCCTGAGGACCTTCAGTAGTCATTAAGCGCTGCTCAGCAAATGGCCTTTAATGAGGCCATTTGGAAGAAAATATAGCACTGTGCCTTCAGTTTTACAGAAGTTTTCTTTTCCTGTTTTGAACAATGATTTCAAATGAGAAATGGGAAAAAAAATGCTACCATGGATCCCCTTACTTCAAAACTAAATAAACACCACTACTCCCCAAACCACATACTGCCTCAACATTTAATGCTATAATTACCCAACGACTCTTGACACATGCATCATGAACTTAAAAATACATCCAGCAGAATTACACTTTCTGATGACATCAACATAAATTTCATAGCCAAAAAGAGGCCTCACAGGCATACGTAGATACCTGAAGAAAACTGTGAGGATAGTGAAATGCATTAGGCTCTAAGCTTAGAATCGTTTTAAATGCCAAGGTCAGCATCTACCTTTGATTTTTATTTTTTCCCTGCCTCTAAATAAACTCACGTGTCCTTAAAGAGGCAGTGAAGCTAGCAATTTGAGATCAACATGCTCACAGAAAGGACCTCAAAGATTGAGCCAAGCCCATTTTTTTCGCTGTCTCATTTAGGTAAATCTTTGAATTTAAAAATGTTGGCCAGGCATGGTGGCTCACGCCTCTCTAATCCCAGCACTTTGGGAGGCTGAGGCGGGCGGATCACCTGAGGTCCGGAGTTCAAGACCAGCCTGACCAACATGGTGAAAGCCCGTCTCTACTAAAAATACAAAATTAGCCGGGCATGGTAGAGCATGAATGTAATCCCATCTATTCCTCAGGCTGAGGCAGGAGAATGGCTTGAACCCGGGAGGCAGAGGTTACTGTGAGCCAAGATCGTGCCATTGCACTCCAGCCTGGGCAACAAGAGCAAAACTCCATCTCAAAAAAAAAAAAAAGTTTTGACAACTGTAAAGCAATTCACACAAAAAATGAATCACTCTCTTTATATAAAGTGTTACTGTTATAAAAGGCCATTATAAAAATAAATAAATACCTTTTTAATTCTAATCTGAAATGTAATCCAATTCAACAAATATTTATCAAATGCCTACCCTGTTTCAGGCATTGTCCTAGGTGCTTGAAAAAGACAAATAAAACTAACATACGATTACCACTTCCAAGAACCTTGCATTGGAGTGAGGAAAACAAATTTAAGTGACAAACTACAAAATATAGCAGAAAGAAATGAGGTTGAAAGGGAAGAATAGGCAGCCCATTTTGTGAGAGCAGAGAAAAGGATGCAAACATCTAGAAGAATCACCTAGAGTTTCTTTATGAAGGGGATGTTTGGCTGAATCTTGAGGGATCAACAGGATTTGGAAACTAGAGAATTGGGAAAGGTCACTTTAAGCTAAAGAAACAGTATGAACGAGGTCACAGAGGGTAAAGTACCTAGGAGACTCCCGCCTTCACTTTATGTAATGTGCTGTATGATTAACATATGCGTGACTCACATAGTTATCATTTTTGTGATGAGAACACTTAATCCATTCTCTCAGCGTTTTTCAAAAATGCAATATATGGTTATTCACTATAGTCACCATGTTGTACAGTAGATCTCCTGAATCTATATAATATTTCAAAATCGATTTTAAAAGAGAAGTCAGAGAGAACACAGAGAATGGGAGAGGGTCTTCTTCATATATTCTACTTGCCAAGCCACTGGCTTCTAGATGAGAGAGACTGGTAAGTCAAGAGTAAGTAAACATTAAACATTTCCTTGACGATTTCAATACTAGTTCATTAACTTTGAATTTTATAATATACTGGGAAAGCCACTTGAATTTGCTTATCTGTTCTTCAGTGGTAAAGTGCAGGTATTGAGGCAGGAGACTAGCAAAGGGAATTAAAACTTGGATAAAGGGTGGAGTGAATAAAAGCAGAGACCAGAAGCAAGGTGAAGGGGCAGGTAAGCAAGAAGCAAGATAAGAAGCAGAAGTTAGACCAGGCGCGGTGGCTCATGCTGTAATCCTGGCATTTTGGGAGGCCGAAGCAGGTGGATCACTTGAGATCAGGAGTTCAAGACCAGCCTGGCCAACATGGAGAAACACCCCTCTCTACAAAAAATACAAAACTTAGCTGGGTGTGGTGGCGGGCACCTGTAATCCCAGCTGCTACTTGGGAGTCTGAGGTAGGAGAATCACTTGATCCCAGAAAGTAGAGGCTGCAGTGAGCAGAGAATGCCACTGCACTCCAGCCAAAACAAAAAGTAAGATAGAGAAGAAAGCAAGGCCCCCATGGCCGGCAAGATAAGGACCAAACCAGTAAGGGGCAACTCTTCATGGATAAGCATGTGCATTAAAGAGAAAACGTATCCTTAACATGACCTTGTATGAAAATCAGCTCATTCAGGCTTATGCATATGGACTGCATATCATGTATGTACTTAAAATTATGGGCTGGAGGTGGTGCGCAAGCACACAGGGGCCAAAGTAACTAAGCAACACACCTGTCAATCAAAGAGGCAAACACTGGCTAGAGATTAGGCAGCCTTGGGAAGGGACACACACACACACATACACACACACACACACACACAAAGACGCAAACTGCACCAAGCTGGGGGCTGATCTCATCTCACAGAGGCTGGTTTGCTCTCCCCCTCTTAGAGTGTAATACTGTGCTTAATACACTTTTGTTTCTTTGTTTTGCTGTGGGTGTCTCGTCCAATTCTTTGGGACACCAAAAGCCTGGAACTGCATGGCACCATCTGGTAACAGTATGATGTTCGACACCCTTGGCATTTGTTGTAAATTCCTGCTAATAAAAATGATTTGAAGCTGTTTTCTGTTTTTTTGTTTTTAACTTTTAAGTTCAGGGGTACCTGTGCAGGTTTGTTACATAGGTAAGCTGGTGTCATGGGGGTTTGTTGTACAGATTATCTCATCACCCACGTATTAAGCCTAGTACCTACCAGTTATTTTTCCTGATCCTGTCCCTCCTCCCACCTTCCACCCTCTGATAGGTTCTAGCATCTGTTATTCCCCTCTATGTGTCCATGCGTTCTCATCATTTAGCTACCACTTATAAGTGAGAACATGCAGTATTCGGTTTTCTGTTTCTGCATTAGTTACTAAAGATAATAGCCTCCAGCTCCATCCATGTTTCTTCAAAGGATAGGAGCTCCTTATTTTTTATGGCTGCATAGTATTCTATGGCATATATGTACCACATATTTTTGTTGTTAAAGAAAAAGATAAACTGGTTGTTTTAACGTATAACGTATAAGGCTTACCTACCAATGACATTTGATATTTTCCACTGATTTTAGCCAGCTTTCTTCTCTTTTAAGTAGATCGTACTGGTTTTTGGTAATGTCCCCTCAGAAACAACCTACCCGGAATCTTTGCTTTCTGTTAAGTCAACAAATTGCCACATAACGAGTATGTAATTTAAATTATACAATATTATCTGAAAGGATTTGTGCTGATCATGGACAGGTGTAGGAAGATGTTGGAATCTAGAATATTACACATTTGATATTATCTAGTTCAATCTCTGGCTGACTTAAGTAAATAATGTTGTTTAAGGCATACCTCAAAGGAATTTCAATCTAGTTCAAGATCCAAGGTATGAAAACAAATAAACATGCAAAGTAGGGAGTAAGTCAGTGAAAAAGTGATTTTTATGAATGCCATAGTTCTAAATTGCATTGAGTCAGATTCCCTGCCAAAATCCATGATTGTTCTGTGACTCTTGTGGTTTCTCCTTTTAATTCTTATTTCATCTTATTTTAAAGTATGTACACCATTCATGTGAAAATGAATCAAGGCTGAGGTGGTTTTCTTTTAGTGGTATATTCAACAAAGAATGGCCACTGTGTGGATCCTTCCTTCCAATGAATTTATACTTTGATTCACCACAAGATTGGCATAACTTTGAGAATAGAGACTATTTTAGAAAAAAAAAATCCATAGAATAATACAACATTGAGAAATTCACTACAGATTTAATAAAAATAATAAAAAGGAGTTTCTTCATCCTGTACCATTCTACCACTTTGCTTGCTCAATAGAACCTGAATTATAATATCACTAAATAATGCAAACATGTCCGAGATGCCTGTAGTCACATGAAACATTCATCTGTAAATAGCCATATTCTTGTTGACTTTATTGAGTTGAAAATGGTCCAGTTCATCATTTGAGTTACTCATTCTGAAATTAGTCATTAGAAATCACATTATCCATAGTATTTTAAATTAAGAGGGAAAAACAAGAAGAGTTTGGCCTCCAAAATTACAGCTGAATTGTCACTTGGATTGATTACCCATAAAAGTCATATAAGGTTTGGCATGCCAGAAACCTGTGAAGACAAAATGTGATGATCTTGTGACAAAAATGACAAGTCAATGAGTCAAAAATATGATTAACTTAATAAGAGCGGGAACTCTTAATGGACATGTAAATGACAAACTGATTAGAGAATCTCAGTGAAAAAGGGTGCCATAAACAAAACAGGAAGGCTTCCAGTTGGACCAATGCCCACTTGGGAGGGTATATAAGAGCCCTAACAAAAGAGGAGACATTTGTACCTCAGAATCCTCATCTAAGAAACTGAAAGCTAACCAGACGCCCATTGCCATGGATTGCTGTGCCTCTCGCAGCTGCAGTGTCCCCACTGGGCCTGCCACCACCATCTGCTCCTCCGACAAATCCTGCCGCTGTGGAGTCTGCCTGCCCAGCACCTGCCCACACACAGTTTGGTTACTGGAGCCCATCTGCTGTGACAACTGTCCCCCACCCTGCCACATTCCTCAGCCCTGCGTGCCCACCTGCTTCCTGCTCAACTCCTGCCAGCCAACTCCGGGCCTGGAGACCCTCAACCTCACCACCTTCACTCAGCCCTGCTGTGAGCCCTGCCTCCCAAGAGGCTGCTGATGGATGGCTACTTTGCTCAGTGCCCGACAACGAAGAATCCAGAAGCTGTCCCTTCAGTATTCACTTGCCTCAGTAGTTTGCCAGATGTTAAGGTAGACCAGATGACCCAGATATGAAGAACTTACCTTTGGTTTTAATGGGGGAAAAAAAGAAAAGTATTTTTTATGGTTATTTAGCTGAAAAACCATTTGGTTCCTGTGGGCAGGTGAATGAGTTTTATTAGCAAAATACTGTTTCAATCTTTAAGACCTCAGATTACATGTTCTTGATCATATTGCTTCCTGGCTCTTGTTTCTTGTACTGGGTATTTTCATAGAAGAAAATTTCTTGGTGGGTTTTCCAATAAACTATATTTCTCTGGCAAGATGTGTCATTTGTTTATGTTAGTTTTGGGTATATTTCTTCCATTTTAAAAAGGTAAAAACAGGATGATTATTTTAATCTTTTAAAGAAGACTCTATTGGCAGAATGACTAACATTCTTGCTACTACTAACATGGCTTGCTAACTTTTAACAGGTTCTCTTTCATGTTTGCCTTCTCTTCTCTCTTCTTCCTCAGACAAGTGCAATTTTGGTGTGAACCAACATTTATTTATCTACTCTTCACCAGTAAATTATTGATTTAGTCCTTAAAACAGCACTAATGGATAAGAAAAAATGAAGTTTTAAGCGTTATTCAACATTCTGAAAGTCATAAAGTTAATTACTTAGAAAATCAGAATTCAGCCTCTTGTATGTCTGACTCTAAAGCCCAATTTTTCCTACCACATCATAGAACCTTCAATACTAATGAAACCAGAAGCTTAATGAGCACAGTTATGAAATAAACCCAAAATATGCAAGAGAAATAAAACATGTAAGATTCTTTAACAAAATCCACATCGGATTATAATAGAAAAAGAGTACATTGGTTCATAGATTAAAATTGGCAAGTATTCAATTCTAAAATCTGGGCATTTTGAAGGTGTACCTATTTCAACTTCATTTTCTCTTAGAGAGAACTCAAAGTGGTCAACTCTAGTAACAAGGCACCAGGGACATACCTTTATTTGCCACCATACTCAGCACAGATGTTCTACCACAGTAATCAATAGAATGCCAATACTTTTCAGGTGTCTCAGGTTGAGAGCTAAAACTCTGATTACGTATGCTTTAATTCGTTACTTAATTTTATCAACCTACTTAATTTTATCTCATGAAGATTTTTCTTTTCCAAGCCTAGAGAGAACAAGTATATATTATATATATAATACATCCAATACATTTATGTAACACATATAAATATATGTGTGTATGTATATCTATACACAATACATATATAAAGACACAAGTCAAAATCTGAAAATGCATTGAAATAAAACCACAAGAAGACATGCAAGAAACAGAGTAGGACAAGGAAGGGGAGAAGCAAATGCTTTTTAACAAACTTGTTTTAAAATGTCCTCAATGTACCTGTTAGTGTCTTGAGAGAGAAATTTCTCACGGGATTCCATAGGCTTTTTACAGCTCAACCTTAAATGAACAGAACTTAGCAGCCATGGAGTCTATGGGACACTACAGAGGATATTGTCAACAAGAGATCTAGTCCATTCACTCATTCATTTGTCCATATTTCCTGAGTGTTTGCCCTATGTCAGGCATCATATTGATGCCAGGAGTAAAAAGATAAAAGAAATGCTATTACCTCAAGTCTCAAGTGCCCTCAAGTCTCTCCCAAATCTAGTGAAGAAGAAAGACAAGTTATCATAATAATAATTGCAATGCTGAGGGATTCTGCTGTGACTGGGAGGTGAGCAGCATGGCATGCAAGCATACAGAAAGAATAACTAAAACCCTGATTTGGTGATTCAGTGTCAAAGGTGAGAAATAGCTACGGAAAGCCTCTGAGCTATCCAGTCTAAGCTTTAAAAGATGAATAGGCAGCAGGAGAGGTAGGGAACAGTTGTTCCAGACAGAATAGCAGCTTAATAAATCATGGAGGCAGCGGAAAGGTTGGTGTCTTTAAGCCACAGGAGGTAGTTGGGAATGACTGGATGAACAATGCATTGAAGAGGGTGAGGCAGAGAAGACAGAAATGCAAAGACCCAGACATAAGGGGCTCCTCAAAGCAAAGGGGTTTGGACTGAAACTTTGAAGCAATGAAATATTTCAAGCAAGAGACCAATATAATCATGTTTTGCTTCTGTCTCTTTTCATTATTAATCTTTGATTTACATCTGCACTGTCCCAGATCCCTCCATTGACTATAGAAAGATATAATTAAAACTGGACTTCTTGGATGTGTGAGTGTGCGTGTGCGTATGTGTGTGTGTGTCTAGATTTTTAGCACCCCGAAAATCTACCATCTCATCAAGAATCACCATGTTTTTCCTACATTCACTTAAAGAAAAAAGATACGCGTTGTTTTTAAAAATAAAATGCTTAGTATCTCTGACACATAGTTTAAACTTCCATTTCTAACCACATAAAAGGTAGCTCAATCCCAATAGGTCCTATATTTAGTTTTTAACACACTGGCTCCCGAACCATCTAAGGCAAATCATCTCACCTCTCTATGAATCACTGTCATCATTTATAAACAAAGGAGAGTAATTCTCAGGTCTCTTAGACCACTGCAGAGAAAATACATTTTAATAAAGTGCTGCAAGTCTTGTCAATAAAAGAGAAGAGCTTATTATAATAAACTTGTTGCATTACAACTGTTTGTAATCTGTAACCTTGTCTTATTTATGATTAGAGAAACACAATGTGCTGCATAAACAGTAATAGTTGCTCTAAGCTTTTATGGTGAACTCAAAGTAATATTGTATCCCAGGTAAGAAGCTGATAGCTTTCTGCCATGAAATTCTAATCCTGAGGGTCTGCAAGCCATGTTTCCTTTGTAATGTTTCCCTCAAAATAATTTTTTCTTTTATTTTTTGTCTTTTACTCTTTTTCTTTCCTATTATAATGTATAATAGCAGCAGCTTATAATAATATGTTATGTGTATGAAAAATTCTTCCACCAAACTGTAAACTTCATGAGGGCAAGGATGGTGCCTATCTTGTTTATTGCTATAAATCCAACATTTATCACAGTGACTAGCACATAGTAACTGCTCAGTAAATGTCTGTTGAATTACTTTTTAAATAATAAGTGAAATACTAATCAGTTCTAAGTAAAAGGGTGCACACTTCGGCAGGCATTCATACAAAGATAAATCTGGGGAAAGTCCAGGAACCAGAAGATATCATGAATTCTCCCTTTCAATCAGAGCCATAGGGAGCTTTTCAAATTTTTAGGTTTGTTAATTTATATGCCAACCACTTTCTCTAATCGTAGATGTGATTATTTATTTATTTATTTATTTGTATAAACTAATATAAATGTTTGCTCTTTCCTGTAAGGTTGCTCTCTTACTTACCTTCATCTCATTTTCTTTTCTTCTTTTGACTATGTTTCTTTTATCTTTACCTTGCCTTGAATTTCATCTGTAATTTGTTTCAATCATGATAATAATTTATTTTTGCATAGCATTATATGGTTGTCCATGAGCTTTCACCCTTTTTATCACATGTGAACCTCACAATAATCTTCTAAGTGGAGGAATATGCATGCTATTACCCTGATTTCGCAGAGAAAAAGGATGAAGCTCCTAAAAGTGAATTACTTACCATAACGAGGAAGATAACCAGCAGCACCGGGAACAGTCAAGAGCTATTCTGACTCCTCAGGTGGTCCTCTTGACTACACGTCCCCATTCCCAAAACATACAAACATGCACACCACAATGCACCACTCAACAGGTGTGCCTAAAAGAGGAGGTATGAAGAATGTGAGAAGAACCATGGCTTGCAAGAAGCATGAGACCAAGCTGAGCGGAAATGGTTCGAGGTGTATAAATGATATTGGCCACAAGCCCACCTTGTGCTCCCTCTTAAACACTGAACTATGCCTGCAGTCTAAATAGCGTACTGGTACTAGAACCAGGTCTTTCCTACCACAGCTACATTTGATTTCAGGAAAAAATGCAATACCTTGCAAAAAAAAAAAGAAAAAAAAGAGAGAGAGAGAATGAAATCAAATGTCAACAGATTAATCTAGCTCAGGCTCATAAGTTTCCTTTGGTAATAATTTTACTTGAATTTTAGTTTTGTATTCTTAAGTTATTATTTTATTTAGTCTATATAGACAGAAGCTAAAAATTCAATTTGCCCACAATTAGCAGTGAAGGAAACAAAGCAAGCCAACTCTCAATAGAAGACAGATGGCCAATATGCATATGAAGGAATATTTCAACCTAGCTGGTTATAAAAGAAATACAGACACAACAATCATAAAATTGTGTTTTTCACCAATGAAATTGGAAAACACCTTTAAAATAAAGTATCTGTCAAAGGTATACGAAATGGGAATTCTTAATCAAACACATCTGGTGGAAATAGATAATTTGAAAAAAAAAGTAGGTAAATAGAACCATTCTGAAAAACAGTATGGCAATGATATGAAAGGCCTTAAAAATACTGGAAATTAACATTTGCCCCTATAATTCTACCAAATAATTAATTCTGTTTCTGAAATAATCAAAAATATGCACAAAGATTTACATACAGAGGTGCTCTGTTGCCAAAATTATTGTAGAGAAAAGTGGAAAATAACCTCAATGCATAATAATATAAAATTTTAAAGTAACATAGAAGTGCAATTATATAATAAATGCTAAGAAATATTAAAAGTAACACTATCAAATATCCTTTAAAATATAAGATAATTATATATATATATAATATATATGCACACACACAAAGGCAAGTTTCAGAACCTATGCACAATATGATTCCAGTAATGTAATGTAATGATAAACAATGTATACAAAATATTTTGTAGTAAAAAACTAGAATAATAAGCGTTTTTTAAAGTTTTTCCATATTTCTTAATGGCATATTTCTTCATGTTAATGTAATTTTGATCTTCAAAAGCCTCAAAGCTAAAAGAAAGTAAAATTAAGTTCAACTCTTTAAAACAAGAATACTTTATCAGACAAATTGGTATAGATAAAGTGACAGATTAAAAATAAAGCAGCACTGGAGAGCAGGCCCACATATTACAGACTCACTGTCATGCAATATTCCCCAGCAGGGCTGGTGTTGAAAATATAATAACAGAAGGCTTTGGTGATACCTCATAAAGCTTGTGTTCCAGTGACAAATAGCAAGGGTAATCAGTTCAGATTTAGCAACGAACTCAAATAAAAGTTAATTAGGAAAATGGGGACTCTTTACAGAGTCTAAATGTCAAACAAATTAAAGAATAATGGGTACACTAACATAAACAAGAACCAGGAAAGAAGCCTCTTGGCTGGACCAACTCCCAGTGGAGAGGGTACATAAGAGCCCCAGAGAAAGGAGAGATATTCACACCTCAGAAGCCTTATCCTTCTTTTCAATCAAACCCATAAATACCACAGACTCTAATAGCCATGGATTGCTGTGCCTCTCGAGGCTGCAGTGTCCCCACCGGGCCTGCCACCACCATCTGCTCCTCTGACAAATCCTGCCGCTGTGGAGTCTGCCTGCCCAGCACCTGCCCACACACAGTTTGGTTACTGGAGCCCACCTGCTGTGACAACTGTCCCCCACCCTGCCACATTCCTCAGCCCTGCGTGCCCACCTGCTTCCTGCTCAACTCCTGCCAGCCAACTCCAGGCCTGGAGACCCTCAACCTCACCACCTTCACTCAGCCCTGCTGTGAGCCCTGCCTCCCAAGAGGCTGCTAATGGATGGCTACTTTGCTCAGTGCCTGAGATTGAAAAAGTCAACATAGAAGCTTTAGCATTCACCTATCTCAGTACCTACAACTAATGTACTCTGCTTTAGAAATTGGAACAAGGATGGTACTACCACAATCACCCCCTGCAAAAAAAAAGAGACCAAGAAACTTTCAATGACCATTCAGCTATAACCAACTGCAGTTTGAATCAGTGGATGCCTATAGCTTCCTGAAGCTGTTCGATTCCTTCATATTAAAGTGTCTCTTTCTGTGGGTGGTTTGGGAATTCTGTTTTCAGTCTTGGGTGGTATCTTTCTGAAAATTAAGGAAGTTCTTCATGATTATCCTAATAAATTTTACATCTCTGGCATAGCACAAGTGTCTACAATTACTTCTGTTTATTTCTGTTCATTCATTAAATGCGTTTCTTAACTCTGAACATTGGCATTTAAAGAAAAACTGGAAACATTAGTGAAACTGAAAATGGTGGCAGTATGGACAAAAATTTCTTAATTTTGCTGTTCTTGCTGTTTTAAGAAAATTAAACATCCTTGCATGTAAGATGGTCTAGTACATCGGCATATTTGAAAGTAGACTTTTCCTGACTTGTCCTCCCAAAAAATGGTTTCAGACAGGTTGAGAAATACTGAACATTACCCAAACACCAAATATGACAAAATATATAAACTAATCCAGGTGACATGATCTATTTATGAAAAAAATATAATAATGTCATTATTTATTCAACTAAGATTTATTAAATGTCTATTGTGTGTCCTGTGTTTTATTGTCTCTGCTGAAAATAAGCTAACCATCTGGCAGGTGAAGCAAATACAAACACAACATCCATTTGTTTCTTCCTACGGTTAATAATTATCGAATGCCAGTTGCTGTGTTATAATAAAAAAAGATGTGTTCTACCAGCAGTATTAGTAAAGTGCTGTGGGATCATAAAATTGAGAACAATGAAGACTGTTGTCATGGGGGTAAAGTGGGAAAGACATAGTCAAAGAGGAATTGACTGCAGCTAGTCATCAAAGGGATATGGAGGAAAAGAAAATATCAAAGAAAGACTAGACAGTGGAGTTATGTCACCAATTGAGCCTAGGAGCCGAGAAGGAGAAGAGAGTTCAAGATGGAAATACTCTGTTCTTCTTGCTCTACACAGGTCATGTTTGCAACACGAGTAGCTATATCTAAATGGGGTTTGGAAAGTTATTCTGGAGAGGAAGAAGATATACGTAGGTAAGTAAAGAAGACTGTGTAAAAGTTCTCAAGTACTTACAGAAGGCACAGTTGCAAATACGCTGGCTGAAATTCCATCAGGCATAGCAAAGAGTGGCTGCTGGGTGATTAGAAGCTGAGTGGAGATACCAGAGGTCATTCACTATTAACAGACTTTGAGGTTCCAGCCTAGCCAGGGTAGAAAAAAGGATTGAAAAAGAAATTGAAGAAACTAAGAAGCCTGTGGGAAAGTACCAAGTGGTGAAATGAGGATGAAATTGGAGTCTCAGAATGAGAGGAGTTAAAGAATAGGAAATAAAAATTTGGGAGGGAATAAAAGCAAAAATTTTCGAAATTTGGTGACATTTTATTAACCCATATATTCAAGAGTCTCAATAAACACTTAGCAGGATAATTGCAATACACACACACACACACACACCACCTACACATATCATAGTCAAACTGCTGAATACCAATTAAGAAAAAAAAACAAATCAAATAGAAGGCAGCAAAGAAAAAATGGATGTCTGACTTCTTTTTAGGTAAAATGGATGTCAGAGGAAAATCAAACCTCATTTAAAAGGTCCTAAAGGAAAAAAAATTGTGAACACTACAGTCTGCAAAAACAACCTTCAAAATTAAAGAAAAAATAAAAACACTTTTAGGTGAATAAAGCTGACTTCTTTTTTAAGTGCCTGAAGATCTACACTATAAGAAACAATAAGGAAGTCCTTTTGGTTTAAGAGTAATTTTACCTCAAAGACAAAAAACAAACAAACCAGTTCAGAAATGGACAGAGAACTTGAATAGACTTTCTTCAAAGAAGATATACAAATAGCCAATCAGCACAGGCAAAGGTACTCAGCATCACTCACTAATCATTAGCAAAGTGCAAATCAAAACTACAATGAGATACTACCTCCCACCCATTAGGATGGCTGCCATAAAATAAATAAATAAATAAATAAATAAATACAAAAAACAAAACAGCCAGGTGTGGTGGCTTATGCCTATAATCCCAGCACTTTGGGAGGCCAAGGCAGGTGGATCACTTGAGGTCAGGAATTTGAGACCAGCCCAGCCAACATGGTGAAATCCCGTCTCTACTAAAAATACAAAAATTAGCTGGGCGTGGTGGTGGGCTCCTGTAATCCCAGCTACTTGGGAGGCTGAAGCAAGAGAATCACTTGAACCCAGGAGGCAGAGGCTGCACTGGGCCAAGATGGCACCACTGCACTACAGCCTGGGTGACAGAGCAAGATTCCGTCTCAAAAAACAAAAAACAAAACAAAACCCCTTATATATATATACACACATATATATGTAAAATATATAATATATACATTATATATATATAGAGAGAGAGAGAGAGAGAAATTGGAACCCTCAAGCATTGCTGGTAGGAAGGTAAAATTGTACAGTGACTGTGAAAAACAATATAGCACTTCCTCAAAAAATTAAATGTAGAATTGCCTTATGATCTTGCGCTTCCACTTCTGGGTATATACCCAAAAGAATTGAAAGCAGGGTCGCTAAAAGACATTTGTATACTTGCGTTCATAGCAGCAATAATTGCAATAGCTAAAATATGAAAACAAACAAGTGCTCATTGATAGACGGATGGATAATCAAAATATGGTACATCCATACAATGGAATATTATTCAGCCCTAAAAGGGAAGGACTTTCTGACACATGCCACAACATGAATTAACCTTGAAGATGTTGTGCTAAGTGAAGTAAGCCAGCACAAAAAGATACTATTCACTTATATGCTTTCACTTATATGAGGTAGTTAAAAGTAGTAAAAAAATCATAGAGATGAAAAGCAGAACAATGGTTGCCAGGACACAAGGGCGGGCTTCATGGGCAGTTGTTTAAAGGGAACAGAGTTTCAGTTTTAAAAGGTGAAAAGAGTTATGGAGAAGGACGGTGGTGATGCCCACACAACATTTGAATGTACTTAATACCACTGGATTGTACACTTAAAAATAGTTAAAATAGTAAATTTTATGTTACTTGTATTTTGCCACAATAAAAAAATTTTAAGAGTAATTATACAAAATGAAGTCTCAGACCTTCAGGAAGGAAAAAAACACTGAAAATGGTAAATACATGGATAAAATATGAGACTTTCTCTTTTTCCTTTTCTCGATATTCTAAAAGACAATGATTTAAAGCAAAAGCAATGGCATTGTAGGGTTTCTATATGTAGAAGTAAGCAATTTGACAATAATAGCACAAAGAACAGAAAGGGGCAAAAAGAACCCTACTGTGGTAAGGTTCTCGTATTTTACATAAAGTGCTACAGTATTAATTCCAAGTGGAGTACAAAAATGTAAAGATGCATATCATAATCCTGAGAGAACTACCCCACCCTTTAGAAAAACCATTAAAAGATATATACTTATAAAGCTAGTATAGAAAATAAAGTAGAATGTTTGATTGGCCCAAAATAAGATGAGAAATAAAAGGGAAAGGAAGCAAAAAACACATGGAAATAAAAAACAAATAGCAAGATGGTAGATTTTAAACCAACCATATCAATAATTACATTAAATATAAAGTAAGCACTCCAATAAAAAGTCAGAGGATGTCAGATTGGATTTAAAAAGAAAACCCAGCACTATGCTGTTTTAAAGTGATTCACTTTAAATATAAAAGCACAAGAAAATTGAATTATGTAGTCTGAAAAAAAGACATACCACGCAAATAGTAATGATAAGAAAGAAGTTTGGTCACTTAAATATTAGATAATTTTAAGGTGATATTTCATAATGAAAAAGGGAAAATTCATCAGGTGGTCCTATAATCCTTAAAAATATGACCCAATAACAGAGCTTCAAAATAAATAAGGCAAAAAATCACAGAAGTCAAGAGAGAAATAGATGAATCCAAAATCACATTTGGTGATTTTAATATCCCCTGTCAGGATCTGAGAGAACAAACAGATAAGAAAATTACCAAGGAGAAAGAAGATTTGAATAATAGTATCAAACAATTTTACTCAGTTACATTTACAGAATGTTACCCCCTACAATTGCAGAATATACATTCTTTTCAAATGCATAAGGAACTCTCACCAAAATAGACTATATTCTGGGCCATTAAATTTGTCTCCATAAATTCCAAAATCTAACAAAATATGTTATCTGACCACAATGGAATTAAATGAGAAATCAATCAGATACTTAGAAAAATCACCAAATATTTGAAAATCAAACAACACAGTTCTAATAACCTATGGATCAAATAATAAATACCAATACAGCTTAAGAAATATTATGAGCTGAATGATAATGAAAACAAAAGATTTTAAAAATTTATGGGATACATACAGCATTGGATTAGTAGAAAATATACAGCAAATGATTATATTAGAAAATAAGATTTACATCTTTATCACCTTCATTTATCTCTTCATCAATCACTTAAGTTTTCATTTCAACTAAATAGAAAAAGAACAATTAAAATTCAAAGTAAGGAGAAAGAAATAAATAATAAACATAATATCAGAAATCAATGAATAGAAAACGAGGAAATTAATGAAGCTAAAATTTGATTCTTTGAAAGGATTCATAAAGTACTTCTATTTAGTTATTTTTTAGTTGGCAAATAATAATTGTGTATATGTATATTTGTGGGGTACAATGTGGTGTTTTGATTTATGTATGCATTGTGGAAAGATAAATCAAGCTAAGTAACATATCCATCACCTAAGCACCTGATCATTGTTTTATGGTGAGAACATCAAAAATCTACTCTTTCAGCAACCTTGAAATAAACAATACATTAGTATTAATCTGATGAACATCAAGCCAGATTGATGGGGGAAGCATGAGATAAAACACAAATTACCAATATCTGGAATTAAATAGTGAGAATTTATAGACACTGCAGATACTAAAATTCATGATAAGGATTATTATGAACAACTTTATTTCAGTATTTTTGCAACTTAGGTGAAGTGAACAAACTCCTTGAAAAATGCAACTTTCACACAAAATGAAATAGAACAACTGAATAGCATTGTGAGGTTTCTATAAGTAGAGGTAAGCAATTTGATGTAGAGGTCAGCAAATATACATATATTTGCGTGTGTGTGTGCATGTGTGTGTGTGTGTGTGTGTGTGTGTGTGTGTGTGTGTGTGTGTTTGAAATGGAGTCTCACTCTCACCCAAGCTGGAGTGCAATGGTGTGATCTCGGCTCACCGCAACATCTGCCTTCCAGGTTTCAGCAATTCTCATGCCTCAGCCTCCCGAAAAGCTAGGACTACAGGTGTTCGCCACTATGCCCAACTAATTTTTGTATTTTTAGTAGAGACAAGCCTTCAGCATATTAGCCAGGCTGGTCTCAACCTCCTGCCCTTAAGTGATCTGCCTGCCTGGGCCTCCCAAAGTGCTGGGATTACAGGCTTGAGCCACCGCGCCCAGACATTTTTTTTCCTAGTTAAAAACAAAACACAACTTTTTCACATGGGAGACTCCTGGAAGAGGTGGCCTCACTGGACTCCATCAAACATTTAAGGAATAAATAACACTAATCTTACAGAATTTCATGAAATAAAGAGGAAACATTTCCCAATTTAATTTATGAACAGTATTACTCCATTCTCACACTGTTATAAAGAAATATCTGAGACTGGATAATTTATAAAGGAAGGAGGTGTAATTGAGTCCCAGTTCCACATGGCTGGGGAGGCCTCAGGAAACTTACAATAATGGTGGAAGGGGAAGCAGGCACTTCTTACATGGGGGCAGGTGAGAGAGAGCGTGGGAAGGAGGAACTGTCACACACTTACAAAACCATTAGATTTCCTGAGAACGAACTCACTATCACAAGAACAGTATACGGGAAACTGCCCCCATGATCCAATCATCCAGGTCCCTCCCCTAACACGTGGGGATTTGGGGTTTATAATTTGAGATGAAGTTTGGGTGGGGACGCAGAGCTAAGTCATATTGTGAACCCAGTATGTAACTTGATACCAAAACCTAACAAGATCATTAGAAGAAAAGAAATTTACAGGAAATATTTCTCAAGAACATAGATGGGGGTGGAAATCCATTTGCTAATCCTATCAACTAACTGAATAAAACAATTTACATAAAGGATAATGTAGAGTGACCAAGTTATTCAATATGATTGATCATGTTGTAGGGTCACCCAGATCATCCCTCCACTTCCTTCTTTGCCTTGGGAAACAGATTACCTTGACCACCCTGTGGCCCAGCCAGCTGTGTGTTTCCCCTGCAGCTTGAACCCGAGCTGACCCTTGAACATTCCCAGGCACTGTTAAAAGTTATTTAGGTTGTTGCCCAAAACAGTGAAAATCAACCAAGTTGCTGCACGTGGATACTAGCTCTGGCCCTGAGCCAAATTTCTTAAGGCCTCATGTAAACTCTTATAACCTGTCGCACAAATGTTAAAAGCAACAAGACAACTGCTATAGCAGAGATGCGTGCAAAGTGCTCTGGGAGGAGCCACATCTCCACATGAGGCAGTTGAACGACGTTTCAGCTGAGTCTTGACATGTGAGTTCATCCAGGAAACGAATAGCAGAAGAGCATTTGACCAAGAAAATAGTACCTACGAAGCTTGAAGGATGGCTGGAGCTTAGGGTTTGTGAGACAGAACATCAGGAAGTGAGCCCAGAAAGGTAAATTGGCACCAGGTTAGGGAAGGTCATATTTGCCAAGGTAGAAAGTTTGCATTCCATAAGTGGAAGGCGACAAAAAGCAGGTTTGTATTTTAGGAAAATGATTCTGGCAGCCTAGGTGGATGTTGTAAGGTAAGAGCATAGTATTATGCAAAATAAACTACCGTGTTGTTGTCGGTTTTTTTTTTTATCATGGCCTTTCATGATGTCTATTTCTTTTTCTCTATTCCCAATGTTCCTTTCTTCTGGTGATGATATGCTATAGAAATTGTCACGGGTGATTAGCAACTATCTGGGGCTGGTGGCATGGGGGTAAGAAGAATTTATCAAGATAGTTGTAGGTAAAGAAAGGCAGATATATTAGAGAACGTATGAAAATACGTTGCAAGGAAGCAATGGGCAGCACAGCAGAGAAGGGGCTGTCTGCAAGGAGACAAAGGCGTGCTGGAGATTTTACAGGATGGTGCTTGTACTGTGTGCTGAAGAGGGTTTGTGTGGTACTGATAACACTAAGGTTGCAGTGAGCTAAGTTACATTTTTCTATCAGCTGAAGGTCTGGTGATAGCTGGGTGCAGGAATATTGTGCAGGAGGGCTATGTGTCCTGGACCATGAAGAAGGTGAGTCTTATACATTACCTGCTTTCTTTCTTTGTTTTTTGTTTTTTGGTTTTTTTTATTTATTTATCACATTGTGCAGGTTAGTTATATATGTATACATGTGCCATACTGGTGCGCTGCACCCACTAACTTGCTTTCCTCTGGTCCTGCCAGCCTGACTTCTTTTCCCTAAGGAGGACTCCACAGAAATGAATTCTGGGTGATTTCTATATTCTACGATGGAGACTATAGCTATAGATCATTATACAACACTACCTAATTAATCAAGACCAAAATAAATAGTCCTACCTGCAGGACAATAACCAGTAACAAATAATTTACAATTAGAAATTAGTTCCAGACAGAAGGAAATATTTCTTATTTTACCTGCACTTACATGACTGCATTTTAGCTAACTGGAGCCTGTGATGGACAACCAAAACATGGGTTTTCTTCACAGATATTTTTCTTTTGACTCATTAGGTTACTGTGAAAAGATAATTTTCTTTCAGAGATTTGTAATTTTTCAGAAGTGTTTTTGAATCCTTGAACTCATATTTGTTGCAGAGCAGCGTCAATATACCATGAGACACTCTAAGAACTTTTTGCATAAGTGTTGATGTGTAAAGAGAATCACTAAATTCAAACCCAGCTCTGCCCAGGGAGTAATAAATCCTAAGAGACTATTTTAACTCACTTACATATGTTCTTCTGGTTTGGTTTGGTTTGGTTTCTACTATCAGGTACCTAGGAAGTAGCACTCAAGATTAGGAGAAAAAATAAGTTTATTCTGGATCAAAAATTTTTTAACTTTTTCAGATTAATCTGTTTTTTTCCTATAATGTTCTTAAAAATTCTAGAGACAATTTTCTCTATGCACCTTTGAAAATGAAATAAATGTAACGACTAAAACCAAGCAAAGTGAAATAGATTATCCTTCACAATGGAGGTGAAATCCAAGAGATAATTCAAAAAAATTACGTATCTCAAGTTCCTGTCTGTCAGATTTGGCACCAGAGATTTCATCCAGTGGAATTACTGATTTGGAACCTAAATAGAATTTTATTTTCCAAGTTCCAGTATTTTCAATTTTCATGAAATTCAGGCCTTCATAAATAAATAAATAGGAGAAAACAGGCTCTACATCTCAGAAGAAAAGATTCCTGTGGGTTCCTTGCCCCTACTCTGAAGTATAATCATTAAGGAATTCCCAAGGGACTAAAAGGTTATAACTTAGAATTTATATTTCACTCTTATTAGGAATACAGGTAAAATAGTATAACTTATCTAACAATAAGCAATGAGAAATGTGGAGAAGGCAAGTTTCAGGAAATCAAAGATCATAATTCCAGCTCTAACCAATTTATATTTTAGCCTGCAGAAAAACAAGTTATTCCTATCAGTTATGTAAAGTGACTTTTCCATTTGTACGCAGGTAGACATGGTTTGCACACACACACACACTTTAAACCCAATATATAGCTCACTCCTCCAGTCTTTATCAGCACATGCTCTGAGATCACAAAAAGCATTGAAAGATTACTAATCACACTGACCATTTTTATGGTGGTGGCACAAACAAATAATTGTCATTTTGTGAGCTGTAATACTAATTTTAAAAGGGGACACAAGCAATCAATCCACAGAATCAAAATCTGTGGACATATTATTTTCCTGATTTGTAATGAGTTGTATCTATAATTATTCATTGGCCAAATTTTCTCTTTCTTTTATTATTCTGTCAAAAGCACAATGCTTCCTATGACGATTTTCTGAAATAAGTGTTTTGTCTTGCACATGGAAATGGTGTGGGTCCTGCTTTGGTAACCTAAAGTTATCCCTATTTTATGAGGCATAAAACTCTTCCTCAGTAAATAAACAACTCTAATGAGATGTTTGTACGAAAACTGGCACCATCAGTGATAAAGAAAACATCCGGTGCAGTCTGTAAACACCCATTTTGGGGGGTTATAAAACTCTCAGGAGAGGAGAGTTTTGGAGTCAAGGCAACTGAAGTTTTGCAGCCAGTCTCTGTCTTTGCTTCTGGAAGGATGACTTCTGACTGCTCCTCCACACACTGCTCTCCTGAGTCCTGTGGCACGGCTTCCGGTTGTGCACCTGCCTCAAGCTGCTCCGTGGAAACAGCTTGTCTCCCCGGTACCTGTGCTACATCCCGATGTCAGACTCCAAGCTTCCTATCCAGGTCTCGCGGGCTGACTGGTTGCCTCCTGCCATGCTACTTTACTGGGAGTTGTAATAGTCCCTGCTTGGTGGGGAACTGTGCCTGGTGTGAGGATGGGGTGTTCACTAGCAATGAGAAGGAGACGATGCAGTTCCTGAATGACAGACTCGCCAGCTATCTGGAGAAGGTGCGCAGCCTGGAGGAGACCAACGCAGAGCTGGAATCCAGGATCCAAGAACAATGTGAACAGGATATCCCAATGGTGTGCCCGGATTATCAGCGTTACTTCAACACCATTGAAGATCTCCAACAAAAGGTCTGTGTCCTGTTGCCCTAGTGCTCCACCTTCCTGATCTATGGTTTGCTTTATCTTTCTACTAGAAGGGGCTGTTTTACAGAAGGAAACCAAGGGAAAGGAAAATTCTAAGAGTTAGTGATACATAGGGGAGAGCACCGGACTGAAAGTCAGAAAACCTCAGCATCAGCCCCAGAGCTACCCCTGATTACTGAGTGACTATAATAAAGTAACTTGCCTGTAGACTTTTCCTTCATCATCTATAGAATGCAGAAAAACTGTATTATATCCAAAATCGCTTTTGTACGTGACACTGAACATTTACATTATCTGAACACAGATCATGAAATGCCATCTTTTTAACTACCTAGTAATCATTTTCTTCTCTCCATGAATTTCTATTATTATGGGAGAGGATATACTCATAATACAAACTACTGATGGAGAAAACATTAATGGTGTTCAACTGCCTGAGAATGTTGCAAAATGTCTTATGTTATTAAAAAACTAAACCTTTTTATTTCATTATTTTGTTTCTAAATTGGCTCTGCTTTTTTTCTTCATGAAGTGACAAGGTTAATAAAAAAAAGCAGGCTGAGGGTGATTTTATACTTTCTTATAAAGACTTTCAAAAGATAGCTAATGGCATAGCTGTTGGATAGAAGTTTACTTAGGTTTCTCTCAAAGAATCATTTATCACATAATGACTTGCTTCCCAGATCTTATGCACGAAAGCAGAGAATTCTAGACTTGCTGTACAGCTTGACAACTGCAAACTGGCCACTGATGACTTTAAGTCAAAGTAAGTTTAATTTAATTTTATTTTATTTATTTATTTTGAGATGGAGTTTCACTCTTGTCACCCAGGCTAGAGCTCAATGGTGCTATCTCAGCTCACTGCAACCTCTGCCTCCTGGGTTCAAGTGGTTCTCCTGCCTCAGCCTCCTGAGTAGCCGGGATTACAGGCAGGCGTGCACCGCCACACCTAGCTAATTTTTGTATTTTTAGTAGAGACAGGGTTTCACCATGTGGGCCAGGTTGGTCTCGAACTCCTGACCTCAGGTGATCTGCCCGCCTTGGCCTCCCAAAGTGCTGGGATTACAGGCATGAGCCACCACGCCCGGCTTTAATTTTAATTTGAAAATAACTTATGGCTCTCTCTCTCTCAATCTCTCTCTCTCACACACACACACACACACAAATATTCTCTATATAATATTTTAAAGTTAAGAATGTTTTAAAAGCTTGAATTTATCATTACTTAGGAATTAAGAGAAATTATGCACATGGCTTCCTGAAGTCCGTGTGTCGATCCTCCATGTATCCCCACACTTTGCACAGCGTTCAGCAAAGTAAGCGTTGGATTTCTCTTTTGCTGTGAAAGGTACGAGAGTGAACTGTCCCTTCGCCAGCTGTTAGAGGCTGACATCAGCAGCCTGCATGGGATCCTGGAGGAACTGACCCTGTGCAAATCTGATCTGGAGGCCCATGTGGAGTCTCTGAAGGAAGATCTCCTTTGCCTTAAGAAAAACCATGAAGAGGTAAGGAAAGTGGCAACTCCGCTGAAGGACTCCGAGAGTAACGTACTTACATTGACAGATGATCTGTTGATGTTTGTAAATCGAATTTGGGCAGATGTTGTTTAAGCTGGAATAAAACTACTTGAGGCAGGGCCAGGCATGGTGGCTCACACCTGTAATCCAAGCACTTTGGGAGGCTGAGGCAGGAGGATCACAAGGTCAGGAGTTCGAGACCAGCCTGACCAATATGATGAAACCTCATCTCTACTAAAAATACAAAAATTAGCTGGGCATGGTGGCAGGCGCCTGTAGTCCTAGCTACTCGGGAGGCTGAGGCAGGAGAATCACTTGAACTCAGGAGGCGGAGGTTGCAGTGAGCCGAGATCTTACCACTGCACTCCAGCCTGGGTGACAGGGCGAGACTCCATCTCAAAAAACAAACAAACAAACAAACAAACAAAAACTACTCGAGGCATTATTACTATTCAACCTGATCATTCCAGTGTGTCTCTGATTTAAGGTGTGAAATAACCCCTAGACAGCGCCAGAGGAAGGAATCAAACTCTTCTCCTGCCCTTGCCTTTGTGGAGGAGGTAACTTCACAAATGGCTTCCTTTGGAGGCTTTATGCCACCCCTAGCTCCAGTCCACAGGGTATGAAAATCAGGCTGAGGAACAGACTGTGAAGTCCATTTCAAAAAAGGGATAAAGACTGTGCACTATCTGGACCAGTGTTTTTAAATATTCCGCATTTATAAACTTCTAAAAATCATAAAATATACAGCCACTGATATATTGATAAAGCTAGAAAATGAAAAGCTGAATGATGTAACAAAGTACATTTGCTCTTTGAACGTTTGTTGATGACAATCATAGCTAACATTTATTGACACCTTACTATGTGTCATAATTAACTTTTATAAGTTAATTATGTGTAGATTGACTCTTCTAGATCTCACAATAACTTTCTGGAAAAATGTCCAATTATTATGTCCATTTTACAGACGAAGAAACTGAGGCCCTTCTAAGTGGTGAAAAGAGATTCAGCCCAGGCAATCTGAATCAAAATCTCACACTTTTACCCACTGCTCCAAAAAACAGAAGTAGAATGCCATTGGATGTCAAATGGATTTTTCCCCACCATTCTGTGACATTCTTTACACCATCCCACTTTCAGGAAGTCAACTTGCTTCGTGAACAGCTTGGCGACCGCCTCAGTGTGGAGCTGGACACTGCCCCCACCCTTGACCTCAACAGGGTCCTGGATGAGATGCGCTGTCAGTGTGAAACGGTGCTTGCCAACAATCGCAGAGAAGCTGAAGAATGGTTGGCTGTTCAGGTCAGTACCCAGATTGAAAAAATGTCAGGCTTACAGACTTCTGCCTTTTTTGAATTCTCTAATGGTGTCTGTGTTTCAGACAGAAGAGCTGAATCAGCAGCAACTGTCCAGCGCGGAGCAGCTGCAGGGCTGCCAGATGGAGATCTTGGAACTGAAACGCACAGCCAGTGCTCTGGAAATTGAGCTCCAAGCACAGCAAAGCCTGGTGCGTGAGGCAAAGGCAGTGTCCGTTGTGTCACTGATAAGTCAGGCCCTGAGATGTTAAGCCCTCTTCCATATCCGAGGATCACATTTCCTTGCCTTTCCCGAGTACTGCCGTTTACCCAGCTATTAATAGAAGCAGAAGTGACAGGTCCACAGCTTGTCCTCTAAGATGCCTTACCTTCACTCCTGGGCTTGAGTCTGATGCTGCAGCAGCCTCCAGAGACAGGGAGGGAGAAGCAGAGCTGGAGAGAAACCTCCGGGCCATGGTCGCTTAAGCATTCTGGCAGGTTTTAATTCTCATTTGATTCAGGCCAGTTTTCCAGGCTCACTGTTATATCTAAAACAAAGAATCATTTTCAAACATTTCATCCTACAGTTTCCCAGGATCTACACTTCAACCTTATCCTTCACTGCACCACCCCCCACTCAAGCAACAGGAACACCATGCGTTCAAGATGACATGAACCAGTTCTGGTCAAGCACCACTGTGTGCATGTCATTAGGCCCTGCGGAGAACACCTAGAAGAACAATAGCTGAGCATTCATCCTGTGAGAGGCACTATGCTGATTTAAGGCTCACAGTAACTTTACCGGATAGATACCTTTATCCCATGACACAGATAAGGAAAACTGAGACTCAGATTAAGTAACTTGCAAAGGATGCAATTCTAAGAGGCAAACTTGGAAGCTGAGTTCAGCCAGTTGAATCCCAGAGTCTCTTCTCTCTCTCTTTTTAAATTTATTTTTATTGATATATAATATGCGTAAATTTTTTTTACGTAGATGTGATATTTTGTTACATGCATAGAATGTGTAATGATCAAGTCAGGATATTTAGAGCATCCATCACCTCAAGTATTTATCATTTCTATGTGTTGGGAGCATTTCAAGTCCTCCCATCTAGCTATTTTGAAATGCACAGTGTATTGTTGTTAACTGTAGTCACACTTCTCTGCTGTCCAACATGAAAACATATTCTTTCTGTCTAACTGTATGTTTGCACCCATTAACCAACCTCTCTTCATCCCCTTACCACACATATGCCAGTCCCAGCCTCTGGTATCCAGAGCCTCTTCTCTTAATAGCACTATACTACCCCTCCCTGCCAAGAGCCCAAACTCAATCTTTCCTCTCATATGTTGTGGATAGTCCTTAAGCTTCACAAATATGTCATGTATTGCTGTAGTCATAGTGGTGGTAGTGATAGTTGACACGTAGAACAGTGGCAGTATGGCTGGCACTGTTCTAAATGCTTTACGCACATTAACTCTTTTTTTTTTTTTTTGGACGGAGTCTCCCTCTGTCGCCCAGGCTGGAGTGCAATGGCATGATCTTGACTTACTGCAAGCTTTGCCTCCCGGGTTCACACCATTCTCCTGAGTAGCTGGGACTACAGGCGTCCACCACCGTACCCAGCTAATTTTTTATATTTTTAGTAGAGACGGGGTTTCACCGTGTTAGCCAGGATGGTCTCGATCTTCTGACCTTGTGATCCGCCCGCCTCGGCCTCCCAAAGTGCTGGGATTACAGGCCTGAGCCACCGCGCCCAGCCCGCATATTAACTCTTAATCTTCACAACCGTCTAATGAAACAGATACTTTGTATTCTCCACTATACAGAGAATAAAACTGAGACTCACAGAAGCTAAATAATTTGCCAGTGGTCACATAGCTAGAAAAGGGTAAGCAGGAATTTGAAAGTAGGCACTCTGGCCCGAGAGACTGCACTTCATGGTCCTTTGGACAATGTTTCCTCCCGCAGACAGAATCTCTGGAATGCACCGTGGCAGAAACCGAGGCCCAGTACAGCTCCCAGCTGGCCCAAATTCAGTGTCTGATCGATAACCTGGAGAACCAGCTGGCCGAGATCCGCTGCGACCTGGAGCGACAGAACCAGGAGTACCAGGTGCTCCTGGACGTGAAGGCCCGGCTGGAGGGTGAGATCAACACGTACTGGGGCCTGCTGGACAGCGAGGACAGCAGGCAAGTTCCACAGTTACTCATGAAATCCCCCAGAGTCACAAAGAGGCTGATGTAAAAGAATCCTGTTTCCCCAAAGTCTGGACAAGTTCAGACCTCCCCAGTGTGTTTAGGGATCTTCTTAAAAAAGTGCTGAAAAGTGGCTGAGGTTAAGAACATGACACTAGAGATATTTTTAAAATATTCTAAAGGCAGATTAATTATTAGTGTAACATTTCATGCTGGCATCTCCCTTTGTTCCTGTTTTCCACTAAAGGAAAATCAGGAATAGGCCTAAGATAACATTTGCAAAATCAAGAAAAAATATAAAATACTATTCAACTGCCACTGCTACAGTGAACATGAAGTGGCAATTCTGGGTGCAGAGAAGAAACAGGCTTCAGTCAATGCTATTGTGCAGAGTTTTTTTCAGAACATAATTTGTAGGGCAAATTTTGACACGGTTTTTCTGAGTTGCCATTTTATCAACATTCCCTTGTTAATCTTGGTTGAAAATCGATTTTTCCCCAGGCTTTCCTGTAGCCCATGTTCGACCACATGCACCTCGAGCAACACTTGTGAGCCATGCTCAGCCTATGTCATCTGCACTGTTGAAAACTGCTGCTTGTGAATGTTAAGGACAGCAGGTAGAGGAATCAAAGCCAGCAGCATCCTAGAAAGGAGATGGGGCTTCAACCAGGGACATCCAAACCGGAAGCACAAATCCAGGAGGCTCTCATATCCTGGAATTGCCCTCCAGGTATCCTCAGTCTTTCTGCTTTACTATTTCCTCTCCTTCCGGCTTATTTGTGGTATACTGGAAGCCCATAAAGCATTCTTGCTCATCTCCAAATAAAACGTGTTTTATTCCTTTAGCGTGGTAAATATAGCTCTATGGCTGATTACTGTTGATAGAATATTCATTTTATGGCAAGGAAATCATCTAAACCCATAACCATAGTTTCAATGTACATAAACCCAGGCTGAAAATATTTTTTAACTCCTCAAATACAAATAAATTAATGAACCCATGAGAAATGTCATATATCTTAGAAAATAGTTGTGTGTATCTTTCTGAGGAAAAATATTAGGAATAAAATATGATAAAATGTATTTTTTGATTATAAAAGTACTAGATTCTCTTTTTTTAAATTTGGCTCATTAAAAGGGAAAAGGTCACTTATGATTTCATCTTCCAAACAGCCATAGTCAATATTTTGGGGTACTTTCTTCCAGTTTTCTTTCTTATAATAGATTTTTCCACACAGCTATAATCATACTAACATATGCACACACTTGTGTAAACTTTCTTTCATTTATGTCATCTAAGCATTTTTAATTCTAATAAAAACATAAGATTGTATTGTAGCCATCACTTTTTTTATTTTTTATTTTTTTTTTGAGACAGAGTCTTGCTGTGTCACCCAGGCTGGAGTGTAGTCACACTATCTGGGCTCACTGCAACCTCTGCCTCCTGGGTTCAAGCGATTCTCCTGCCTCAGCCTCCCAAGTAGCTGGGACTACAGGTGTCTGCCACCACACCAGGCTAATTTTTTTTTTTTTTTAGTAGAGACAGGGTTTCACCGTGTTAGCCAGGATGGTCTCAATCTCTTGACCTTGTGATCCACCAGCTTCAGCCTCCCAAAGTGCTGGGATTACAGGTGTGAGCCACTGCACCCAGCCTGTAGCCATCATTTTACTGGTTGCATAATGTACCATAAGGTACATTGATCTGTTATTGGACATTTAGGTTATAAGAATAATTATTCTCATATATTTAAAAAACAAGGTAGAGAACTTCCAGAATGATGTATATTTCCATATTCCTCCTCCTAAAAACCCTGGAAATTACATATCAAATAAACATAAGAGGACTCTGAAAGGTAGAAGAAGAAGCCAAACCACCTAAAGATGTTGAGACTCCAGGAGTGACACTGTGGTGAGCTCCCTGGATTAGCTTTTTATCTCATATATCCCAGAGGGGGAGCTGGAGAAACCAACAACCAGAAACACCAACAGGTGCAGACAAAACAAACAAACAAACAAACAGAAAGAGCTTGCTCTGCTTAAAGAACCAGAAAAGAGGCAGCCTAGAAAGGCGGAAAACCTTTAGACAATAACCACTCAACTCAGCCAAACACCACAGAAAATATCATTTCACCCACCCATATCCACACAAGGAAAGGCCAGGTGGGGAGTCCAGACTTCTATCCTTCCCAGGCTGTAATAAGGCACTCAAACTTCACCACTGGGGTGGAATCAGGGAAGGCTAAGTGAGAGATCCAGGACTTTCATTCCTACTATGAGACATGGAAGCACTCCCTGTCCCACCATCATGGTATCAGTGGAGACCACACGGGAAGCCTGGACTTAACTCTACAGGCTGCAGTGAGGCTCTTCTTTTCTCCTCTGGGGTTAGTGTCACAAGAGTCCTACTGGACAGTCAGAACTCTTTCCCTCCTCCAGCAGTACCAAGGCCACCCCCATGCAGTGTCAGTGGAAGCTGCATGGGAGCAATAACAAGATATTCCTGCCCCTCCTGGCCAGGGTGGTATCAGCAGAGGCCAGGTAAGGAGTCTAAAATCCTCCCTCCCAGCAGTGATGAGGGGGGCTCTCCCCTTGGGTGTCAATAGGGGCAAAGTGGAGAGAACCTGTATTTCTACTCCCACCTGGTAGGAATGAAGCAGTGTCCCCCTTCCCCTGCCAAAACAGTGTCAGAGGAGACCTGCTAGAACATAAGATTAAACAGTATCCTGAATCTCATAACATAATGCCCCAATGTCCAGGTTTCAATCAACAATTGCTCTTTATACCAAGGATCATAAAATCTCAACTTACAGGAAAAAAGATGATCAACAAATTCAAACATCAAGAGGAAAAAGACGTTAGAATTAACTGACAAGGGTTTTTAACTTTTTATTTGTTATTTTTCTGGGTACATAGATGTATATATTTATGGGGTACATGAGATGATTTGACACAGGCATGCAATGTGTAATAATCACATGGAGAATGGGGTGTCCATCCCCTCAAGCATGTATCTTTGGTGTTACAAACATCCAGTTACACTATTTTACTTATTGACAATGATTTTTAAATAGTCATCATAAAAATGCTTCAGTAAGCAATGCTTCAATAAACTCTTACAACAAATGCAAAAATAGAGAAGACTCAATGAAGAAGATGGAAAGACTCCAGTGGAAATTTCAGAACTGAAACATACCATAGAACCAAAATAGAAACCTCAATGGAGATGGGCTTAACAGCAGAATGCAGGCCAGAGAGGAAAACATCAGGGAATTTGATGATACAATAATAGACATCATCCGACCTGAAAAACGGAAAAAAAATAGTGTTAAAAAGATAGAGTCTCAGGGAATTTTGGGGCTATATCAAACGATCTAACATTCATGTCAGTGGAGTTCTGTAAGGGAGGAGAAAAAGTGAAGCCAAAAACATTTGAAGGAATAAACACTGAAAATTTACAAATATGGCAAAAGACAAAAACCTACAGATTCCAGAAACCAAGCAAACCCCAAAAATGATAAACCCTAAGAAATCTACACCAGGAAATATCATATTCAAACTTTTGAAAGCTAAAGACAAAAAAAATTATGAAAGCAGTGAGAGAGAAATGACACCTTACCAATAGAAGAAAACAATTTAATTGATGGCAGGTATGTCACCATAAACCATGGAAGCCAATATGAAGTAATACAATAGTTTTCAAATGCTAAAAGAAAAAAAAAAACTGTCGGCCAGGCGTGGTGACTCACACCTGTAATCCCAGCACTTTGGGAGGCCAAGGAGGATGGATTACAAGGTCAAGAGATCGAGACCATCCTGGCCAACATGGTGAAACCCCATCTCTACTGAAAATACAAAAATTTGCTGGGTGCGGTGGCGGGCACCTGTAATCCCAGCTACTCGGGAGACTGAGGCAGGAGAATTGCTTGAACCCGGGAGGCGGAGGTTGCAGTGAGCAGAGATCGTGCCACTGCACTCCAGCCTGGGTGACAGAGCAAGACAAAAAAGAAAAAGGAAGGAAGGGAGGGAGAGAGGGAGGGAGGGAAGGAAAGGAAAGAGAAACAAAGAGAGAGAGAGAAAGAAAGAAAGAGAAAGAAGAGAAGAGAAGGAAGGAAGGAAAGAAAGAAGGAAAAAGAAAAGAGAAAAGAAAAGAAGAAAAGAAAGGAGGGAGGGAGGGACGGAACGAAGGAAGGAGGGAGGGAGGGAGGAAGGGAAGGAAGGAAGGAAAAGAAGAAGGAAAGGAAGGAAGGAATGAAGGAAGGGAGGGAGGGAAGGAAGGAAGGAAAAGAAGAAGGAAAGGAAGGAAGGAAGAAAGAAAGAAAGAAAGAAAGAGAGAAAGAAACTGTCAACCCAGATTTATATACCCTTTGAAAATATCGTTCAGAAAACCAAAGAGAAATCAAGACATTCTCAGATGAAGGAAACTTAAAAGATGTGGCCAGCAAACCAACCTAAAACAATGACTAAAGAAAATTCCCTAAACACAAACAAAACTATAAAATAAGGAAACTTGGAAGATCAGACAGGAAAAAATATAATAAAAAATTAATATATGATTAATTTAAATAAATTTCTTTCTCCTCCTGAGTTTTCTAAATTATGTTTCATGGTTGAGGCAAGAAGTATAACACTGTCTGATGTGGTTCTCAATATATGTGTAGAAAATATTTAAGACAATTATATTAAAATGGAGGCGAGTAAAGGAATATAAACAAAGGCGAGTTTTCCACACTTCACTTAAACTGATAAAACGTTAACACTGGTAGACTATGGTAAGCTATGCATACAGCATGAAATACCCAGAGCAACTATTTAAAAAGCTATGCCAATAGGTATACTAAAAAACACTATAGATAAATCAAAATGGAACTCTAAAGCATATTCAAGTAACCCACAGAAAGGCAGGAAAAAGAATACAGAGAAACAAACAAAAAACAGAATGAACAAACAGAATACAATAAATACAATACAGGCTAAATATAGAAAATTACAGCAAGTGGAAAGAGTCTAAAGACATAGAAAAAAGACAGATCTTGGCAGAGTGGATAAAAAAGCATGATCCAACTGTACGATACATTCTGCAAAAAGCTAAATATAACAATATAGGTAGGTTGAAAGTAAAAGGATTGAAGAGATGCACAATTGTTCATAGCAGCTTTGTTTGTAATAGCCAAAAACTAGAGATCACAGAAATGTCCTAAAGATCTCAAGGCCATCATGCCGAGTGAAAAAGGGCAATTCAAAGGGCCATATATTTGATAATTCTATGTATATAACATTCTTGAAATGACACAATTATAAGAATGGAGAACAAATTAGGCATAGGACAAAGGAAAGCTCTGTGGTGATTGAATAGTTCCATATTTTGATTGCACCACCCATGTGAAGAAAACATATATGTGGCCAGGTGCGGTGGCACACACCTCTAACCCCAGCACTTTGGGAGGCTGAGGCAGGCAGATCATGAGGTCAGGAGTTTGAGACCAGCCTGGCCAACATGGTGAAACCCCGTCTCCACTAAAAATACAAAAATTAACCAGGCATAGTGGTGCACGCATGTAATCCCAGCTACTTGGGAGGCTGAGGCAGGAGAATTGCTTGAACCCAGGAGGTGGAGGTTGCAGTAAGCTGAGATCGCGCCACTGCACTCCAGCCTGGGCGACAGAGTGAGACTCCGTCTCAAAAAAAAAAAAAAAAAAGTGCCCACGATTCAGAAATCTAATATTTACAATATTAGATTTAATATTTTAAATATTTAATCTATGTAAATTTAATATTTACAATTCATGGATTCCTCACTGGCTCTACAGAGGCAGATAAGGCCTTCCTATCACTCAGCTACTGGTCTCAGGCTGGCCCCAGTGCCCATTCTTCCTATGTTGTGCACAACCCCTTTCTCAGAAAGACAGGGGCAAAGCTGTCAAGAGAACTTTCTATCACTTCCAGATTCGATCTTCCAGGCAGTGTGGACTTGAGTTTTTACAGCTGAGATTCTCCAAAATGACACTCAAAAAAAGAAAAGAGAAGAGAGAAGCACTTCTAGAACAGCTGCCTTCTCAGTGCCTGGGGCAGGGAAGAGACAGCCCAAAGATCTTGAACCAGAAAACAAAGCCTTGGTAATACCCTGCCTAACTGCAAAGGGGCAAGAGAGGGTAAGCCTCCCATGTGCCCAAAAGGAGAGGAGAACCAGATATGCGTGAGCCCGAGTCTCTTCCAGAACAGCCTTGAAACACACAGATGAAGAAAGGTAGAGGGAACCCCCACAATAAATGTGCAGTGGGGGAACAGGGCAGGAAGAGCTTGGGGAATAGCAAAGGATGCAGTTGGGCTAGAATGTATAGAGTGGGTCGGGGGTCCTGGAATATGAGATAAAGTCAGCTGGGTCAATATTGTGGAGGGTCTTGGTTGCCAGGCAAACAAGAATTTGAGCCTTGCTCTGTCTGTAGGAAGGTTGAACATTTCTGCACCAGCAATGGAGCTATATGAAGGTAGATAAAGAAGATCTCCAAAGTGGAGAATGTGGTAAAGTAATTTACAGGCTAGCCAGATTGACAAAAGTTAACAAATGACCTGGTGGTAGAAAAATAAAGACAATAAGTACCCACTATTCTGTCAAAAGGTTTGGTAATGAAAAGAAGGCAGAAGCCACCTTCATGGAAGAAGTGCCTCATGGTTACGGGTCAGACATTGTAGGATCAGTTAACAGATGTGCTTATAGGGAAAGAAAAAATGATCCAGTAGTAAAGAAGACATGAAAGAGGCAAGAAAAGGGGGAGCATAATGGATGAAATGTGGCCCTGAAGAAATCAAAAGGGAATCAGCCAAGGAAGGAACAACTCTGCATGTGAGACACAAGAGGAAAAGAATAAAAATTATTAGAAAGGTATGGAGGCAGAAAAAAAGTCTAAGAAACTAACGAAGCAGAAACAGTTTTGCAGACAATTTTTCTAATGATTCTAAAAGAGATACATTCAATTTGTGGAATTTGTGGAATAAAAACAAGAAAATAATATTCATCAGTAACTATAAAATGCAAAGAATTTCACTGCTAACCTCTTGATTTATTTACTTTCAGTATTTTTCATACATTTTCAAACTAATGGACTATTTCAAACACTGCTATTTTATGAAGTCAAATTTATCGTATTTTTTACAGGTTCTTAATTTCAAGTCACTGTTACAAAGGCCTTCCTCATCTGAATTTGTAAAAGTATTCTCCTATATTTTATTTTAGTACATTTATGATTTTCACTTTTCACATTTGAATCTTTGATCCATTTGTAATTTAAGTATATAGATAAAGTAGTGAACATTCATGCAGCTGCACAGTTGTATCAAATCTTAACTTTTTATGTTAACTCCACTTTATTGAGATACAATTTTCAGACAATAAGATGCATCAATTGAAAGTGCGCAGGTCAGGCTGGGCACAGTGGCTCACGCTTGTAATCCCAGTGCTTTGGGAGGCCAAGGTGGGAGGATCAGTTGAGGTTAGGAGTTTATGCCAGCCTGGGCAACATAATGAGGCCCCATCTCTAAAAAAATTTTTTTAAATTAGCCAGGCATGGTGGCATGTGCCTGTAGTCCCAGCTACTTGGGAAGCTGAGGTGGGAAGACAACTTGAGCCCAGTAATTCAAGGCTTCAGTGAGCTATGATCATGCTACTAAACTCCAGCCTGGGCAATAGAGTGAGACCCTGTGTCTAAAAATAAAAATAAAAGTAGGCAGCTTCATGGAGTTTGAAAGCACATGAATTTGTGTAATCAACACCCAGATCAAGATACAGAATAGCATTTCAAAATGTAGAACATCAACCTTAGAAATTCTTTCTTGTTGCTTTCCAGCCAGTACATCTCTCTGACAGAGACAACCACTACTCTTATCTCTAACCATGTCAAAGATGAGTTTTGCCTGTTCTTGAAGTTAATATAAATGTAGTCATACTGTTCGTACTGTTTTGTGCCTGACTTCTTCAGCTCAATATGTTTTTGAGATTTTTCCATGGTGTCATGAGTACCGGCAGTTCATTCTTTATTGTTGTTGCATACTACTCCATTACATAAACATGTCACAGTTTGTTGTCCATTATTCTGTTTATGAGCAGTTATTTTTATTTTAGTGCTATTAAGAATATAGCTGCTATAAGCATTCTTGTGCAAATATTATTGTGTGTATAAAATATATACATTCATCTCTCTTGGACATATACCTAACCATGAAATTGCTAGGTCCTTGGGGGAGGTCCTTTGTCAGAGAGAGAGAGAGAGAGAGAGAGAGATAGTATATTACTGTATAAATAAATATGTGTTTATTTATTTTTATACACATATTTATTTATAGAGTCATGTGCCACATAATGACATTTCAGTCAACAATGATGGAACATACACATACAAAAGCTGTCCCAAAAAACTATAATGTCATATTTTTATTGTACCTTTTCTATGTTTAAATGTGTTTCCAGATAACAAATACTTACCATTGTGTTACAGTTGCCTACTGTATTCAGTACAGTAACATGCTGTGCAGGTTTACAGCCTATGAGCAATAGACTATACCATATAGCCTAAGTGTGTTATAGGCTATACCATCCAGGTTCATGAAGTCCACTGTGATGTTTACACAACAACAAAATCACTAAAGGTGAATTTCTCAGAATATATTCCCATTGTTACAAAAGATATGACGTTGTGTATGTATGTGTTCTAATGTGTGCGTTGGGGGGTGGGTGTATGAAGAGAGAGAGAGAATATTTTAACCCAGGCTGTAGCTTGCCTTTTCACTTTCTTAGCTATTTATCTGATCAACAAAAGGTTTTCATTTTGATGAAGTCTAATCTATTTATTATAGTGTCCTCCATGAGCTTAGAAGTCTTCTCATGGCAGAAGGTTATGAATATAATCTTCTGAGTTTTCTTCTAAAAACTTTAGACTTGAAATCTTCACAATTAAGTGTTTAATCCAACCTGAATTAAGTTTTATACGTAGCGTGAGGTAGAGATCAAGATGTATTCATTTTGGCTATACAAGTATCCACTTGATTCAGCGACAAGTATTGAACAGTATTGAAAAAACAGTATTGAAAAAGCTTTCCTTTTCTCATTGACTTGCTTTGGGATCTTTGTCAGAAATCAATTGACCACATATATGTGAGTCTATTTCTAAACTCTATATTCTTTCTCATTGATCTACTTTCCAACCCTTATGCCAATATCACACTGTTTTAATTGTAGTAGCATTATAGTAACTTGCATGAATTTACATTTCATTGCCACAAGCAATGAGAGTGCTATAGGCAGTGAATGTATCTGTTATCAAACTTTGATTTTTTTCAGTTTGATAGGTGGAAAACTAAAATATCTCAGTATAATTTAAATTTACATTTCTCTTTTCATGAGTGACATTGAGCATTTTTTCTTATTTTAAGTGCCTTTTGTATTTTCCTTTTGGTCACTGTCTAGAGTGTAATTGTAATATTGTTTCCCAGTTTGTCATCTTGTCTTCTGGTTTTACAGGTTGTATTTTTCACCCAAGCACAAGTTCAAACACTGTTATTTTATGGAGTCAAATCTAACAGTTTTTTACGGCTTCTTAATTTTGAGTCATCATTGGAAAAGTCTTCTGACTCCAAATTTATAAAATAATTATCCTTTTGGGCATATTTATTATTTATTTTTCATATCTCAATCTTTGATCTACTTGTAATTCGTCCCACTGTAAAGGATGAAGTATGGTTTCAACATTCCCTGCCCCCACACCAAAGGGAATACAAAATTGTCCCCAAAGTACATATAATACATATAACGGTCTACCTTTTCCCCATGGCTTTTATTTTGTATTTTATTTTATTTTATTAAAAATGAAATCGCACTGTGTTGCCCACCTGAACTTGAACTCCTGGGTTCAAGTAATTCTTCTGCCTCAGCCTCCTACAGAATGGGAGAAAATTTTTGCAATCTGTCCATCTGACAAAGGGCTAATATACAGAATCTACAAGGAACTTAAACAAATTTACAAGAAAAAACAAACAACCCCATCAAAAAAATGGGCTAAGGATATAGAAAGACACTTCTCAAAAGAAGACATTTATGTGGCCAACAAACATATGAAAAAAGCTCATCATCACTGGTCACTAGAGAAATGCAAATCAAACCACAATGAGATACCATCTCACACCAGTTAGAATGACAATCATTAAAAAGTCAGGAAACAACAGATGCTGGAGAGGATGGAGAGAAATTGGAACACTTTTACACAGTTGGTGGGAGTGTAAATTAGTTCAACCAATGCAGAAGACAGTGTGGCAATTTCTTAAGGATCAAGAACCATAAATACAGTTTGACCCAGCAATCCTATTACTTGATACATACCCAAAGGATTATAAATCATTCTACTATAAAGACACATGCACATGTATGTTTATTGCAGCACTATTCACAATAGCAAAGACATGGAACCAACCCAAATGCCCATCAATGATGGACTGGATAAAGAAAATGTGGCACATATACACCATGGAATACTATACAGCCATAATAAAGGATTAGTTCATGTCCTTTGCAGGGACATGAATAAAGCTGGAAACCATCATTCTCAGCAAACTCACACAGGAACAGAAAACCAAACACTGCATGTTCTCACTCATAAGTGGGAGTTGAACAATGAGCACACATGGACACAGGGAGGGGAACATCACACCGGGGACTGTGAGGGGGTGAGGGGCTAGGGGTGGGATAGCATTAGGAGAAATACCTAATGTAGATGACAGGTTGATGGGTACAGCAAACCACCATGGCACTTGTATACCTATGTAGCAAACCTGCACGTTCTGCACATGTATCCCAGAACTCAAAGTACAAAAAATCTCATAATTCAAGAAAAAAAAAAAAGGATGAAAAGGGGCCACTAGCTGAGGATGTGGACAGCCTGTAGAAGCTGGAAAAGGCAAGAAAATGATGTTCCCCTAGAGCCTCCATAAAGGATTAGCAGCAAGTAACTTTCTGAAGAAAATGCTGAGTAAGTATTCCTCAGAAAGAAAACACACCCCTTTCAATGAATCCTATTTAAACATCCAGTATAAACCAACACTGTGATACATTTTTATCTAATGTAATACCACAAGCAAACACCAAGCACTAAAAATGTTATAAAATGTGGACTTTGGAAAACCAAAAGAGAGCTAGTCTCTTTTCCAAGAAATTTCTTATTAGCAATCAAACCCTACCTTTTCCCCATGGCTTTTATTTTATTTCATATTTTATTTATATTTTATTTTATGTTATTACATTTTATGGAAAGCTAAAACATAAATCTAGCAATTATCTTTAAAACAAGACTTTTAAAAGACTAACATTTTAATTCATACTCACATTGTCCTGACACTGAAAATGGGGAAACCATTTGGGCAGAACAAACTAAAATATTGACTTCTGATTTCTAAGTTTACCAATAATTATTAAACATTAATAGTTTCCCTTTTCTAGAGAAGAAAGGAAAAGAAGGATGAACTCATTCCTGGTTAAGCTCAGTGCCAAGTGGAGAGGTCAACAAGAATGTAATGAACTTAGTATACTCACACCTGCTTAATAATGGATGCTGTTAGGACAGTTCCTTTTGAAGACATAATTTGAAGCTCTGGGTCCAATAGACAAGTAGTAGTTATGATGGGTAATAACTTACTAACAGCCTAAATGCACATGTTTATGAGACAAATAACTCTTCTTAAGCAAGTAAAAAGCAGACTAATAAGATGTTCCTACAGGATTTGATATAAACCTGAGAAAGGAAAACATCCCACCTGTGTGACACCACGTAGAAGAGAGGCTATATAAGCACTTCAAAGAGGAAAACACCAAGAGCCTTGGAATTCAGACTCTGTGGAGGTGGCTTGAGCTTTTCATCCTGGTGACCACAGACCTGGAACAAACTAAAGCCAGACACATACTATGGACACCAAGGGCTGTACAACAACCAATTCTCCTTCAACCCCATGTCAAAACTGCTCTAGGATTACAAATGTTAGTACCATCTCTTCTAACAACGGCTGCCATCCTGGTGGCCTTACAGTCAACAACTGTCAACCAGCTGGCCACGTTCTCAGAATTCCCTGGGACCAGGGCTGCCAACCCACTCCTCGCTTTTGTCGCAAGCCCATCTACCTAATGAACAACTTCAATGCCCGTTTTTCTCTGGATGACTGCAGCTGGTATGGTGAAGGCATCAACAGTAATGAGAAGGAGACCATGCAAATCTTGAACGAGCGCCTTGCTAACTACCTGCAAAAGGTGCGAATGCTAGAACGAGAGAATGCTGAACTGGAATCTAAAATCCAGGAAGAAAGTAACAAAGAGCTCCCTGTTCTATGTCCTGATTACCTGTCTTACTACACTACCATTGAGGAGCTCCAGCAGAAGGTAAGATTCCTAAGAACCTGTTTAATCGTGTTGTGAATTAATGGTTTCCAAGCAACAGTTATTTGCTAAACTTTAATATTTTTTGTTCAGTTGATGCTGAAAATTTTTTTGAAGAATAGAAAAATTTCTTGAGTGAAATTGTCATCTTGAGGCAGCATTCAGAGTCTGATAGTATTTCTGGTCAGGCGCAGTGATGCACACCTGTAATCCTAACACTTTGGGAGGCTGAGGCAGACAGATCACTTGAGCCCAGGAGTTCTAGACCATCCTGGGCAACATGATGAAATTCCATCCTTACACACACACACACACACACACACATACACACACAAAAAAAAATTAGATGGGCGTGGTGGCACATGCCTGTGGTCCCAGCTACTTGGGAGGCTGAGGTGGGAGGATCACTTGAGCCCAAGAGGTTGAGGCTGCCATGAGCCAAGATCCTGCCACTGCACTCCAGCCCAGACAAAAGTGAGACTATGTCTTTAAAAATCAGAAACAAAAAGAAGAGTCTCATGGTGTTTCCTTTCTCCAGAAATACACTCTACCATTATAACTAGATGACTCAGGACCAAAAGATGTTAACAGCAAGTTGTTGCCATTTTTTAAATAAAAATAGGGAAACAGAGATCAGAGAAAATAAATTTTGCTTTAATGAGTTTCTAAGCAATTTAGTTTTTATCCATTTTTCAACCATCACCACCTTTTTCTCCTTTTATGCTTATGTTATCATCTCCACATTGCTTGGTTTGTTTCTACACCAAACCTAAGTTTGTTATGCACAGACGTATTCTGCTACTACATATCTGGATTTATTCAGTTTTATTCATTCAACAAATGTTTACTGAGCAGCAACAACATTGGGCCAAACATTGTTCTAGATTCTGGGAAAATATTGGTGACCTTTAAAAAGTCCCTGCCCTCATGGAGTTGACATTCTAGTGGATCATGGTATTTATATAAATTTAGGATGGATTTTATTTTATTTTTTATTTATTTATTTATGTATTTATTGAGATGGAGTCTCACTCTGTCACCAGGCTGGAGTGCAATGGCGCGATCTCTGCTCACTGCAACCTCCAGCTCCCAGGTTCAAGCGATTCTCCCTCCTCTGCCTCTCTAGTAGCTGGGTCTACAGGCACGCACCACCACACCCAGATAATTTTTGTATTTTTTTTTTTTTTTGAGACGGAGTCTCGCTCTGTCTCCCAGGCTGCAGTGCAGTGGCGCGATCTCGGCTCACTGCTAGCTCCGCTTCCTGGGTTCATGCCATTCTCCTGCCTCAGCCTCCCAAGTAGCTGGGACTACAGGCGCCCGCCACCACGCCCAGCTAATTTTTTTTTTTTTTATATTTTTAGTAGAGACGGGGTTTCACCGTGTTAGCCAGGATGGTCTTGATCTCCTGACCTCGTGATCTACCCGCCTCGGCCTCCCAAAGTGCTGGGATTACAGGCGTGAGCCACTGCGCCCGGCCAATTTTTGTATTTTTTAGTAGAGACAGGGTTTCACCATGTTGGCCAGGATGGTCTTGATCTCTTGACCTCGTGATCCGCCCGCCTCAGCCTCCCAAGTGCTGATATTACATGGGTGAGCCACTGCTCTCAGCCTGGATTTTTTAACAACAACAACAAAAAAAATACTTAAAAGTTTCTAGTTAAGTACTTTTTGCTGATCTTTTAGGAAAATAACAGGAAATCTGACTTTCTGAAGTTTTCCAAGCTTTGTGAGCATAGCTATGAAGATTAATAAAAAGTCTACTTAGCCTTCCCCTGTTACTTGACACACACACAAACCCCTTGGTTCTTAAAGAAGGAAATCTTGGTGTTTGCTTCATTTGTGTGTACAATCTCTTAATTCTAGATCTTGTGTACCAAGGCCGAGAATTCCAGACTGGTCTCGCAAATTGACAACACCAAACTGACTGCAGATGACTTGAGAGCCAAGTAAGCCCACCCAACACCGTCATCAATGACAGAGCTCACCCTGAGTCTGACCGAGATGCCCTCAACAAAATTGTCCCCATGTCTACTAACCCTCTTGCCCCAGATGATGTTGGCACAAGCCCAGAAAAGACTTTCAAATTCAATGAATGATTAAGATTAATAACTGCTCACATGTATACAGTACCTATAGTTTCTAACTTGTGAACCCATTTGATTACCTACACAATAGTTCAGTAAAATAGATAGGACTAATATATTGTTACTCTCTTTAAGGTGAGAAATCTGTGGCTTAGTGAGGCTAAGTTACTCACCCAAAGGTAAGCATAACTAGCACAAGTCAAAACCGAAACTTGGACACATGTTTTCTGAGCCCTAATCCAGTGCTTTCTTCACTTACATTGCATTGCCACTAGGGGCAGAGGAAGGACAATAAATTCCCATATCTCAAAGAACAGCAATGTAGATCCCCCTAGCAAACTAATTTGGGAATAATAATTAAGTTATGATCTATATCAAATGGTTTCACCTCCAAAGAGAATAAAACTTCTAATAGAAATACACTAAGTGAGGTGCCCAGAGCAAAATGCAGATGAGAGTTCTGCTTGGCTTGGTTTGCATCATCTCCTTTCAGATGTCTCTCTTTTCCCATCTGGTTTTTAAAGATACGAAGCTGAGGTGTCTCTACGCCAGCTGGTAGAGTCAGATGCCAATGGCCTCAAGCAGATCCTGAATGTGCTGACCCTGGGCAAGGCCGACCTAGAGGCACAAGTCCAGTCTCTGAAAGAGGAGCTCCTTTGCCTCAAGAACAACCACAAAGAGGTGAGACAAAGACCAATAGAGTAATCACAAGCTAAGTCCCTAAAAGTAGCATCAGTTCCTTTGAGTTGCACCTGACAAAGGGTGTGCCCGCTTGTATTAGTTCGTTCTCACACTGCTATAAAGAAATAACTGAGAGTAGGTAATTTATAAAGGACAGAAGTGTAACTGAGTCACAGTTCCACATGGCTGGGGAGGCCTCAGGAAACTTACAATCATGGCTTAAGGGGAAGCAGGCACATCTCACTTGGCAGCAGGAGACAGAGAGAGACCAAAGGGGGAAGAGCCCTTTATAAAACTATCAGATCTTGTGAGAACTCACTCACTATCCTAAGAACAGCATGGGGGACACCACCCCCATGATCCAATCTCCTCCCACTAGGTCCCTCCCTTGACACATGGGAATTATGGGAATTACAATTCGAGATGAGATTTGGGTGGGGACACAGAGCCAAACCACTGCTACGTACTACTCTGGTTTAGCCCTGAAAATACCTACTGCTACTAGCACTGGTTCAAGGTAGTATTTCAAATCCACTGGCTCCAACACAATATCTGGAGCCATAAGGGGAAGAAAGGCCTCCAACATCCCCTCCAGCTTTTCTACAAGAAGGAACCCAATTTTTCTGTCCTTACAGTCTTCCCATGTTTGTAGGCATCCCTATACAGGCTTCTGCCACCTCCCATTGGTACAAGTCAATATTGGTGCAAGTCAATATTGGCACAATCCCGTATTTGCACCATAGAGACTATAATCTCTCATGATCAATTCCACCTTTATCCTGTTTCACCCATTATCCAGCCCTGGAAATGATCTAAATTTTTTGGAACTCTGGTCTTGCTACTCATTTTTTTTTAATTTTGCACACATTTAAACACACAGTCCTACCTGAAAGAGTCTTAAATCATTTTATAGCATCTCAATAACACCTGTAAATCATGTATTCCTTTGTTGTGGGCTATATTTTAGACACAATTAAGCTAAATCGTAGCAGTTAGAGTGAAACAAGAACACAAAGGGGTTATCTGTTCACCAAGTGACTTCACAGTCTTTTTCTTTCCTTAGGAAATCAATTCTTTACAGTGTCAGCTTGGGGAGAGACTTGACATTGAAGTGACTGCTGCCCCTTCTGCTGACCTAAACCAGGTTCTACAAGAAATGAGATGTCAATATGAGCCCATCATGGAGACAAACCGCAAAGATGTGGAACAGTGGTTCAACACGCAGGTGGGGGATATAGAAAAGTCAAAAACAATAAGCTGATGCTGCATTTCTAGGGCCCTTTAATCAAAGTCATGTTTTCCTCCCATAATATTCTCAGTCTCTGGCTGTGTGTTTCAGATAGAGGAGCTGAATCAACAAGTGGTGACCAGCTCTCAACAGCAGCAATGCTGCCAAAAGGAGATCATAGAACTGAGACGCAGTGTGAACACTCTGGAGGTTGAACTGCAGGCCCAGCATCGAATGGTACTGAGCAAGCTGACCAAGCCTAGCTCAGCAAAGATGGAAACAGTCCCTTACACCTGTGTGCTGCAGTATTTCCCAAACTGTGTCTTTCAGAACAATAGTTCCTCATTTGTTAAAGCGTCTATGGCTGAAAAAGAGCTTTGTGGCCAAATAAGTCTACGAAACGCTGCACTAAACCAAGGTTAAACAGGGTGCCTTCCTGTGAGCCATTAATAAGCTAATATACACCATGAATCTCCAGGAAGGGGGTATATGGTATTCAGCATTCCAAAACTTATTTGACTGTGGATCCCCCCACTTTTTTTAGAACATCTCATGGTATTAATGATTCATGAAGTACACTTTGGGAAACACTGGGAGAGCATTTTATTATATGCAAAGCATTTTTACAAGCTATCACATGAGATTTATAAAGCAATCCTAAGAGGGGGGGTGGCATAATTATTAACGAATGTTACAGATGAGGCTCCAAGAGCTAAAGTGATTTTCCCAAGCAAATCCAAGGTAAGTTTCAGCCCACCTATTTTATAGAGACACTGAGATCCTGAGACATTAAGAAACTCATCCAAAGTCACAAAAGAAATAAGAGTCTGAGCCAGAGTTTAGATTCCAAAGCCAGTATCATTCTGTCTCATGATAATGCCTCTCTGAAGTAGAGAATTGCTTACATGCTCTGATGTGAAGGCTTTTGGGAAGACCTTGCCCCACACTGGTTTTGTCACCAGCTAGTCATGTGACCTTGGACAACATATTGAACCACTTGAACCTCAGTTTTCTCATCTATAAAAATTGGGATAATCATGCAAATAATAGGCTATTAAAACCTAAAATCCCATCATTATCCATAGACTTACAGAATGATAGAGCAGGAATGAAATTTACTCATCAGTTTCAACTTTCATATTTTACATATAAAGGAATTGATCTGGTGGATAAATTGTATATGGTAAAACATTGCTTCCTTCCTTTTTTAAGACACGAACACTCACTGAATGAAGTGCCATGGTAATGCTTTTTTTTTTTTTTCTTTTTGAGATGGAGTCTCACTCTGTCGCCCAGACTGGACAGCAGTGGCACGATCTCGGGTCACTGCAACCTCCACCTCCCGGGTTCAAGCAATTCTCTGCCTTAGCCTCCCAAGTAGCTGGGATTACAGGTGCCCACCAGAACACCCAGCTAATTTTTTGTATTTTTAGTAGAGACGGGGTTTCACCATCTTGGCCAGGCTGGTCTTGAACTCCTGACCTTGTGATCCACCCACCTGGGCCTCCCAAAGTGCTGGGATTATAGGCGTGAGCCACTGCGCCCAGCCAGTAATGCATTTTTAATGCCTGGGTGTGCATTAAGTTATTATTTTTTCTCTCCTAAGTAGGAAAGTGTGGTGCGAGACTATTGGTTGGTCAAGAAAGAGAAAGTGAAACAAATACTTACAGAGAAGCAAAAAGAGAAAGAGAGAAAGAGGGAAGAGATAAAGGAAAGCAGATTTTAGCATAGTTGATCATTTGGGTTTTGGATTTATTTGATTAGGAAACAATAAATAAAGTGCTTGGAGATCTATCAGTAGTGTCACAAAGAAACCATTTTTTTTAAATGATACAGGTCACAGGTGACCTGGGCTTAAAGGAGTCATTATAAATCCTACTATCCTTCTCCATGGTAGAGAGATTCCCAAGAGTGCATCCTAACGGAGACAGAGGCTCGCTACACGGCCTTGCTGACCCAGATCCAGAGTCTGATTGATAACCTGGAAGCTCAGCTGGCAGAGATCCGGTGTGCCCTGGAAAGACAGAACCAAGAATACGAGATCCTGCTGGACGTCAAGTCCCGGCTGGAATGTGAGATTACCACATACCGCAGCCTTCTGGAGAGCTCGGATGGCAAGTATGTAAAATAACAGCAACTTCTATGACAAAAAAGTGTAAATGAACGCAGATATATGTACTGCCACTGGCAACAGGGGTCAAGTGCTTTGTTTGACCTTCTTGCCAGTGATGGGGAGCTTGGACAGAGGCATCCACACACCCTCTCAAGCTGTGCCATGAGGAAGACTTGCAATTGTAACCTTATCCAAATTTGAGGCATTGGCTGACCTGAGCTGTTCTGAAGAGCCCATGGGCCAGGTTAATTTCTTATAGGTTGCTTACCTTCTTAGAGTTTTAAAAATTACTAGAGAAAAAATTATTTCCCCATAGATGAATATTCCTGGTGACCATTACAGATGTTTCCCCACTGAGATGAACGTCTGATTTTCATGAGCTTGTACAAAACAACCCAGGCTCCTTTGGAGGAACATTCTGCTCAGGCTGAAACCCCTAACCCTATCTAGCCACTAGTCCTTGAGGCCAACAGAAGCATGTACACATGTATGTTTTAGCATCTTTTTTAAAAAATAAAAGTTATAATTTTTGTAAGCAATAAGAAGCTAACCAACCCATAAGTAAACATATATGGAGGATGAGTTCTTTGAAGCAACTCAGTCCAAACTAAAACCCCAGAGACTTAGTTACAATTGCAAAGGAGACCTACTTCCCGAAAATAATCAGTGAACTCTTCACAGCATTCTTTTAATTGGCATGACCACATTATGTGAGCACAATGGTCATCAATGCTGTCACCTTTAGGAGCTGTGATCATATACCAAAATACCTCGAATCATCAAAGAAAGATTATGTTTATAAAAAGAGTGTTTACTATGAACTGCTTTTTACTTCAGTTCTCTAAAAACTATGCATAGACAGCCAGAAGGCACTTTGAAGCTTCCTGATGACACAGTGAGGACTCTTTCATAGCTGGGGTTCAGGCCACCACTATTAGTATGACTAACTCCTCAATGAGAAAAATATCTGGTTAATTTCCATTCCTCGGATAATAATGCCCTCAACTTGTTCCTTATCACTGTTGATCCTGTGGGTTTAGTTTCCATTATATCCATTCTGCAGATGAAAAACTAAAGGTTGAGTGCGTTAAATGACTTAGCTGAGGTCACCAGCTGGTAAAGGACAGAGCTGGTCTCTGCCTCAGTCTTTTGACTGCTAGTGCAGTATTCTTTCCACAATGTGATGGTATTGACTAATGGAAACTTACATAATCGAATACTTCTAAACCTAGGATGCTGATTTCCAATGGATTTAATCTGATTCTTTTTCTTCCAGTAACTACAGTACAAAATAAATGAATAAGCATTTAGAAGTATGTACTTGTCTTGAGCAACACGTGTTAAAAAAATTAGCCACAATCATTTTTCTCCATGACCATCATCGCCTTCCCTCAATCACAGCTAAAATTGTGTTTTTTTTCCTTAGGCGTCCCTGTTACCCACGTGCCACCAAATGTGAGCCTTCCCCTTGGACATCTTGTAAGTCCGGAGCCATAGAAAGCACGGCCCCAGCTTGCACATCCTCATCCCCCTGCAGCTTAAAGGAGCACTGCAGTGCCTGCGGACCCCTGTCCCGGATACTGGTTAAAATTTGCACCATCACCAAGGAGATTAAGGATGGGAAGGTCATTTCTTCTTACGAGCATGTGCAGCCTTGTTTCATCATCAGACCTGCCAAAGTCTAACATCCCAAGGTGATGAAAATGACCCACATTTATGAAACAGAGGCCAATACATGCTCCTGCCAGAGAGGTTTAAGAAAACTCCCCAGTCCCTTAAGGTACTTAGTTTCTTACTACTACAGCGGGTCCCCATTGCTAGGTAGAATATCTTTTATTCTGCTCCTTCCCTAACTCACCACTGCTAACATGATAATAAATTACATTTCTCTGGAAGGATGTTTTGCATTTATCTGAGGGATGGGAACTGATTTGTAAGCACCCAGGAAGATGGCCTACATTGCTTGACTACCCAGGTGATTGATGGGCAGGTCTCTCTCTTGTTTACTCAGGCCTTGTTTACCGACATTCCTCCTTAGAGCCAGTCAGACAAGTTTAGGGTTGTTTTTGGCCACCGGCACCTGAAGGTGAAAAGCTACAACCTTCCCTTCTAAATGTCTTTGGATACAGAAAGAAACATATATGGGAACAGTATAAATAGGGGAAAAGATCTTTAATATTTAATTCACTTGTGTAGATAGTCACGAGTATGGATCCTATTAAACTCTGCTGTCTTAATTATGATTTATCTATACTAACATACTTTACCTTTCCAAAGATATTTTTTTAAATGTCCATGGTCTCCAAAACTTTGTGACCTATTAGGCTCTCCAAATATTTTATTTGAGAATCAGATAAGTTGTGGGGAGTGAATCTAGAACACTTTGAAGAAATAGCATGGGTCTTTTCATTAAACATTTGCTATTTCTCTTTCTATTCTTTAGGGAATGGGAGTTTGTTCTGATTGTTTGACAAGGAACATTTAGCTGGAATTCTCAAGAAATAACCCTTCTTCCCCTCCCTGTGAAGAGTGACAAAGAAAAACATAGCTTAGATTCCTGCTTCAATCTATCCATCAGAGTAAATGGACATAATATCCACACATTTTGCAGAAAAGCAATAGTGAATAATTGCTGCTTGTAAGTGCAAGGCAGTCCCAATGTGAGAAGGCATCATTTATATACCAGCCATCATCACAGCTTCTTACAGGATAGTCTCAGAATATGTAAGTCATTCCTGACAATAATCATTGGACATTGCCAGAGGTTTTAAGAAATAATTCAAAATCAAACACAGATGGGTAGTCAAAAGGCCTGAAGTCCTACACCTGCATTTCCCAGCTGTGACCTTGGGGAAAACATTTAGACTTCATCAAATTTAATTTCTGTGTTTGTTAAATGAGGATCATGCCTACTTCACAGGGTTGTTGTGATGATCAAATGAAATTGTTTATGTGACACTGCTTTGAATGCTGAAAAGCACCACCCAATGTAATTTTTATGTAAGTTTTGCTTTTAGCTACAGCCCTAGACCTATTTTTGTAATTATCTCATTTTAAAATTCTTTCTTCATGAATTTAGTTATCCAGTCATGATTTTGGAGTTTTAATAGTGTTTAACTTTTAGGAGAAAAAAAAACATGATTTCCTGTGATCAGGCCCACAATTCTACTCAATAAAGCATTTTTCAGTTCTTAGGGTATGTATCGCATATCAATGAGTCAATAATGCCTGATGCCCACATCAAAGACACATGCATTGTGTAACTTACAGCTTGATGATTTACTTCCTCCAGACAAGTAGCAACTTACACTAGGCAAGTGGAATGCAGAACTCCCAGAATGACCTCTTTTAAATCAATAATTTCTCTCTCATCTGAGTGGGCAGAGTACCTCCGGTCAGTAGTTAACTGCGTACTATCTCAGGCTGCAGGATGAAAATGTGGAAAGAGCATGGAACTGGGATTCAGAAACCTTGGGACGGAGTCTCAATCCAGCCTGGGCATGTATGACCTCGAGTAAATAGGATATAACAATATAAGCCCTGCCTACCACACGGCTGCAAGGATAAAATGGAATAATAATGGTGAAAGGGTCTCATAAACTGTAAGGTGCTTTGCAGAAGGGCATTCCTATTCCCTATATTTAAACCTAGACACATGTCGTTTCCATCAATACCTTCTTCCTTTCTTTCTGGTTCAGTGCTGGGCCCAGGTGGACCTTGATATATATCATCCACACTAAAATCTGCTCCGAGCTACAAAATTAGGGTTGAGGAATCTCACTGGACTCAAGCTAAGATTGAACTGATGCAGCAGTGCCATTTTCAGTTTATCCTAGAAGTAGGATGCCTTCCTCCTATGGAGAGCAAAATATCCCCCATGCCATTCATGGTTTTAAAAAATATATGATTATAAGCTGCACAGTAAAGAGGGGAGTTAGCCACTCGAAGGCTTGCAGTTTTGTTTTTTTTTTTAAGTGTCTTCTTCGTATAAGAGAATGTAAAACCATTTGCTGGTTGTATGCATGTGGTCAAAACTTTTAAAGGCAATAAGGAGACTGGATTTTTACTAGGAGGCTAAATAAGTATCCTACACAGCCACAGGAGGAAATTTAAGGTTTTATGACAGTTCAGCATAAGTCAGCAGCTAGAGCAGAAAAGGGGCTCGTGGGGAGGGAAAGTGTAATTTTAGCACAGTTCGAAAGACAACCATGAATCAGGAAACACAGCATGGTGTCCAGAGCCTGAGGTCAAATCCTATATCTCTGCTTCTCACTCTGAGGGTCCATAATTATATTTCTTAAAAAGGGAGATATTTTAGATATATTTTTTCTAGATTTTTTTCCTTTCTTCTTGTTGACTCCACTTCATGTCATAGCTAGTTTAAACTCTTCCAAACACAGAGGTAAGTAACCACGCTTCCCCCTTTCTCCTTGCCTCTCACCCCTTAACTGTCCCCCATCACCTGCCCCCATCACACAGCCCACACCCTTTGCATCCTTACTTCCCAGAGCCAATTCCAGCAATTGCTGATCAGAAGAGACTACCCAGAAACTTTTCCTCCAGAGTTCAGTTAGTGGTAACCCCTTACCTGACGTCCCGCCAAAACTTCTCCAGTGTGACCCAGAAGCCACCTGCAATTGCATTAATAGGGGAGTCTGTATCATTCAGATTCCTGGGCCTTACCCCAGACCTCCTGTATCTGCATCTCCAGCTGTGGGACCTGGGAATCCAAATTTTAACAAAAGTCTCAGCTGAAGTGTGTGCACTGAATTAAAAGCCACTGCTTTATCACTGATGGGGGCTTTTGGCTTAAAGATCTGAATGACTTGATGACTTATTTGAGGCTTTTAGATTTGGGCATAGCTTGATAGACAACCACACATGCAGATTCCCCCCTCCTTCGTGTCTATTCGCCTGTTTATAAAATGGAGTTAATCAATAATGACCAATAATTTAATAAATATCATCAACTCATTTAATCCTCACAACCCCATCATGAAGTAGATATTATTAATAGCCCCATTTCACAGATGAGGAAACTGCTGGGCAGAAAATTTAACTGACTCATCCATGCCGCACAATAATGGGATTGAATTATCAGTACTTTTATTTCCTTAGAAAGGTCAAATAGCACCTGATACAAGAACAGAAATAATCTGTAGTAGCAACAGCTTGCTTTTCAACTCTTCAAAGCACCCTTCTCCAGCTCATCACAGCTTCCAGTGAGAATCATCCAAGGAGTCTTTATCCCTCATCCAGAAATGCAGAGAATATGTGGATTTTTGAATGCGGAAGGTATTGGATGGCAGCTAATAGCATTTTTAATGTGAGAGATGGAGAATCTGGGGCACAGAAAGAACAGTAACTGGTCCATGGTACGTGGGTCGAAAAGAGGACCAGTGCTCTTTCTTCTGCTCCTCACTCTCCTTGTTCCCCGTCTTCTGCTCCTCACTCTCCTCGTTCCCAGGCACATCTGTAGTGAACAGGTGTGGACTGAGGCCTAATGTGAAGAACACTGGACCCCAAGACAGTGACCTCAGGCTCTAACTCTCAGAAGTACCATTTGGCTTCTCTGTGCTTAGACTCTGGGCAGTCACCATGGACTCTTCAAAGCTTACGTCCTTAGTTTCTCTTACAAGCTCTGACATTACTTATCATGTCTAGCTTTCTACCTCTGTAAATAAGAACTGACACCAAAAAAAGTCTTCCAACCCCCCCCACCCCACTTTGCCAGTGTCTTTTAAAGGCAATTGGATGGTATCAGTGAGATCTTCATGTCTTTAGAAGATAATGACTCTATGTTGTTATTAATTCCCATAATTTCCATTTTTCAAACAATGAAGAAAAGTATCTTACTCTAGACAGAAACGGATCCCTTACCTGAGTAAGTTTATCCTATTTCTGTCCATTTTGATTTAAAATTAAAGTTTTTATAATGAAAACACATTTTAAAAGCAAACATCCACTTTAAATGAGAGAAGGGGGGAAACATTAAAATTCAAGAGAAAAGGAAAGTGTCCCCAAAGAGAAGAGAATAGGTCATTATTAGGTTAGGAAGAATTTCTAGGCTGAGGCAATCAGCATCCGTGACACAGACTTGGGTTAGTCTCAGGGCAAGCAAACCTTGAATACATTGTTTCAACACTGTGATCAAATGTCTTTTATAGGAAATGAATCCTCTGGGTATTGGGCTGGCTAGAAATATCTGATCAGTGTGTTCATGAATGATTCACAAGTTTCATGGGAACAACCCACGCACCCAGTTCAAATGGGAACAACCCTGTTTGGCAACATTGAAAGGTTTGCTGTAATTATCCTTTCAGGTTAAACATCATATTTGGAGAGCTTTCCTAGGTGATGCTTTTGAGCCACAGGCTACCACTTACATGCACATGGGAAAAAATGTATATCAATGTTTCTAAACATCTTAAGAAGGCATCACAATAGCAAAATTTCTGAATATGTTTTCTTGATCCTCTCTCTCTCTCTCTCTCTCTCTCTCTTTCTCTCTCTCACCCCCCCCCCTCTTTCTCTCTCTCTGGAACAACCCAATAGTCAAGGCGGACATACTAGTCGTACCTGGAGAAAACATCTCAGACAGTAAGATCTCTTACTTTTTTCAGGAGGAGAGCAAGTTTGGGACTCCTTTCTCTTTTTCCTTCTCCAAAAACAAACAAACAAAAAAAACAGAAACAAAAAAGAATCAAAAAGGCCTTTCTGCTAATCCAGAAGCAAAAATTTCCGATATTACAGCTCGTTATGGAGGGCCACTGGGCACGCTAGTGCTCAAGAGTTTCCTGGAAAGGGTTGTATCCACCCATTTGGTATCTGTGGCCCTTAAAGAAACTGCCTAACTCTACTGACCCAGAAGACCTAGAGAGAGACCATGCTTTGGGCTGAACATCTCTAAACATGGGTAGCTGGTCATAAAGAACTACCCATCAACTGTATGTAAGAGTAAAAAGGTCTTCTCTCTGCACTTCTGTGGAGGATAAATGTCTGTCAGCTCATTTTCCATTGACCGGAAAAAAATAACTGTGTTCTCTTCCTTCACTGCCACTTTCTAAGAAACACCCCCTTCCCCACTCCCAGCATAGACTCTGGTTGCAGGGAGAAGTCTCACAGTGGAAGGTAAATAAAATTACTACCCATGTAAGAGGACTCTGTTAAGTTCAGTGGGGAAAGGAGACTAGGATGAAATCTCAGAACAAGCACCCTTTTAAAGGTATTAGAAAAACCTAGAAAAGAACTTTGGCCACCTTTGTTTAAAAAGCAGAATCATGTACTGATTAATAACACATACTTGAATCTAGACCAGCTGGGTCTCTGATTCCCAGCCCTGCCACATACCATGAGATCTTGGGCAAGTTACTTAATCTCTCTATTTCCTCATCTTTAAAATGGGGCTATTAATAGCATCTACTTCATAGGGCTGAGATGACATCATTAATTAATGCATGCAAAGCTCCTAGAGCATGCCTGGCACCCAGTAACCTTGTTAGTAGGATTGCATTATACTGCTTCGTGAAGCTTACTTCAGTTGGCAAAACAATCACATGAGAGCTAATGAATTATTTCACTTGAGCCAAATGACAATGGCATAGTCATGCAAAGCCATTCTGATAACTAATGAAAGTGCTATATTAAGGATAGAACCTTTCTTTTTAAAAGAAAGCTGAGTCACACCTGACCCAAAGTAAAAACCACATAAAGGTCCAACTCTTCTGTTTTCCAGAATGTTAGGGAGCTCAGTTGTAAAGGACCTCTCCATCATGTATCAACCTTCACAATCTTTGCGGCCAGTAGGAAGAAGATAGCCCTGGAGGAGAAGGGAGAACAGTTTGAAGTCATCCCTGTAACAGGATCACTTTTGTGGACAACTGAAATGACAGGGCAATTCAGAGAGGACTGATGGCCCTTCTCCTAGTACAATATCTGTTACCCTTGTCTCTTGTGGCCCTGATGTTTCCTGGAGTCAGGTTATGGTGTCAATGGAGAAAACAGCTGGAAGGCTTCTCCACCGCCAACACATAATAAAAGTAATCACAGATGCACAGAAGCCACAGTGTCTCCTAGGGCCAAAAAGTAGAAAGAGTAATGCTTCTTTCATTCAATTAAAAACTGATTAAATATTATGCCTCTAGACATTGTGCTACATGCTTTACATGAATTATCTCACTCAATTCTCACAATGGCCCTACCATACTATGGTTATTACCACATTACTAACAAGTGAACTAAGGCTTACAGAAGTTAAGTAATTTGCTCAGTGTCACAGCTAGTAAATGTTAAAGTCAAAATCTGAACAAACTCAAATCCTCTATTCCAAATGCCCAATCAATTAAATAATTACTCAAGTTTGAAAATGTCATACATGTAGCCTAATGAAAGCTATAAAGAATTAAAGAAATAATGCTTGTCTTGGAGGTCTAAAGAAGGTGAGCCATATCCCTGGTGGTTCAAGTGGTTAAGAAAATATTTTAAAAAGAGAAAGTGAGCCCTAAAAACACAACACAACAGTGTCCAGCCCAATCCAGGAAGGGGCAACACTGAACTCATGAACACCATCTAAGCACGTGTGGACTTGAGGCAGTTTTTCAACCTCATTCCTCAAGACCCCATATCCCTCTTCTAGTTCCATTTTTGACAAAAGCCTTCATATTACAATTTGGTTTCTCTAATTCTTAGGTACAACAAAGAAGGTGCATTGATTTGCAGTTGGGAACTCTGTGGTTGCAAAATGGATCATCTTTCAATGTTAAATTAATAAGTTTGCATTCTGTCTCTTTCATCTGGCACTTAAAAGTCAGGTTACTCTGAGTCAGCTCCTGAGAATCCCTTTGGTTCTGGTGCACTAATAACCCACCAGCCTAAGAACAGACATAGACCACTGTGACTTCACAAGAAAGTATCACCTTGTGAAGTTCTGCTTTGGAGACCAGATGACCTAACTCAACAGCATCTTCATCTCTTCTCATTCTAACCACAACAATTAGGCTGTTGGATTTGTGTGAAGTTTATTGCTAGAAGATTGGCACAGTATAGCCCTGCTCTACTAGATATAAAGCCAAGAGGTCTTGAATGGAGAAGCATTGGGAAAGTGTAGGTCTCATTTCTAACTAGTTCATATTCATGGCGAGCATAGGCTCAAAACAATGAATGCCGGATATTCATGTTTCCAACAATTTGTGGCTTCATCAGCAATTGTGGGCTGCCAAAGCTGCAGGGGACTTCCTGGTTTTGACCCATCCCAAGAGTAACAGGACACAAGGCTGATAGGATGAAATATCCAAAGTCCACCCCCAGGATTCCATTTTTTTTCTTTTTTTTTTTTTGAGACAGAGTTTTGCTCGTGTTGCCCAGGCTGGAGTGCAATGGCACGATCTCGGCTCACCGCAACCTCCACCTCCTGGGTTCAAGTGATTCTCCTGCCTTGGCCTCCCAAGTAGCTAGGATTACAGGCATGCGCCACCATGCCCAGACAATTGTGGTTTTTTTTTTTTTTTTTAGTAGAGACAGAGTTTCTCCACGTTGGTCAGGCTGGTCTCGAACTCCTGACCTCAGATGATCCACCTGCCTTGGCCTCCCAAAGTGCTGGGATTACAGGTGTGAGCAACCACACCCACTGCCCCCCCCCACCCCCACAGGGTCCCTTTTAAGAAAGGCTACAAATTATAATTAGAGGGATGGTAATCAGAAATGAAATCAAACGTGTTGGGTTCAGAAAAAAACAGAAGATGCTATATTAGTGTATTCAGGAGAGGCACTGGGAGAAATAGACAAAATAAGAAAGAGAAAGGAGCAAAATGGATATGTTTTTGTGGCTGCAGAGTAAGAAGAACCAAGAGGTCATTTGGAGCTCACTTACATGGAACAGAATGTACAGTGGGACTAAGATTGCAGGGACCGTGTCCAGCGTCCCAGTTACAGCACCGTCTCTTTGTAGTAATGACACAAAGACTATGTAGTAAATAATAATTAAGGATGAAAGACGAGCTGTGGACAAAGGGTGAGATCAGGAGGGAAATAGGCTTTGGTTGTAAATAAAAGACACATATTCACATTTGCCCTAATGATGGTTCCCACGTGCCGTGGATCTTCAGGAACAGCCTTCCTTTTATGTAATTTTATGCTTCTCCGTAAAAATTATTTGTAAAATGTTTAATTAAATGTGATTTAAATTCTATAATTTTCTGAGGTATATCATATATATTAATTTGAAAATTTAAAAATCCACCTATAATTTGCCTTTTTAGGGTTTATGAAATATAGTAACTATAACCATCTTTGCTGTTACGCTAATAATTAAAGATCTAGACTAAGTATGTGTATGGAAAATATGTTTTATAAATCACATGGAAAACACATTCTATTCACCTTGATTTAATCTTTGTAGGAGATTGGTCAGAGTGGTGGGAGAAACTATAGGGAAAGGATGCAAACCTTCTGAAAGTTCAGAAGGCTCTGCATAGCTTCAGGGGAGAATAAGCTGAAGGCAGCTGTTCTCTGATCCTGAGGCAGAGGGCAAGGAGTAGGTACAAGGAGGTGTAGGGGAATTTATCGTAAACAGGCTTGTTTACTTAGGTTGTCCAGAAACCGACCTTTGATAATCTGTGCACATGACTGCTCCCTGAAAAGGGGAACAATAATGTTAATTACCCGCAGATTGTGTTTGCTCCAGGCTTTCGGCATTATGTCTGTACTGAATAAAAGCAAGCAGCTTCAGCTGTTCGCAGCTGCTCTCTTCTTTGGCCCTAAGTGCCGGCAGACCCCTAGCTGCTCTTACACTGCACGCCTGTGTTGTCAGTACTCCCTTCATCCGACGCTCGGCCAGGGTCTGCAGGACAGACCTGGCAAATCTTCAGCAAAAATCCATCACCAGAGTTCCTACTGGATGTTTCCCCCACAAACACACAGACACTACGATGTTCTACTGCCACTGTAACAAAGTGACATGCATTTCATGGCTCAAAATAACACAAAACACGAATGTACTATCTTACTGTTCTCTATTTCAGAAATCTGACTTGGGACTCAGTGTACTAAAATCAAAGTGTTGGAGGTCCTGGGGGGGATTTGTTTTATTGCCAAACTTTTCCAGCTTTCAGAGGCTGCTCACATTCCTGGGCTTGTCCACCATTTCCATCTTCACCATCAGCCATCTCGTCACCCTTAACTCTGCCTTCATCACATCTCCTTCGCCAACACTGACTGAATCTTCTACTTCCCTCTTCCACCTTTTTTTTTTTTTTTTTGAGACGGAGTCTTGCTCTGTCACCCAGGCTGGAGTGCAGTGACGCGATCTTGGCTCACTGCAACCTCCACCTCCCAGGTTCAAGCCATTCTCCTGCCTCAGCCTCCGGAGTAGCTGGGATTACAGGTGTGCAGGCATGCAGGCATGCAGGCATGTGCCACCATGCCCAGCTAATTTTTGTGGGGTTTTTTGTTTGTTTGTTTGTTCGTTCGTTTAGTAGAGACAGGGTTTCACCATGTTGGTCAGGCTGGTCTCGAACCCTTGACCTCGTGATCCACCCACCTCGGCCTCCTAAAGTGCTGAGATTACAAGCGTGAGCCACCGTGCCCAGCCCCTCTTCCACTTTTAAAGACATTATGATTATCTTGGGCCCACCTGAATAATTCAGGATACTCTCCCTATTTTAAGGCCAGCTGATTAGCAACCTTAATTCTACTTGTGACTTTAATTACCTTTTTGCCAAGTAACATCAGCTATTCACAGGCTCTGGGTATTAGGACCTGGGCATCCTTCGGGGACCATTATTCTTCCTCCCACACCAAAGGAAACAGAGAGAGGGAGGGGAAAAGAGACAGCCCATGTATTATCTCTCTAAAACCCCAAAACCAAAACTGGAGTAAGCAATAAAGTCACGAGTGTTTAAATTCACGAACCAATCAAGCTTCCCGGTTGTACTTCAACCCTCAGGGAACATTCTGACATAAGGAGAGCATATGTTTAAGGCTATATCTTAACTAATAGTTTGAAGATGTAAACATACTCCATAACCTTGTGGGGTCATCTCTTTAGAGCAACAATAATAACAATTAACATTTACTGAGTGCTTCCAATGTGCCAAAGTGTTAAGTGTTCTCTATGTGCATTTGCTATACAACTACCCATTTTGCAGATGAAGAAAGTGAGGCACGAGAGGTTCACAGCCAGTCACACAGATAGTTAGTGCCACAGCCAGGATTCACACCCAGGACCATGGGACTCCAAATCCTGCACTTTTAACCGTCATGAAAAACTGCCTCTTCCTCCTTTTTTTTTTTAACCAATATACACTTTGCAATAATTTATTCCCTAATTGACAGAGCTAGAAGGAAAAGACCAGAGTGGGACCTAACCAAAGGCATTTGGAAATGGCTTTTACCTGTATTTGGAAACTCAAGCCTTCCTAGGGAAGAACTATGAGTTCACTGCTAGGGTGGAAAGAGTGCCTGCCCTAAAATAACTTTAAACAGATAACATGATAATAGTAAGAATAAAATATAGCAAAACAAAAAATTGGGGATTATGTTTAGGATATAATTTATATAGAAAAGTGAGATTTTAAAAGCCACAAAGCATATTAAAATAAATTCTGTAAGTTTAGAACACTCTATAAAAATATATATGACTTCTCAGCAAAAGTATCCAAAACCAGAACATAGATATAGGCTTATTTCACCTAGCTAAAATAGAGTATTCTAACACACTCACACATACACACACAAACACACACAGACACATTTTCATAATAGTATCACTGAGTACTTTTTAATGTATAATGCATAGATTATCTCCTTTCGTTTCCACAACAACCCCATCAATCAGGGCTGAGTATTAATCTCAGTTCACAGCTGTGGAAATTAAAGACTGAAGAACTGGGTAGCAATGGCAGAATTGGGATGTGAACTGACAGCTGGTAACCAGGGTATTCATCAGCATAAATCTAGACTGAGCTTTACATGGACTAAGTTTATAAAATGTAAACTCCTGAAGTTCCTGTTTCTCCTTAAGTTCACCTGGGGACAGAATTATAGCTTTTAGGCTAGACTTTTTCATCTAGCCCTTGTGACTTCCTGACAACTTCATCGGTCTCCCCTCTGTCCAGACTTGTGGGATCCTGACTTCAGGGTGGAATACGGGTGTTTTTTAATCATTCTCCTCCTCTGCCCTCATCTCTGCACAGCAGTCTACAGATTACAAAGCTTGTATGTGTACCCTACAGACCTATTACATAGCTTCTGTATGTATATTACATACAGATTACATGTATCATGTGTGTACATTGCTTGAAAATTACATAGTTCAAGTATGTTTGTTACATACCAATTATGTGGCTCATGTATGTAAAGTACACACCTATTACATAGCTAATGTATATATATTACATGTAGATCACAAAGCTTATGTATGTACATTAACTCACTTGCTCCCCACAACAACCCTCTAAACTACAAGGAAAATTATTGGCAGTCTCATTTTCATGGTAAGAACTTTGAGACCAGAGAGGTTAATGTTGCTAGGTGGGTGGGTTAACGGTAGAGCGTGGACTTTAAACCCCTAGCCCAAAATCCTTCCCACTAGTCCAAACTGCAACAAAGATGCAGAAAATGTCACCATCAAGAAGATCTTCAAAAATTAAAAAAAAAAAAGTTTTAGTTAGAATAACAGAGCTTTGAAAAGCAAATATTCCAAACCAAAAGAAAGGAGGGAAGGGAAAAGAAAAACCTGTATCGCAAACTAAAAATCGAGTCGTGATTAGTAATCTACGAGCAGTAAAATAGGTAATGAGAACAGCATTCACGCATATAGAAGGGAGAAACCTAGAAGTAAATGTGAGAAGACACTGTACACATGGGTAAAGTCTCTGTAAGCACATGGGTGAAATACGAACCAGCAGCCATGTAGGGAGTGGGCTCTAGGGCCCCTTTGCCATTAACTCACTGCACAACCTTAGGCAAGTCTTCCTCCTTTCACTGCCTTAGTTCTTACATCCATAAGAAAAAGTCCATCGTGGTAGTTACTTGTCCATAAAGCAAGTTGAGAGCCTTGAACAAAAAAATATTTTGGCAAAACATATGATTACTCCCTGTCTAAAAGCCTACTGAATAGGACACATATCAAACATATACAGTTTAAGGTACCATAATAGACACCGTGTCTATTATGCAATCCTCTCGAATAACAAATGCAGCATATACACACCACAGGGTCAATTTATTGACATAATAATAGTCAATTTATTATTGACTATTATTATGTCTTCTTTCTCACGGCAGAAAAGTAGTTAATGCTGTGCTCTTACTCTAATATCCCTGAATATCTTACTAAGTCAATCAAAATTAACAAGCAAACTTCCATTGTCTCTCCTCTGGACAGGGGCAGTCCCTTCCTGGCCATCCCCACCACTTCACTCTCACCCTCATTCATTCTCCATGAGACAGCTAGGGTGATCTTTTTGAAGATCACAGTGCAGTACTCCCCTGCTTAAAATCTTCATTTTCCACATCTCTTGTGTTGAAGATCAAAATACTCAGCAGAGCTGAGAAAGCCCAGAACGACCCTGTGTCCTGTGCGCCACCAGCGTCCTCTCACCCTGCCCTCCTCCTCACCTTCTCTGCTCCACACAGGGTAGGCATTCAGTAAATACTTGTTCAATGAATGAAAAGGCAAACAATGGGTTTTTTGTGTGAACAATGTATTAAGGTTTGTTTCTGAATAAGAAGCAACATTGGCCGCATGCAGTGGCTCGCGCCTGTAATCTCAACACTTTGGGAAGCTGAGCCAAGCAGATCTTTCAAGGTCAGGAGTTTGAGACCAGCCTGGCCAACATGGTGAAACCCCATCTCTACAAAAAATACAAAAAATAGCAGGGCATGGTGGTGGGCGCCTGTAATCCCAGCTGCTCGGGAGGCTTGAACCTGGGGGGTGGAGACTGCAGTGAGCTGAGATGGCGCCAGTGCACTCCAGCCTGGGCAACAGATCAAGACTCTGTCTCAAGAAAAAGAAAAAAAAGAAAGAAAGAAAAACGAAGAAGAAGCAGCAATATTTGAGTGAACCAAACAAATACATGATTGAGTTTCAGGCAGCAACAACTATCAAGTGGGGAAGAATGCTGGGAGCAAGGACCTTCCAACAGCCTTGCATACCCTTGCCCTGCCGCAACATGAACCACACTGAGCTAAAGGTAAAACCTATAAGGACAAGACTTCAGCAAATTGCATGAGATGATGTTTCAGCTACCAACACCACAGCTAACTCAAAACATCTCCTCCTAAGGCAAAAGAAAGTAACGCCCAGCGAGGACTAAAGCTAACACGCAGGTTAATTCCAGGATCACTAACAACAACGGTCTTTGTGTAAAGGATTTATTTGATTACCTATCATGTCCATCAGATTAAGATAATCATAAGGAGAAAAAGAAGAGTGAAGTCGTTTCAGCTTTGCAACAGCACTTCCCACCCATTTGCAGGGATCTGTTTTTCCTGCTGTTGTGTTAAGGGAATGAAATCACTGCACAGGCCTTTTGCACAGAGGCAGTGCAAAAGGATTTAAGGATCTTTCTAAAACCAGGCTTAAGTCAGAGTGTTCTGGCAGTCCTTTGAAAGAAGTTATCTAGCTGAAACATCACTTGCCTCCTCAGAAAGGTTTGGTGTCAGCTGGAAAAGGAAGGAAGCTGGAAGGAGGGAGGAGGTGCCCTCCTTCTCTGAAGGTGATAATGATAAATGAGGATCAACTACCAGTATGATGGGCTAGGCCAACCCATTCTTCTCAGGCTTATACCAAGGTACTGAATGATAAGTATGTCACTCAGATGATGATGACTTCATCGCAGCTATGTGAAAAGATCTTGACAACCAGGTTTTCTCTACTGGTGATGGTGCTAAATTGCTTTGTCTCCTGAGCACTGGCAACTCTGAATTCTAGGTATAAATGGGTAAAGATCAGTAACTGCTCCTAAGCACCCCAGAGCAGACCCTCACATAATAGGTTGTGTCATTTGACAGAATACTGAAAGGCCAAACAAAATAAAACTAAACTGTTGGATCTAGAGGCTGAAGGATCTTTAAAGGTAGGAGTGGGAGGGAGTGAGGGATAAAAGACTGCACATTGAGTACAGTGTACACTGCTCTGGTGATGGGTGCACCAAAATCTCAGAAATCACCACTAAAGAACCTATCATATGAAAAAAGGCTCAACATCACTGATAATTAGGTAAATGCAAATCAAAACCACAAGATACCAACTCACACCAGTCAGAATGGTGATTATTAAAAAGTCAAGAAACAACAGATACTGGTGAGGTTGTGGAGAAATGGGAATGCTTTTACATTGTTGGTGGGAATGTAAATTAGTTCAACCATTGTGGTAGACAGTGTGGCAATTCCTCAAAGATTTAGAACTGGAAAGACCATCTGACCCAGCAATCCTGCTACTGGATATCACCCCAACAGACCTGGTGGCCTGCCAAAAAAATATTAAATCATTCTATTATAAAGATATATGCACATGTATGTTCATTGCAGCTACTACTCACAATAGCAGAGACATGGAATCAACCCAAATGCCCATCAATAATACACTGGATAAAGAAAATGTGGTACATACACATCATGGAATACCATACAGCCATAAAAAGGAACAACATCATGTCCTTTGCAGGGACATGGATGAAGCTGGAAGCCATTATCTTCAGCAAACTAACACAGGAACAGAAAATCAAACACCACATGTTATCACTTATAAGTGGGAGCAGAACCATGAGAACATCTGGACACAGAGAGGGGAACAACACACACAGAGGCCTTTCAGGGGAGGGCGGGTGGGGAGAGCAGTAGGGAAAAGACCTATTGCATGCTGGGCTTAATACCTAAGTGATGGGTTGATAGGTGCAGCAAACCACCTGGCACATGTTTACCTATGTAACAAACCTGCATATGTAACCCAGAACTTAAAATATAATAATTTAAAAAAATAGATTGCATCATCTGCAAACAAAAAAATTCATTAATGTAATTGAAAACCACCTGTTTCCCAAAAACTATTAAAATAAAAATTTAAAATAGTTTTTAAGTAGGAATTGTGTCATATTAGTCTATTTATAAAACCAGAGTACCCCTAAAGGAAATCTTCAATAAAATTAATAACTAAGTTAGAAGATTTTAAGTCATATGATTTGTGGCTGTGGAATTCAACCAATAATGAAATTGGAGATGAAATGCACAGTTTGGGGGTATGAGATAAAAAGCAATAAAAACATTTTAAATATAGCCAACCACTTTAAATGAGCAGGTGCTTGAATCAATATCCCACAACTGCAAAAATTTTAGTGAACCTAAAGTATTGTCTCTATGGCAAAGTAAAAAAGGAAGAAAGAAGAAGAGGAAGAGGAAGAGGAGGAGGAAGAGGAGGAAGGAGAAGGAGGAGAAGAAGAAGAAGAAGAGAAGGAAGAAGGAAGAAGGAGGAGGAGGGAGAAGGAGAAGAGGAGGAAGGAGAAGAAGACGAAGAAAAGGAAGAAGAAGGAGGAGGAGGGAGAAGGAGAAGAGAAAGGAGAAGAAGAAAAGGAAGAAGAAGAAGATGACGACGAGGGGGGAGGAGGAGGAAGAAGAAGAGGAAGAAGAAGGAGAAGGAGAAGAAGAAGAAGAAGAGGAGGGGGGAGGAGGAAGGATAAGGAGGAGGAGAAGAAGAGGAGGAGGAGGAAGATGAAGGAGGAGGAGGATAAGAAGAAGAAGAAGAGAAGGAAGAAGGAAGAAGGAGGAGGAGGGAGAAGGAGAAGAGGAGGAAGGAGAAGAAGAAAAGGAAGAAGAAGATGACGACTGGGGAGGAGGAGGAAGAAGAAGAGAAAGAAAAAGAAGAAGAAAGAGGAGGAGGAGGGGGAGGAGGAGGAGGGGGAGGAGGAGGAGGAGGGGGAGGAGGAGGGGGAGGAGGAGGCGGGGAGGAGGGGGAAGAGAGGGAGGAGGGGAGGAGGAAGGGGAGGAGGGGAGGGGGGGAGGAAGAGGAGAAGCAGGAGGAAGAGGAGAAGAAGAAGAGGAGGAGGTGGAGGAGGAAGAGGAAGAAGGAGAAGAAGGAGAAGGAGGGGGAGGAGAAAGGGAGAAGGAGGAGCTCAATGGCAACAGGGAAGGAAACTAAAGTTTTACATCACTGGATCCTGACTTTTTAAACTTATATACTCCTTTGAAAAGTTAATGAGGCCAGGTGAAGTGGCTCATGCCTTTTATCTTACCTCTTCGAGATGCTAAGATAGGAGAATTGCATGAGCCCAGGAGTTTGAGACCAGCCTAAGCAACGTAGCAAGGCCTCGTCTCTACAAAACATTAAAAAAAGAATTTGCCTGGTGTGGTGATGCACGCCTGTAAGTCCCAGCTACTGGGGAGGTGGAGGCAGGAAGATCACTTGAGCCAGGAGGTTGAGGCTGTAGTGAACCATGATTGCACCACTGCCCACAGCTCAGGCAACAAAGTGAGACCCTGTCTCAACAAATAATAATTAATTTAAAAAAATTTCTTTTGAGATGGAGATTCACTCTTGTCACCCAGGCTGGAGTGCAATGGTGTGATCTCAGCTCACTCCAACCTCTGCCTCCTAGGCTCAAGCAATTCTCCTGCCTCAGCCTCCAGAGTAGCTGGGATTACAGGTGCACGCCACCATGTCCAGCAAATTTTTTGTATTTTTGGTAGAGACGGGGATTTCACCATGTTGGCCAAGCTGGTCTTGAACTCATACCCTTAGGTGATCAATCCACCTGCTTCGGCCTCCCTAAAGTGCTGGGATTACAGGCATGAACCACCAAGCCCGGCCTAATTGAAATTTTTAAATACAACAGTTAATAAAAGCTTCTATTCCTCAGAAAAGCAAGCATATAAGCATGCAGAGAAATTTTTGCATATAGTTTTAGAGATTTTACTAACTTCTTAAAGTCTATCTATTGCATTCCATGTTTAAAATTGCAGCTGCAATTGACTGTTTTCAGCTGGGAACATTTTCCCAATGGATAAGATGCTACAAGGGCATAAGCATGAGTGGTCAAGTAAAGCTGATATAAAACACTTTGTTACAGCATGATCCTCAGACCGTTTTCTCATATTTCTATTTGTCCAGGAAAAAGGGGCCAACAGAGAGATGATGTGAGTTATGAAGTCTTCAATACAGTATTTCAAATGAGGAAGAAAACAACAGCCAACTTGAGTCGCTTACAAATAGTATCTGTATATAGTGTCTGTTCATGTCCTTTGCCCACTTTTAATGGGCATGTTTTATTTCTATAAATGTCTAATCTTCTTATGTAACCTTCCAACTCATAGGATAATAGCATAGCAATTTTGCCTGAAGACCTACTACTCATCTGTGCTGAAATATCATGTGTAGTAAAAATGTATTTGAGAGTCATTTTGGCCATCTTTCTCTACTATAAAGAACGGGTGCCTATAAAATGCTTCATTAATGGAATGGTTGTCTTGAAAAGGCACACAAACAGACGGTGTACCCAGTTCATGACAGCTACCTTCTGACAGGGCTCCCTTCTGACCCCAACACACCCACATGCAACCCCATGCATTCACTCAACAGCTGAGCTGTCTTACAAAGTACCCACTCCCTTTCAAGACGACAACTGAGTTCATCAGAAAGATGAATCAAATGTGAAAACTACAAATGTTTCAGCCAGAAAATCATGCAAAGCAGAATGATTTTGATTCTGAACAATTTGCACTCTACAGAAATACCAAAAGAAATCCTGAAACCATATTGCAAGTGAAATGCTTGTGAACCAAAAGGATCAGTAAATGTTGGCCATTTACTGAGGAAGCAGTTGGAGGCTTCATCCCTCGCGTTCTTTAAGAATACTTCAAAAACAAGCTCAGCACTCTGCCGTTGTCCTCCCTAAAAGCAAAAATCTGCAACAAGTGGCTCAGCGTTGCTTTTCTTTCCAGTCCTGCGATTCCAAAAATCCTGGCATTTACAGGCCATTTTATCCTTCTTAAAAATGTAAAATTTAAAAGAATGTGATGAACGTTTTTAAATTCTAGAAAAACTATGTCACTAAAGTGAATTCATTTTAGTTCCTTATTTGCCAATTAAAATGTGTTAATTGACTTAAGTTTTTCTAAAATGGAATAAGTCGCAGGAGCCCATTTTTCCAATTATTCTAGCCATTCTTTTGTCTTCCAATACATACACATAGTATCTGAAAGGATGTTCACCAAATGTCACCAAACGTTGTGTGTGTGTGGTAGAATTTTTAAATATTTTTTCCTGTACCATCATGTATCACTTGATTTTGTATAATAAGCATGTATCATTTCTTTTAATGCTTTTAAAATGATGCTTTTAAAAAAGCATCATTTCTTTTAAAATCCAATGGAACTCTACACATTAGAAGTTATGGAAAACCAGGGCCGGGTGCGGTGGCTCATGCCTATAATCCCAGCACTTTGGGAGGCCGAGGTGGGTGGATCACAAAGTCAGAAGTTCAAGATCTGCCTGGCCAACATGGTAAAACCCCGTCTCTACTAAAAACTACAAAGATTAGCCGGGCGTGGTGGCACGCACCTGTGGTCCCGGCTACTCGGGAGGCTGAGGCAGAAGAATCGCTTGAACCCGGGAGGTGGAGGTTGCAGTGAGCCACGATCACATCACTGCACTCCAGCCTGGGCGACAGGGCGAGACTCTGTCTCAAAAAAAAAAAAAAGAAGTTATGGAAAATTGGCTGGGCAGGGTGGCTCATGCCTGTAATCCCAGCACTTTGGGAGGCCAAGGCAGGCAGATCATGAGGTCAGGAGTTCAAGACCAGCCTGGCCAACATGGTGAAACCCCGTCTCTACTAAAAATACAAAAAATTAGCTGGGCATGGTGGTGCGCACCTGTAATCCTAGCTACTCGGGAGGCTGAGGCAGGAGAATCGCTTGAACCCAGGAGGCGGAGGTTGCAGTGAGTCAAGATTGCGCCATTGCACTCCAGCCTGGGTGACAGAGCAAAACTCCATCTTGAGAAAAAAAAAAAAAGAAGTTATGGGAAACCATCATATAACAGTACTAGAAGAGACTATTTCTCCCCAGTGCTCTCAGATCTCACCACCAGTTTTTCCTGGCCCTGGTCCTGCTATGACACAAGAAATCTTTTGCTCAAGGATAAGTCCTATAAATCAAAACTCCCACACATGGACATAAAATGAGACAGTGGCCAAATCTATGGGGTTGATAAGTCACTGCCACTCAGACATGCCTGAAATAATTAGAGAAGCATTAATTTCATTGTAGATTCTGGTGAGAGAATTTAGAAAAAGGCAGTGCAGCCCGGCCCTTGCACATGCTAAAGGTAAATGTTTTCTTCCTTGGTAAGTCTGGGTCCAGGCGAACAGGAACCAGAGCTGACCATAACTTTGATGACCAGGAACCGTCCACATCCACAGAACACTGGTTGCCACCACTCGCCAAACAAGTCTCTCTAGTTCCCTCATTTGCTCTATTTTTATCACTTGTCTCTTTTGTCTTTTTCTCATATCTGAGATGTAAGTGACTGTCGGCACTCTTTCTAAGCACTCTCCAAGCTTCCCTGAGGCTTGGAGGCTCATTTTTCCAGCTCGTGCACAGTGAAATAAAAAATATTCAGAGACTCTTCCCTGATAAGGTTTTGTTGTAAGACTGGGAGGAGCAGAGCTGGTGTGCTTTTGGGTGGCTTTATTTGTAATTGGAAAAGATTGGCCTTCATGGATGGTTAATCTATACCCAGGAGAGGCGTTTTCCTACTTTCTAGTTCTATAACTCACAGTCCTAAAAGGAGCAGAAGTTGATGGCATCAGGAGACCTGTGTTAAAATCCTGACTCTAAAAAGTTTATGATTGAGTCAACATACATTTGCAAAATACCACCAAGAAACCAGACTTTGGTGCTCAAAAATGGAAGACATAAACTCTGCTTTCAAGAAGCCTGCGGTCTCAGAAGGGTGTGGCAAATGCAGTATAATGGAGTGAAAGAACGGAGTGGACTTCATCCCAGGCACAGGAGGTGGCTGCGCCTGGCTAGGGGCTCCCAGCTTCCACCATGAGGTGGGATGCCAAGGTGTCTGCCCCTCTGGAGGACCTCGGCATCCAGAAGAGGCAGTTTCCTCCTAGAGGGTCACCCAACTCATGCAGGAGAATTCAGAAAATGATTGTTGAAGGAGGTAGCCCTTGAACTATAGAAGAGGTAGGGGTGAGTGACTTTCCAGGCAGGGAGGACAGCACAGACTCGGGCAGTGTCACCTATGAATTCATGTGCTCAATTACACTGTACATGCGAATCAGCTCTGGATCATTCATCCCTATGAGACCCTGATTCTTTGTCTGCAAAATGAAGACAACAACCCTTGCCTGGATACATAAAGAGTTGTGAGGATTCAATAAAGAATATAAAAGAGCTACACCAATTGGCAAGTCCTATTATTATGAAAGAGAAGTGTGGTACAGGACCTGTCAAGATTCAACCCAAGATAACAGTGCTATGTGGAGAAAGAATCTAGCCCTGGCTCTGCCACTAACCTCCCCACCACCATAGGCCTCAGCTTTCCTCATCTGTCCAATTAGTGGCTTGGAACCAGAAAGGCCAGAAGCCCTTCCTGCGCTGATATTTTATTTGTAAGTCCCCTTTAAATCCAACTGCCAGTAACTAGCACGTGGCTCCCGCCCCCAGACTGCTTCTTTATTCATTCCTAACCTTTACCTTGGCAGATGAAATATAAGATTCATCAACCACATTTGACAGCCCATGGCAGGTTTCCTGTTTTCCATCGTCCCTCTGCAGGTCACAGACACACAGAGCCCAGCCGTGGCAGGCTCAGCCGGGGTCCGGGGCTGCTAACAACGGCTACATTCCTCCCCCAGGGCCAAGGGAAATCCTGAGCGCAGGCCAGGGTTGTTTGGTTTTGAGGTGTGCTGGGATGAAAGGCACCCTGGAAGTGGAAGGTTCGGTCATTCATTAATTAATTACATCTATAATTGAGGGTTTGTTCTTAAGAGCGAGTCCTTTGAAAGTACTTTCCTTCAAACAGTGACTGCCACAAAGGCATCAGATATTCACCACCTTCTCGGCTGCCTCAGCACAGCAAGCTTTATTCTGGGACCTGAGATCCTGTTCTGAGCTGGCTTTCCCTTCTCCAGGCTCGCTCACCCTCCCTTTAGAGGTGGGGCTTATTGGGGGTGGAAAAAGGTGTGTGTATCTCTGTTGTTTAATGTCTGGTTTTTTGTTGCTGTTGTTGTTGTTTTGTTTTGGTTTTGGTTTTTGGTTTTTTTTAAGGAAATCTATACTACATCGAATATGCTTTCTTTTGGGTGGACTTTAACCTAACCCATTCCAGGTAAATGAACAATGGAAAAACTTCACGGCAAGATTAGAAAGATACCTGAGCCCAATACCCGCCTGATGTCGTGGGCCACACCTCCGGGTTACCAGGGGAAGGGAGGAAGCAAACTGTCATATTGATGTGGCTCTAAACAACAACAGTGTGCGAAGGCCCAGGGGCACTTTGGGATTGACCAAGAGGAAACACAAGTTGCACAATGATACAATCTTGTTGGTACAATTGTCAGAGAAGGGAACTCCCACAGCAAAGGCCATAAAACCATCCAGGGCAGTCTGGGGCGGCTCAGTTCTGCGGTGCCAGGGAGTGGAGCAGAGCTCAGCCCCGTCCCAAACACAGATGGGACCATGAACTCCGGACACAGCTTCAGCCAGACCCCCTCGGCCTCCTTCCATGGCGCCGGAGGTGGCTGGGGCCGGCCCAGGAGCTTCCCCAGGGCTCCCACCGTCCATGGCGGTGCGGGGGGAGCCCGCATCTCCCTGTCCTTCACCACGCGGAGCTGCCCACCCCCTGGAGGGTCTTGGGGTTCTGGAAGAAGCAGCCCCCTACTAGGCGGAAATGGGAAGGCCACCATGCAGAATCTCAACGACCGCCTGGCCTCCTACCTGGAGAAGGTTCGCGCCCTGGAGGAGGCCAACATGAAGCTGGAAAGCCGCATCCTGAAATGGCACCAGCAGAGAGATCCTGGCAGTAAGAAAGATTATTCCCAGTATGAGGAAAACATCACACACCTGCAGGAGCAGGTAAGATGCTGGGTGACCCTGGAGATCCAGATGGGGCTGCTTTGCCAGGGGACCCTCGGGAGGAAAAATGAGTCCAGAAGACAATTTCCAGGAAAATGGCATCAGCGCTTGAAGTAATTGTGCACAAAGGTTTTGGGGGATGTTTTCTTATTATATCTTAAATTTGGAGTGGGAAACGTCTGTTTTGTTTAATTAGTCTACTGTCCATGGATAATGTAGAAAAAGAAGGCAGCAAAAATGATAGAAGTGCTACAGACTGTTTCAAAAATGAGACTACTGATTTCTCACAGACCAAAAACATCTTTAAAATGTGAGGCAACCAGCTGCTGTTTAATGTCACTTATGACCCAACGATGTCATAGAAATGATAAGGGCTGGTGTTCATGCTGCATGCTCAGTGCACCAGGCATAAGAGAGTGTTTACTTTCTCATTACCTCAGTTCTGCTCCACCTCAAACTTTTTTGAACAATGTGGTTATCCATCGACAAAAGGCTGTTACACTATTTTGAAGATTATGCCTAAAAGTTGTCACCACACCAGCATATAGGTCATCATGACATCCCTAGATATTTCCGTTTGTGGGTTGCTTGCAGTAAAGTTGCTCACAGTTCTGACAATGGCATATTGCTAGAACCAATAATAATAAAATGAGCATAATTTTTAGAATCTGAGAGTTGAGATGGCTATAAAGACCTTGTTCAAAAAAAACCGAACTCTTTAACCAAACCTCAAAAAAGCTAAGCAAATACCTTCTGGGATGTCTCATAACATTAGCTAGAAGTAGAAGGAATCCAATCATCTCATAGGTTATGTTTTAAAGCTATCTAACTCCCCTCTTATATAAAGCAGTCCCAGAAAATTCCCTGTAAGACCATGATTTAACCTCCCCTAGAAAGGGTATCACAAGTTTCCAATATTTATATATATTATTTCACAATGCTCAGTCATCCTTGCTTGAATGTAGGAAGGACCAGTCAAGATAATATAAATCTGTCCTTGTAATGAACCCTAATTATTGAATAATCAACCTAATAACTGACTGTAATTACCTTAACTATATAGTGCATGGTTGTCTTTATGAAAAAAAAAAAAAAACAAGGTGACTCAACAGTCCTCATCATGTTTTTTTGTTTAATAAAGTTGCTTTGGTTGTAGAAAGGAGGAATTGAAGATTTTTGCAAATGGAGAGCAAAGGGAGACCATGACTCCCAAAAGAAATACAAGGTTAGAACCAGTCAAATAATTTATGAGCTCGCGGAAGAGATTTAAAAAAAAGAAAGGGAGGAAAGAGAGGGAAATGTTTACTGAGCACTTATTATGTACCTAGGCATCCTGCTGGATATTTAATACACATGTCAACACTATCCAAGAGTTTTCTGCAATGATGGAAATGTTCCATATTATTTTATTTGATTCTGCAAGAACCCTGTAAGGAAATGGAAGCTTGGAAAAAAGTGAAATAGCCATCCAAAGCCATCAGCAAGAAGCAGAGGTGGGATTCTAACTCAGGTCTGTTTCCAGTAGCCTCATAAATTTCACTACAGTGTAGTGCTGCCTAGCCCACCTCATATAAAAATGACACTTAGTATGAATAAAGATAATGCATTATACTTGCATCATTAACCACACATCACATACTTCATACACATTGTCTCATTTAATCCTCACAACTGTGTGGAGCAGGTATTTGTATTCTCAACTTACAGATAAGGAGACTGAGACCTAATCATTGTCTAAATCCTTTGGAACAGAATTGAGAAAAGTGAGTAGGTGCAATGGGGGGTGTGGGGAGCAACCTGCCCACCCTTCAGATGACCTGGAATTCTGGGTTCTGAGATTGAATAGGAAACTTCTTTGGCTTTGAATTTCACTCTTTTCTGGATTTTTACCTCTAACATTGTGTTTTCTCTACACTTGAAGAAAGAAACTCTTTAAAGTTGAGGTTGTCTATCTACCCCAACCTCCCTCATTTGAAGATGAGAAAACAGAGGTGCAAGGAGGTCCCACAATTACCTGGGGCTTATCCTTCCTGGACCTTGGTGAAATGCTCTGAGTGGATACAGTTCTCCCGTACCCTCACTTTAGGTATATTAAATATCACTCAAAAGGTTGATAACAAGTTGAGCTTAAAAATTAATTCAATCCTTTTGAAATCCAGAATTGGACACAGTCATAGGAGTATCATAAATAAAACACCTTGAATGATTCTCAATCGGACTATATTTGGCATTTTTGTTTACAGTCAAACATTCTGTTTTCCTCTCCCTAGTAGATCAAACATCCTGAAGCAACAATGCTGCAAGAATATGCCAACTTGCTTTTAAAAGAATGAACTGAGGGCCTTCAGGAGAATCTGGGTGATTAATTACAACACTCAGTAAAAAACCTATGCCTCATATATCGTTTCTCAACCCATCTTCATCCACTTATTACCATGAAGATTGTGTCAGAAATGATGGTTATATCATAATTCTGTACTAAGTAAGCCTGAATAATGGGAAATAGTTTTAAACGTGCTCTATATCAAGCACATTTCAGAATTCACATTTGTGTGCTATGAGAATGATAGCTGGGGGAATCAGACACTTGAGGTGGACTTTGCAATGGATAAATTACCAATTTAACCCAGAAAAGCTAAATAAGCCCATAGACAGTATTTTTGATTTTCTGATTCTCTGGATGTAGATTAACACCTCATAGTGTGTGTCAAATAGAAAACCTCAGTGCACAAGTAAGTAAGGGTTACCCCACAATGGCCCCCAGGCTCTTTGGGATAGAGCTACTTTTCATTTTGCAGGAGCTTACATAATGCAAAGAATAAGGGGTCTGGAGGGAGAAGTATTGGTAAGAATGCCCCTAAGCAGCACTGTGGAGAGGAGACAAGGAAATATCTAAAAGTGTCCTTCTTTATAGCAAGGGAAGGGGCCATAGTACCATTTGGAATCCCACAAGAGGAAAAAGAATGAGGCAGGAGCAGCCAGCCTGGCTATGTCCCACCATGAACAGCAAAAGTCTGAGCAGGCATCTCAGCATATAGAACCTGGGGATGTTCACAGTGTAGTCACTGAATCTATAAAAGTGCTAGATTTTTAAAAAGAAAGGTGTATTATTTACTTTTTTCTGAACAAATTCAGTTTCGACCAATTTTTCACTGTCTATAATATGCCGATAATATGCTATTTGACATTATTTGACATACTCTCTTCTAATTCTCATAACTCTTTGATGAAGTAACTATTGTTATTGCTATTTTATGGATGAATAAACTGAGACTCAGCCAAGCTCACTCAGCCAATCTCACCCAGCCAGTAAGCGCGGAGCAGGATCCCAGGCCCTGCTCTTTGAGTTCCAGACCCAGCATTCATGCCATCTCTAAATCCTGCTATTGTGCATTCATGATACCAAATTCCATGGGATCAGTGGAGCTTTAAATAGGACCAGACTTTTAAAAGGTGCCTTTGTACTGAAGTATAGCTTTGTCCTAAGAAAATGCTTTCTAAATAAAGGAATGAGCTATGTAAATATAATGGGAATTACCCAGGATTCTCTGACTCCAACTAAATTACAGAAACTTAGAGCTAAGACCTCTAAGGTCCTCTGTCTCTAGTACAGACTCCTTATTTGACAATGGATGAAACTGAGGCCTGGAGAGTAGAGTGATGCAGCCTGATGCATCCACATGGATGGTCAAGAACAGAGCCAGAACCAAAGAAAAGCTCTAAGTTTCTAGTCCAGCACAACACTTGGCGTAAAAGCATTATTACACTTTTGACAACGAGACATCTTCTACCCTAAAGACAGTGACATACATCAAATGTGTGCTATTTCTCTGACTATAACATACCTACAAGTGTTTACAAATCATAAATGTATACACACTTGCTCGAGTAAGTGCTTTCAATACTATTTTTCTTTTCAAAGTAAAAAAAAAATTATACGAACATCTAGTGAAAGTCTTTAACTGGAGGCTTTACCACTACTGAAGCTTCTTAAGCATTTTCCTTAGATGGTAAGGAATTATTTCAGTTAATATTTTAATAGCTACAATGAGCACATTCTCATCACAGAATAAGTTGCAATGACATAAACACACCTTCAAGTTACAGTCACTTCGGGCAAAAAAAAAATGTGTTCTGTGATGACTATTACAAAATACATTGAATATTAGTGTTAGCGTTGCTCAGTAACACTGATTAGAAACATGATTGCTATCACAAGTAAGAATTATGTTCACCTGAAATAATAATTTTTGTATTTTTGGAGGGCTGAACTAATTAAAAGTAATGGCAAAAATCACTTTTTCACCAACCTAATACAATAAGAAAAGGATCAGAACCTAAAGTCCTTTTAACATCTTCAGCTGTGGATGAGCTTAATTAAGCAAAATGCTATGACATGTCCATAACCTAAAAAGTTAGAGGGCATTTTGAACAATTACTGTCCTTCCCCTTCCTATATCATTCTTTCAGCAGTTGCATCAATCCAAGCCTGTCAAAACTCAACATAAAAAGAAAAAAGGCAGTAACACTGACTGCAGATCATATTCTTATTTTAAAATCATTCTGCTTTGCACCTAGTATGTGCTCACTAAGCATTTACTGATTCGGTTATTCATTGTTCCACTGCCAGAACAAGAAGTTGTCTGTACTAACAAGTCAAATATTCAGGAAGCTAGAGGACAGACATGCAGCGGTCATGTGTGGGTGTGTCCAAGTGAGATAACCTTTTGTGCTTTTGTGCATGTTTTACAGATAGTGGATGGTAAGATGACCAATGCTCAGATTATTCTTCTCATTGACAATGCCAGGATGGCAGTGGATGACTTCAACCTCAAGTAAGTTCCTTCTTCACAGGGTTGTTCGGGTTTTTGTTTGTTTGCTTTACAAAAGGAAAACTCGGCGGGGCGCGGTGGCTCACACCTGTAATCCCAGCACTTTGGGAGGCCAAGGCGGGCGGATCACGAGGTCAAGAGATCGAGACCATCCTGGCCAACATGGTGAAACCCCATCTCTACTAAAAATACAAAAATTAGCTGGGCATGGTGGCACACGCCTGTAGTCCCAGCTACTCGGGAGGCTGAGGCAGGAGAATCACTTGAACCCAGGAGGTGGAGGTTGCAGTGAGCCAAGATCACGCCACTAACACTCCAGCCTGGCAACAGAGTGAGACTCCATCTCAAAAAAAAAAAAAAAAAGGAAAACTCATCTTGCCATTACCCGCATCTAAAATCTTATAATGAAAAGGCATAGCAACGGCAAATGCACTGTGTGTTACTTGAATGAACCTTAGTTTAAACAAATCAGATATAAAGCACATTATAGTATGGGGAAGTTTGAATATGAATCAAGAATTAGATGATATTAAAGGGTTGTTATTAATGTTTAGGTGTAGTGTTATGTTTATTTTATTTATTTATTTATTTATTTATTTATTTGTTTATTTTTGAGACGGAGTCTTGCTCTGTTGCCAGGCTGTAGTGTAGTGGCGTGATCTCGGCTCACTGCAACCTCTGCCTTCCAGGTTCAAGCGATTCTCCTGCCTCAGCCTCCCAAGTAGCTGGGACTATAGGTGCACACCACCATGCCCAGCTAATTTTTGCATTTTTAGTAGCAACAGGGTTTCACCATGTTGGCCAGGATGGTCTCAATCTCTTGGCCTCGTGATCCGCCCGCCTCAGCCTCCCAAAGTACTGGGATTACAGGTGTGAGCCACCGTGCCCGGCCTGTTTATTTTAAAATATATTTTTCTTAAAAGATGCATCCTGAAGTATTTAGTCTTAAAATGTCATCACATCTATAATCTGCTTTAAAATACTTCAGCAATGAAATAGATGAAGCAAATATGGCAAAACATTCATGGTTGCTAAATATAGATAATGGGTATATGACTGTTTATTATCCTATTCTCCCTACTCAATTTAAAAGTTGACATTGAGTCACCATCATGGAGAAGTGTAGCATGAAACTGGCATAAAAAAGACATCCTATATGTATTCATTTGCTCTCTTTAAACCTAAAAAGTAAAAGATTCACCTCTAAATGAAAATGAATCCTTTCAAAAACCATGGCCTTCCAACAATGAGTGCACTCTTCTCTTCCTTCTCACCAAAGGTATGAAAATGAACACTCCTTTAAGAAAGACTTGGAAATTGAAGTCGAGGGCCTCCGAAGGACCTTAGACAACCTGACCATTGTCACAACAGACCTAGAACAGGAGGTGGAAGGAATGAGGAAAGAGCTCATTCTCATGAAGAAGCACCATGAGCAGGTACAACTCCCCAGGAACACCTGCTAATAAGCACAGCTCTTAGCCTGCACATCTCAGGCTGATTCGACAGCTACAGAAGAAACCACCACCTGGATGCCAATCCCCTTGTCCTTCACCCTAAATAGTCTTTAGAAAAACATACAAATATCTAATGTTTCTAATTTCAAGGTTAGCTAGTCACATGTCAAATACAACAACCAAAATGCAATCATAATTAATGATGAATTGGTCAACAGTTTTGTTAATACACAATGTTTACCTAGATGTGCTTGTTAATGTTACTATAAGAATCAATGCGTGAGACTGGACTTCCATCACTGGCCCAATGTTCAGCAAGTTAGGGGACAATATAATGAAGAGAGTCTGCTACCAACCAAGATAAGTGTGATGTGGGGCAAAAATAAAGAATCCTAATTTCCAGAAGCATTTAACTGACTTTTAGAGTTACCATCCATCACAAGTCCTCAAGACTCTGATAAAATGATAGAAAAACAGTTCCCATTTTAGGAAAACAAAATTGCTTCTCAACATCAAAGAGCTCAGTTTCTGAATAGCTGGTTAGACAATGATTGTTAATTAAACCTTTCCTGTGGCTGCTTGGTTTTCATGAAATCCTATGGGCGTCAGCCCTACAGTGTCACAAGGCATTGATGAGATTTTGAAAGCCTCTACACCTTCTTTCTGCTGTTTGCCTCTTGAACTGCTTCCCAAAAGCTTTGGCCTATAGCCTGTAAGGTTCAGCTGCTTAACTATGTTGTCACTTCACCAATCCACATCTGCTGAACAGGACTTTGCACACTATGGAAGCATAATTCTTTCTGAAATATTTTCAACCACGGATCAAGTCAGTAATCATGGAGGCTATTTGATTACCTGCCTTATGATATTCTTTTTTTTTTTTTTTTTTTTTTTGGAGACAGGGTCTCACTCTGTCACCCAGGCTGGAGTGCAGTGGCGCAATCTCGGCTCACTGCAGCCTCCACCTCGCAGGTTCAAGCGATTCTCCTGCCTCAGCCTCCCAAGTAGCTGGGATTAAAGGTGTGTACAACCACACCCAGTTAATTTTTTGTATTTTTAGTAGAGACAGGGTTTCTCCATGCTGGTCAGGTTGGTCTCAAAGATATTCTTTATTTTATAAAATTATTAGAGAAAAAAGTATACAATGTTTTATCACCAACAAGTAAGTAATATTTGAGAAACCAAACCAGTGACAGTGGGAGCAACCACATAATCGGAATGTTTAAAAGATCTATTTACCACTGCCAATCAACATGGCAATCCAGCCTTCTGATTGTCAAAGCCGGTTCATTTCCTTTCTCTGTTATTAAATAGGAAATGGAGAAGCATCATGTGCCAAGTGACTTCAATGTCAATGTGAAGGTGGATACAGGTCCCAGGGAAGATCTGATTAAGGTCCTGGAGGATATGAGACAAGAATATGAGCTTATAATAAAGAAGAAGCATCGAGACTTGGACACTTGGTATAAAGAACAGGTAAAAGAAAGATGCACAAACTTCCCAAAGGTTGCATTTCCATGAGGTCCCAATGCTGACGCCTTTGCCTTGCTTGGTCCCACAGTCTGCAGCCATGTCCCAGGAGGCAGCCAGTCCAGCCACTGTGCAGAGCAGACAAGGTGACATCCACGAACTGAAGCGCACATTCCAGGCCCTGGAGATTGACCTGCAGACACAGTACAGCACGGTGAGTCAAGGCTAGGAAAACCGTGAATCCCACACCACCTCCTTCACGAAGCCTTCTGAGACCTCTCTCCCAGGCCCTGACCCTCAACTCCCTTGGGACAACTCTCACTTTCCACTTTCCATCCAAATTGTTTATGATGAGAACCATAATAAAGGGCTACCATGTATTGAGTGTCCCGATGGTGCCAGGCATTGTGCTAAGTAGTTCATGATATTAAATGTCATTAATCCTTACAGTAACCTTCCCAGATAGGTCTTAGTGTCCCCATTTTAGAGATGAGGAAACCAAAACTCCAACAGTAAAATAAATTGGCCAAGGTCACACAGCTAGTAAGTAACTGGTGATGAAACCATATGATTTATTTGGAGGAAGGGGGATTCTAGACCCCCATAATTTCTATCAGTGCCCTCTCCACTTACAACCAGGCTACCCCCCTCAAACCCCAATGTAGAGAAATTCCAGTGCCAACATGGTAGGTGGCAGATCCAGGCCTGGCTAACTCCAAAGCACTGCCCTATTCATTTATGTATATGTCTTATCACCCAGAAAACTCTAAGTTCTTGTGTCCAAGTCATTTCTATCATCTTCACAGTTTAGAAAAATGCTTAGCATGGTCATAAGCATTCAAAATTTATGAAGGTCTATCATTTGATTCCCAGTATACCCTATTGAGTCTTCTAATCATTCATCCATATAATTGCCAAGTGCGATTCTACCCTCAGTCTTGAGAGGCAATGATTTGTTCATTTATGTTGCAGGTGCACTTGGGTAAATGACTGCTGTGTTTTATGCATCCGTGATGGTGAACAGACACTGCAAATGTGCACGTAGAGATCATGAGTACAAAAATAATTATAGTGCAACTTTCAAAACGTTTTAACATACAGTATTTCACAATGGCCCTGTGAAACAGGCGAGGCATGTATACCCATTTTCATGCATTCTACTATCTGACACCAATCCTTAGCACTGAGGATTTTTTAATGAAGGAGTTTATATTCTAGTAGGAGTGACAGATAATAAATGTGCAAATCATCAAAATATATGTTAGATGGAGAAAATTGCTACAGAGATGAAGCAGAGGAGGAGGGCAGATGCACCAGGGTGAAGAGCTGCTATCTTAAACAAGGTGGTCAGGAAAGGTTTTCCTGTTAGAGTGGCAGTGAGCAAAGAGGTAAGGAGGTGCTTGATGTGGTGATGGGATGTGTTCCAAGAGGAGGGAACAGCAAGTGCAAAAGCGACAAGGCACAAGTGTGTCTGATGAGTTGGAGGAGCAGCAGGGAAGTCCATGTGGCTACAGTGAGTGAATGAAGGGAAGAAGAAAGGAGAGAAGAGGAGGGGAAGGGAGGGGAAGAGGGAGGAAGACAGGGTGAGGCCGCGGAGTCCCAACAGAACCAGACAGTGTAGGGCTTTGTAGGCTACCTTGGAGGGGTCTCAAGAGGAACAGCAGGCATAGACAACTCTTTGAGGAGCTTTGCTGTAGCTGAAGGAGAGCAGAGAAATTGGATGATAGCTGAAGGTAGATATGGGTTTAAGAAAGATATATTTTAAGGTAGGAAAAATTATTCTATTTGAAAGCTGGTGGGAATAATCCAGAGAGAATATTGATAACGCAAGAAGGCGGGCAACTGCCGAGATGACTGGAGCACAGACAGCTCACACAAAAGAACAGAGGGAAGCCAGCACCCAGATGCAGATTCAAGTATGTGCCTGGGAGCAATGTAGGGAGCAGTGGGCGGTCTCTCCCGATTGCTTTCATTTCATCAACAAAATTAGGAAGCGAGGCCATGGACTCCGAGGAAGGATGGCAAGGACAGAGGAGAGGGAACAAAATAACCTCCTGGGAGAGTAGGAGACTGGCTGACCAGGGAAATGTGCTTTAACCGCCAGGCAGCATGAACGGCCCCCTGAAAATTAGCAGCCACGATAAAGGGAGAGTATCCAGCACAGTTAGGAGATTCTCTTTAAGGTTAAAATTATGCGCTTCAGAAAAGCAGGTGTTACATGCAAACAGAACTGGGACTTGAACTCAATCCTCCATATTCTAGCCCAGAAACTTCATTTGGCAGCTGTTAGAATTTCCTCAAAAAATGACATTTTTTTTTTTTACCATCGTCATAATCAAAAAGCATTGCTTGAGACTAGGGTTGCCAGATTTACCAAATTAAAATATAGAATACTCAGTTTAGTTGGAATTTCAAATAAAAAGCAATTTTTTTTGCATGTCCCATGCAATACTGGAGCAATATTTTGGACATAGTTACACTAAAAAATTACTCATTACTCATCTGAAATTCAAATTTAACTAGATGTTCTCTATTTTATCTGGCATCCCTAATTGAGACCCTTCTCCGAAGATACAAAGAGATAGCAGTCCCAGTTGCTGTCGCTCTTTGGGAGTTTTCAATCAGGTCAAAGATAAAATGAAAGGAGTTAAACAACAGTTCAGAGCAAGGCAATGGACTTCAAAAGTCCTAACACTGCTCAACTCCTGACTGCCCAAGTCCCAAACCTGTAAGTCAGCCTACTTCTCATCTTGGTGTCCTCAGCAGCTACCAAGACACCTAGCCAACTGGTCGACATCTGCTAAGTACTCAACAATCACCTGTTATTGACTCAATCAAGCCATCAGTTAATTAACAGAAGATCATTTCCTCTTTCAGAAATCTGCTTTGGAAAACATGTTATCCGAGACCCAGTCTCGGTACTCCTGCAAGCTCCAGGACATGCAAGAGATCATCTCCCACTATGAGGAGGAACTGACGCAGCTACGCCATGAACTGGAGCGGCAGAACAATGAATACCAAGTGCTGCTGGGCATCAAAACCCACCTGGAGAAGGAAATCACCACGTACCGACGGCTCCTGGAGGGAGAGAGTGAAGGGTAAGGCAAAGGCTGGCACGAGAGGAGCATGCGAGGGACCTCCAGCTCCTGTGGGTATATGTGTGCATCTTTGGGTTCTGTTAGCAAGAGTCACTCTAGCAAGAGAAAAGTTGTGTTGAGCTACTCCAGAAGATACCTATAGCTGGCTGTATTTCACTAAGCAGCAAGTATAATTAATCAACTAATACTCACAGGACACTAAGATTTGCAGTCAGAAGAGTTAAAGTCTCTAGAAGGAAACAATTCAAAAGGATTTGGCCACTGTGTTTCCCAGTAGGAATGCACACAATTTTGGCTCCAAAAAAAAGAAGGCAGGGGGAATGTGTTAGTCCACCAGCAAAAGAGAAAAAAAAAAAAAGATGCATATGAGCTAGAGATGTCTAGACTTTCAATCTGATATTTCTGGCCACCCCAGGAAATAACAACAGCTGGCCATATAAAGGGCATATATATTCTATGATCCGAAAGGAAGGGATAGAAGTTTTATAAAAATACATAAATAAAACATCACTAGACCAAACTTTGAACAGCCTGAGAAGCTCAGGGGTCTCAGGCTTGAGACCCAGACCCTGGCAGGGATCCTAGAGAAAACCAAGCTTGCAGCTGAAAGGAGGGGATGGTTGGTGGACTTCCCCTGACTCCAGGGTTAGCAGGAGGCGGTACCCAATGCCTTCTGTATCCAGACGGGTTCTCCCGTGAACCCATGACCTTGAGACTACTAAGCTCAGACAATTATCCTCATTAAAGAGCAGAGGATTTACAAGCAAGCGAAGGAAGTTAGTTCATCCTGAGAAGTTGTTATGATTGTTGCTAATACTAAAGTGAGCTTTAACCTTTATCACTTTTATAGGACACGGGAAGAATCAAAGTCGAGCATGAAAGGTAAAAAATTTCCTTCATTGTTTGAATCTCTGTTTTTAAGGAATTAGCATGGTTATCCATTTTGTAGTAGTCATAATCCTTAATGTACTCCCAAATGTCCTGGGTTCAAAATGTCCTGGGTCAGGAATCTTCAATGAACAAATTAGCTAATACAAAATGATGTAAGCTCTCATTATTGTCCTCAATATAGGTAAAAGCAAGCAGTAAAGAAAATTAAAATGATAATTAATAGTATTATGTCTCTATTAAGTAATGGAGTCAGTTTACTAAACCCCTAGAAAACTAAGAGGCAATGATTTCATGATTTCATTTCTCAGATGATTCTGTTGAACACTCGTGTTCCATGAGATTTGAATAGTGTATTACGAACACTGTGTTCTATGGCCAGATAAGGTTAGAAATACTGTGTGCCATGATCCTCTTCTTGGACAGTCCTGTTGCAGTTCAGTGTATTAAAGATGGAACAGGTACTGCTTTGAAGGAGAAAAGGAACAAGAAAGAGGTAGAAACAACAAAAGTTTAACTTTGTTTAGCCCAGTATTCCCAAACATCTTTGACCTGGAAACATGCTTTCTCAGATTACCTTTAATATCTCACAGAAAAGTTGCAGGAGACTGTAGTCTGGGACAAGTGGCACTTTCTGATTAGTTTGTGATAAACCTATTCTAAGGCATTGGAGATTCAAAGAATCAGTTGGAGTAATCATCACAGGACAGCTGGTCTCACTGCTACCCATCTACAAAATAAGACAAGGGTCTTTGAGACTCTCTTCACACATGTCTTAGGATGGGGAACCCATACTTGATGGGATGGTCCCAATGGAGAGGTTTTAATTTAACAAAATTCTCCCTTGTAAATTTATTAATGATTTCAATTCTTCCCTATGGTCTAGAATTGCTTTATTGATGTTTCAACAGGCACTTATTCAAATAAGTTATATATTTGAAAACAGCCATGGTAAGCATCCTTGGCTTCTCACCCATTCCTCATGTGGCATGCTTTCTAGACTTTAAAATGAGGTACCCTGAATAGCACTAAGTGCTCTGTAAGCTCAAGGAATCTGTGCAGTGCTACAAAGCCCACAGGCAGAGAAAGAACTCCTCAAGTGCTTGTGGTCAGAGACTAGGTTCCATATGAGGCACACCTATGATGAAGGTCTTCACCTCCAGAAGGTGACACTGTTCAGAGATCCTCATTTCCTGGAGAGTGGGAGAAAATCCCTCCTTTGGGAAATCCCTTTTCCCAGCAGCAGAGCCCACCTCATTGCTTAGTGATCATTTGGAAGGCACTGAGAGCCTTCAGGGGCTGACAGCAGAGAAATGAAAATGAGTACAGTTCAGATGGTGGAAGAAGCATGGCAGTGACATCTTCCATGCTCTTTTTCTCAGTGTCTGCAACTCCAAAGATCAAGGCCATAACCCAGGAGACCATCAACGGAAGATTAGTTCTTTGTCAAGTGAATGAAATCCAAAAGCACGCATGAGACCAATGAAAGTTTCCGCCTGTTGTAAAATCTATTTTCCCCCAAGGAAAGTCCTTGCACAGACACCAGTGAGTGAGTTCTAAAAGATACCCTTGGAATTATCAGACTCAGAAACTTTTATTTTTTTTTTCTGTAACAGTCTCACCAGACTTCTCATAATGCTCTTAATATATTGCACTTTTCTAATCAAAGTGCGAGTTTATGAGGGTAAAGCTCTACTTTCCTACTGCAGCCTTCAGATTCTCATCATTTTGCATCTATTTTGTAGCCAATAAAACTCCGCACTAGCTGCATCGTGTCTTTTTTTAATATCATAAGGCAAGACAGCACCTCAGGGTTTCATCCTAACAAGGGGTTCTCAGAACATCGTCCATGGAAGATCCAGAGAAATCTCCAGACATCAGACATGTTCACGGCAGCCAGACACTGGGCAGAATTGTCACCCTGTAGCCAGGCAACCTAGGCATGAGTCATGGGTCATGAGGCTCTCCACAATCCACACTTCTGCCAGTAGGAAGGGAAGGGAGGAAACAGAGAAAGGGAGGCCCAGAAAGCCTCACTGGGAGTGTGAGATGACCAAAAAGTATGCTATCTCACTTTTAAAAAGGAAAAAAGCTGAAAGGCCTAAAAGAGTAACTCTCTTTTAGGCTACTCTAAGCTAGAAAAGGAGATTAAGGGAAAAAAATTCTCATTACAGACAGATACTATGGCTCTAAAAGGGGAAGTAACTCATCCAAAATTCAAATTGCAAATACTAGGATCCAGAGTATCATGCCATATTAGTCTGTTCTCATGCTCGGGTATAAAGACATACCCGAGACTGGGTAATTTATAAAGGAATGAGGTTTAATTGACTCACATGTGGACATGGCTGGGGAGGCCTCACAATCATGATGGAGGGCAAAGGGGAAGCAAGACACGTCTTACATGGCAGCAGGCAAGAGTGCTTGTGCAGGGGAACTCCTCTTTATAAAACCATCAGATCTCGGCCAGGCACAGTGGCTCACGCCTGTAATCCCAGCACTTTGGGAGGCCGAGGTGGGTGGATCACCTGAGGTCAGGAGTTCGAGACCAGCCTGGCCAATATGGTGAAACCCCGTCTCTACTAAAATCGAAAAATTAGCTGGGCATGGTGGTGGGTGCTTGTAATGCCAGCTACCTGGGAGGCTGAGACAGGAGAATTGCTTGAACCCAGGAGGCTTAGGTTGCAGTGAGCCAAGATCGCACCACTGCACTCCAGCCTGGGTGACAAGAGTGAGACTCTGTCTCAAAAAAAAAAAAAAAAAAAAAAAAACATCAGATCTTGTGAGACTTATTCACTATCAGGAGACCAGCACACGGGAAAGACCCTCATGATTCAATTACCTCCCACCAGGTCCCTCCCACAACACATAGGAATTATGGGAGCTGCAATTCAAGATGACAATTGGGTGGGGACACAGCAAAACCACATCACATGCTGAGCTGTAGCAGGTGAATAAACCACTGAGACTACGAACCTCTGTCCTCTGAAGAAGATGCCATTTTCTCAAATTCTAGGAGTGTGGGCCACTGTTCTGAGGTTGCTGCAGAGGAGCACTGCTGGAGAAAAGGAAGGGGGAAATCCACATATCCACTAAGACATCGTCAGAATACTGCACATGGAATTATAGGATATTAACAATTTAAGAGACTGTAGACACAGGATAGTCAAAATCTCCCATTTTACAGACAAATCAACAGAGGCCCAGAGCAGTGAAGGCATTTACCCAGACACTCACTGGATCGGTGCAGCTGGATCTAGATCCAGGTCTCTTGACTCATTTAACAGCTGTTAAACCAAAAATGGGTGTGATTTAGTCCCATTGTCATCTGATACATTGGCAATGCCCTGCATATTTTTTTGTCTCTATGTTTAATACTCCTTTGTAAAGGGTAGCTTTTGATATTTCCTGAACTGAGCATCTGTTAAAATTGGATTCATCTTCCCTTTAAGGCAACAATTGGTGTTTCTGATCTTTAATGCCAAAAAAAAAAAAAAAGAAAAGAAAAAGAAAAAAGAAAAAAAATAAAAACAGAATAACCACACCCTAGCAAAAGTGTACTATTGGTTTAACTAAATACATTAACTCTCTGATGTAAAATTAATAATTTATCTTTACTATTTCAAAGAGACTCAAAAATAACCAGTACACAAACATCTTCACTAAGTTTTCTTTGTGCAGCATTTGTATGTGGTGACTTTTTTTTTTGAGACGGAGTCTTGCTCTATCACCCAAGCTGGAGTGCAATGGTGCCATCTCAGTTCACTGCAACCTCCGCCTTTCGGGCTGAAGCAATTCTACTGCCTCAGCCTCCCAAGTAGGTGGGATTACAGGCGCCCACCACTGTGCGCATCTAATTTTTGTATTTTTTAGTAGAGACCGGGTTTCACCATGTTGGTCAGGCTGGTCTCGCACTCCTGACTTCAGGTGATCCACCCACCTGGGCCTCCCAAAGTGCTGGGATTACAGGCGTCAGCCACCACACCTGGCCGTATATGGTGACTTTTGTTGTTATTTGGGTCAAGAATGGATTCATATTAGACTTTATTAGGTTCTCTTTTTCTATTTCATTTTACTAAGAGAACTTCTTTATGTTACTAGTTATTATAGTCTCCAAGCAGATCTAAAAATGATTTTTTTTCTCTATTTTAGCACCAACTAATTCTGCTGTTTTGGACATTATCTGTTTCCTGAAATCTAGAAAATGTGCATAAAATATGCTATTTTTCTCAAGGTGAATTTTTTAATACTGCTAGAAAAATATTTTGAGGAATATCTAAAAATAATATGACAAGCTGAAAAGAAAGTTGTAATACCAAATCCAGAAAACAATCACAAACCTTCCATTTACAATCATAGTTTATATATGATTTGGTAATGTAAATCATAACATATGAATAATTTTTCATGCAAGGACCTAAAATATCTTTAAAGTCTTATTAATTTTCGCTGTATCAATTAAGGTGACCAATTCATCCCAGTGTGCCCAGAAACTCATTAGTCCCAGGCAAACTGGGGTGGCTGATCACCCTATCAATAAATTGCCTCTGTTTCACTAAGGAGAGGAAAGAAGAGAGAAATGAAACCATTTGCCTGAATAAAGAGACAATTGCATGATTTTGGGCTCTAGGTAACACAGAATAATCTTCCCCCACACTTAAATCAGCGTAAAAATGTTTCAAAATGCCCATTACAAACCAATTAATGCCTATGCATTCAGGTGAATTACCAACCAAAGAAGATTTTGTTTGTATTTGAATTTGACCAACATACACCCAACCCACATAAAGGAGGTGGCAATAAGTTCTATTGTTTTCATTCCAGAAACACTTTGAATAAATAGCAATTATCATTCTATAACCCAAAATCCAACTAAACAAACCGATGGCTAATCCGGAGAAGTATAATGTATCACTTTGGAATTTAGGATTTATGTTAACATATTTGCCCACAGTGTCATAAAATGGTGGAGTGGATAGATAGATCCATCTAATACTGTTAATCCAATCAAATGCACACCTTTATAGACTCATGTCTTCACTATTATTTTTACACACCTACCCTGCTGATGATGTGTAAATCGGGAACTAAACATAAAAATTCATTATTAAAGGAATGTAGCAACAGTATGTGGAGGGAAGAGGTCATAAAGTCTAGCAAGGAGTAAGGACTCGAATTCTGGCAGCAAAAGGTGGGGAACAGAAGGAGACCCGAGGACGTTTCTTTAGTGCAGGGGTTCTCAAACTTGGCTCACATCAGGATCACCTGGAGGGGGTGAGAAAATTCTAATGCCAGGCCACACTCTAGAATAATTAAATCAAGACTTTTGGCCGGGCATGATGGCTCACGCCTGTAATCCCAACACTTTGGGAGGCTGAAGTGGGCGGATCACTTGAGATCAGGAGCATGAGACCAGCCTGGCCAATATGAAACCCCATCTCCACCAAAAATACAAAAATTACCCGGTGTGGTGGTGGGCATCTGTAATCCCAGCTACTCAGGAGGCTGAGGCATGAAACTCACTTAAACCCAGGAGGCAGAGGTTGCAGTGAGCCGCGACTGCAAGATTGTGCCACTGCACTCTAGCCTGAGCAACAGAGCCAGACTCTGTATTAAAAAAAAAAAAAAAAAAAAAAAAAAAGTACTTGTGGAGGTTGGGACCCAGCCATCAATTTGTTTTAAAGAGTCCCAAATAATTATAATGTACAGCCAAGTTTGTGAACTTACACTGGTACCTTCAGATGAGTGCTTTTTTGATCTGTTTGTATGTTTCCCATATTACTAATTTTTCAATACTCCCAACAGGAATTAATGACAACTAATGAAAAAAAAAGGACGTAATCCCCAAGCACTAGTGATTAGAGTTTCATTTTACAGAATTGTAGAGAACTGCTTCCAGGAAATACAGCTGAATTAAAACTTAGAATTGAGACAAATACTTCACTTACAAAAGTATTTTAGTGGCCAGGCACAGTGGCACGCACCTGCGGTCCCAGCACTTTGGGAGGCTGAGGCAGGAGGTTCACTTGAGGCCAGGAGTTTGAGACTAGCCTAGGCAACATAATGAGACTTCGTCTATATAAAAAGTTTAAAAATTCACCAGTGCAGAGGCTTGCACCTGTGGTCCCAGCTACTCGGGAGCCAAGGCAGGAGGATGTCTTGAGCCCAGGAGTTCCAGGCTGCAGTGAGTTTTGATCACAACACCATACTTCAGCTGAGCAACACAGCAAGATCTGTCTGGAAAAAAAAGACAAGGAAATCAGAAAAGTATTTTACAAAATTCTGCAAGCATACTTCCACCTAAGTCTAGCAAAATTCTTCCAGGTACTTAATCAAATATTTTTCCAAAGTGTTAGGTTCCTGTAGTAAGTTTCTCTTATGGAAATTTGTGTGTTATTTTAGACTCCTCATTTCTTTTACCTCTTAGATTTTTGTCAAAGCAAAGTAAAATAGTAATGTATGCAAATAAGAGACCCATCAAGAAAACATCTCTAAGCCAAGTGACTAAAAAATTAATTTAAGGAATAAAGAAGCAATTTTTTTCCTTAAAGAAATATCAGATTATTTTAGTATTTCCCAAATGCACATTTTATATTTCTCTAAATAGTTAATTAGGGCATTACATGTAATTTGAAATCAAAAATATCAGCATTAAAAGTAAACATAGAAATCAACTGATTGAAACTTCTTATGTGAGAGATAAGGAATCAAAAGACTAGAAAAGTTATCCAAGCCCTCCTGGGACTCAGGTCTCATTCCTATCCATTCCAGCATCTTCAACATATAAAAACATCAGAATTGAAGAAAACATACCATATTTTTTAATTCATAGCAAATTAAAAATAACAATTATAAATGTATGAACTACTGAAAAGCCAAAATAACTTATGCACTCTCTAAGCTGGAACCAATATGAAAAAATGTCCATAATTATAAGAAAAAAGTAAGCCAGAGGTATGTACGAAAGATTAGATTTTTCTTTACAGATAGCTGTAAGTGGGTTACTTAACACAGACTACATTTAGATATTTAGTGCTAAGAAGAGACTTCTTCTTCTCCTTTTCCTTTTTTTTTTTTTTTTTTTTAAACAGGGCCTCCCTCATTCTGTCACCCAGGCTGGAGGGCAGGGGCATGATCTCAGCTCACTGCAGCCTCAACCTTGCAGGCTCAAGCCATCTTCCCACCTCACCCTCCCAAGTAGCTATGACTACAGACACACACCATCATGCCTGGCTAATTTTTGTATTTTTTGTAGAGACAGGGTTTCGCCATGTTGCCTAGGCTGGTCTTGAACTCCTGGGCTCAAGTGACCCACCCACCTTGGCTTCCCAAAGTGCTGGGATTACAGGCATGAGCCACCACACTCGGCCTAGCTTAGAGATTTTGAATAGTTTACTTTGTGTGAAATAATATAGCGTGCCATTTCTTTGGGATAAAATAACATATTTCTAAGCATACCCTTCATGGACATGAAGCAATTTGTACCATAGTTTCACATATACCTATTTGGTCTTGCACAACAGAAAACAGATAGTAAATAATATCATTATTTATAATGGTAAATTTAAAAATTTATAAATGTGCATTTAAATTTCTCATTTAAATAATGGTTTTATTTTCTGGGTATGCTGTACATATTGGTGGCCCCAATGCATCCATGCCTCCAGCAGTCAGGCCTTTCTCTACTGCCTCCCACATTGACGCTGGGCTTGGTCATGAGACTTGATTTGGCCAATGGAACATCAACAAGCTTGACACAAGCAGAGGCTTACTAAATGCTTTCACATTGGGAGTTATTCTCTTGGAATGCCCTATAGGCAGCCAGCTACCATGTGAGAAGTTCAATTACCCTGAGACACCATACTGTGAGGAAGTCTAAGCTAGCCTCTTGGAGAGCCCACACCAAGGAAAGCTGAGGAATCCAGGCAACAGCCATAACTGAAGCTCCAGGCAACAGCTGTAACTGAGGCTCCAGGCATATGACTGAGTCAAGCCATTCCAGCCAGTTTCCAGCCATTCAAGACAATGCCACTGCCCCCAGGCATCACAGAGCAGAGACAGGCCATCCCTGCTATTCTGAATCCAAAATTCTGTCCCACAAAATAATTGTGAACAAATACAATGGTGGTTGTTTTAAGCCAGTGAGTTTTGGGGTCATTTTTCATGCCGCAATAGGCAAGTGAAACAGAGTATTTTAAACAGAAGACTCTGTTATTTGCTCAGTGACAATAGCTGATTTAAGGCGAACTAGTTCATTTGCATCCCACCAAACTTTTGACCAGCATACTAGTCATTTTAACACTGACATGGACCTCTAATGAAAGTCCTGGTCTAATAACAATAGATGACATCAAAACTTTCAAGAGAAAAGCAAAGGTCTACCCTCTTCAGAGATGGTAAAGAGTAAAGCCATTGCACATGATGTTCACAGCTCTCCTCTCTGCTCCTTCCCAAGTGGGACCAAGCAGTGTAGCTCCAACCTGAAGTCAGGGCATCCCCTGCTCCTCACTTAAGCATGCTGGGATGCCCAAGGAAATTCTTTTTCTTCTCGTTGAGTTTCAATTCCTTTTGACTCTCTTTTAGTTCCTCATTCCAGGGACATTAACAATTTCTCTACAAATATTTATGCCTCCAATACCACACAAACCAACAGTTTCACTGAAAGGAGATCTCTTTTCAACATAGTTAAGCAATGTTCTCCCTCACCAAGAAACTATAAGTCATTTACAAATTAAGGTGATCATAATTATTACGTAGCTTCTAGTCATAATATTTAAAAGTCATTAAGAGTATAATTCATTTATTCTAGCCATGATTATTCACAATGCTATACTCTAAATGCTATACTTTTCTACAGCTTTTAATCAATAAATACTTTTCAGATTTTTGGTGTTTACATATCACCTGAAGTATTTTGTTGGTTATTTCCCTATGGTAACAACATTGGTTTTCCGAATGACTATAGGCCTACTTTCATTCCCATGTGTGACTCATTCCCATCTCATCTATTCTATTACAACATCTACGTGTCACCATCTCTCTGAAGAGAGTTAGAGAGTTTCTAAAATATACTGGAGGTGAGATCATGCAAAAAGGAAAAGACAGTGCTTCTCACATACCTAACGATCTGATGATCTAATCATACTCAGAAGTTTTACCTTGAACTTTGTGTGTGTGTGTAACTATTTCAGTACATGGGTTGTCCTACTCACCCAAACTTCCCATTGAAATTTAAATGGGAATTCATCTAATAAAATTATGAGTCATCTAATAGAAACTACAAGTCAATTTTTGCTAATTCCATGGTATGCATACGCAGCATAGCATGTATGCATTGACATACACACACATGTACCAGAAGTTTTTTAAATAACAACTATCCTTGACTGAGCTTTACATTCACAATCTCATTTAACATTTATCAAAACCTTGTGGCATATCATTATCTTTATTTTATGATTGGGGAAACTGAGGCTCAAATGGACTGCATTAACTTGCCTGTGGTCATACAGCTATAAAATGGTGGAAACAGAATTTGTACCCAGTATATTTACTCTTTGTGCCACACAAGTCAAAAGTGCTTGCTAGAGAGTTATGTAAAATCTGAATATGGGCAACACATTTTGATGAGCCCTTGCTGATGGCTTTTATCTAAGGTAAGAGCCCAGGTATGAGAAATCTGGATTTTCTATTTGAAAATCAGAACTCATATTTTTCAGAGGCAATTGGTAGTTTGACATCATTTACCTGGATCTTGTTCTGACAAGATCCATGAGTCAGAAATAGACACTCAGGACCAGAGGACAGGTTTTTATAACCAAAAGCTACCTTCTCATTAATCAAACCTCAAAGCATCCACTGCTTTCATACAGAGGTGTGTTCTTAACTTGTTTTAGCCTAAAACGAATCAGCATCAGGGACGATGATTGCTTCCCTGAGAGAGTTTAGCAAGTTCCAAACCTGGAGGACCTCAGACCCCAACCTGTCCAGTTAGACTCCACACTCACTCCTGTTTTCTATCAAAATTTTCTTTCCCCACACACTCACAGAATATGATAGGACAAGAAAGACAAAGACAGGGTAGTAATAATGGACAGGCCACAGATACACCCAATACCATCAACAGTCATCAGCTGAGAATATTTTATCCAGAGATTCATCACAAAAAAAATATTGTGAAAATGTTCATGTATCATCCCCAGCACCCTAGGAAGCAGTAGTTTCAGGTCACCACCCAGTCCCAAGCCTTATATGTCAGTGCTTCCGAAATCTTAATGTGCATACTTATCATATGGGGATCTTGTTAAAATGCAGATTCTGATCTAATTGTTCTGGGTTGAGGCCCAAGATTTTGGACATCTAACAAGCTCCCAGAGGATGCTAAGGCTGCTGATCCACGAGTCGCAAGATTATGGGTGATTTTGATCAATTAGCAATTCGATGCATTCCCCACAGTGAGTGTCGTGTCTATAAACCAGTCTCAATAGGTCCTCTATCAACTGAACAGGATAAACAACACAGCAGGAAAGGTGGCATCGTTAGAATCCCACTAGCACAGTCTTGCTCCAAGCAAGCTAAACCTGCAAGAGCACTAAGTCAGGCCTGGAAGGAAGATGTTTCTTAGGTTCTCACCAAGAACAGAAGACAGAATGAAGTCTAGAAATTAAGATCGATCACTTTGTCCCAAATTTTTCCTGGACTCCATGCGTAGTAAAAGCTATGAGAGGTTCACAAATCAGATTCACAGGAGAGGATGGAAAACACTTGTCCAGGATTGTCTATTGTGTTAGCTAACTAGCACTAAAAAATATACGTCTATATTTATGTATAAGTGAGTATTCACTTATAAAAATCTTTCTAAATTCTCTTCAAGGGCCATTTCTTTCTTCAGTGAACCAAATGATGGCTGAAGTTTTAAGAATAAAAACAACAGCCAGACGCAGTGGCTCATGCCTGTAATCCCAGCACTTTGGGAGGCCGAGGCGGGTGGATCACGAGGTCAGGAGATGGAGACCATCCAGGCTAACCCGGTGAAACCCCGTCTCTACTAAAAATACAAAAAATTAGCCAGGCATGGTGGCGGGTGCCTGTAGTCCCAGCTATTCGGGAGGCTGAGGCAGGAGAGTGGCGTGAACCCGGGAGGCGGAGCTTGCAGTGAGCCGAGATTGCGCCACTGCACTCCAGCCTGGGCGACAGAGAGAGACTCCATCTGAAAAAAAAAAAATAATAAAAAAAAATAAACAACAATAACTCTAACTGTGAAATTGCGTCCTATTCCATACTAAATTAAATCAGCTTAGACAGGCTGCTTTCATTTGTGTTATGGATGTCATTATTCTTTGTTTTCAAGAAATTTGTATTGGAATGAATGGAGTTGGAATAAAGAACCAGTGAAGAAGTGGTCATTAAATACCTGCTTCCTGCCTACTGCGGTGTGAGTCACTATTAGGAAGACAAAATAAGGAAGCTAGAACTTTAGGGAAGGAAATTACAATATACAAAAGAGTCCCTTTGCCCAACTGCAATTCCTGTCACCCATAATCATGGTAAATAATCCTAATAATTATTACCCTTGCTTGTATCATGATAAGGAAATTGATTTGAACTGGGAAACAGAAAACATGTCTCTTCAGTAAAGCTCTTTCCACCCTCCCACACTCAACAAAAGCTTCATAAAGCCACCCGTAACTCTTATGCCCCGTTCCACCGAGTCAACTCCTGTGACTGGCCTCACACCCTTCTCAAGTATCCAAGGCCTTCCCCGGTATGGTCTCAGCTTGTTTTTCCAGAGGGCGGCCGTCATTACCTGAATGGCAGGTTTGCTACGCAAGCGCCTTAATGTGGGGCTTTGTAGACATCACACCTGGGCCGTCATTAGTGTCGTCTGAAAATAATAATCAGCCAGCAGACCAAAGAAGGGCATTCCAAGAAAATTCACTACTACCAGTGTTTGGGGAAACCAGGGAATATCTAATTTACGTATTTATAGTTAATCAAAGAAAGGGCTAACTTACACACATCACACAAGGATAAGTCACCCCAACGTTTATTTATAACTACACCTGGCTACAGTGCTAAGAGTTGGGGGAGGCTGCGCACTTGTAGTTGGCAGCCCTGAGGAAGGAGGTAGCATCTCTAATCATTCCCAAATGGACAGGAGGCTGAGCCAGTGGTAGGAGAGCTTACTGTGGGAACATGGCTTTTTATATTTCTCTCTCAGTCTCCTATTCTCCTCCTACAATGTTAGGTGCTTGGAAGTTTCCAGAAGAGGCCTTTCTACAGGAGACAAGGCATTCTCTGTCTCTCTCCTCTGTCCACACCTCAAGTGTGGATCCACCAAAGGTCAATAGGGCCCTAGGGAGGAGATGACAGCATGCAAGACTGCCCTCTTCCACCCATCCACACTGTCTCTCAGTCAGCCAGATATCAGAGTGGCCAAGACCAGGCTCTGTCTTAGACCACACTGTGGCTGTCTTAGCACAGCAGATATCCACAGCCGGACCCTCCCCATCACATGAAGCAGAAGGAAGAAATAAGTCCCCTTGTGACAAGCACTTGCCTGCTATATGTTTTTACAGCAAACAAAGGTTAAAACTACATCCTTCAGAGAGGAACCACTGAGTCTTCAGGCGACTGGAGAAGGGGAGCTGGGAGCCTGCACCTCTGAGCAAGCCAGAGACCCATGCTAGGGGGTCAGAGATTGAGCAGGCTGGGCAAGAGGAACCCAGACCCCTGCAGGTAGGGATCATGGTGGGTAGAGTCTGGGGCTGGGAATTCAAGGCTTTGATCTATTTCCAGTATCTTTGTCTTCATAGTATCTGATCCTCCCCGTTTTGCCCCACCAGACGTGAGTAAGGAGGAGAATTCATAGCCAACTCCAATAATTCTTTATAATAAAACTTTATAAGTGGTATCTGCTACTCTTTATTTATTTATTTATTTGTTTGTTTGAGACAGAGTTTCGCTCTGTCGCCAGGCTGGAGTGCAGTGTCACGATCTCGGCTCGCTGCAACCTCTGCCTCCCAGGTTCAAGCAATTCTCCTGCCTCAGCCTCCCGAGTAGCTGGGACTACAGGCACATGACACCATGCCTAGCTAATTTTTGTATCTTTAGTAGAGACGGGGTTTCACCACGTAGGCCAGGATGGTCTCGATCTCTTGACCCCGTGATCCGCCCGCCTCGGCCTCCCAAAGTGTTGGGATTACAGCCGTGAAACGTCGCGCCCCGCCTGTGCTACTCTTAAAGGATCCAAAGGATATCTAGAAGGGATTCACGTGCTCGTTTGGGTCCCACAGTACATCGAGGTTTGGGAGCCTCTCAGATATTTGCTTCCTGTCCTCAATTTTGTTTGGGTGCCTCCAGTAACCTCTGATATTTATATAAAACTATCTCACTGTAAAAGGGGCAAAGACCTAGTCTTCTGCCTCCAGGGCTTCTCCTGTGGTCATTTCTCATGTCCTCGCCATTGTGTCAGCCCCAGCTAAATGTTTCTTCTACAGGAGGAAAGGGAGCATGTAACCTCTTGCTCTCAAAAATGGAGAGGGGAAGAAAAAGTTTAAGATGGGTAAAGAGAGACTAAAACTGCAGGCAGCCGTCTTGTTTTCTCAGTCTCCCCTAAACCCACTCCAAGCTGGACGAAACCATCTGTTCACAGAAAAAGTACAAAGGAAAGAAGGGTTTGAGAATGTCAGGTAGTAGACAAAAAAGTTTCAGTTCCTACCCTTACAATGATCCCTTCTCTAAGAGCTGGCTCCCTTTACAAGACAACTCGTCAGAGTTTATTTCTGTACTGGCATTTATGTCTTCAAGGCATCCAAGTATCTTGTGGATCTTTCAACAGATCAAAAGGCAGAAAGAAAAATGTTCTTGGATCAACTCCTAGAAAAATCTGAAACCAGATTTTCCTGAGATATTTCAGGCCAGTCAGTGCCTGTCAGCTTTATACTGTGGCATCTTTCTTTTCAAATATGGATTAAACCCTGCGATGAATGAAAAGATTAAAAGCTCATCATTCCAGCAGCCTTAGTTTCTAAATTGTTGTGCTATCTCCTTAAAAACTTCTGTGCATTTGTATCACGCTGTCTGCTCTTCGGGGCCACTGCTTGTGTTGCAGGGAAGACACAAAGCATGAGAGTTCCGAGCAGTGGGCAAAGATGCTTGTCAAGAGTGTTATAAGGGGGACCAGGCATTGGGAAAGGAGTTGAACCTGAGGGACTTTCAGATTCGATTATTTTCCTCTTAATCGGAGAAGAGTTTGAGTTTATAAACAACATAAAATAACAGATATATGGAAGATACTGACGTTTTGGAGGGCTATCAATAAGATAGGGCGTGGCCAAATTACAAATAAAGTTTATTAGGACACAGTCATGAACGTTTGTTTGCATATTGTCTACAGCTGCTCTTGCACAAGGACAGCAGAGTTGAGTAGTTGCAACAGTCTCTCCAGCCCACACAGCCTAAATATTTATGACCTGGCCTCTACAGAAAAGAAAAAAAAAAAGTCCATCCCGTACTATAGATATTAGAGCAGGAGAAAATGAGTTGAAATTACAGCAGAACAGTCAGGCCTATCTCTGTCAATATCTCTGACAATTGAAGGGGGCAGGCTATTAAATCTAAAGTTGAGAGGGCCTTGGCCCCTTCGCATGCTATTAAAGATGACTGTGGGTCATTTCAAAAACACCTGGATGGTTTAGAATAGGTGCAATCATTTAAAAGATTGAAAAGCATCTGCTTTTCCCCCAGGTAATTCATGTTTAGGGAACAAGTTAAAAATAGAAGATATATTTTGCTTTTCACTTTTAAAATTGTATAGCTTCCCAAATATTTTTCAAGATAATTGGTCAGCTGTTGCTCACTCAGAAGTAATGCTGTTCTTGGTAAAATGCCAATTTGAACAGAGAAAGAAGGATGGTAATGGTGACTCACAAACCAGTTTCACCCGGAGCCTGGGAGAGGGTGCTGCGGCCTTTTGGAATAGGAAGGCCACGAACACCCCCTGCTGGCTATAGGGCAACATAAACCCGAACTCATCCTTTTTCCTGATCCAAGGCTCGGGTTGGACAAAGATCAACCATACAAGTCCTGTGATGGAATCAAGGAATATCAAACATTCATAATTCATGCCCAAGGGATGGTAGCATCTTGAAATTCAAGTAGTTTGTGTTACATGTACAGCAGCAAAGAACCACTACTAAAACAAGAGATAACCAGGTTTTCAATTATCTCCCTTAAACCTCCTAACCCCATTTAAAAAAAAGTTTTACACTACAGCCTTCTACATCTCATTAAACACAATTCCTGTAACAATGAAAAAAGAACTTTCTTCATCGTTTGAAACAGATCCTAGCCAAGGGTCTTGTTCAAAATAGTTTTAATCATATGAAATTGCCAGGATCCTACTCTGCTGACCCCTACAAAAGGCAACCTGAATAGAATTAGTCGGTCGACAATTGACAAAGATATGCAGGAGAGCCTGCAGCTGTGATGAGGCTGCCCTCCTTGACTGATGGACACAGGGATTGTAGGCTAGGGACTCAGGACACAGCCCTCTGTCCTCACAATTTTCCTGAGCCTCCTCTGAATTCCTCTGACTGATGAAAATAGAGGCTGGGATTTCAAGTATCTTTTTCTCATTTAGGCAACCCTGCTCCACATGATACATAAAAATTTTTAATTAAGCTGTTTTTTTTTTTCCTTTTTAACACCAGTGTCCCAATAAAGAAGCTTCAGGAAAGGGGAAATGTTAAAATCGTGATCCTGTCATTGCCTCACTCTCTGAGGCTCTAAGAACAGGAATGTTTGCTAATAGATGGAGGAAAGGCCCTGTTGACTGTAACTGTGGGACTGCATGGGGATTATGCTACACAGAGCAGTGGAAGTTGAGGACTGAGGCTGGGATAGATGCAGACTGTGTCAAAAAAAACAAAAAAAAAACAAGCATTAAGAGGTCAGGGACTTCTGACTTGAAATCACAAGGGTCTGAGAAGCAAAAACATTTTAAAAGGTAAGAATACTAAGCAAATTAACATGTGGACTGGTGCATGTATCTAAATTTTGCAATAAAATCAATGTGAACCTGGGTTTCATGACCACAGTGGCCCAAATAATAAGCCCTTCTGTTGGCCCATTTTTCAGAGGAGTGTCACCCACACACACATGAGTTATAGGAAGAGTCTGAAGTCAAATAACAATTAAAGAAAAAGGGTAGGACAGCAACTCAGTCCCACAATTGTCTTTTTAAAATTAGGCAGAAATTTAAAAGCAAATTCTAAGTAGACTAATTTGAAGGATAAAGCGAGGAGAAAGTATGGGTGCCCATACCCTGAGCTCATCAAATACTTTGATCTATTTCTTAAAATGCCCATGAGGACTTAAGGCAATGGACTCTAACTTAAAAACACAAAGAACTATGGCATCTGATTTTTCAGACTTGAAAACACTGTGACCCAATTCCATCCTCCAGGATATGAACACAGCACGCTTTATAATTCAGTAATAGCCTGAATTATATCCTTAGCCTACAACATTACGTCTCCCAGGAGATTCCAATATGCAGTTTAAGGATGAGGACCACTGGCTGAAAGGTTTCTTTTGAATCTAATTATAATTCAATATAAAACTGGGGATAGAGGCTGGGCACAGTGGCTCACACCTGTAATCCCAGCACTTTGGGAGGCTGAGGCGGGCAGGTCACGATGTCAGGAGATCGAGACCATCCTGGCTAACACGGTGAAACCCCATCTCTACTAAAAATACAAAAAATTAGCCAGGTCTGGTGGTGGGCGCCTGTAGTCGCAGCTACTCGGGAGGCTGAGGCAGGAGAATGGCGTGAACCCGGGAGGTGGAGCTTGCAGTGAGCCAAGATTGCACCACTGCACTCCAGCCTGGGGGACAAGAGTGAGACTCTGCCTCAAAAAAAAAAAAAAAAAGAAAAGAAAAGAAAAGAAAACTAGGGATGGAAAGAAAGGAATGAAAGAGGGAAGGAAGGAAAACAGGAAAGGAAAGGAAAGAAAAAAGAAAAGAAAAGGGAAGGGAGACAGAGAGGGAGGGGGGAAGGAAGAATAAAGAAAGAGAGAGAGAGAAAGAAAGAAAGAGAAAGGCAAGCAGGGAGGGAGGGAGGGAGGGAGGAAGGAAGGAAGGAAGGAAGGAAGGAAGGAAGGAAGGAAGGAAGGAAGGAAAGGAGGGAGGGAGGGAAGGAGCTCTACAGCCACACAGCATATCCATCCGTTACAGGAGCAAATAAGAAAGTCAATCTTCCAGCAGAGGAAGCCAGAGCTAAATAAACACTTTAAATGTCATGAAATAAGACTTCAGAGCCCAAATGTTCCATTTTCTATTCAATAATACTATTTCCTTAAAGGTCTTGGTAACAGAGTTACCCCACGTATCTTGACCCCATATCCTGTGTTCATTCCCAGAACAAAGCTGACATGAATGATTCTTGTATGATCATTTACCAACAGAAACATGCAATCAAATTTCTTATTTTAATTAAGAAACATGGCACAATACATTTTAATTGGTAGTAGACACCATAAAAACAAGAAGGATTAAAAACACAAAGAAATGTCTTCCTCTTTAAAACAGATAATTTGGACTCCTCCTGTTCATCCATGCATTCACTTAATAACCATGGACAGCGTGCTTTCTATGTTAGATGCTGTATCCCCTAACACCCCTTTATAGCTCTTCATTGAGGTCTAGATATTTTGGCCCATGCTTCGGATGCAGCATTTCATGGGACACCCTGATGGATCTCCTGTGCTGTGCTTCCTTCTGTGGCTGTGGGTGCCACGCTGGAGCAATGCTTAGGAGGAGCGGAGTATTTCCAGGTGAGCCCCTACACTCACTGCACCTCCCATGCTCACTCTTCAACACACATTTGTTGGTAAAGGTCCAGTCCTCAAGCTTCAAGGTTTAGAAATTTTATTTTACCAAGGTTGGTCAGGAGCTAAGGGAATGGAGCCAGCTAAACCCAAGGAACAAGAAGCCCCCGTTCATTTACAATGGAAGTTGTCTTGCTGTTGTTTTGCCATTATACCATGAACCTGTCTTGGAATCAATGTGCCTGCACACTGAATTAGGTATCAGAAAATTGGTGATCATGGAATAAGGTAAAGGATTGAAAGGCATTTTTCTTAGGAACGCTTTTATACTGTTGGTGGGAGTGTAAATTAGTTCAACCATTGTGGAAGACAGTGTGGCGATTCCTCAAAGATCTACAACCAGAAATACCATTTGACTCAGCAATCCCATTACTAGGTATATACTCAAAGGATTATAAATCATTCTGCTATAAAGACATATGCAGACATATGTTTATTGCAGCACTGTTCACAATAACAAAGACTTGGAACCAACCCAATTGCCCATCAATGATAGACCAGATAAAGAAAATGTGGCACAGATACACAATGGAATACTATGCCGTCATAAAAAAGGATGAGTTCATGTCCTTTGCAGGGACATAGATGATGCTGGAAAGCATCATTCTCAGCAAACTAACACAAGGACAGAAAACCAGACACCGTGTGTTCTCTCTCATAAGTTGGGGTTGAACAGTGAGAACACATGGACACGGGGGGTGGGAGGCGCATCACATACTGGGGACTGTCGGGGCGTGGAGGGCTGTGGGAGGAGAGCATTAGGACAAATATCTAATGTAGATGACAGGCTGATGCGTGCAGCAAACCACCATGGCGCATCAATACCTATGTAACAAACCTGGATGTTCTGCACCTGTACCCCAGAACTTAAAGTATAATATAAAAAATAGAAAGACATTTTTCTATGGAATGTGAAGGCTACTTCAGTACCAAATAACAGTCTCTTGTGATGAGAGCACCATGTCTGCCAGGCGGCATCTGTTGCACAGCACTCTGCTGTGTCTTCCAGCCTCTGCCTCGTTCCCACTTCAGCCGGGCGTTCCTGCTTACATCTGTGGCAAGCTCTCAGCTAGCTTCTCCTCCCAGACTGAGAATCCTCCTAAACTGCACCTCTTGCCATTTACCCTCTAGGGGACAATAGACTTCTTCATCTTGTACCTGGGTGATACCAGGCTCTCAGAATTCCTAGGGATCAGAGGGGTGGGTAGAAGGACAGGTGGATCAGGTAGATGCATGAAGAGAGGCAACGCCAGTTACTCAGACTCTGCCTGGGCTACCAGAGTCCTGAGCTTCTTGCCCCCATTCGGGAGGTGTTAGGGGTCTCACTCCGAATCATTACTAGTTTGTTCTTTAGCTTTTATTTCCATTTCTTCCGTGTGTGTGTGTGTGTGTGTGTGTGTGTGCTGCCACTGATACTACTTTTCCCTCTCAGCGATTAAAAGAAAAAAAGATACATTTGAAAAAGTGGTGTATTATCTATTCTGTTAATATGATGTCAGTATTTATGAGGTGTGGTCTTTGTGCCTCTTTTTAAAGATATAAGGAATTACTCCATCGCCAAAGTTCGGTGGCTTCTCATATCACAGAGTAAAAGGCAGGTTCCTTGCTGGATGATGGCATCCACATCCCTCACCATTCACCTCCGAATTGCTGAGGTCCTTTCCACCACCCTCCCTTCCATCCCTGAGCACCCCCACATCCCCACTGCTCCACCCACACTCACACCTAAACTGCTATAGACCTTTGCACCTGAGCTGCCATATGGCTCTTTTCTTCCTGCTGTCATTCAAATACCACTCTCACAGGGAGGCCCATTCTCATCTCTCTACACACAAGGGCAACTTTCCCAGCCCTCCCCACCCTTCCTTTTTCTCCTCTGACCTACTCCCTTCACCTCTAGCTCCCACCCCTGAATCTAAGTTCCGCCAGGGCAGAAACGTTTGTGTTTTTTTAACTACTGTATCCCCAGCATCTGCAACAAAACCTTGCACACACTGATATTCACACAGACTTGTGAATTCATGAATGAATGCGTGAGTGAATGAATGAATACATCATATACTATACAAGGTTCATAGTAAAAAATAGCAGCCCCTGGTGTCCCCACTCCTGAATGTTTCTCTCTGAAATCTTTTAGCTATTGTTTCTGGTATTAACCTGCATATCTCTAAGGAATATGCTTACACTGCTATTTCTTGTTTTATCAACTTAAGACGTTAAAGACCGGGCACGGTGGCTCACGCCTGTAATCCCAGCACTTTGGGAGGCCGAGGTGGGCGGATCACGAGGTCAGGAGTTGGAGACCATCCTGGCTAACACGGTGAAGCCCCGTCTCTACTAAATATACAAAAAAAAATTAGCCGGGCGAGGTGATGGGCACCTGTAGTCCCAGCTACTCGGGAGGCTGAGGCAGGAGAATGGCGTGAACCCAGGAGGTGGAGCTTGCAGTGAGCCGAGATCACGCCACCGCACTCCAGCCTGGGCGACAGAGCGAGACTCCGTCTCAAAAAAAAAAAAAAAAAAAAAAAGAAGACATTAAAGACCTAAATCCCCATTGTAGAAGATGGCATCACAGGATTCTTACACCATCTCACACCTCCGGTTGCCATTTCTCTACCTTTCCAGTGTGATTACATCACATTGTCTTATAATTTACATATATATTATCTGTATGGGGTTTATATCCCTTTGCTAGAATGAAGCCTTGTCAGCAGGAATTTGTGTTTGTCTTGCTCACGGAAGTATCCTCATGGCCTAGAACAGTGCCAGGCCCTCAGCAGGTACTGAGTAAATATTTGTGGAGTGAATGGATGAATTCTGAGATTTATGGGCTGTGACTTATCCACCAGTTACTCATCGCTGCACTTTAGGGATGCGTGGGCCACCTCCATGTCCCTGTGCTTTTCCAGCTTGGACTCTCCCTCAAACTCTGCACTTTCAGGAAAACTTCAATGACTCCCTCCCACCCAGCTTTACTTGGGGATCCTTCCTCTATATCCACAAATCTTTTCGTGAACATTATATATAATTCCCGATTAGTCACCGTCTCCGGCTAGGCTGCCGCCTCCTCGGAATCATGGACTGTGTCTTGATTTCTGAACCCTATTGGCTATCACAGCATCCCACCTATTGTAATTGATTCTCAAGCAGCTATGAATGAAGGACACACAGTCCCTGCTTGCCACTTGGAGGCAAGAAAGAAACGACATCTTCCTGTTCCTGGTGAGCCCTAGGGTGAGTCACTTCACCATTTACAGAGATAACATGTGGCTCGATTGCTTCTTCTTTCACTCTTCACTTCCCCAGGTTAATAATTGCCAGATCATGTCATACTCTTTATTTTTTCAACCATTTCACTTCTTGCCATCCCTTTCCATGTCCAAATCTCCCTCAGAAATAAAAATAAATTTCAAATTAGTCAGAGCATCGTGACTTCTTTCAAAGTTAGAATTACTGCCTTATGAAACATGTGATTCAATGTGGGGCTCCGCTTGACAAGATCAAGCATTCTAAACTAAAATGTACAACCAGTGGAAATATCTTCCTGCTCCTCGACTACTGATACTTTACAGCCATGGTTCTCCAACTTTACCATGCATCCGAAGCACTGGAAAGACTTGCTAAGATGGAGCCACAGATTGTGGGGTCCCACTCCCAGAGTTTCTGAGCCAGATAATCAGAGTCTGGGAATTTGCACTGCCACAAGCTCCTGGGTGCTGCTGATGCTGCCAGTCTGAAGCCCACACTTTGAGAACCCTCGCTTTCCCATAATGCTTCAAGAAGTCTTAGGCACTAAGTTGATGCACCTGTGAAGGGGTTAGATTTCCCTCCTCCCTTCCCACCACCGCCAAGATAAGTAGTTGCTGAGTGCAACATTACAGCACTTCTTAAACTCTAATAGGCACACAGATCACCTGTAGATCTTGATAAAATACAGATCCTTATTCAGCAGGTCAGTGGTGGCGATGGGTGTGGGGTGTGGGGGTGGCCTGAGATCTGTAATCAGCCCCCAGGTGAAGCCAATGTGGCTGACTCTCCGCCTAAACTCTGAGCTGCAGGCATTACAAATTATACCAAGTCCATTAGTATTAAAAGAAAGTGACTTTCTTAGGTCTCAAAGCTTTGAGTAGTTTTTGATTTGATTCAGGCATTTGATTCAGGTCTGAGCTCTGAAACTACTAATATACTTTCTTTTTTCCTCATGAGTCATCTTGAGAATATACTTTTATTCTTTGTTTAACATTTTTACAACATAGAAACAAGTTAACATTTTTAACTTTCACCCATATAAAACTTCCAACATGAATGGGCCCAGCTGACTCATTGTCACTGCCCAGAGATCTCTGAGCTCTATTCAAACACTGCAGATAATTGTAAACCTGGAGACAAGGTTGGGAGGGTGGGGCTGTTTATCCTTGTTGATTGAGAAACCTACTCTTTGTCCTGTGCTGGTGTTTTGTTACATAGTTACAGCACTTAGCCTTTCATTGAAATCCTGCCTCAGAACACCATTATCTAATGCATTATTGATCTCGATTCTCCCAAAGGCCTGTGTTATCTCTTTTTTATTTCTTAAGCTATAAAGAGATTGTGGTGATGGGGAAGTGAAAGAGAAAACACCTCCCAAACCTACCTGATCCAGCTGATCCGGGACATATCCCTTTTTTTTTTTTTTTTTTGAGATGGAGTCTCTCCCTGTTGCCCAGGCTGGAGTGCAGTGGCTTGATCTTCGCTCACAGCAACCTCCACCTCAAGCAATTCTCCTACCTCAGCCTTCCAAGTAGTTGGGAATACAGGCACGTGCTACCACATTTGGCTAATTTTTGTATTTTTAGTAGAGATGGGGTTTCACCATGTTGGTCAGGCTGATCTCGAACTCCTGACCTCGTGATCCGCCCGCCTCAGCCTCCGAAAGTGCTGGGATTACAGGCGTGAGCCACCGTACCTGGCCCAGCACATATCCTTTATATCATAATGTTGTGAACACATATATACATACATATGTGTATATATACACCCACCACATATATAATATATACCCACACATACATACACACACATAAAGAGAAAATGCCTCCCAAAACCTACCTAATCCAGTGTGACTCTTACACCTGCAGGTGGATAGTAAGTGGACATTTAGGGGAGGCAGGACAAGCTACATAATTTTCAGGGCTCGGTATAAAGCAGGCATGCCGGACCCAATTGTCAAGAATTTCAACACTGCAACAGCAGAGCATTAATCCAAGTGCCAGGCCCTTCCAAGCTCACGTGCTCATGAGGCTAACCCTAGGGGAAGAACTCTGACATAACGAAAACCCCATGAATTTGGAAGCTCTCACTCTCTTCCCTTCTTCACTCCTTTCTCCCTTTCAAAACATATGTCAGAAAAGAAGAGCTCCAATGACAATGGTGATGTCATTTGTTCTGTGGTTGAATAAACACTCGTATCTCATCTTTGTCCTGTCTCTCCTTCATTTTCTGCCAAATAGCTCAACCTTCCGACTAAGAAAAACCCAACTAGATCCCACTGGTTCCAACAAGGGCTAAACTGAACTCTACCTTTGGTCCGACTATGATAAGATGGTTTACCTAATCTATGATGAGGAAATGTACTGCACAAATATGACTAGAAGGGAGGGTGTGCAGTTTCCTCAAATGAGATTTTCAAGTCATCAGACAGCCCCTCTCAAACTCTGAGGGCTCACCATGGATCTTGTTACAATGCAAATTCCAATTTAGGAGGAGTGGAAGGGACAGAGGGCATATCTACACTGTGAAACTGTGAGGCCAAGGACCATACTTTGAGTAGCAGAGCTCTAGAACTACCCTGTCCCTTAAGGTAGACACTAACCACAGGTACCTATTGAGTCCTCGAAATGTGGCTTGTCTAAATAGAGATATACTCTGAGTGTAAAATGCACACCACTTTTCAAAGATGTAATTCAAAAAATAAAATAAATATCCCATTAAGAATTGTATATTGAGTCTATGTTTTGGATATATTGGGTTAAACAAAGGATATTATTAAAATTAATTTCACCTGTTTCTACTTTTTTAATTTGGCTAGTAGAAAATTTAAAATTACCTATGTGGCTCAGTACTGGACAGCACTCTTCTAGGAGGTCAGGTGGAGCTTGAGTTATCCATCCTCTCCATTTCAATATGAACTCCTTGGGGCAAAAGCACGGAACCAGCCCCGGACATCACCCAGGGAGGTGAGTTCATCTCTTATGGTCTCATCCATCAGGTTTTCTTCTCTGGCTCTCACCACCCCAATACAGACACACACACACAAACACACACACACACACACACACACACACACACAGAGGAGTGGGAAAGACTGGAAGACAGGACCTTGTCTTATCCATCTTTCTGTCCTCAATGCCCAGTACACAGTCTATTATCTTAAGTAATCCATAAATATCTGAGATGTGGATCCTCTATGTAAATCATTCATGGCTCCTCCCACTTATACTTCTGGGTCACTGTAAATGTTTGAAAGTAGTCATGTGTTTTCTCAATTATATTTTCCTCCGGGTTGTCCTTCAGCTTACCTTGTACTAGCTGCACAGGCTCAGTGAGCATCCATGACACAATGCTACTAGCTCAGTGCATACTGAAGGGTAAATGTTAGTGGCCTTTTCCTTGCCACCACCACCAAGTTTACAATTACAGTACTTCTACTATGATCACGGCTGCCACTAAGAAGCTACACCTCACTGGGTGCTTCCTACATGCCAGGTGCTGTACCTGCACTTCAGATATGGCATTTCATTTAATCCTCACACCACCACCATGCTGGCCATTATTATGGTCTTCCACTTTCCATATGAGGAAAGTGAGGCTCAGAGAGGTTATGAACCATGCCCAAGCAAGTAGCAGAAATAGGATTCAAGTCCAGATCTCTAAAGTCTGTGTTTTCAATCCTGGGTATCTATAACATTAGCAGAGTGCTCAGAATCATCAGTGGAAAAAAGAGGAAAAAGTGAAGTGGGGTGGTTTTGAATAGCACATGAATATGCACACCAGGATGGAGGCATTCTTTCATTTTTTCCTTTGGTCTGTTGTTAAATGTATGTATATCGTATTTCCCAATAAATTAGAAAATGGAAAAAATAAGTCATCAACCTTTTTTCTCTAAATCAAGGAACATAGAAATCTGACATATCCTTTACATCAGAATGTTGTGAACACATATATACATATATATGTGTATATATACATACACTGCATATAGGTAATATATACCCACACATACATACACACACATAAATTGTAACCAGACGCACATGGTAGTAAAATGTGTGCTTTTAAAAAGCCACTGGGTACATCTCTAAGAAAGCCTCACATGATGTAGTAACAAAATGAGCCCTGCAGTAGGGAACAAAACGAATTATTGGTATAGATCAATAGTTAATAACGGTTCAGCTACTAACATGGGGCATGTCAGAGTAACACACTGGGCAAATACACTTACAAGGAGAAATACAGAAGAATAATCCAAAATAAATTACCAATGAATTGTTTTATGATAAAAGCATAAGTTTTGGAATGGTCTTTAAAAGACAGATTTAAAATGTTTGAATCAGGCTCGGGTTTGAAGCCTTTTTTTTTTTTTTTTTTCAAATTGACTTTATTCTTTTCTCATTAAAAGAGCTGTTCCAGGCTGGGTGCGGTGGCTCACACCTGCAATTCAGCACTTTGGGAGGCCAAGGCAGGTGGATCACTTGAGGTTAGTTCAAGACCAGCCTGGCCAATATAGTGAAACCCCATCTCTACTAAAAATACAAAATTTAACAGGGCATGGTGGTGCGCACCTGTGATTCCAGCTACTCGGGAGGCTGAGGCAAAAGAATCACTTGAACTTGGGAGGTGGAGGCTGTAGTGAGCCGAGATCACACCGCTGCACTCCAGCCTGGGCAACAAAAGCGAGATTCTGTCTCAAAAAAAAAGAGCTATTCCATCCCAAAAAGGTTTTATGATGATAGTTTTACTTTGGGGATTATTACCTCTGTATATTAATATCTCAGTACAATTTTAAAACACCAATGCTTTAAAATAACACACAAACTACTGTCACCAAACCAAACCAGGTCCGTTTGCCCTCAGGCAAAGTTAAGTCAAGCACCAAAGCACTGGGTTTTGGCAGTGAGAAAGGTTTATTGTGAGTAGACTGACAAGGAAACTGAAGGAAATGCTCAAATCTGTCTCCCTGAGCTTGAGGCTAGGTCAGGTTTCATAACCATAGGGTAATGAGGATGATCTGATCCTGCAATGAGGTGATGCTGGGAGGCATGATCTGACTGGACCCTGCCATGGGGTGTCCGCTTCTTAATTCAGTCCCCACTCCTTAGTCCAAGCACTTAGGTTCCTGCACACTTGGTTCATCTGGGCATGCTCAGGGGGTCCATGGAACTGAAAAACAACTCACAACAACTCACAACTCTGTAACATAAAAGTTGAACCAGATCAGTCTGATGACGTTATGCTACTTACTAAGTCCATGTTGATAAAACTGAAAAAATACGACCTTTAAAATCTTTCTTGTAGTTCTACCAAAAGAGATTTCATTCACATTTCCACATCAAAAATGTTGGTTGGATAATTTCTGGGATACTAAGAAATAAAAAGGCAAAGACAAAATGATCATAATCATTATAACAAACCTCAGTCTTTTTTCTTTTTTTTTTGAGACAGAATTTCGCTCTTCTTGCCCAGGCTGGAGTGCACTGGCGCAATCTTGGCTCACTGCAACCTCTGCCTCCCAAGTTCAAGCGATTCTCCTGCCTCAGCCTCCTGAGTAGCTGGGGTTACAGATGCCCACCATCACACCGAGATAATTTTTGTATTTTTAGTAGAGACCGGGTTTCGCCATGTTGGCCAGGCTGGTCTTGAACTCCTGACCTCAGGTGATTCACCCACCTCAGCCTCCCAAAGTGCTGGGATTACAGGCATGAGCCACTGTGCCAGGCCCAGATCAGTCATTTTAATACGAGATTGTGACCAGCCAGAATAACTGGTTTCCATTTTTGCTCTTCGATTGATTGATCATTGTATCTAGGGTCAAATTTGCTGTATAGTTTTTCAGTTTTAACAATGCTAAGGCCCTATGTCAGTGTAATCAAGGGAAAGAATCTAAATTAGATATTAAAAACCTGAATCCAAATTCTGGTTGAATGCCATACTTATTACGATCAATAAACATAAATGGTGGCTCAACACACACTGTAGTAAATAATGTGCTTTTAAAAAGCCACCAGATAAATCTCTAATACAGCCTCCAATGACTTAGGAACAAAATGAGTCCTGCTGTAGGGAAGAAAGTGAATTATTGGTATAGATCAAATTGCCTAGAAACATCGTGTGTCAACATTAATGTCAGTTCCTTGGAACAAATATATTGCTCCTTAATTACTCCATGCTTTCAGATGATAGCTCATTTCACAGAGATGCATTTATTTTGAAAAAGTATACATAGCTACCAGCCTGTACACTCTGTCAACATAAGGGTTGGCCATAAAAACCTGTTATATTTTACTCTGGGCAGCAATTATTTAATATCCCTCAACATATGTGTCAAACGCATAAGAAATTGCTCCAGGCTTTTCCACATTTTCATTGCTTAAAAAAGTAGAAAACGCCAAACAATGAGGCCTTCATAGAACCTGAGGCATCAAAAATATTAGCTGCATTGTGAAAGCCAAATAGGAGCAACTTATTCTTAAAAAAGAATACAATTAATAAACCACATCTCCATTGACACCTAGTAAGTCCCCAGCAAGGTGTAAAGCCCCGGATTTATAAGGCTACGAAACATATTACAGGAATAAAACCCTAAACCACAAAAAGGTGTACTGTCTACAACGGTTGTGGTCACTAGGGAACCCTGTTTCAACGCTGATGCTTCTCTGCCTTCCCTTTTCTAAATCAGGTTAAATGGGGCTCCTCACAGTGGAGCTGTTCCTCCTGACCCTCTGACACCCCAAACTGGACTATCCCCGGACTGATTACCTTATCACATGCTATTTTCCAACTACGCAATGAACATATCACCTGGCCCCCTAAGCCTGCAGATTGACCTGACTCATGCAATTATTTTTGTTGATTTTTTAGAGACAGATTCTTGCTCTGTTCCCCAGACTGGAGTTCAGTGACACAGTCACCACTCACTGCAGCCTCGACCTTCTGGGCTCAAGCAATCCTCCCACTTCAGCCTCCAAAGTAGCTGGAACTACAAGTGCGTGCCACCGCACCCTGCTATTTTTTTTTTTTTTTAATGTTTTGTAGAGAAGGAGTCTCACTATGTTTACAGGGCTGGTCTTGAACTGGATTCAAGCAATCCTCCCACCTCGGCTTACAGGCGTGAACCACTGCGCCCAGCCTGCAATTATTTATCTTCAGAGTTCCCTGGGGTCCGGCAGAAGAAGTACTAACAAGGGCCCATAGGAAAGGAGCAAGCAAGAATCCCTGGGAAGTGCTGTGAAAAATCAGGAGGAAGTGAGGCTGAAAGCCGAAGAAACCGGGGAAGGCTTCCTAGCAGGGTGGCTTTCAGATGTTTTCTCACTGTTCTGCTCCCACATCCCACAGACCCTCATCTTCCTTACCAACCACGTTAAAATGTGAGCGGTCTTTATTTGGAGTTCTCTGACTCTTTCAGAGTTAAGACACGAAGAGATGGAATGAATGTGACCTTTATAGCCTCCTTTCCTCCCTTCTCTACTCAGTGGTTCCTTTCCAGCCCACCTCTGCTCATTTCCCTGCCTCAGGGCCTTTCACATGCCGGTGCTTCCCATCCAAGCCCAGATCACACCTCCAGGAAAGGTCTGGGGGTGAGTAAGTGCCCTGCTCTTCCCCACCTGCTCTAGGACTCCAGATCCTAGGGAGAGGTTGCACATCTTGCTCTGAAAGCCACCCCTCTAGAAAGCCTTCCTGGCTTCTTCAGCTTTCAGCCTCACCTCCTCCTGATTTTTCACAGCACTTTCTAAGGACTTTTGCTTCCTCCTTTCATACATGCCCTTGTTAGCATTTCCTCTGCCAGACCACAAGCTCCTCCAGAGCAGTGTCTGACCACCCAGGAGGCACTCAGCAAATCATAAATAGTTTAATTTGCCCAGATACGTTTCTGTTTTTAAAAACCAGTTGTCAAAACTTCATTTCATCTTTTGCCAACTGCCTGACTCAGAAGACGTTGATGTTCGTTTGTTTGTTTGTTTGTGTCTGTTTGTTTGTTTGGAGACAGTGTCTTGCTCTGTTGCTCAGGCTGGAGTGCAGTGACGTGATCACCGCTCACTGCAGCCTCAATTTGCCAGGCTCAAGGGATCCTCTCACCTCAGCCTTGCGAGTAAATGGGATCACAGGCGCGCACTACCATGCCTGGCTAAATTCTGTATTTTTTGTAAAGATGGGGTTTCACCATGTTGCCCAGGCTGGTTTTGAACTCCTGGGCTCAAGCAATCCGCTCACCTCAGCCTCCCGAAGTGCTGGGATTACAGGTGTGAGCCACCACGCCCAGCCCAGAAGATGTTAATCTTTACAGGCAGTTTTCCTAAAACCTGTTTATTAATACAACTCTTCCTTGCAAAATTAGGTGTTGGGAAAAGCGTTCTTTCCCTCTCTCTTTCCATCCCTCCATTTCAAGCTCAATCCTGTACTCTGCAACAAATTTTCAATATGAAGCTTCTCTTTTAACCAGTCGGATGCTTTGTATGGTTTGTTTTTCCCTTTTTACTTAAGTGTGTGCACATTAAAAAGTAATGAAATACCCCACCGAGCAGAAATGTGAACACATCTGCCGTTTGCATTCTGAAAAACGAATTAATAATACATCTCTTCATCTAGTCTGATGCATCCATATACATCGTGCCTTGCTCTAGGAGCATTCTGGAGCCAATGATCGCCGCCGTATCTTAGAGCACCTGTTTCAATTTTGTGTGATTAGTAGCACGGGAAGGACCATATTGAAAGAGGAGGTCTCTAGCCCCAGGTAGAAACAAAAATGTATTGAGTATAGACCTTATATTCACCTTTTAAGCAGTAATTTCGTTGATGAGAGTTTTGTTTATACATCAGGATGTTGTTGCCAAGACAGTTTTCCTGGGTCATGCAAAAGCACTAAAAATCAATTTGCAGAGCAAATATTATGTAGCTTAATCTCAACTTTCTATATTTGTACCGTTGCTATAGGCAAGTCATTAATCTGCATATGCCTCAGCTTTTCATTTGTAAAATGAGGATGGCCTACATGACTTTCAAGGGCTCTTTCAGATATGATAGCCTATATGGTTCTTTGTATTTAGAAACAAGCCTCATGAAAAATAAAAACACATGGTGAGTGATTTGTCACTTGCTTACTTGTTTTCAAAAATAGTAAGTTTGGGTTGTCCAAGTAACATAAAAGCATATCAGAAAATTAAATCACTGATGATTTCTCCCTTAGAACATAGTCTAAAAAAGTTCAATGCTAATTGGTTATTACCATTTAGTTAGCTAACAATATTATAGCCTATAGCTAGGCAATATTTTCTAGAGCTTTCACAAGCACCATAAATTCTACAGTCTTCAGTTATCACAATGAATGAAACGCTCAATGATGTGATAATGCAGCAGTTTAGAGAGAAGAAGCCTCCAGGCAGCAGCAAGGGCTATGCAAGATGGCAGCCTCTCCCAGGAGATGCTGTTTCCTGTGGTCTGTCTGTGCAGATTTGACTCTGGAGTTTTGGAAGACTGAGTGAACTAGAATCATGGTGGTAATTTATATATGAGGGATAAACATAAGAATCATCAAGACTGGCACCGGGCATGGTGGCTCACACTTGTAATACCAGCACTTTGGGAGGCCGAGGTAGGTGGATCACCTGAGGTCAGGAGTTCGAGACTGACCAACATGGTGAAACCCCATCTCTACTAAAAAATACAAAAATTAGGCCAGGCGTGGTGGCTCACACCTGTAATCCCAGCACTTTGGGAGGCGGAGCTGGGCAGATCACCTGAGGTCAGGAGTTTGAGACCAGCCTGACCACCATGGAGAAACCCCGTCTCTACTAAATATACAAAAAATTAGCCGGGTATGGTGGCACATACCTGTAATCCCAGCTACTCAGGAGGCTGAGGTAGGAGAATCGCTTGAACCTGGGAGGCAGAGGTTGCAGTGAGCCGAGATTGCACCATTGCACTCCAGCCTGGGCAACAAGAGCAAAACTCCATCTCAAAAAAAATATATATATATATAAAACTTAGATGGGCATGGTGGCAGGTGCCTGTAATCCCAGCTACTTGGGAAGCTGAGGCAGAAGAATCGCTTGAATCCAGGAGGCGGAGGTTGCAGTGGGCCAAGATCATGCCATTGCACTCTGGCCTGGGCAACAGCGCAAGATTCTGTCTCAAAAAAAAAAAAATCAATAATACTGGAGAAAACCTTTCCTACGTACCTTATCAGTACCTTATTATGCACTCCCAGCCTGGTCTCCAAATCAGAATACTCAACAGTCTTCCTCTTCATCCAGGTCTCCTCCACCTAAATCTGACACAAGTGCTACAAACTTGGCATTTCCACAAACACACCATGTTTCCCTTTGCAATGAGATTCTGTCATTTGCAACAACATGGATGGAACTGGAGGTCATTATGTTAAGTAAACCATCTCCCAAACCATCTCCCAGTCCTGTCCCAGTGTCCCCCTTGCCATGGGGTACCACTATCACCACCCAGTCATTCTCATCTCATCCTATTCCCCATGTCCCACACCCACTCATTCCACAAAGGAATCAGGGCCAAAGCCCATGCACACACTATACCCAAGAAAGAGAGACATGCACAGGAGAGATGAACGGGGTGACCAACTGTCCTGGGACTGACTGTCCCAGTTTTAACTCTGAAAGTCTCACATTGCAGAAAGCTCTGTGTCCTGGGCAAACCAGGACAGTTGGTCATCCTGGAGGGAAGGAATTTGAGAGCACAGGGATGGCTTCCTGGAAGAGATGACATGCAGAAGAAGAGAAGGGGATGGAGTATACAGAAGCATGGAATGGAGGAATCAGTGGTGTGTGTTACTGGAGTGTGCCATCTGAGGCATGGAGGGGTGACCAGGGGGTCTAAAAAGGTAGGCAGGAGCTAGATCTTTGAGAGCTGTATATTGGACTTGACTACATACTGTTGTCAGTTTTTTACAGAAGTGAAATAATCAGATTTGCATTTTTAGGTAGGTGTTTGAGACTGGACCTCAACGTTCATGAACTAATGATGGCTAGAAACAGGTGCTAATATTATTTTTAAATTGTCAGTAACTTCTTTACTATGATTCTAGAGGTAGGAACTAGAATTAGTCTTGGTGACAAATTATTCTTCTGTTTTGGGAGGAATTCAGTTGGGCTCTCTCTTAGTCAAGCTTGTGTAAAATAAGTACTCACTTGTCCTTGGCATAACACTGGACATGGGCAAAATAACACGGATACGGAGCCAATTGCAGGGGTGAAGAGGACCGTTGAGCCTGTGGCTTCCCAGTCAGAGATTTAGGATGTTAAATCCAAATGCAGCCCTATCTGGTTTCAAACGTCACCTCTGGGATGAAAAGATTATATCCATCTTGGCTAGGCACAGTGGCTCACACTTGTACTCACAACATTTTGGGAAGCCGACGCAGGAGGATCACGATTAAGATATCCATCTCATCCGTTGAAACTATGCCCCCACACTGGACCACGTAGCCTATAGTACACTAAAATAAGTTAGTATTTTTTAAATAAATCTTGTGATTGGTACAGGTTTATTGTATTATGAGATTTTGTGTTGCAAATGGTAATGTAAAGGAAATATAAACACTTTAAATTTTTTTCAATTGTTTAATATACCAGGAGCTTCAAAAATTGGAAATGGTCTAGATGCCCCTCAGACTCTGAAAGGACTTGCAAAGGAGTGTGCATCAGAGACAGGAGGAATCTGTGACCATCATTTGCAATCTACATTATCTATATGTATATCTCTTAAGCATACATTATTTCGTTTTGCCTGTTTTTATACTATATATCAATAAAATCTGGATGGATTCTGTTGTCTTTTTTCAGCATTATGTTTTTTAATATTTATCCATGTCAATAATGTAATTTATCTTTTTTTTATTTTTATTTTTTATTTTTTTTTATTTTTTTTTTTAGGCAGAGCCTGGCTCTTTTGCCCAGGCTGGAGTGCAGTAGCATGATCTCGGCTCACTGCAACCTCCACCTCCTGGGTTCAAGCGATTCTCCTGCCTCAGCTTCCCGAATAGCTGGGATCACAGGCGCCCACCACTATACCCAGCTAATTTTTGTATTTTTAGTAGAGACGGGGTTTCACCATATTGGCCAGGCTGGTCTCGAACTCCTCGCCTCAAGTGATCTACCCAACTCAGGCTCCCAAAGTGCTGGGATTACAGGCATGAGCCACAGCGCCCAGCTAATTTATCCATTTTTAGCTGTTGCATAGCATCCCACTGTACGAACATGTATCAACGCATTTATTCATTCTACTCTTAACATTTGAGTTGTTTCCAGTTTTCTGTTGTGTGTGTGTATGTTAGTACGTGTGTGTGTTGTTAATATGAACAATGCTTCTGTGAATATTCTTGTACATGTCTATCGTTCAATATTTACAAGAGTTTCTCTGAAGTGTACACCTAGGAATTGTTTGCTGAGTGATGGCTATATGAATGTTCAGCCTTCTAAGATAATCTCAAACTATTTTACAAAGTGATTGTACCTACTTATACAGCTAACATGAATGGACTGGAATTCCCCTCGGCCACCTTGCTATCGTCCAACTTTTTAAATTTTTCCGATTGGCAGATGTGGAATGGGCCATTCAGCTTTCCTCTTCTCTGCAAATCTATTCATATTTTGCCCACTTTCTCACTGGGATGCTTTTCTTTTTCTTATTGATTTGTAGGAATTTTCCATATTCTGGAAACTAATTGCTTGTCAGTTACATGACTTCTAAATATCTGCTCCCTGTTTGAGGCTTTTTTCATTATAATTATGGTATATTTTAATGAATAAAAATTGCTAAATCAGTATCAATTTTGTACTTCACAGTTTTCACTTTTTGTGTCTTGTTTAAAAATACTCCTTTACTCTAATTCCTAGAGATATTATTCTGTGTTTTCTTCTAAATGTTGTATAGTTTTTAACTTTTCACATTTTTATCTTTAATGAATCTGGAATTCATTTTCTTATATTTTAGGTAAATTTTGCCTTAGACAGAAATACAACTGCCATTTGTTAAATATGGGATACTCCATTTCTTTCCTCATTGATTTGAAATGCCCAAGCCGTACAAAATTAGTTTCTATAGGCAACAGATCTGTTTCTGAGCTCTTTGTGCTAATTCACTGGCTTATTTCCAGATCATTGTAAGAGCCATCATGTGAAAGGCAAAACCATAAAATTAGAAAACATAATATGCATTCTTTTTTTTCTTCAACTTTTATTTTAAGTTCAGGGGTAAATGTGCAGGATGTGCAGTTTTGTTACATAGGTAAACATGTGCCACGGTGGTTTACTGCACAGATCATCCCAACACCCAGGTATTAAGCCTAGCGTCCATTAGCTATTCTTCCTGATGCTTTCCCCCCAACCACAGGTGCCAGTGTGTGTTGTTCTCCGCCATGTGTCCCTGTGTGGAAAATATAATATGCATTCTTAACCTGTCAATATCTAAAGTTAATCTGTATGTTTGCTGTTTTCCTAAACAGTCCCGCAATTTAGAACAATTTAACTCCATTCATCCCCTTCCAGCCCTCATCTACTTTAATTCCATATTGTTTTTTCTTCTCAATAGATATATTATTTTATAGCCAATACTTGTCTTTACATTTACATTTGGTCGCATGCTTAGCACTCTATTTGTTCATTATTTTAATTCTTTTATGCATCTCAGAACTTTCATCTGGAATCATCTTCCTTCTGCTTAAAACACATTCTTTCAGATTGCTCTTAGTGAAAACTTAGAAGTTGATGGCAAATTCAGTTTTTTAAATGTTGAAAATGGCTTTATTTTACCCTTCTTCAAATATAATGTTACCGAGTCAGAAAATTCCGGAATGGCAGTTATTTCCTCCCAGCACATTGAAGATTCTATTCCATTTCCAGTGTCCATTGTTGCTTTTGAGGAGTCAGTCATCAGTCTAACCACCATTCCTTTGTTGGTGATTTATTCTCTATCTGCTTGTAATTATCTGGTTTTCTGCCTCAATGTGTGTAGTGATTTATTTTTATTCCTTTTGCCTGGAATTCATTAGGTCTCCTTAATCTGAGAACTTGGGTTTTTTTTAAAGAATTCTATAAAATTCTCACTTTTTATTTTGTTGAATGTTTTCTTATTCTCTTGTGTCTTCTTCTGGAACTCTGATTAGACATATTTAGACCTTCTAATTATAGCCTTCATGCCTTCTTGACTTCCTCCTTCGTCACTTAGCTGCATTCTGGAAATTTTCCTCAGAGCTACATTTTGTTCAATAATCCTGGCTTAATCTGTTCCTGGATCCATCCACTGAACTTGTAATTTTAACGGCATTATTTATTTCCTCTGGTTTGTATTTCAGATCTGCTTGGTACTTGCTCCAATTTTAAGTTTGTTTTATTTTCTAAAACAATTTATATTTATATTCTTCATCCAATCATTCTATAGCCACTATGAGACAATAAATAAATCCATCCAACTCATCAAAACACAGCTGAGAATTACCAAATAAGTACAAACAAAAACCTAAATATGACTGATTAACTGTGCAGAATACAATGATGTAAGTTTACTATACATCAACCTCCTTGTACCCATCTCCTCGCTTCAACAAATAACTCAGGGCAAAACTTCCTTCATCCATACTTCCACCCTCCTTCTCCCTGTCTGAACAAGATGCCACTCCAGAGACTGCAGGTTCTATGTCTATCATATGTGATTGCAATAGCTTGGTCATGGTAGAATACAAAAAAAAAGAAAAAAGTTGAAAGCCCTCTGAAAACTGTAGTGCTTATAATAGCCTTCCCAACTACTGGCCATACTTAATATTAATCATTAACACTCTCAGTAGAGTGTCTCAGAAGTCAAAATGTATCTCCTACTAGCTACAAGGAAGTTGGGATCTAATAAGTATTTATTTACAGCTGCAGTCACCCAACAGCCTGAAATACCAGGGTCTCTAAATTCATGACTTTGTGTATGAACAAGGGTCAATAGGATCTTTACTCAGTCCTCGAGATATAACTCAGAAAAATGAATTGCTGTGAAAAACTCACTTGATTTCCTGTGGTCACATTATAAGATCGAATAATCTACAAAAGTACAAAACTCAGTGATATAGAGAAGCCAGCAAATTCTCCTGCCCTTATATAAACAGGTGGGAGGCTTTCCAGTAGAATTTTTTCTACTCCAACAAATTGGTAGATTGAATGACTATACCTCATAATGATGACACTATTGTATCATATTTTAGTTTAAATTTAAAACCTCAAAAACTTACCAAAACTAGCCAAAGATTTCTGGAATAAGATATAGACAAAGTTATTTCTCAAAAAAAAGAAAAAAATTGGCTGGGCCGGGTGCAGTGGCTCACGCCTGTAATGCCAGCACTTTGGGAGGCTGAGGCAGGCAGATCACAAGGTCAAGGGATCAAGATCAGGCTGGCCAACGTGGTGAAACCCCATCTCTACTAAAAATACAAAAATCAGCTCGGCGTGGTGGTGCCCACCTGTAATCCCAGCTACTAGGGAGGCTGAGGCAGGAGAATTGTGTGAACCGGGGAGGGGGAGGTTGCAGTGAGCTGAGATCATGCCACTGCACTCCAGCCTGGTGACAGAGCAAGACTCCGTCTCAAAAAAAAAAAAAAAAAAAAAAAAAACGGCTGGACACAGGGGCTCACACCTGTAATCCCATCATTTTGGGAGGGTGGGGTGGGAGGATCACTTGAGCTCAGGAGTTTGAGTCCAGCCTGGGCAACATAGTGGGACCCTGTTTCTACCAAAAATAAATAAATAAAAATTATGTAAGCATGGCGTGTGTGCCTGTAGTCCCAGCTACTTGAGAGGCTGAAGCAGGAGGATCACTTGAGCCTGGGAGGTCAAGGCTGCAGTGAGCTGTGATTGTGTCACTGCACTCCAGCCTGGGTCACACAGTGAGACCCTGTCTCAAAATAAAAATAAAATGGAAAATAACTAAAAATGGGATTTTCAACTCTTTGATATAAATAGGTCCAGCCATAAGGAAGAATTGTGCTACAAAAGAGAACAAAAATCATCATGTTTAACAACTGCATTCATGTTCTTTTCTAATTATAAAGCTAACTATTGATTTTATAATGCTTCTACACACCTTGATCATGTGTTAGCATATGAAACTCTTAGCTGAGACCAACTTACTATAAAACTTGTGTAATTTAAATAGTATAATTTTCCAATGACTTTAATCTAACAACCTCCTACCCCATTAATCAACACCAAAAACAATTCATCTTTGAATACATGTATAAAGAACATAGTTCATGTGTTTATAAAAAGTTCTTCTCTGCTACAGAGTTTAGCTGTGACATCTATTAACAAAGTAATTTATAACTCTAATAAGTTAGCAAGGTCTTCTTGCTACCAGTCCAGTCATTGGTGGTGAGTACTCAGTATTGGCTGATGAATACATGAATGGATAAAAATATAAGAGCTGCCCACACATATACCATAAAATGCATAAAATAGATTCCATTTTATCTCAATTTTTATTTCTGTGATATAACTAAGATAAAATCAAACACAATGTATTATTTTAAAGTATACTGTTTATAAGAGAGAAATAATATGATCTGACCTTATTTTAGAAGAAAGTTGTGTGTAAAAGAAATTTAAACTCAAAAGTAAAAAAGCCACTGGTTTCTAAAAACTCAAAAAAAATTTTTTTTAAGTGACTGGCTTTCAGAACAACAGCAACAACAAATAAGCCACTAAAATAAGACAATTAAATTCCAATTTTTTTTGCATTTACTTGCTTGCTTAATTATATACAAATCTCAATTCCATTAAAGTATCAGGATGACAATTAATTAGATGTTTTTAGTGACTTTTCCAATCCCTTCTAATTAACTTGGAAGTGATTAACTGATTATCTAATTATATTAATTAGTGATTATCTAATTAACTAAGGAAGTGATTTACATGCTTCATGGGAAGTGTGAATTCTCAGCCAGGGGGTTTGAATGAAGGGAAGCAAGTGACTCAGGCATTTATTGGTTGCTTACAATCAGATTCCCACCGATGAGATCATGCCCATGTGTCTAGAGGTCCACACACAAGCAGCTGCCTCCAGCCCAACCCTGGAAGCTGAGTGTAGTCCCAAGTCCCCGCCTGCACCCCTTCCTATATAAACAGCCACTCTCGCTGTGATTATGGGGGCATACAAGGAAGATCAGGCTTCCATGGAAGCTTCTGCAACTGAAATCCACTGGGGACTTTAGAAGGAGCACCTGTAAGTAGCTTCAGGATGGATGGGGCAGAGTCTGTCTCATGGTGGGTGTTAAGCTGGCCTCATACAAAAGAGGAGACCCATCCTGATACCATGCCAGGTACAAAGCACTGTGTGATTTATTCTAAGTGTCTTGGTAACAGGACTTGAAGCCAGGTGGTGACTGGAAACCTAAAATGCAATATTTAGTCATAGAACATTAGAAATAGAAAGAAAATAACCTCCCAAATCATCTAATCCATCACTCAGCTAAATTCATTTAATTCACATCCCCAAACTACATCTCCAAATGTACAATGGTTTCATTCCTGGTTTAGGGATTCGAGGTTTTGTGTTTGTACAAAATATTTTAATAGTCTTATAAAATAAGATGTCCAAAACACAATAAACTTAAAAGCCAAACACAAGCAAAGCATGAAACAGAGGTTCTGAAGAGCAACTCCTCAATACAAATCAAACATTGTCCTTTATCTCCATTGTGACTTTCAGTTATGTAGGCACATCTGCCTTTTTAGATACCTAAATTATACATGAGGATTGTAAATATTCTTTGTGTGTATGTTAGGATGAAAAAAACCTGCCAAGGCAGGCGCATGGGCTAAAAGAATACACTTTCCTGTTTCCTTTTATTACCTGTTTAATTAAAAAAAAAAAAAAGTTGCCCCTGATAAAAGCCTCCAAGAAATGCCTCTAGTGGTATTTTCTGGAATTGAATTAAGCATATTAACATATTGCTATACAAAGCGGGGGGCGTGGAAGTAAGGCAAGGTGGACTGTGGTGCCAATCCTAGTGACATGTCAGCAGAGGAGGAGTTTCTTGCCTGTGGACTTCATAAAAGGCTAGCTCAACACCCTCCATGAGACACACTCTGCCCCAACCATCCTGAAGCTACAGGTGCTCCCTCCTGGAATCTCCAATGGATTTCAGTCGCAGAAGCTTCCACAGAAGCCTGAGCTCCTCCTTGCAGGCCCCTGTAGTCAGTACAGTGGGCATGCAGCGCCTCGGGACGACACCCAGCGTTTATGGGGGTGCTGGAGGCCGGGGCATCCGCATCTCCAACTCCAGACACACGGTGAACTATGGGAGCGATCTCACAGGCGGCGGGGACCTGTTTGTTGGCAATGAGAAAATGGCCATGCAGAACCTAAATGACCGTCTAGCGAGCTACCTAGAAAAGGTGCGGACCCTGGAGCAGTCCAACTCCAAACTTGAAGTGCAAATCAAGCAGTGGTACGAAACCAACGCCCCGAGGGCTGGTCGCGACTACAGTGCATATTACAGACAAATTGAAGAGCTGCGAAGTCAGGTGAGAGATGATGCTTGTGTTTCCTACTCTGTGTTTAGCTTCAAGATAAATCAAGAGGTTATCTATGTTAGGTAGGTCCAAATGGACTTTGTAAAGCAAATTAGGCTAAAATGTTACATCTATAAAAATTCTTTCATCTACCTTTAGTGCTGGAGTACCTGACTGTACAACAGGATGACCTTAAATCATGCTATTTTTAATGTTTAACACAATTACATACAAAATATGAACATTTTATCCTCCGGAATAAAATGAATCTTTGTCACAGCTTATCACATCAGGGCTAAATGTATAGTGAACAATCTTTCTGAAAAGAGCTAAAAATTAATTACGTGATAAATCTCTCTTAGTTTTTCACCTAGTCCTTATCAAGTTTTGAAACCCCAGTAAATTCAAAGACTTTTCTCCTTTTATTTAAGTAAATGTTATAATATGACTATTAGAATACTGTACTGCAGATTTAAATAGCAAAGTGATTCTGGGTGGAAACAGTGTGGCAGGAATATGGGTCTTAATGATGCCTGGATTTTTAAGTGCCCTGTTTAATAACATGACCATCAGCATCAAGCAGTTCAGAAACTACTTCTACAGTAATAAAATGTTCTATTGCCCCCAATTCATGTTTATTACAATCATATCACAACCTCCTCCTATGTCATCAAAAAAAGGGTGGAGCTCTGTATTTTATCAGTTTCATGGAATAAAAGCAGAAGACTTTGCTCCTAATTGAAAATTTCAGATATGACACAGAGCACTTGCTTCAAATTAAAGTTCTTATCTAATTAAGAAAAGTGTTCACTGTAATTTGTGTTAAGATTCATACTCCTTTAGAGCAAAGCGCATTTACTTACCAGCAAGTCTGTTTTTCTTGAGTTGTACTAAACATCAGGGCAATTTGATTCGGACTCCATGGGAAGTTACTTTGGAATTTTAGAAACTATGGGCATGTGAAGCAATGGCATTTAAATAGCCCTTCCGGAATAAAGTTCATCCTTCGCAAGCTCTCACTAAAAATGTTCGAACCACACCTGTCTCGTGTTTCTGACTCTAGTTTGGTTCATCTGAAATACACAGGCACAGGCCATCCGTCCCATTGAGCTGGACAGTCCCAACCATAGGAAGCAGCCCTCTCCAAAACTGGGTCCATTGAAAGAGAAATGTCATTGTAACATCTTCTGCAAGTAGATTTTTCATCTATATGCCTCCATCATGCATTTCGTTCTTTCATGCATCATGTTCTTTCATTCAGCCAATACTGAATGAACACTAACTAGGTGCTGGGCACCATGCTGGGGACTGAGGAATATTATGGTGGACACAATATGATTTATGAGGATACAGGGATGGACAGAGGGACCAGCACACAGAGGGATAATGAGAGCACAGGCAGATCATCCAGTTCAGTTTTGAGAGCATCTGTGAAGGCTCCTATGAAGCAATGTTGTCGAACCTGAGACATGAGGGAGGAATGGGAGTTCACCAGACCACAGGGGCTAAAAGAAATGTCCTAAGTAGAAACATCAAAGGCAAGGCACTCAATAAGGTGTGATGACTCAAGTTGAGTTAAATTATCCTTCTGTAAAATCACAAGAAAGTAGACCAAACCCTGGGGCATCTAGAGTTGCATTTTATGACTCTGTTATGTTAAATAACTATGTCATTATTTTTTCTATATATTTTCATGTAGAAATACTTGAAATGAACATCATTTTTGACATAATAGTCACTGTAGCTGGGGATAAACTAAATCCTTGTAAACTCCTATCCAGTTGAAAATGTCATTCTTGGCCGGGCACGGTGGCTCACGCCTGTAATCCCAGCACTTTGGGAGGCCGAGGCAGGCAGATCACCTGAGGTCAGAACTTCAAGACCAGCCTGGCCAACATGGCAAAATGCTGTCTCTACTAAAAATGCAAAAATTAGCCGGGCATGGTGGCGGATGCCTGTAACCCCAGCTACTCGGGAGGCTGAGGCAGGATAATTGCTTGAACCTGGGAGGCAGAGGTTACAGTGAGCCGAGATCGTACCATTGCACTCCAGTCTGGGCAACAGAGCAAGATTCTGTCTCAATAAATAAATAAATAAATAAATAAATAAATAAATAAAAAAGAAAATGTCATTCTTTCTCATGTATTTTCCAGATTAAGGATGCTCAACTGCAAAATGCTCGGTGTGTCCTGCAAATTGATAATGCTAAACTGGCTGCTGAGGACTTCAGACTGAAGTAGGTTCCCTAATACGTGGCAAAAGTTTCTGAAAAAGAATTCCTTTAGTAGTCCTTCCAGATACTCAGCTTTCCATATCATTGTTGATAAAGGAAGCACGGTTCAATGTCCAGAATCCTGAAGCCTAAAGGAGGTTAGAAGCTACATGTATGAAGCTAACCCAGCACTCAGGGATGGCCTTCTCTTTCTTGATCCCCCGGCATGTAACTAAACACCTCCAGTAACTACTATTCTCCTTGGTTATTACTGGTTGCTAAATTTTTTTTTAGTAACCTGGTATCTAAACCTAATTCTGCCCTTTGGAGTAATAACAAAGTAATTTACAATTCTCCTTCTCCCTAAGTGCCTTTCTGTTATCTAAAGAGAGTCTTGTGTCTACCCTTGGTGATTCTCCAAGTAATTCTCCACGTTCATTCAAGTGCCTGCAAGTGTATGACCCAAGTTCCAGGGGTGACTCTTGATGATTTCTGGCTTGCCAGTGTTTTACAGGATGGTCTGGCCAACCAAAGAACCAGGACCAATCTATAATAATTAGCTGGGCGTGATGCCGTATGTCTGTAATCCCAGCTACTCCGGAGGCTGAGGCAGGAGAATCGCTTGAACCTGGGAGGCGGAGGTTTCAGTGAGCTGAGATCGTGCCATTGCACTGCAACCTGGGCAACAGACTGAGACCTTGTCTCAAAAAAAAAAAGGAAGAAAGAAAGAAAAGAAAAAGAAAGTAAAAATTGTGTTCACTTTCTTTGTAGTCATCACACCACATGTGACCAGACCTGTTCCTTGCAAACAGCTTCCACACTAAGGCCTCTTCATCCTGAATTTGTACAATGCATTAACACCAAAAAGCCCTTTGTGGTTAGAAGGGTAGCCTTTTAATGCTCCAAGGGATTAACAAGAAGGAAATAGGAAATCAAATCCAAAGATGAAAGCAGTAAAGGTGCATTACTTCCAATTTTACCTAGCACTGAGTGTCACATTGCAGTGTCATTTTTTAAAGTTGGATATTTTAGGAAACTGGGCAGGGCATGCATGATGGCTAACGCCTGTAATCCCAGCACTTTGAGAGGCTGAGGCAGGAGGCTCACTTGAGTCCTGGAGTTTGAGAACAGCTTGGGCAACGTGGCAAAACCACATCTCTATACAAAAATACAAAAAAAATTAGCTGGGCATGGTGGCATACATCTGCTGTCCCAGCTACTTGGGAGGCTGAGGTGAGAGGATTGCTTGAGCCCCAAAGGTTGAGGCTGCAGTGAGCCATGATCACACCATTGTACTCCAGCCTGAGTGACAGAGTGGGACCCTGTCTCAAATACACACACACACACACACACACACACACACACACAGTGTGTATGTAAGATTGTAGAGGAGGATGTAGAGCTGTTTGAGATAATTCACTTTGGATGTCTCTGTTCACAAAGTAATAAAAATAAATCGATCATGTACATTCATTAAGTAAAACTAACCATTATTTAATATCAATAATAAGAACCCTTTGCCAACACAATAATTAACACAATTTAATTTCTTATAAGATAAATTCTAGAATTTAGAAGTGTTCAAAATTATTTCAGATTGCCTTTTTACCAGTCACCCCAAATTATAGAGATTATATTATTGAGCACATTTTCTGACTCCTAGGTTCTTATGTAAATTTCATGATTGTGTAAAGGCAGACATTATAAAGTATTGAAATTGATCTCCTCATAAGCCACATTTAAAAACCTATCCCATTATATTAGATTCTCTCCTTATAATGGCTTCAGAAGGACCAGTTATCTCTGTACACTAATTAATTCACAGGTATGAGACTGAGAGAGGAATACGTCTAACAGTGGAAGCTGATCTCCAAGGCCTGAATAAGGTCTTTGATGACCTAACCCTACATAAAACAGATTTGGAGATTCAAATTGAAGAACTGAATAAAGACCTAGCTCTCCTCAAAAAGGAGCATCAGGAGGTGAGAAAATATTCAGAAGTGGTATTGGAAACAATGGAATGGTTCTATATAATACTAATAATAGGAGGAGCGGGAGAAACAGGAGAAGGGGGAAGAGTTGGTGGTGATAGTGACAGAGATGATGACGATGACAATAATGATACAAGCCCTACCTTCTTTTCATAATGTTGTTGTAAGTTAAATGACTTAGAGCAGCACCTGGACCACAATAAGCCCAACACAAGTTATTATTTTATATCTTTTTTACTTATTCCCAATGAAAGAGGTCATGAGACTCCTTATGTCTTTTCTGCCCAGCCTTATCTGAGAATGTGCTTCAGACTAAAATCAATCAGAAATTTCACTTTCATAGGAAGTCGATGGCCTACACAAGCATCTGGGCAACACTGTCAATGTGGAGGTTGATGCTGCTCCAGGCCTGAACCTTGGCGTCATCATGAATGAAATGAGGCAGAAGTATGAAGTCATGGCCCAGAAGAACCTTCAAGAGGCCAAAGAACAGTTTGAGAGACAGGTAACCACACAATTCTAAAGGGTGAGCAAACGTGTAGATGCTTTCCTCCAGAAACAGATAACTCATTTTCTTTTTCATTTGTTCATTCTTCCTTTCTCTTTCTGTCTTTTCTTTCTTATTTCCACCCCTCAACTATTTTTTTTTCACTCTTGGCACTGTAGACTGCAGTTCTGCAGCAACAGGTCACAGTGAATACTGAAGAATTAAAAGGAACTGAGGTTCAACTAACGGAGCTGAGACGCACCTCCCAGAGCCTTGAGATAGAACTCCAGTCCCATCTCAGCATGGTAAAGCATATCTAACTTCTCTTTCTCAATCTAGTATGTGTTTACCAAGGTCCTCTGTTAGGAACTATAGAAATGCAAAGACCTACAAGAAATAACCCTTCCCCTTGCAGAACTGGCAGGGAAACAGGCCGAACAACTGATTATAATTAAAGGACAGAGAGAAATCGAGGAAAGGGCAATGTACTGCATGAATGCAGAGGAAAGAGTAAATCTGGAAGATTTCACAGGGAAAGTGGCATTTAAACCAGATCTTCTTGTAACTTTTAAGTTCAGGAGTACATGTGCAGATTTATGATGTAGTTAAACTTGTGTCATGGGGATTTGTTGTACAGGTTATTTCATCACTCAGGTATTAAACCTAATACCCATTGGTTATTTTTCCTGATCCTCTCCCTCCTCCTACCCTCCACCCTCTGTTAGGCCCCCATGTCTGCTATTCCCCTGTATGTGTCCATTATACCAGATCTCAAAATCTAAGATAAAATTTTAAGATGGAGAATGGACTAGAGACATTCCAGGCCAAGCAAATCAGCAAGCCCATGACAAATTATGTTGTGGTAAGCAGAATCCCTCAAACCACAGTGGCCTGCAGCCATGATACTACATCCACCGTGACATTTCCTTTCCAAGGGCAAGGCTAAAGGGGTAGGCCCTACCTAGGACATGCCAGTGTCCTGGCAGAAAGAAAAGAGCAATGGTTGGTCCACTTGATAGCTCTTAAAGCTTCTCCTTAGAAAAGGCATTTGTCCTTTGGGAGGCCAAGGCAGGAGGATCATTTGAGGTCAGGAGGTTGAGACCAGCTGGCCAATATGGTGAAACCCCATCTCTACTAAAGATACAAAAATAAGCTGGGCATGGTGGTGTGTGCCTGTAATCCCAGCTACTTGGGAGGTTGAGGCAGGAGAATCGCTTGAACCCAGGAGGCAGAGGTTGCAGTGAGCTGCGATCACATTACTGCACTCCAGCCTGGGCGACAGAGCAAGACTCCGTCCCAAAAAAAAAAAGAAAAAGAAAAGGCATTTGTCAGTTTGACCTGCATTTTATTAACCAAAGAGAGTCACATGACCCAGCCAGGTGTCAATGGATTAAAGGAATCTAATCCTGCAATTGAGAAATGCCACAGATCACATGGCCAGGTCTGATGAAGGAGTGAGAGGTATAACATCTTCACACAGTGGGGAAGCAAGTACTGAGAACAATGCTACAATGCGCCGCACTGAAAGAACAGTAGGTGCAAAGCTACAAGCAAAGAAAAACCCCAAGAGCTAATGATCCTAGCTGGCTGGCTGAGGTTGCCTAGTTGGGAAGAGTGGGAGATGGAGCTAGAAATATACACCATGCCCACAGTGATGAACTGCAGAGACCCTTCTCAAAGGAAATTAAAATTAACCCATCTCTTGAATCAAGTCCTCACATAAGAAGTGCCCTATTTTTCTTGTGCTCATAGAAAGAGTCTTTGGAGCACACTCTAGAGGAGACCAAGGCCCGTTACAGCAGCCAGTTAGCCAACCTCCAGTCGCTGTTGAGCTCTCTGGAGGCCCAACTGATGCAGATTCGGAGTAACATGGAACGCCAGAACAACGAATACCATATCCTTCTTGACATAAAGACTCGACTTGAACAGGAAATTGCTACTTACCGCCGCCTTCTGGAAGGAGAAGACGTAAAGTAAGGCTCTTAGAATCAAGGAATAGGTGTCAATATCTGTATGCACTTCTATTTTAATGTCCCTGTCACTCATTACCCAGCACCAATGCAATCCCTAGGACAGAAGCAATTATACTCACACATGCCTCACCACGAACAACAAAACGAAAATATACCAAAAAATACACACACGCCCAAAATATCAAGTACAGCCTTGAGATCATGTGGTAGGACTGAGTTCTACCACATGATCATTTGGAGATAATTCTCCAAATGATATAGATTATGCTGATATTAATTTTCATCATTAATATATAATTGAAGGCATAATAACCTTTTGGAAATTCTAATTGAGAGCTCATGAATTAGACAATAAGCTGCTGAGGTCCACGGGAGCCAGTCTGAGAATCATAAGTGTGGCAGCAGCAACTGTCTTCAGATACCATACCTAAGAATATCAACAAGAGAACACAAGATTTAAACTTCCATTGTAATTTTGTTATTTTAATTAGAGGAACTTCTTAGCATATATTAAACTGGTCAGTTTTAAATCTATGTATTTTTCAAGTTAAAAAGTAAAATGCTCAAGTTTGCAATAAAAGCAATGTAAAAGGGAAAGATATATGAAAGCAATAACACATTCACTTGGACTTTGAAATATAAAAGACAGGAGTGCATTCCATTTTCAAAACAGCAATAATGCTTTTTTCTGTTTCTTTTTTCTTCTTTTCATTAAAAAAAAAAACAGAACTACAGAATATCAGTTAAGCACCCTGGAAGAGAGAGGTAAGTTCTAAATTTTTGCACATTTTCTATGACATTCAGCTGCTTTCTATTAACTACATGCCACTGATAAAAAGTAAAGTGAGGCTGTTTTAGTCTGTTTTCTGCTGCTGTGACAGAATACCTGAGACTGGATAATTTACAAACAATAGACGTTTACTTGGCTCACAGTTCTGGAGGCCAGAAAGTCCAATATCAAGGTGCCGGCATCTTGTAAGGGCCTTCTTGCTGTGTCATCCCATGGCAGAAAGTAGAAGTGCAAAAGAGTGTCCATGAGAACCAGAGAGCAAGAGGAGGCTAATCTTTCTTTTAGAACTAGCCCACTCTCACAATAACTAACCCATTATCATGGTAACCACATTAATCCATCCATGAGAGAAGAGCCCTCATCATCTAATCACCTTTTACTAGGCCGCACCTCCCAACACTGTTACATTGGGGATTAAGTTTTCCACACATGAACTCCAGGGAACACATTCAAACCATAGCAAAGGCCAATTCTCAAGGGAGCAGATATGACACCAGGGATTCTAAAAATCTTGTACATGGCATAAAGAAACCCTCCACATGGGAACTTGGGCACACTCCTCAGAATGGGGTGATTTTCTTGGCCTGTGCTATTGCTATCTTGAAACATCCTGACATCCTGAAAAGGAAAAACAAGACAAAATTTGAATTCCACTTAAATTCAAGATAATTTATTTCTTGAATTTTTAAGAGTAGGACATTTGTAAATTTGGGGAGAAGCACATTTTCTGCATCTATTTATAAAATGGACTTAAGATTTTTTGAGAAAGAGGATGGGTTTAACATATTTTTCTAAAAGAAGGAAATAAGTAAAAAGAATAATAATTTAAAGTTGAATATTATAAATCAGCAGAGTCATGTGCCTGAATTAACATTTAATGTTTAATATGAATTCAGATATAAAGAAAACCAGGAAGATTAAGACAGTCGTGCAAGAAGTAGTGGATGGCAAGGTCGTGTCATCTGAAGTCAAAGAGGTGGAAGAAAATATCTAAATAGCTACCAGAAGGAGATGCTGCTGAGGTTTTGAAAGAAATTTGGCTATAATCTTATCTTTGCTCCCTGCAAGAAATCAGCCATAAGAAAGCACTATTAATACTCTGCAGTGATTAGAAGGGGTGGGGTGGCGGGAATCCTATTTATCAGACTCTGTAATTGAATATAAATGTTTTACTCAGAGGAGCTGCAAATTGCCTGCAAAAATGAAATCCAGTGAGCACTAGAATATTTAAAACATCATTACTGCCATCTTTATCATGAAGCACATCAATTACAAGCTGTAGACCACCTAATATCAATTTGTAGGTAATGTTCCTGAAAATTGCAATACATTTCAATTATACTAAACCTCACAAAGTAGAGGAATCCATGTAAATTGCAAATAAACCACTTTCTAATTTTTTCCTGTTTCTGAATTGTAAAACCCCCTTTGGGAGTCCCTGGTTTCTTATTGAGCCAATTTCTGGGTTAATCTTATTGATTTTTCAGCATCAGTACAACTCTACAACCTTTGAGCTATATCTGCTTTTTCCCATTGCTTCCACTGCCTTTTAAAACTCAACACAGCTTTTTGAATAATTTGAGAGTCAAATTCAATCACAAATGCTGAGCAGAATAAGAGTGAAGTACACTATACTTAAAATGGAAATAGATTAAAAACAACATTACTGAAACCCTTCTCAAGGCAAAATGTGTCTCCTTTTGATAATAAGCTGCATATACTATCAGGTCCTCTCTTTCTTTATATGGTGAACATATATTTTTAATGAAATGTCTCTCATTTTTTTAATAACAGATTTATTGAGATATAATTCACACACCATGAAATTCACCCTTACAAAACGTACAATTCAGTGGTCTTCAGTATGCTTACAATGTTTTGCAACCATCACCACTATCTAGTTTTAGAACACTTCATCACCCCAAAAGGAAATCTTGTACCTATTAGTAGTCACCGCCTTTTCCCTTCCTCCCAGCCCCTAACAACCACTAATCTACTTCCTGTCTCTACGGATTTGCCTACTCTGGACATTTCATATAAATAGGTTAATACGATGTGTCCTTTTATACACAAATGTTCATAGCAGCATTACTCATAAAAGCCCCAAAGCGAAACACCTCAAGTGTCCATCAACCGATGAATGGATAAACAAAATGTAATATATCCACACAATAGAATCTTATTCGTCAATAAAAAGGAATGAAGTACTGATACATGCTATAACAGAGATGAACTTCGAAAACATGCTAAGTGAAAGAAGCCAAATCCAAAAACAATAAAAACACATATTGTATCCTCACCCTTTTTGCATTTTAGTGAGCAATCATTGCATATGAATGTTTATGGGAAAAATCAATGTGTGCTAAATCATTGTATTCCAGTAAATAGATTGGACTTAAAACTTGATACAGAAGTTGCAAATAAGTGGGATTGAGTTTGATTATTATATAGAAAATAATTACATGATTCATTTAAGAATAATAATATCCACCATTTATTGAGCACTTACTATGAGCCTGTGTGCCAAACATTTCATGCATTTCTCATTTAATTCTCACAATAATCCTGTGAGGTAGAAGCTATTAGGTTGAATCATATGAACTTGCCAATATATGATAATTTCTAAGAGTTGGGAATTTTTGAGGATGTGAATGGTACCACTTTGAATTCCTAAGATGTAATATAATATCTAACACATAGCAGGCACTTGATTCATTATTTTAAATTGAAAGAATAAAGATTTTTTTAAAGCTTTCCAATATATGATAATTTCTGACTTTCAGAAATAGCAATTTTATATGCTATTATATAGCATATATAATAAGGTTCAACCTTATTATGTTACCCCCACTTTACATATGAGGATAAATGAGGACTCATATGAAGACATGAGATAAAGACTTTCCCAAAGTCAAGCAGTTACCAAGTAGTAGAGCGAGACTGAACCTCAGCGCTGTTTCTCTAAAACCAGGACACCCTCATAAGCAACTAATTACATAACAAAGCAATACATGATTCACAGTTGAAATAGGCACTTGCCTATCCGCAGTTATTTTGTTGTTTTCTAATTGTCATTTTCATCAGCCAGACACAACAGCCAATTGTGGCAAATGTCCAGCTTTGCTGGCTAACATCACACATGACTTGATTCAGTACAACTTTTGTCAGAAAAGGTATTCTCACCTATTCTCATTGCCTTCTTTTCCAAAGTGAAAAGATTTCACTCATTTTTTTCTTAATTTTCTTCCAAGTCACGCTAGCTAGTAAGTTGCATTTAAAGATGTTAAGAATATTTAAAAGTGAATTCTTTTTCACCTACTGAGACACATTCCAGAATAGTCTGAAACTTTGACATGCAAATACCAGACTGTGAATCTGATTAATAAGAAACCTATGCAGATGGGTTTGTAACTGATTAGGCCTGACCACTGTTATATGGCAATGATGACACTGTGTTAAAAGAGGTAGGATTGTTATTCTTAATTTAGGATGGTCCTCTTTTAACTACCTGTTAAAAGAAGTAGAATTGTTATTTTTAGATCAGAAAAATGAAGATTTTTTCTTCCTCTTGCTTCTTTGGTCTGTCTCTAGTTTCTTCCAAGCAATCTTTCAAAGAAGTGAGTGAGAGCTACATACATGTGGACCAGATGGTGGAGTTCTACCTCCAGTTCTGCCAGCAGTTACTGTGTGAAAGTGAAGCATTAATCTTTGTATCTATCTATATTTCTGATATGAGCTAAGAACTAGAATGACATAATCCTATTTCTGACAGGTAAACAGATCCAGAGAGAAGTCTTTATCACACATTAGAATTATCATCAATGTATTTTTTCATTTTATATGAAATTGTCAGTGCAGAAGTGAAGCTATCAAACTCAGAGAGAGCCCCTAGAGGTGAGGTTAGGATGGAAATAACTATTTTTTCTGAGCTCTGGAGATTATTTCTACCCAGAGTTCTGAATCATCTAAAAAGGAGAATGACATGGAGTGATACAAAATCAAAACATGGCCAGTGACCTCCTCAGACACTCTGTTCTCATCCACATGCATCAGGATCAGCCTCAGGTACCTGATTAGACCCCCAAGTAACAATTCCAACTTAAAGCATTAGTAGTGATTTTTATTTTTGAATTCTCTTTCAAACATCTCTGTTTTCTCTCCCCTAGGCTCATTTCCAAGATTCCTCTCATCAGGGTATTATTTTATCATCTTCCTGTCTCCTACCACTTTCAAAATTCTCCCCTGCTTTCAAGAACCATTGATCTCTGGAGCCCAGAAGTCAATCTCACTCATACCCCTTAGGGTCCTTGTTTAACCCTCATCTCAAAAGCACAATACATAAAATGTAGGCAACCCAAAATTCTCTCAGTCACTCACAGGATTTTATAATGTTATCCAAAGTGAAAGATGTTACAGATCAAGGGATCAGCGAGTTGCAGAAAATGACAGGTCTGTCTTACGGGAAAAAACTCAGGTAGAAAACCCTGCAAAGACCAGGACAGAAACCAACCTGACATGAAAAGATGAGGGTATGATTTACTCAATAAAAATCTAAAGACTTGTAAAAACCACATAACTAATTTTCTCTATTTTGAACATTTCCTAAACTCTACAAAAATGGAAGATATAATTCTTTTGAACAGTTTGCCCTGGCTATAATCATTTTCCTCTCTGCCTCAACTTATGCAATCACTCTGCCAACAAGCCCAAGATTGTTTATTGTTTTTTACATCACCACTGCCTTATACATTAATGTGGCTGTCAAAGAAAATTATTTTCACTTCTAAAACCTCTAAAGCAGAGTCTTGATTATTTAACTTAGCCTCCCACTTAAAAAAAAAAAAGCCACTGAAGAAGAAATATTTCCCTTTTCAACTTCTGAAGTTGCTCCCCATTCATAACTGAATTCAGAATAAATATTGGTCAAAGCATACCAGTAAATTAGGGCACAGTCATTTTCAAATGAAATGAATTTCAAATGACACATTCAAACACATTAAGACTTAACTTCTTTCAAATGAAATCATTCAAGGAGTGCAGTGATAAAGTTCAGCGAAACACTAGGCTAGGACTCAGGATAAAAAATAAATTAGATGTAGTACCTACCTAACAAGCTTAGTCTAGGATAATATGTTATATGTATAGAAACATAAACAAATAATATATAAACATAATTTTTAGAGATTGAGCAATATTATTTAAATTTTACCATAGGCATTAGAGTTGGAAAGTGTACCTTTCAGCACAAAATCAATTCCAAGTTCAAAAATTCAACTTAATCATATTCCCGTATTATGTGATCAAATCACTGAGGTACAATTTTGAACTTGGCACATTTCTTTTGACATTTTATTTGCTTCTGTTTTCATTTCTATGGCAGTAAAATGGAATCTCTCTGTCTTGGGGGACACTTGGGAGTGAATAATAGTTAACAACCATAACATCAAGTTCTTGTGTGGGGAGTGCAAGTTTAACTTGTGCTTTATAAGATCTCTGGAGATGTAGTTACAGGTCAAAGCTAAAATGAAAACCGCATTTGCCTGTGTGTTTACAGAATTTCATGTGTCATGTTGTTGCTTATAAGCCATGAAAAGTCATTCTCTAGGTCTCAGCCCATACACTGAGAAATTCAAGGAGAAAGCTTAAAAGAAAAGAAAAAAAAAAGAGCACCTCCTGTTAGATGTGCAGGGCAGAAGCCTAGTGTCAGGTGTCATAGCTAGGGGATGTCAGAGTATCCTCTGCCCTTTTTATTGTCACCGCCAGCAGCAAGGTTGTGGTATCTATAGAAGGCACTGCAGGCCCGAATCCTATCTCTGCCTCCTCCCAGCTGCATGGGCGTAAATAAATCACTTAACATCTGGACTCTCAGATTGCTCATCTGTAAAATAGGATAAAAGTACCACCTGAAGCTGGGCGCCTTGAGGTGGCTCATGCCCGTAATCCCAGTGCTTTGGGAGGCCAAGGCAGAAGGATCACTTGAGGCCTAAAGTTCAAGACCAGCTTACGCGATATAACAAGACTCCATCTCTACAAAAAAATTAAAAAAAAAAAAATAGCCAGTGTTGTGGTGCCCACCTGTAGTCCTAGCTACTTGGGAGGCTGAGGCAGGAGGATTGCTTAAGCTCAGGAGTTCAAGGTTTCAGAGAGCTATGATCACACCACTGCACTCCAGCCGGAGTGAGGGCAACCAAGCAAGACCTTGTTTCAAACAAACAAACAAATAAAACCAGTACCACTTTAAGAGCTTGCCGTGAAGGTTAAAAAATAATGTCTGTAATTCAGCTGGCCCAGTGTCCAAAAAGTAGTAAGTACATAATAACTGATAATTCAAACAAGACCAGCTCAGTCAAAATGCTTATAATATAGATTTAAGGAATCCTTGGTAAAAACCTCCATATGGGGCTAAAATCACTGGCATTTCCACTGACCAGATTTTCATTCTCTCAAGAAATTAAACAAATGGATCATGGCTTCTCTCAAGCTGAGACTGCCTTAGGTTGCTACATTCTTTCCACATCTATAGCAAATGTGTGATTTCTGCAAATCTCTTGCTTAAACCCCCTTTATTTAGAAATCCCACTTGCTTGCTCTTTGTGACGAGTTTAGGTTGGGGAGAAATATGTCCCTTCACATTTGTCCCTTATGTAATAATATAAAAGGAAGTTGTAATTGGATTTCACCACGGGTTCATCATTTGTGTCCCTGGGAAAGTGGCTTTTTTTTTTTTTTTTAATAAAAAGTCAAAACAGTCCTTCCATTTGCCAGAATTGATCCCAGGTATTCCTTATGGAGGTTTGCCATGGGCTTCAGGTGTGACCCCTCGGCATCTGTCCCCTAATCCCCAGTGGGCACTGCTAGTTCTGGCTCAGGACTCTTCACAATGGAAGAACCTCAGCTTCGGGGAGGCTGTAATCAGGGAGATAATATCTGGATATGCAGGTGGACAGGAGGCAGCAGTAAACTACGGGGAATCTAGGCTACAGGTCTGGAATTCCTCAGGAGTCAGTCTGTACTCTACAAGGCAAAACAAGTGCTAACCATTGAGACTAACTCCAATGAGATAAAGGCCAGCGAAAGAAGCATTCTCAGGAGAAAGGGCTCCCAGGGAAGGTGGAGCAGCAGGGGCTGCAGAAGATCCCTCTGCAGGGAGCACCTGCACACTGGCACCAAGCAAAGACATCTGAGTGCATGTTTCTGGGTGTGTGTGTGTGCATGCATGTGTACATTAGAATGAGAGTAACATCTGAATGTGTCTACATTGTGAATCCACGAATACTTAAATTATTATACTTTGTAGCTTGCCTTTATATTGATACACTCTTTTTTGATTTTGGAAAAATTTCCTCATACATAACACACATTAATGGCCCAGCAGCTTGATTTATCAAGAGAGAAATCAATAAGCATATATTGAATGCTGACTTTGTCCAAGACACTGGGCAAATGGACTAGACATTGAAGAATGGAGGTAACAGCAGACCTAGTACTTGAATACTTTCATGTTGGCTTGGTTGAAATTCTTGATTTAATTTTCAAAAAGACCACATCATTTTGACATAATTCAAGTTGTGTAACAGTTACAGGCTTACTTCACATATTATCTCTGCTATTGAAGTGTCCAAAAAAATCAGGTTATTGTTTTAGTAAGAGAAACAAAAAGTATTGCATATGCTTATGGAAAAACCTTAAACAATAGCCACATATTTGCTAATTTTTATGGTTGATTGTTTGTATTAAGTAAGTAACATCTCAATGATCTCACAGGTATCCAATAATTTTGCTGAGAAATTAATCTTTACCAGATAGATTCAATCTCCACTTTAAAATGTATAGAAAGCCTCCTTTTTGGGAATTAAACATTGGGCACTCATGGACATATAGAATGCCAACAATAGACACTGGGAATTACTGTGGGGAGCAAAGGTTAAACAACTATTGGGTACTATGCTTACTACCTGGGTGATGAGATGAGTCGTACCCCAAACCTCAGCATCATGAAATATACACACGTAACAAACCTGCACATGTACCTCCTGAATCTAAAATTAAAGTTGAAATTTTTTAAAAAAAATCCAGTAGTGGTAAATAAATAAAAATAAAAATCTTCCTTTTTATGAAAGGTATGTATTATTAAATCAAATAAGAATTCAATTTTATTTTAGAAATCTAGAATACTTGTGATATTTTTAAAACTTTTCCTTAGAATAAAATAAAACGCAGAATCCAAATATACCAAATTGAAAAGGAGTTTTAGTGGCCATCTATAAGCAAACAGAGGTCCCTGATGGAGAAATGAAGGCCCTGTTTCCCACGAGGTAGGAAATGTATCATTACAATGATTTTAATGTATTTTATTTCAATAAATCCATTCTAGTCAAAATACATATATGTCTATAGCACACACAGTCAGTGTATACCTTATTAATAAAATTCAGTATAAACATCTTTGCAAAAAAACTGTTATTTACACCCAGAAATTTTATTTCCTATCATCAAATACAGAGCAAACTGAATTTAGAAATCTGAATCCAACAAAGGATTTCGAAGAATCCACAATCCATGTTCTGTACCCAATTATTAAAGTTCAAGTGATAGATAAGTATATAATCTTAAGAGAAAAGCAGATTATAAAATCTTATATTGAATCAATTATGTTCAAAAATGTATATAAAATACTCATATATACATACATCTTCTTTATGTTTTCTGCATCTTCTAAATTTCCTACTATAAATACATAGAGAGCTATATTTAAAAAAAAACTATAGAACTATTTTGCAATGAGACATGTAGAGAATTGGGCCATCATCTCAAAGAAAACATGTAAAAGAAAAATCCTTATTCCTTCTTATCCAATCAAAATGCTCACAATTTAAATTCCTAAGGGAATTCCACCACCCTGGAATTGTACTACTCGGTTTCCAGGTATCTACAACTCTCTCTGAAAGCAGGCTTCTTTCAAGTTAATGCATTTCCTGTAAGAACGTTAGTTCTCATGTTCAATATATAAGCCATATCAATTTCAAAGATAAATAATATACCAAACAAGAAAGTATAAGAACTTTATGTCTTAAAAATTAAAGATACTGGATATAATTCCTTGAAGCACGCTTTGCAAAGTTTTCACAACAAAGTTTAAAATATAACATTTAATTTATTCTATATTGTAAAATTTATCCTTTTTCATCATAGCAGTCAACTGAAATGGTTCACTAGCCTCTTAAACTTGGGGTTTTAATCATTTCTTAATTTGAACTGTGTTTCCACTTTCTCCTTATTGATAATGGCAACAAAATCTGAAGTGTTTACACAATCCATTCAACTAGTCAACACATTTATTGAGCAACCATTACAGGCAATATCTGTTGAAGGAATAAACATAGTAAATGCTGAGTGTAGAGCAGTGAGCAATCAGACAAGGTAAAACTGCTAAAACAACTATAATAAACTCTACTATAAACAACTGTACTCAAAAATAGTACTTTTCCAAGTTGAAGAATAAGAGGGAAAAGAAACATGCAACATCCTAAAGCCAAGGTTTTAAAATCCTTGAAAATGCAAATTCTAGTATCCATCTGGAAAATATATTTATTCTCCACCTTTCACCAGTGCATTTCACAGCTGCTTCTGAAGCTGTATTCCACTAAAAGGTATACTTGATCATGACTGGATTTTACATTGGATTGGTTTTTCCAAAGGAAACAAATGGTTTACACTGGATTTTCCAAAGGAAACAAACAGAAAAGATCAGGGAAGAACTTAAAAAAGCATAAGGTTTAGGAAGAAGTATTTAACGTATCCATTCAGCAATCGCTCATTATCTTCCTACTGTGAACAAGACGCTAGGCAGTGCTGGGAATACAGGCAACAGACTAATTTGGAGAAGAAAAATTCCTTATGACAAGCAGACTCTACTCCACCCAGCTTTCTTTTTCATATAACAAATATTTAATGGAAATGATTATTCGATTATTTCTGTATCAATGAATTTTCATTATACATAAATCATTCACTTGTTGAGCTGGCCAAAAACCTGGGGGGAGGATCCAATTTTGAGTGGAGAAAGTGAACTTTTCAACTGCGACACCCATCTTGCAGCCTATATAAGTTTAGCTTTCTGGCTTGCTGGCACAACTTCCTCTCCAGTTGTGGCCACCTTCCCCAGGCCATGGATCTCTCCAACAACACCATGTCACTCTCAGTGCGCACCCCCGGACTGTCCCGGCGGCTCTCCTCGCAGAGTGTGATAGGCAGACCCAGGGGCATGTCTGCTTCCAGTGTTGGAAGTGGTTATGGGGGAAGTGCCTTTGGCTTTGGAGCCAGCTGTGGGGGAGGCTTTTCTGCTGCTTCCATGTTTGGTTCTAGTTCCGGCTTTGGGGGTGGCTCCGGAAGTTCCATGGCAGGAGGACTGGGTGCTGGTTATGGGAGAGCCCTGGGTGGAGGTAGCTTTGGAGGGCTGGGGATGGGATTTGGGGGCAGCCCAGGAGGTGGCTCTCTAGGTATTCTCTCGGGCAATGATGGAGGCCTTCTTTCTGGATCAGAAAAAGAAACTATGCAAAATCTTAATGATAGATTAGCTTCCTACCTGGATAAGGTGCGAGCTCTAGAAGAGGCTAATACTGAGCTAGAAAATAAAATTCGAGAATGGTATGAAACACGAGGAACTGGGACTGCAGATGCTTCACAGAGCGATTACAGCAAATATTATCCACTGATTGAAGACCTCAGGAATAAGGTAAGATCTCTTTTGGAGGCGCTTTGGGAATTTTTTTTTTCCTTTTTACCATTACAATGTTTTACAGTGATAATCACCTACAACTTTGATATTTTCCAATTTAGCTGTACTTGCAGCAATTTTCTCATCCCAGGTTGTTTCACTCCACTTTATCATTTACTAAGAAATGATTGTATTTCCATTATCTTTCTGTAGGAAATCTGCATTTCTTTACTTCTCAATATTATTTTATACAGATATTGTCTTAGAAAAATGAAACTGTCTTAAACTCTAAATAAAACAGCATTTAATATCACCATTTTCACCTTTGTGTCAAAAATATATTTGTATAATACTAGTCTTTTAGGGCTTCAATCTTGTGTGTGTCCCTCTCTTTTGCCAGATCATTTCAGCCAGCATTGGAAATGCCCAGCTCCTCTTGCAGATTGACAATGCGAGACTAGCTGCTGAGGACTTCAGGATGAAGTGAGTCGAATAAACTGAAGATCATGGGCGTGTCCCACCATGTCTTCTGTCCTACTGTCCTGCCTTCATTGATATAAAATCTTCTGAAGTTCACATACTCCATATATTTACTGTTTTGGTAAATTCACATAGGGTGTTCTAGAAAGTAATTAGAATCTAATGCAATTCAGATTAAATGTCCTTAAATTATAAGTTACTTAAACCCAGGGCTATGGATCACGATATTTGTAGTGTGCTATTGACTCAACTCATGATGTGACTGACACCATAATCCTACCAGTGTCCTAAACCTCAATTTTCTTTTTTTGTTTTTTGTTTTTTGTTTTTGAGATGGAGTCTCGCTCTGTCACCCAGGCTGGAGTGCAGTGACGCGATCTCGGCTCACTGCAACCCCTGCCTCCCAGGTTCAAGTGATTCTCCTGCCTCAGCCTCCCGAGTAGCTGGGATTACAGGCGGCTGCCACCGTGCCCAGCTAATTATTGTATTTTTAGTAGAGACGGGGTTTCACTATCTTGGCCAGGCTGGTCTCAAACTCCTGACCTCATGATCCACCCGCCTCTAAACCTCAATTTTCAATGTATCAACCATTGTTTTCCTGATGACACATACAATGGAAAGATTAACCATGTACTAATTTTTATATTCCTTCCTCCTTTTCCATGCTCAACTCTCCCAGATATAGGTAAGAAATACTAATTTCCTTTTTGCTTCACAAAATTTCTACACAGGAAGTTGCAATGGCCATGGTTCTGAACCTGTAAAATCTTAGTCAAAGCCACTAAAGAAGTATCAGTGTTTTAAGTTAAATCATGAAGAACGTTAAGCAAAAAGAGTAACTTATTTTCAACGGCTTTTAGAAATTCCACTTAGAGAGGGGCTGCTGCTATTTACAGCCACGGCAGCCAGCCAAAGGGAAAATTATTCCCTGGGATGCTGTGGTATTGGGATTCATCGCTGGTAGGAAAGTATTGCCTTATAATTTATTCACTTTTCTTCTCCTCCCCAACTGAACAGTAAACAATGGTGGGAAAAAAGGAAAGGAAAAACACAACAGCAAAAACTGCATCATACACTACAATGCTGCCATTATTAAGTAGGTGCACAGATTTAAGCAAGAAATAGCCCTGAAGATCAGTGGCCTTGTTCAAATGGTTGTGTTGATTCCCTCAACTGCTTTGCACTTGGTTTTCAGGTATGAGAATGAACTGGCCCTGCGCCAGGGCGTAGAGGCCGACATCAATGGCCTGCGCCGGGTGCTGGACGAGCTGACCCTGACCAGGACCGACCTGGAGATGCAGATCGAGAGCCTGAACGAGGAGCTGGCCTACATGAAGAAGAACCACGAGGATGTGAGTCAGACAGGGCAGCCTCACTCAGCTACTTTTTTTTTTCTCCCAGACCCAAAAATTACAATTTCAAATTTAGAAATCTGGAGTCAGGACAAGTATGGAGAATACATTGTCTCCCTGTTAAAATGGCCATTTGTTTTAGATTTCTGTGTGATGTGTGTGGTATGTGTGTGTGTGATGTGTGTGTGTTGGTAGTAGTGATGGTGGTTCCTGCTAAGGCTCAACAAATTTGAGGCACTTTCTGATTTTGTCATTTTCATTATAAGGCAATGACAATAGGAATGCTAACAGTCCTAATTCAGTGATTTTAAAAAGACTGAGTATTTTAAAAGTTAAAACAAAAGTCTACCAATAATATATAATGTTTTATATGTCAGAGAAACTGGTTATACTTAGCATAATGCACACCAGAAAACTCTGAGGTGCCATGGTGCATATTGGAGGCTAGGTAGGGAAGGGATGCTGGCAATAGGAAGTTTCTACTAGATTTTCGATGATTGTGGCACAAACAGCGTGCAAGCCCAGGTACTGTCTGCAGCCCTCGGTTTGGCAGCTGTAGGTGAAAACCCCAGTGAGTGTACGCCAGGCCTCCTTTCACGTGAAGGTCGTGGTCCCTCAAGAAGCAGAGCCAACTTACCCATTAGGCACAGCAGGCACTGCTCCCAGGGTCTGTGGTAATTTCAGGGACCCATGAATATGTCTTAAGTTCTTGTAATATCAGAAGAAAAATATGAATTTTGAGGTTAAAAAAGTTTTAATGTATTACATTAATATATTTGTCTTTATACCAACAGTCATAAGATAGAATTTTTAAGTGTGTGTGTGTGTGTGTGTGTGTGTGTGTGTGTGTGTAGGAAGGGGCCCAAGAGGACAAAAGTATCCAGGGCCCACGAAAGTCACAATGGACCCCTGTGCCCCTCTCTCTCACATGCTGTCCCCAGGAGCTCCAAAGCTTCCGGGTGGGCGGCCCAGGCGAGGTCAGCGTAGAAATGGACGCTGCCCCCGGAGTGGACCTCACCAGGCTCCTCAATGATATGCGGGCGCAGTATGAAACCATCGCTGAGCAGAATCGGAAGGACGCTGAAGCCTGGTTCATTGAAAAGGTAACACAAACAACAAAGGCTTTGATACATTCACAGAAAGGCCTGCGAACGAGCTCAGCGCTCGAGCCCCCTGGCTGTCTTTGCTGTTGCAGAGCGGGGAGCTCCGTAAGGAGATTAGCACCAACACCGAGCAGCTTCAGTCCAGCAAGAGCGAGGTCACCGACCTGCGTCGCGCCTTTCAGAACCTGGAGATCGAGCTACAGTCCCAGCTCGCCATGGTAGGCTCGTGCGCAAACAGACGTAGCATCCTTTGGACTTCCAAAGAAAATGCTGCATCCAAATTACATTAGCCGTTGGCTACCCTCCTCTTTTCGGTCCCCTCCATCGTTATTTCTATGCCATTTCCCTCCCACGTGCAGAAGAAATCCCTGGAGGACTCCTTGGCCGAAGCCGAGGGCGATTACTGCGCGCAGCTGTCCCAGGTGCAGCAGCTCATCAGCAACCTGGAGGCACAGCTGCTCCAGGTGCGCGCGGACGCAGAGCGCCAGAACGTGGACCACCAGCGGCTGCTGAATGTCAAGGCCCGCCTGGAGCTGGAGATTGAGACCTACCGCCGCCTGCTGGACGGGGAGGCCCAAGGGTGAGCAGACAACGGAGGCTGTAAACACCTTCAGGGGCTGACCAAGAGTGGGCAGCAGAAATAGAAGGAATGGGGTTTTAGTTGACAGAAAAGCAAACAAACAAACACAAGTCTAGTAAAGATATGCCTGGGATTTACTAAATGCTCTACACTTTGCAAAGTGTTTTCACCCATTATCTTACTTGATAATTCATAAAATGCTGCAAAGAACAAAGGCACCACGGTCAGAAACAGTTTGTAAATGAGTACTCCCTGTACTATAAAAGTCACTTACTCAATTTCTGATATCAAAGACCTGATGATAAGAAGGACACATAGTAGCCACCTGAACCACCTACTCTAACAAGCTTTCCAAAAGTGATCAGAGTCTGCACTAGTTGGAAGAACTCAGGCCTACAAATTGGGAAATCTAATTTCTCAGACCAGATCTTCCATTAAAAGCCAGGTTGTTTCACTTTTTGAGGTCATCTCCTTTGTTTTCTTACAGTGATGGTTTGGAGGAAAGTTTATTTGTGACAGACTCCAAATCACAAGCACAGTCAACTGATTCCTCTAAAGGTATGCAGAAACCCTAGAATCACTTAGAATAAGTCGGAATCACATTTATTAATGCAAAACCTGTAAGACCTCATTGACTACTGCATTATTATTAATTTTAATTTAAAGCATATTTATATTCTGAGCCAAGGAAAAACATTTATGCATTCCTGCACAAAATGAGTAGTCTATACCATATTAAAACTTTTGGGGGCCTGGGCATGGTGGCTCATGCCTGTAACCTCATAGCTTCGGGAACCTGAGGTGGGAGGATCGCTTGAGGCCAGGAGTTCGTGACCCACCTGGGCAAATAGCGAGACCCCATCTCTACAAAAAACTTAAGAAAAAAAATAGCTGGGTGTGGTGGTGTATACCTGTGATCTCGGCTACTCTGGAGGCTGAGGCAGGAGGACCGCTTGAGCCCGGGAGTTAGAGGTTATAGTGAGCTATGATCATGCCACTGCATTCCTACCTGGGCAACAGAGCCAGACCCTGTCTTTAAGAAAATTAAAATTAAAATTAAAAAATAAAAAAAATGGCAAAGCAGAAGGGAAAAAACCTACTCTGCTGCAAGGTATTATGATCACCATAACCACCTTTGAAATGTTTTCTTAAAAAAAGTTTTCATATATGTACAAGGCAACACTGAATACATTTCATTGTCATTGGCTAAAACACATTTTTGAGAAGTAAAATTTACTTTTGAAAGTTTAATTAGATGGATTGTATCAACCAATGCTTAATTTAGAAGCCTACATTAAACAACCAGTGTTGGATTAATATTTGAAACACTAACTCTTGCCCCCTTATTCCATTTTTATCTTTAGACCCAACCAAAACCCGAAAAATCAAGACAGTTGTGCAGGAGATGGTGAATGGTGAGGTGGTCTCATCTCAAGTTCAGGAAATTGAAGAACTAATGTAAAATTTCACAAGATCTGCCCCATGATTGGTTCCTTAGGAACAAGAAATTTACAAGTAGAAATTATTCCTTTCAGAGTAACATGCTGTATTACTTCAATCCCTATTTTTGTCTGTTCCATTTTCTTTGGATTCCCTATTCACATTGAATCCTTTTTGCCCTTCTGAAACAATATTCAGTCACAAGTCATTTTGGTCATGTTGGTCTTTGTAACAAATCAAAATTACCTTATATCCTTCTGGACCTGGAGTAGTCTTTTAACGAACTTTCTTCTGGTAACCCGGAATATTTTTTAATCATAGAGCTTTAATCAAGTAGTATTGTTTTAATAGAGTTAATTGTAATAAAAGATGAATGGTAATAATGTGAAATGTATGCCTTGATTCCAACAAGAATGTCAAGAGCATAGAGAGAAGTTTTTGAAATACTACTAATAAAATAGAGGCTGGGAGTAATGACTCACACCTATAATCCCAGCACTTTGGGAGGCTGAGAGGCAAGATGATTGCTTGAGGCCCGGAGTTCAAGACCAGCCTGGACAACATAGAGAGACCCCCATCTCTACACAACATTAATAATGATAATAATGATAATGTAGATAAAACTGGGATGAAGATGTCAGGGTTTGAGGATTAAGCTAAAAGAAGATTCTTTTAGAAGTTCTGGCCTTTTTATGTAAGCTCATCAAGGTTGTAGCAAAATTATATTGTCTACTACAGCAGTTGAGAGTTGTCCTGTTCATTTTCTAGCACCATCATTCATGCAGTCAAGAAACGCTGAGCCCCTACAGTGTGCCAGGTTGGAGGCTCAGTGATGAATATGATATGGTCCTTGCCTTGAGGAGCTCATGGTTGAGGGCAGAGATAAACACCTACCAAGAATGTTGATACAGTGAGATCTGTTGAATAGAAGTTCAAAGGGCTGGGCACCATGGCTCACGCCCGTAATCCCAGCACTTTGGGAGGCTGAGGCGGGCAGATCATGAGCTCAAGAGATCAAGACCATCCTGGCCAACATGGTGAAACCCCATCTTAACTAAAAATACAAAAATTAGCCGGGTGCAGTTGCAGGTGGCTGTAATCCCAGCTACTCAGGAGGCTGAGGCAGGCGAATCACTTGAACCCGGGAGGCGAAGGTTGCAGTGAGCCAAGATTGCACCACTGCACTCCAGCATGGCAATAGAGTGAGACTCTGTCTCAAAAAAAAAAAAAGCAAAAAAAAGAAAACAAACAGAACTTCGAAGGACACATGGAAGAAGTGAACAATTTTCCAGGAGGGGCAATGAAATGCTACATAAAGAAATCATCCAGGTAGACGAGGGAGAAAGGCAACAGGGCAAATACATGTGAAAAGACAGAGGGTGTGAACAAACATGGTTCTGCTCTCCTTTCTCCTAGCTGGCAGCAGTGAGGCCCAGGGTGGGGTCCCCACTGGGGCAGGTCAGACCCACAAGTCAGTAACAAAAATCATGTTCTGCATTAGGGAAAAAGGCAGCCAAAGTCTCAGCCTGAGTAGATGGTGGTTCAACATGGGTTGCCAAATTCAAAACCCTAAAAGGAAAATGGGCAAAATTCAATGATTAAGAGCCTGGCCTCTAACATCACACTGGGTTCAATTTCCGGCTCTGCTACTTAATAACAAGTAATTTAACCTCTGTGTTCCTCAGTTTCTTAAAGTGGAAATGATAGCAATGACTGCACCTGCTTCATGGCACGGGTTTTGTGAAGATGAAATGAGGTCGTGTACCTAAAGCACTAGGAACCTGGAAACTATTGGCACCTAGAAAGTACTCAATATTTGTGTCTTATTATTATTTACTGTATGAAACCAAAGTGGGATGAAGAAACAAGGAGACATGGTGAATAAGGAGTGTCAAAGAAGCAGAAGGGAGAGGGAGGAGTTGTGTTAGACAAGAGGAATTCCAGAGCTGAGTCCAAAGGCCAATGGCTAGTCAGCCAACTTAAGCTGATTTGCTTCAGTATGCAGCTTTTCCTTTTAATATCATTTATATGGCCAGATGCAGTGGCTCACGTCTGTAATCCCAGCACTTTGGGAGGCCAATATGGGCAGATTGCTTGGGCCCAGGAATTCAAGACCAGCCTGGACAACATGGTAAAACTCTGTCTCTACAAAAAAAATTTAAAAAATAAAAAAAAATTAGTCGGGTGTGGGGGTGCACACCTGTAGTCCCAGCTACTTGGGAGGCTGAGGTGGAAGGATTACCTGAGCCTGGGAAGGTCAAGAATGCAGTGAGCTGTTATCGTGCCACTGCACTCCAGCCTGGGCAACAGAGTAAGACCCTGTCTCAAAAAAAAGAAAAGAAAAAAATATTTTTAATGGTTTCAGATCCTCCACTCATCTCACTTTATTATACGCTCAGCTCTCTTTGTCTAGCCTTCACCTTCCAGCACACATCCTAGGGTAACCTTTACCTTTCAGACTCAAAAGGATTTTATCAAGGCCTCTGAACAAGGTCCACAGCCCCCAAGTAATAAATAAAGGATTCTACTTCCCTGGTGCTCAAAAGTGTCTGCAAATAGTTACTGCTTTAAATAACATCTGTTTTCCTTACAACTACATAAGAATGGTGTGAGACTCAAAGGGGAAAGGATTTTGCACAAGTATAAATGCAAGGGTCATTTATTAGCTAGTACCATAGTTTCTCAGCATTCCCTTCTCTTGGAAATTTTTTACCACAAAGCTCCCAGAGCCATCACTCTGTAGGCAGCTTTTTCTCAGACTTCTGTGACTGAATGTTGGCTCAATCCTCTTGTCTTTTCTCTATACTCCCTCCCCAGGTAACCTCATCTGATCCCTCCCCAGCCTCTCCTCCCTGATCTTATCCCATGGGTTTTGTTTGTTTGTTTGAGAGGGAGTCTCGCTCTGTTGCCCAGGCTGGAGTACAATGGTGTAATCTTGGCTCACTGCAACCTCCACCTCCCAGGTTCAAGCGATTCTTCTGCCTCAGCCTCCTGAGTAGCTGGGGCTATAGGCATACACCACCACGCCCAGCTAATTTTTGTAATTTTGGTAGAGACAGGGTTTTGCCATGTTGGCCAGGATGGTCTCCATCTCTTGACCTCATGATCTGCCCGCCTCGGCCTCCCAAAGTGCTGGGATTACAGGTGTGAGCCACCGCACCCAGCCAATCCCATGGTTTTAAATAGCACCCACATATTGGTGACTTGTGGCAGCCTCCAGGTTGGTGCCAGTGATCCCTGCCTCCTGGTCTTCATTCCCTTGTGTAGTTCCTTCTCACAATGAACGAGGAGCAGATTTATTGAAGAAGTGACAGTATATGACCTCCAAAGATAGATCACAAAGGCCTTTCAGTTCTTCCTTGGTCTCCTGGACTATATGCTCTTGGGGAAGTCAGCTACCGGCAGGGTTATATCGTGGGGGAAAAAACTATCTGAAAAAAATTCGTGATTTCACAAAATTTCCCATTGAAGTTCCAATGGCTAGGATTTCATGGCACAGCCAGCAAGACCCAAATAATAGTCCTTTTCTGATACTATCTTGGCCAAAATATCCTATAAGTCTTCACTTGGCAAAGGAAGCATTACATTTCTTATTATGTAACTTCACTTTGCCCTGTTCTCACTGACAAGAAATGCAACTAGCACAGCATCTATCAGTCCCTTCGGGCGGCTAGAACAAAATACCTCGGACCGCGTGGCTTAAAAATGAGAGAAACTTATTTCTCACAGTTCTGGAGGCAGCTTCACTGTCTGATAAGGACCCGCTTTCTGGATCATACACAGCTTCTCGATATATCCTCACATGGCAGAAGGGACAAAGCAATGCCCCAGGGCCTCATTTATAAGGACAATAATCCCCTTCGCCAGGGCTCCACCCTCATGACCTAATCCACTCTCGAAAACCCCACCTCCTAATACTGGGTCATTGGTGATTAGGTCTCAACATACAAATATGGGGGGACAAAAACTTTCAGACCATAGCAGCATCCTTATCATGAGAGTCTATCCCTCATTCACTAGGCCACAAGCCCTAATTCAACACAGATGTGAGAGGTCCCTTTGGACTCGGCAAGTAATGAATTGCAGAAGTGGAAGGTCTGTCTTTAAAGAAAAGAACTCCTAAGAAAAAAAAACTGAATAAAGAATCCTATAGCAAAAGACAAGTACATTGTTTATGATTATCCTAAAATCTAAAATTTTACAAATTTAAATTTTTACTTTGATATGCATATGTTGTGTGTAAAAGCTAGTGGAAGGTCTGGAAAATACTGTATATATACTGAACTGTTATAGTAGTTATCTCTTGGGGATTAGCAAGGGGTTTGAAGAATACCTTTATTAAAATGTTTAACAAACAGCATATATGACTCTGATAATCAGAAAAAAAAATAAATGTTATTCTCCCAAACAAATGGCTTTGCAAATGGGTCACAGCAGGAAGGAACCACCTAGAAAAACAACCACGTAGAAAAACAAAGCCAAAGCTTTATTTCTTTAGGCTTTGTAAGAGTGCCATCTTCTGGAGTCTCAAGAAATGAACTTTAAAATAAACTAACCTGGCTGGGCGCGGTGGCTCATGCCTGTAATCCCAGCACTTTGGGAGGCCAAGGCAGGTGGGTCACTTGAGGTCAGGAGTTCGAGACCAGCCTGGCTAACATGGCGAAACCCTATCTCTACTAAAAATACAAAAATTAGCCAGGAGTGGTGGCGTGCGCCTGTAGTCCCAGCTACTAGGGAGGCTGAGGCAGGAGAATAGCTTGAACCCAGGAGGCGGAGGTTGCAGTGAGCCAAGATCACACCACTGCACTCCAGCCTGGGCAACAGAGCAAGATTCCGTCTCAAAAAATAAAATAAAATAAAATAAAAATAAGCTAAGCCTGTGTGTTCAAGCCACTTGAGATGTATTGATACTAGAAGGTTTATCTTTTAAAACAAGAAAGAAGAAAAAAAGCAAACCTTTTACAACGATCAACTTAGCAAATTAAAATTGTCTTATTTAACTAATAATTAGTTTCCAAAAAGTTCACCAGTAAGGAGGCAGTTCTACAAGGCATAAAGTGAAAAAGAAAGTTAGCAATTATTTAGAGTTAAGAAAACCAGCCAATCAATAACTACTCAGGCTTTAAAAACATACTCAAATATCAAATGAAAATGAAATTCTTAATCATATAGCTGAGTAAATGATTTTTTTATGGGGTAGTAAATGTTTCTTAAATCTTGGAACTGAATCCAAGATTGTGCTGAGCTAAAGAAACCAGACACAAAAGAATACATACTGTATGATTCCATTTATATGAAACTTTCAGAAAGATAAAATCTCATCTATAGTGACAGAAATAAGCTCAGTGGTCACCTGAGCTGAAAGGTGTGGGAGGAGTGAGAATTAACTGGTTAACCTGGAAGGGGCACCTGAGAACCTTTGGGACCGATGGAAGTGTTCCGTATCTTGACTGTGGTGATGGGTCCATTTAGCAAGGCTCTTCAAACTGCACATTTAAAACGAATATATTTCATTGTAAGTAAATATTAACTCAATAGTCAATTTTAAAATAATAATTGAATATTCTTTCTTCAGATGATACTGTCCACAGGCGCAGAGAGGCCATGTAGGATCGTCAAAGGTGTCCTAGGGCAAGCTGGCTCTTAATCACTGATCAGTAAATATTCAGGAATTTTCCAAGCTGGCTATTAAACCATGGGCAGCTTGAAATTGGCCATGATGGGAGTATTTACACAAATGGAACTTGGGCTTTTAAAATGTATTTCCCAGAAAACTGTTTTACACCAGTACACCACTGAGCATAGAGGTTAAAAGCACAGTTCAAAGGCCTGAGTTTGGGTCCCAGCTCTGGCACTTTCTAATGGTTTTACTTACCTCTCTGTTCCATAGTTCTCTGTTCCCTAAAATCAAGGCAAAAAAGGATACCTGCTTCACGCCCTATTATGAGAATTCTATGGGTCAATTCACACTTGGCATATAGTAAGCACTAAATATTACCTGCTATTATTATGCAAAGAAAAAAAGTCTCTCTACAACTAAAGAAATGAACTGGTTTACATATTTCCCCCAGACATATTTATTCTTTTTCTTCCCTTCATGCACAATCCTAAATTATTCCACTTTTGTAAAAAAAAAAAGTGCACTTTTCTCACCCAACATATGGGGAGGGGGGAATAATATTTATCTTCCCTCTATCACAAGTTGTGAGCATCAAATAAGCCAACTTCTGTGAAGGAGCTTAACAAGCCATAAAGCACTTTGAAACTATAAGATGTGCTTTCTTCAGAGATGGGGTCGCTCTCTGTCACCCAGGCTGTAGTGCAATGGTGTGCTCATAGCTCACTGCAGCCTCAAATTCCTGGGCTCAAGTGATCCTCCCACCTCAGACTACTGCCATTTTAGTCAAATGTCAGATGCCTGATGAAAGGTGCAAACCACGGTGCCTGTCTAAAATGCTAATATTAATGTAGCTGCTCAAATTGAAGGGGAGGATTCTACAACTAAATACAGAGTATATAAAATAAATTAAGAAAAACTGGGGCTGGGAGCAGTGGCTCACGCCTATAATCCCAGAACTTTGGGAGGCCGAAGCGGGCAGATCATGAGGTCAGGAGATTGAGACCATCCTGGCTAACACAGAGAAACCCTGTCTCTACTAAAAATACAGAAAATTATCCGGGCGTGGTGGCGGGCACCTGTAGTCCCAGCTACTTGGGAGGCTGAGGCGGGAGAATGGTGTGAACCCGGGAGGCAGAGCTTGCAGTGAGCTGAGATCGCACCACTGCATTCCAGCCTGGGCGACAGAGTGAGACTCCGTCTCAAAAAAAGCTTAGCATTCTTGGGAATTGTCATGCATGATTTTAGGGTTTATTTCTTAAATTAGCATAATATAGCAGAATTATAAATAAATGCAATGCTTTACACACATGCAATAAATTGTTTGCAAAACTCAGAATAGATATTTTAACTTTATAGACTGTAAAAACATGAGCATCAAGCTTTTTCAGGAAAAAAATTCTGCATACTACTCTTCTTTAGAATTAAATTCATTGCGAATTCTAGTTGCTAAAATATGTCATTGTTTTTTCACTATGTACATATTCTTAATGAAATGCAACTCTTCTTCAAAATGATGGAACAAATACGCAATTTAGAAGCAGACCTGTAAATAAATCACACTGATAAAACAGTCCACAGACAGCAGTGGGCTCTAATAGAAGCCATTTAGATGGTATTTCAGGCTTTCTCAGTGAGTCATTATCTTACTCAGAACAAGTTACTCAACTTGAGATGACTCACTTTGTACAAAAAGACAACAATAATATCACATATAATCACATTAGCCCGGCATTTTGAAATCTTTAAAAACACCGTAAACACACGACGCTATGACCTTGGTTGGTAAGAATATGGTCATTTTAGTTACTGACTTGCACTTATTGATCTCCTGAAGTTATACATACACTACTAAGTTTCTGCTAAGTGTACTCATTTTGAAATATTTCATTTATTTGCAAGTAACATGGGATTTTAAAGAAATCACGTCAGGCTGCAATTTCACGTTTCAAATAAACAGAGCAACAAGTATAACTTTTTTGACAAGTTGCAGTGTAATTTTTATTTTTTATTATTATACTTTAAGTTCTGAGATACATGTGCAGAACGTGCAGATTTGTAACATAGGCATACACGTGCCATGGTGGTTTGCTGCACCCATCAACCCATCATCTACATTAGGTATTTCTCCTTAATGTTATCCCTCCCCTAGTCCCTCACTCCCCGACAGGCCCCGGTGTGTGATGCTCCCCTCCCTGTGTCCACATGTTCTCATTGTTCAACTTCCATTTATGAGTGAGAACATGTGGTGTTTGGTTTTCTCCGCTGGCTTATTTATGTATACAAGTGGGGCATCACATATGCATTTATTTGTGTATTCATTCTGTAGCTGTAATAGGTTCATTGCCTGGATGTTCACAGCAAGTCAATACCCAGAGGCACCAGGTTGCAACAGAGACAGAGGTTTAATGGTAAGGCCAACAAATGAGGAGAAAAGAGAAAACCCCAAATCCATCTTCCCGGGGACTCTGGGGCGAGGGTTTTTAAGAGTTTTGGAGTGAGCCAAAGCATAGAGATTGTTGATTAGTTGAAGAGTACAGGGTGAAGTCCCAGGACAGGGAGAGAAAGAAACTGTACTCTCATGCTCATTTGGTTTGTCTGTGGGAGTCTTTAAATTGGTTGGCGTTAGCAGTTCCACAGTAATTCAGGATCCGTTTAAGCAATTCTTAAACAAAAGCCTCATGGTTCTAACATTAGAATTTCTATCTACAGGAACAATGGGGATGCAAATGGTCAGAATCTAAGGTTATGTGATGTTTAGTTACAAGGAAGTGGGTCAAAGTGCAGCCTGGTTAAAGCTTAATTATAACTACATTTCTGCCCAGAATTCTTAATTCTGTGAGGATGGCTTCAATTCCTTCAACAAGCTTTTATTTAGCACCAACTATATGTAAGACTCTACATAGTCTATTGAAAATAACCTCAGTTTTTATGATCTAAAGGCAAATACATGATAAAGTTTCATACAGTTTTTACATTGTATATTACAATTTACATTGGATAAAAAGTACCTCCCAAGGTGCTTTACGGTGTTTTCACTGGATACCCATTTTAAACAGCCTTATGTGCTGATTCTGGATGATAATTTTAATGTTAAACTTCCCTAGCCTATCTAATATATGACTGAGTAGGCTGACAAATAATAAAATAAATGTTTATCATTTAAAAAATACAAATATATATAATCAGCATCCAATAGAGATAATCCTGGAACAAAAATTAGTACTACAGAATTAGATCCAGGCTAATCAGAATCCAGCAGTGGTGTTATAGGAAAGCACAACAATGAAGTCCTTCTCAGTGTTATTACTCAGAGGCTAGGGGTAAGAAAAAGTCCTTCAGGTGATGTGAAGTTAGGAGAATTTTACTCAGTTCCCCTGTGTGACTATGGAAGGTGTTTTTACAGCTTGCAGAGCTGAAGGAGATAGAACTGAACGCTGGCCAGTGGGAAGACAAGAACTGCTCAAGGGAAAGGAAGGTCTCAGTAGGGAGGAGAACCTGATGAAAGTTTTAGTCATCATTATCATGATTATCTGTCACCTCCAGGGTACACAGGTAACAGTTGCATTAAAGAGGAGATCATTTCTGAGGAGCTAAAGGACAATATAATATTATAACACCAAAGACACAAAGCTGAAGTAGCAGGTTACACAATTATTTGCCAATTTGTCCACAGGGAGACTTTTTAGCTGCACTTTCCAAAGCATTGGCACTCTGAAAACTTAATCATATAAAACTACATTCCCAACATGTAGAATATGTATCATAAAACACTTGCTATACACATATATCCAAACATCTTATGTCCTTATGATAATTTATCTCTGAACTAAAAATCTATTTAGGATCACTATGGATCATTTAAATTATGTTTCATTTTGTCAGAAAAAAAAATCAAATAATAAAGCATTATTTTAACTGGCTTTTACCTTTCAGTTAAATTGAACTTTAACTAAACAATCAAAGAAAAATTATTCCTCTATCAATGTTGATCTAAAAATCTTTCAATTGTAGCTTTTTAACTAGGTCAAGCTCCAAGTCTCCTGACCCTAGATTTATTTATTCATTCATTCAACAGATACCTATACATATCCTGGCCATATCTGGTATTTTGCCTCCTCATCCAAGCCACTATTTATGTCTCTCTCCTGGCTGACCACACAGCTTCCACCTGTACCCACCTCTCTTCCACTCTTTCCACCAGAGCTGGGGGGATCATTTTGAAAAAGCTGATCCAGTCACTCCATTGCTTAAAGGCCTTCAAAGGCTTCCTATTGTCCTTGGAATAAAGACCAAAACCCAGCAAGGTATGGCCTGGCCTGGCCCCCTCTACCCTCTTTCAAATCGTGTGCCCTCTCTCCCCCTCTATCTTCTCCAAACCTACTGGTCTTGTTTACTTTATTTTTGTATATATTTAAGATATACAGCATATGAGGTTTTGATATACATATACTGAGTGACAGCAATACTACAGTCAAGTAAATTCTAACGCCATGCTCCTTCCCACTCTGGCAGCTTCTCACAAACTTTCCCTCTTTACCTAGAATGAGCCTCCACCCCCATTTTGGCCTAGTTAACAATCCTAGTCACCAGTTAGGTCCTAACTCAAATGCCCCTCATTAACCAAGTCAGGTTCTCCTATTCTACCTTCTCATACTATACTGTAGTTATCCTTCACAGCTCTTAGCGCAATTTGCAATTATACATTTATTTGTATGAATATTGAAATAATGTCTGGCTCTACCACTGCATTCTCTCTAAGGGCAGCGGCCATGTCTGTTTTGCCCTCCACTGTAGCCCTGGCATCTAGCACAGTGCATAAAACAGCACATATACCCTACTGCATAGGAGACAATCAATACTTGTTGAATACCTGTGCACAGAATTACGTACAAATGCTAGAATATTCACTCAGTAAAAGCTGGAATAATGCCTGTATTACTCTCCTGGGCTCAAGCAATCTGTCCACCTCAGCCTCCCAAAGTTCTTGGATTACAGGTATAAGCCACTGTGCTTGACCACCTGTATTACTCTCTAGGTACCATTAAAAGCACTCAATAAACACTGGTTGCACAAACATTGAATGGTGGCGATATATTTCTTCTATTATTTTCTTGAAATAGTCATTGAATTTTTATCCACTGATTTATTAACTCTAAATTTTCCAACACTTATCTTTGGAAAGACTGAATGAACAAACCCTACCTTATTAAGGCGCAGAAGCTAAGGAGTGTCCATCACAAAGGAAGCAAAGAGGATGGTTTGCATAGATTCCATTTGAATCTATTTGTTTTGGTTACTCTATTTAAAATATGCTTGCGTCATATGAAATTGAATTCCACTTACTTCCTTCTCCTTAAATCTTAATAAAGGAATTAGGCTGGCTGTTTGAGACTAAAAAATCCATCAAGAAGTTGTTTGCATTTTACTGAGATATTTGTTGAATTCAATATTTCCAGAAAACCCTCAAGATACTTGTCACTCTATAGGGACACAAAATTTTCTTATCTAATATGTACAATCTTTAACTTGACAATTTCACAAGGCATATTGATATAAATCATATTGCTCAATATCTGGTGACTCAGTAGAAAGTGATCTTCAGTTTCAACAAGCAGTCTTTTAATTCATGACGCTTTTTCTTAAGGAAATTAACCTGAGGACTTTTTCCCATACATCTAAAGAGTACTAGAAGTTGCTTTCAAAACATAGAGTAACTTGGTTTCCATGTAGTATTTATAAGAAAAAAAAATCTGTAGATATTCACTTATAAAGGCAAGCTTGGAATCCTCTAATTCGTCATTAAAGTGTGCTTTGTATGTAGGCAATCGCCTAACCATAGATACAAAACTGAGTTATCTTAAAATGGCTGATGGAACACTGGCTTTCCATGAAAATATTCAGTCTGAAAATGTAATACTCCTGCCAATCTAGATCAAAATAGAACTTGTTCTCCCTTAATAACGAGGTGTTCTATCTAAAAAACATTGTGCTCTCTCTCTTTGGTGGTCTAGCAGTTAGGAATAAAAATTAAAAATAAGTAAAATACACTTTTCTCTCAATCAAACTAATATTTACTGGTCACTATGGAAGCAAATGGGAGCGGACTAGTCAGGTATGCAAATAACCTTGCCTCGCCAGGTATAAAGTGACCTGCCACAGAAGTTTGGAAAAGGGAGGTAATATAAAGGGCTGGGATATGAGGACCACTCTTTACAGCAGAAAGGCATCTGAGCAGAGCCTTGAGGAGTACATAAAATTTCAACATATGGTATTAAATGGGAGTGGATTGGCAAGAATAGGACCAAAGAGCGTGTCCTCTGGAGTGTTTTCCCATAAAACTAAGTAATCATCACACCAGCTGAGAACCATAAGTTCCTTGACCCAGGTAGTCTGCACTTCCTTTTTAGAAGACGAATTTTTGTATCTTATTCCTCCTCAAAGGCTGGGCCAGGTATTATTGGCCATCCAGAAATAAGTCCCCAGTACTTAATGCAGCATCTGGCAGAAAATGTGGGCATGCCAAATACATGTAGGTTGAAATGATGTTTAGAAATATCACATTAGGTTTATACATTCATAACACATGATTGAAAAATTCCGGTAAACGGATTAGCTAAAATCCAATGAAAATTATTAATTAAGCCTTTCATTTGGCACAATTAAAAATAAAACCCTATGTTGATTGAATTTTTCATTTTGGATCCAATTATGCTGTCACATAGGTATAGCTGGAGTATATGAGTCACCCAAAATTCTATTAATCAAATCTAGAAATAATAATATAATAATGTGTGTTAATCATTCTAATACAGCAAATGAGACACAGAAAAACAAAACCAACAATATTGTAAATTACCCAATGATCAATCTTTGTTGGAAACAATGTCCTACTCAGCAGTGGGACAAGAGCAATACCTAAGAGTTGAACAACCCAGAAGAAAAAATATGAATCGTCAGGGAAAGTCTGCTTAGAGGGAAATAAGAATCCAAGGTGTATTGCTAGATTTTGCAATAACTAGATGTGGCAATACAGAAATGTGATTTTAATTGGAGGAGGAAGATAATTATAGCTTGCAAGCCAACTAGTTAATCTAAGTGACAAACTTTGGCCCCACACCCAAGAAAAGAGGGTGAACCCAAAATAGGAGTTTATCAAGTTTCCATTACAAATGTGTTCAAGACACCTGAGCCACCCTGAAACCAAACCCTGAAACCAAGGAGTGGTGAGGGGGGGGGGGGGGTTATAGGTTACTAATAATTAATTATTAAATTTAAATAGTTTCTATAAATTTACATATGAAAACAATAAATTCTGTGTTATATCTTTGGAAGTAGCATTATGCTGGTGATCAAGTGCAATGGGATAAAACACAGTTAGCAGGCATTCCTTAAAAAATATTCCCTAAGCTAATACTAGAAACAGAAAAAGAGAGGTCAGATTAATCCTACAGATTTAGAAGTGATCCAAGTTAAGGCAACCTACATGATAATGGAATTGAAAACCACGTCATCTAAGGAACAGTTGAATGAACTGGTGATCCATAACCTGGAAAATAAAAGACTTAGAAACACAGAGTAATCTTGTCAAATACCCAAAAGATTCTCCATCAGCAAAGCTATATTCTGTGTGGCAGATTTCAGTTAAATAGAAAGATAAGCTTTTTAATAATTAGAGCACTTCAAAGGAAGGTGAAGTGCTTCATGAGACAATGAGTTTCTCATCACTAGAAATATTTTAGTAGAGATTGGAGATATCTGATAAGGGGTTCCGTTTAGTGTTGAATATTTAACAAGAGAAGAAAGAAAGGACAGATGTCTATGAGTACCCACTGTGTAGAACACTTTGTAGAAGAACACTTTGTATGTGTTATCTAAATTGGTATTCTCAGATTTATGAATTGGATATTATTTCTCACGTGAAGATTAAAAGAGATTAAGCAATTTACCATACACCCTGTAACAGGCAATGCTGGAAGGTGAAGCCTGGCAATGACCTCTAATATCCTTTGCAAATTCTGTTCTGGTTGAAGCTATAACAGTGAATGTATTATTGGTCTAGATAATTCTATCCTGATAATTTGTCTATTTATCCAGTCTGGTATTATTTCTGTCAGAATATCCACAGACTTTTGGCCAAAGAGCATATTTAGCTTCCCCCATGACATTAAATTCAAAAGATAAATCATACTTTAGGTTCTTTCCAGCTGAATTCTGTAATTTTGATGACCAGAATTCCTAGCAACTCATTTACACTAGAAAGGGCAGAGTTTTGGGGCCGGGTACGGTGGCTCACGCCTGTAATCCCAGCACTTTGGGAGGCTGAGGCAGGCAGATCACAAGGTCAAGAGATTGAGACCATCCTGGCCAATATGGTGAAACCCCATCTCTACTAAAAATACAAAAATTAGCTGGGCGTGGTGGCACATGCCTGTAGTCCCAGCTACTTGGGAGGCTGAGGCAGGAGAATTGCTTGAACCCGGGAGACAGAGGTTACAGTGAGCTGAGATTGCACCACTGCACTCCAGCCTGGGCGACAGAGCGAGACTCCATCTCAAAAAAAAAAAAAAACAAAGAAAGAAAGGGCAGAGTTTTTATTCACATGGCTCAATTCAGGCAATTGGTTGTGGGCTTCCTGGATTAATTTTATTAAGAATAATTCTCCAGCCAGTCTGGGTTCAGCAGGAAGATGTGTTATCAATTAGTAATGTCTGACATGAGTACAGGAGAGTGGCAGCAAGAATGACTTGTGTTTGTTCTCTCTAAGCTCCACATTTCCTAAAACTATTTTTCTATTTGTAATCATCAGCTTTTTAGTGAATACGGTGAGTAAATTATTCTACCAACTAACTGTTAAAAGTAATACTTACTGCCATTTTTCCTAACACCACTCATGGAGGGTACAGGAATATATCATGAAGCAAATGAAAAGCTGCCCACAAGACTAGATTGATTATCAAAAGGGTTTTTTAAAATACAAATTTAATATAAATTTGAATTACTTCAAAAAACTTACCACAGTCCAGAATCTGTTCCTCATAGCCCTGCAGGTCCAGAAACTAGACTTCACCATGCCCAGAGGTAACCTGACACTTGATGATAGACTTACAGTGACTGTATTCACACAATGCTGATGTGCACATTAGAATGCCAGTTTACTGGCAATGAAGGACATATCTTTCCAGCTGTCTAAGGCCAACTTCCTGAGCACTCACTTTCCTGCACATTCGCCACAATGATGCTTCTAAAATGCAGAATTTTTTCAGTCATTTTTAATTATACCACATGCCTGTTCTTTATGCTAAGTTCCCTATGATACAGTTTAAATGGCTCATTCAACAGATGGTTTCCTATATTACTGATGTGAGCTCTTGAACTGTGTCTTGAACCACTCTTATTTCTGATTTCTCTCTCCTTCCAGGTACCTACCTGTGCTATCTGGCTTATTGGCTCCCTGAGTGTTCTCTTTCTCTCTCTTTTTTTTTTTTTTTTTTTTTTTTGAGATGGAGTTTTGTTCTTGTTGCCCAGGCTGGAGTGCAATGGCATGATCTTGGCTCACTGCAACCTCCACCTCCCGGGTTCAAGCGATTCTCCTGCCTCAGCCTCCCAAGTAGCTGGGATTACAGGCATGTGCCACCACGCCCAGCTAATTTTGTATTTTTACAAGAGACAGGGTTTCTCCATGTTGGCCAGGCTGGTCTTGAACTCCCAACCCCAAGTGATCCGCCCACCTCGGCCTCCCAAAGTGTTGGAATTACAGGCATGAGCCACCGCGCCTGGCCCTCTTTTTCTTTATTTCCCAGAGGAAACATTTCTGAAATACCTCTAAAGAGCTATAAAATTCTACTTGCTTCTGTTTCCCAGTATGTTCTGCACCCAACCATCTTGTCTTCATTCCACCCTTGCTTAGCTCCACACCATTCTTTTTTCTTTTATACTCACTGTGTGTGCTGCAGCAGTGCAAGACACAGATGGCTTCATTCCATCACCACCCTTTCCTTCCCTAATGGCAGACAGTCTGGCTTCTGTGCCCCTACATTGTCCAGTATATTCTTGCACCCAGATCTCCAAGGATCTTGTGGCACTATCATGCACATTAATTTCTAGTCCTCATTCTTCCTGGTCTCTATGCAGAATTTGAAACTCAAGACCCGGAAGAACCTCCTTCTGGAAACTCTACCAGGTGAATCATAATATGCTACAATCCATCCTTGGTTGCCTGAATTTTTTTCCAGACTTCCAGATCACTCCTTATTCACTTCCTTCACTGGGTACTTTTCCTCTGTGCCAAGCCTAACTGAGGGTTTCCTCACCATTCAGCCTTAAACTTCTGCTCTCCCCTTTATAAAATCCAGTTATTCTAAAGGCTTCAACTACCACCTCAATATAGGTAATTTCTGGCCTTCAGCTCTTTCCTAAATTATTTCAATTTCAGTGATCCTTTAATTTGCAAAATTGGTCATATTAAATGATGCTTAAACTATAAAGACTGAGAATGTGTATTAACTGTAATTGGTAGCTTTGAGAGAATTCATTCCCTGTTCTCAAAAGACAACAGTACTTCTAGGATCTTTTCAGAACAAACAGCTAGATTGTAAAGTAATGTTGCAGTTCTAGTCATACTTGACATCTTTAACACTGTTGGCCATCCCATCTTCTCAAAATTCTCCTCTCCACTGGCTCTCTTGAAACTTCTGTCCCCTGGTTCTCCCTTTTATCTTTCAATGTTATCTCTCAAGCCTTTTATATTCTCATTAAATATTGCAGCTCCTCAAGGTTTTATCCATGGTCCTCATCTCTACTCATTCTCCCTGAGAAATCTCATGTAGTTCATGGTTTCTCTTTGCCAGTAACTTCCAAATCACAATTTCTCTCCTAATCTCAGACCCACACTGCAGCTGCCTATGGAATATCTACATCTGAATGTTGATAGGTACCTCAGGCTCAATCTTCCTTTCCCTAAATTTGTTATCTTTCCTACAAAAACTGCTCCCCCTTTGCATTCACATATCAGTCAATAGCATTCCCCGAAGTTCAAAACTAGAAACGTCTTGTCATCTTAGATGCCCTCCATCATCAACGGGCAAACAGCCAAGTCAAATGCCACCTTATCTATGACTATCTTCCCATTCTTATCACTGCACTGACACTTTTGTGAAATTTTCATTGTTTCTTCCCCTCCCCAGACTCTTGCAAATTCTCCCATCTCATCTCCCTTTGTCCAGTTTCCCCCCAATCCATCTAGTACACTGTCAACAAAGTTATCTTTCAAAAAATTAAGGTCATGTTCCTCCCCTATTTAGCAGCTTTCAACGGTCCACTCCATGACTAAGGGATCAAGTCCAAATTCCTTAAAATGGCATTACAGGTCTTTTCTTATGTAGCACAAACCTATTTTCCAGACTTATTTGTTGGCACTCACTCACATAAACTTTATGTCCCAGCTAAACCAAACTTTTCTCAGTTCTTGAAATACGTCGTGTGTGTTTATGTCTCCTTTATACTTGCTGGTCCCTCAGCCTAGATTTTTTTTTTCCCATACAATGAATTCTAAGTCATTCTTTAAGACATCATTCAAAAGACATCTCATTAAGTCCTCCAGAAACTGGTTTCTTTTTACTGGTGCTTCATATACTTTAGATAAATCTGTATTTCCAAACTCTTCATCCTATTTTGTAATTATTTGTGCCTTGTCTCCTACCCTTTGACCCAAAAGATATGACTTCCTTGAAGGTAAAGACCACATCTTACTTATCCTTGCATCCTCAGAACCCCAGTAAAATATATGGCATATGATATATATTCAGTGAACTGTACAAAAGATAGGACAATCAGAGCCAAGATACTGTCCCTTCCCTCCAGAAGGTGAGGAAAAGAGGCCTAGAGACAACAAAGTGCTTTTCCTGCTACAGTTAATTTTAAAGTCAAGTTGTATTAATTGGAAAAATACAGAAAAATATTTTCTTCAAAATTTTTACCACCACGGTGCCTGAAATTCCACTTAGATAAAAGGTGTTTTTTGTTTTTGGTGTGTGTGTGTGTGTGTGTGTGTGTGCACATGTGTGTTTGAGACAGAGTCTCACTCTGTTGCCAGGTTGGAGTGCAATAGCACAATCTCAGCTCACTGCAACCTCCGCCTCCTGCGTTCAAGTGATTCTCCTGCCTCAGCCTCCCGAGTAGCTGGGACTACTTTTAGTAGAGACGGGGTTTCACCATGTTGGCCAGGATGGTCTCGATCTCTTGACCTCATGATCCGCCCACCTTGGCCTCCCAAAGGTGTGTTTTTTAAAAAAATGTAAATAGCTTCAGTGAATACCTCTCCAACCCTACCCACCTTTGGCAGTCAGTCAGTAAGTCACACCTTAGACTGAATTAGACTCACCAGATGGTTATCCTCCTAATACCTATTCCCACACCAGGCTGAGAAGTCTCAGTATGTAAAGAGGAGAAAACAGACAAATGGAGCAAGTCAAAGGAGGACAAACTAAACTGGAATGTGGCTTTGGGGTACCAGGCAGCAACTTCAGAACACAGGATAGCTGGCAGGGGGTGGGAGAGTGGTGCGGCAGAGAGGAAGAGGGCAGCAAAACAATGACGGAAACCTCAGCAGGTACTGGTTCCTCTACTCCTCCCCAGAGATGGGGGAAACACCCTCTCTCACACTGAGCAAAAGCGGCCCCACCTTGGCACACAGGCTTGGTTCTTCAGGGAAAGAGCTCATCATCATAGTTACTTAACTCTGTTAACTCCTGTAACTTAACTACTCTTCCCACCCACTGCCCCCATAATCTTTCCTTTTATCTAATGAGGAGACAAGCAGGAGAGAAGTGAGCTTGTTTCTGTAGTTCCAATAGATAAGGCTGCCACAGATAACTAGATCTCCTCTTATTTTATTACCAGATCCCACCTGAGATATTCTCTTTCCTCCTACCTTACCTGCAGCAGTGAACAGGCAGCAGTGAACAGAGAGAAGGATTGGAAGAAAGTCCAGAAAGCTTCTGAACAGCTAACAATATGCATGCAGGAGTGTTTTCTGCTCTGTGAAGCCTGCACCAATACATGTTAAAGAAATTGAAGCAAAAGGCTGACCATGAGAATGTACAACCATCATTTCCGATTCAGTATCTGTACTTCTAAACCACTCTTTCTCCTGGCTTTCCTATTCTGACACTTTCTTGGTCTTGACCACCTCAATATCCAATCAGTAATCAAATAATAATTATTATTCTTTCAATCAGCTTATTTTTTCTGTGTCCATGATGACATATGTAGACACTAACATTCTCCTAACCGATTCCCTTGCTCCATCTCTCCCAAACCAATTAGTATACTTCCAACAGGCTAATCTTCCTGAAGCAATACTTTTCTTGAGTCACTGCCCCTCTCAAAAGCAATCTGAAGCTCCAAATTGCTTATCAGGGGTTCTTAATTTTTTTTTTTCCTAAAGCAGCTCAAGGACACAAAATATACCCAATAGTAACAATTTATTTGCAGTGGTGCTTGGCAGGGGAGGGAATGAATTCTGAATCTCTGGGTGGGAGTGTTATGTTGTGTGTGATTTGTGAAACTTCCCCAAGATAAATGTGATAAGTAGAATAATAAAGGCACACACAGAGTATTATGGGTACAGAAAGAATGTGACTATGTCCTTTTCCAGCCATTTTTTCTCTTCCTATGATAGAAATCTCCATATCCTTTCCCAAGAGGGATAAGGAAAGGAGGGACCTTAAGGGGAAATCTCTTCTGAGGGTATCAACATGTTTCTGACCTCGATTAGGCCAAAAGGCAACCGCCATGCCGACTTGAGGGTTCACATACTCTACTGGCCTCGCTCTACTTCTGACACAGGCTGAACACCAACACAATCATAAGGACTACATTAAACAGAAACAATACCACTCCTTGGTTAAGATGTGGTCTCAGACAAGTCACACTCACCATTTTTTAATTTCATTTACTCTTGTTTAGAATGAGGAAATCGGAGATTATCTCCGTGATCCTTCCCAGTTCTAAAATGTGAAGATTCTATAGACCTTTTTTTTTTTTTTGAGAAAGAGTCTTGCTCTGTCGCCCAGGCTGTAGTGCAATGGCGCAATCTTGGCTCACTGCAACCTCTGCCTCCCGGGTTCAAGCAATTCTTTTGCCTCAGCCTCCCAAGTAGCTGGGTTTACAGGCACCTGCCACCACGCCCAGCTAATTTTTTGTATTTTTAGCAGAGATGAGGTTTCGCCATGTTGGCCAAGCTGGTCTCGAACTCCTGACCTCAAGTGATACACCTGCCTCGGCCTCCCAAAGTGCTGGGATTACAGGCATGAGCCACTGTGCCTGGCCTAGACCCACATTTTAAACCATTAAAGGTTTGGTATCAGCAAAAGATGCAATACATAGGGTATAAAATTAACATTACTTCATCCTGAAAGAAAAAAAGATTATCAAAAGTTGTCTCAGAAATCAGTTCTTTTCACCTAAACTATTAAAATACACACATATCTGTGTTAAATCATTTCCCCAAGGTCACGAACATGTTAGCATTTCAACTAAGTAATAAAAACCATATGAAGTAGAAAGTAGCTGCTGTCTCCTCAGAAGAGGCCCCTGAAAGGGAGCGTGCAGTACTAGTGTGTGCAGTAGGAGGAGATAGCAGCCCCTCCCACCACTCAGACTTAGCCAGTCGGGACACTGAAATTTGAACAAGAGACCAATGTGTGGGAACATACACTGAGGATCATATCCATTGTTTGACTTTTGCTGTGGTTTGTGTAAACTAGCCCTCCAAAGCACCCCAGCTTCTCCTTGTCCTCCAATTCCTATATTCCTACCTTCCATTGATTCTAGAAGCCAATGATATCCTTCTAGTAAATTCTCTTCTTGTTTAGTGCAACCAGTCTGTTTCTGACCAACATAATTAAACCATGAAGCCACTTGGGCCTTCCTGGAACAGCTTCTCAACTCCATCCTCCATTTTTCCCCACCCCGTATACGTACCTCTACCTTTCCACATTGGTAGGCACCTGCTCTGTACCTGGCACTATGCTAAGTCTCAAGAAAGAAATGTGAATAATGTATGGTCTCTACCCTCAAGGATCTTACACTTTGATAAGCAAGTATTAACCCTTATTGCATGGTGTTGCAATTATTCATTTTCCTATCAACCTCCTTGAGAGTAAAGACTCAATACAAATTCCTATCATACAGTAGGGTCCACACAGGAAACAACTGGCACGCTCAAATTAGGATAAGTCAAGGCAAATTTAAGAAAAGGACTATTTACTGGCTGGGCGCGGTGGCTCATGCTTGTAATCCCAGCACTTTGGGAGGCGGAGGCTGGCGGATCACAAGGTCAGGAGTTCCAGACCAGCCTGGCCAATATGGTGAAACCCCGTCTCTACTAAAAATACAAAAATTAGCCGGGCGCGGTGGCGGACGCCTATAGTCCCAGCTACTCGGGAGGCTGAGGCAGGAGAATTGCTTAACTTGGGAGGCGGAGGTTGCAGTGAGCCAAGATTGCGCCACTGCACTCCAGCCTAGGCAACAGAGTGAGACTCCGACTCAAAAAAAAAAAAGGACTATTGACAAAGGTGTGGGTATGGCGTAGGGAAACCACCAGGCGAGCTAGTGTCACCCCCATGCCTACAAGAACAAAGGAAGGTAATTTAGGAAGGGAAAGTCACAGAAAGGGCCATCTCGACAGGAGCTGTGGTGTTCAATGAAAGGATCCAACAAAGCTGTAGAGGTGGCCAGGGGAATAAGTCCCCCAACTCATTCTCCTCCCTCCCTCCACTGGGGTCCCTACTGGGCAAACATAATGAAAGCCAGAGGGCAAGGTTAAATTCATGGTGCAGAGAGCAGAATGGAGAAAGGTGGAAAGAGGATATGGAAGGGCAAACAGCTTTGTAGGGTCAGCACTCAATACATGTATGTTGAATTAGATTATTGCTACTACATGTATGCAGACAATTTCTAGTTTCTCTTTTCTCATTTTAGTTCTCAAGTACCTACATTAGTGTTCTTGTTGGCAGATTTTCCTGATACATAGAAGTTTAATTCTCATCTTCCTCTCTGCTATAGAAATATACACACCAACACTAAAAGGAAAACTGTCCTGAATCTAACTCCCCAATAATCAGTGTCTCCTCTTGAAACCCTGATGAAAGCTGAGACGACTCTATCTTTCCATGCTCTTCTCTCCTCATCCTCTGAGGGATTCCTTAATCATGTGTAACTGTCATCCTCTCCATCCTGTACACCTAAGTGTAACAAAATCATGGGCCCTTAGGGCCATAGGAGGCTGACACAGGAAAGACAGAACAGTCCCCTTGCAGTGGGGACAGGGTGCAGTGGAAGAGGTGGAGATCATGGCAAAGGGAATGGGGTGCCACAGAGCTTCCACTTGCAGACATTTTGGATTCTTAGGATAGATTGGGAGATATGAAAGGAATAAGTCACAGAAGGAAGTCTGAAGAAGAGGTAACTTCCTGAAATTCAGAAGGAACTCCAGGAACTAAACTCAGACGTGGGCACAGGAGCTGGAAGATAATCTTTGTATAGAGTAAGGAGGGGTAAAAGAAAGACATGTATGCCTTCTCTTCAGTCTACTCCTCCACATGTATTCTAAACAGACAAAATAACACTTTTGCTTAAGGCTGGTCTTTTAGGCGGGCAAAGTGCAATTTCAGCAGATTTCTGCCCAAAATAAATTCTCTCTTCCTCACCAAGAACGGAAATTTCTATCACAAGGAACAATCCTTCATTTCATAATTAAAGGAAAAGCTCAAAATTCAAATGCCTAGGTTCCTGAATGACATAGAGCAAATAATACTGTCTCTATTAGTGTAAATGAATAATATCATGTCTTTTCCCTAGACAGAAAAAATGAGTTAAAGCACAAGAAAGCCAATGGCTTCAGATGAAGTGCAGAGATATTTCAACCTAGAGAAGAAAAGGAAAGCGGGCCTTTTAGACACAAATGGCAAACTTTGCCAACTTCTTAGTTTAGTGTAAAGGCAACTCTGTTCAGTTTAGGGTATTCATGGATATCTAGAATCAATGCTCAGACACTGAGCTTAGAAGGGATGTTGATCAAGACGCATGTATGACAACTGTATAAAACCAGAGCCCATAATAGTCCATAAGGCTTCCTGGCACACACTGGGCATTCAATAAATATTTCTTGAAAGAAGTGTGGTATAATTAGGATTATGAGTTTTAGAGACTGCTGTGAGCTAGAGTGGGGACCAGGGAGAGAAGAGAAGGGAGAGAACAAGCATTCATTGAGAGCCTAGTATGTGCCAGACACTATTACCTGTTTCTCATTAATCCTCCAAATTATTTTGTAATTTGTACAGGTGACAAAACTGAGATTCAGAGAAGATAAGTAACTTTATCCAAGCTGAGCAACAGTAGGCTAGAACTCAAAGACCTATTTAACTCTACAGCAGTATGCACTACTCAACTTAGACTCCTTGGAAAGGGCCCTGTAGCAAGCCTGGAAGGTCATGGAAAAATAGACGCAAACTGAGCAAGAGCATGAGAATGTTAAGACTATAGGGTCAGAAGGAAAGAAAGGATGTCTGTTAGAGGAATGCCTGCAGTGTTTCAAAAAGTAATCACTTATCATGGTTCAAAAGATGAAGTCATGAAATGATGGTCTTCTCTGTTTTTCCTGCTCACACACGGTTTTCTTGCATGTACCCAACACCCTGATGAGATAGCACTTGAGCACACATGGCTCATCAATCACTAAAATAAGGTGAAGAGATTGTTAACCAAAAAAAAAACCTATACTTTAAAAAAATTCATTAAAGATGATGTAACTTTACACAGATGATAGATAGATAGATAGATAGATAGATAGATAGATAGATAGATAGATAGATAGTAGGCTCCATAATGGTCCCCATAATGCACCGACTTTGGGGCTATACTTTAACCTTAGATCTCTGCTACACCTCCACACAGTGGCTTGTTCCTCTGGGTTGTGGCAGCACAGCAGCACTGAAAGTGGCTCTGAGTCTGTTGAGGCTCAGGGGAACCTATGTCATTGTAGGGGGCTCTCAAGAGAGCAGAGGGCCGTGGTAGTGGGCCTTCTGGTGGCTTTTATGGTGTTGAGGGTAGGTTGGGTCCTGGCACAGGGTGGAGTAGCATGAGTGCTGGACTAAATAGGGGCCTGTGAAATTCTGGTGACTCTGATGGTGGTGGCCTTCTTTCAAGTAATGAGACAAAAACCACACAGAATTTAAACAAATGCCAGGCCTACTACCTTGACAACTTACATTTCTCCTGGCAAACATATATTGTATCTGATTAATTAATGCATCTAATGTCGAGAAAAGTGTCTAACGTGCATAAAAATTAATATGAAATGGCTCATTCATTTGAAAGAGAAACATTTATCCTGTATTTCAGAAGCTCTAAAAAATATATTTAGCTGAAAAGTTCTGTAATAGTCCGAGAAAAATTTAAATTTACTGTTTATCTGATATATATTTATACAAATATAACTTTTTTGAGACAGGGTCTTGCTCTGTTGCCCTGGCTGGTGTGTGTGTAGTGGCACGATCATAGCAGCCTCACCCTCCCAGGCTTGAGCAATCCTCCCATGTCAGCCTCCCAAGTAGGGACTACAGACATGTGCCACCATTCCCAGCTAAATTTTTTTCTGTAGAGATGGGGTCTCACTATGTTGTTCAAGCTGATCTTGAACTCCTGGACTCAGGTGATCCTCCAGCCTCAGCTTCTCAAAGTGCTGGGACTACAAGCATGAGCCGCCATGACTAGCACAAATATGACTGACAAACTTATAATTATTGAAATCCATGAAGTATATAATCTGGACCTAATGGCACCCAACATATTTTGTTAAATTATATGGTTCCTTTTCCTCCCTTGAAGGTAACGAATGTTACTTTGGAAAATGCCAACATTCCGCATTAGATCCACAATGCCAGGCTCACTGTGGATGACTTCAAGCTCAAGTAAGTCAGAAACCATGTAAAGAACTGAAAAAAAAAAAAAAAAAAAAAACCTCCCCAATTCACCACTTTAAACAGTTACTACAAAATTTACAATATCATTATTTCACATTATTAAACATCTCAACATAAAACAATCTCTTTTATGTTTAAATTACAATAGTGGTCATAGGTTAGCAATGTGAAAATTCCCAGGCTAGCGATTTGAAATCTCATGTATGGTGTATGACTCTCCAATCCGTAGGTCAGAGACTTGGTTTTTATAGAACTGCAGGAGGTCCCCCATACTGTACTTTAATTTTTTTTTAACTAGGGAGACACAGTCCTTGTAAAACAAAGGTGCATTGCACTGTACGTGAAAAGGAGCTTGCTTCCTTTCCTAGTCAAAAGAGCAGAGGGGAGATTTTCACTCTTTCATGGCTTTAATAATGTTATTCCTACCATTTACTAAATACTGATGCTGTGCTAAGCACTTTTGCACATTAACTCAATTCTCATAATATTCCCATTTTAGCCAGGCACAGTGGCTCACGCCTGTAATCCCAGCACTTTGGGAGGCTGAGGCAGGTGGATCACTTGAGGTCAGGAGTTTGACACCAGCCTGGCCAACATGAAACACTGTCTCTACTAAAAATACAAAAATTAGTCAGGCATGGTGATGCACACTTGTAATCCCAGCTACGTGGGAGGCTGAGGTGGGAGAATCGCTTGAACCTGGGAGGCGGAGATTACAGTGAACCAAGATCACGCCACTGTACTCCAGCCTGGGTGACAGAGCAAGACTAGGTCTCAAAAAAAAAAAAAAAACCACACACACACAAAAAACCAATATTCCCATTTTAATGATGAGAAAACTAAGGTTCAGAGAAGTAATTTGCCCAAGGTGACAGCTGAACATGGCAGAGGTGCAATTTGAACCCATGTCTTCACATCCCAGTGCTGTGCTCTCTAAGCTCCACTATGTGGGATGTTTTATTACCACTGGATGAGGAGACCTCCATCTAAGCTGTATTGATTCTTCCAATTGGGCTCTGTTCAGATGCCAGAGTAAAGTTGTCCTTTATCACTGTGTTGAGGCTGATAGCAAGGGCCTGCGAAGTGTCTTAGATGAGTTGACTTTGAACAAGACTAACCTAGAGTTGAAAATGGAAAGCCAGACGGAGAAGCTGAATTACCTCAGAAACAATCATGAAGAGGCGGGAACTACACAAAATGAATTTAAAGTTTCAGTATGTCAATACTTGTCAAGATATGGTGGTGGTGGCTATCATTATAAGAGACAGTCTTTTCATAAAACACAGGTAAAGTAACATAGACTGTAAGGCAAAACTTAACTCTCAGGATGACAATGAAAATCAAATAAATTACTTATATTAAAATAGTTTGTAAAAATTAAAAATATTATTCCTTTATATTGATCCTAAATATTTTCATAATAAGGTTGCCAGATAAAATACAGAACTCTCAGTTTAAATTATAATTTCAGGTAAACAATGAATAATATAACAGATATGTCCCAAATATTGCATGGAATATAGTTATACCAAAAAAAGTATTCAATGTTCATTTGAAATTCAAATTTAATTGGCATTCTGTATTTTATTTGCTAAATCTAGTAACACTATTTTGTTGTCTCCTAGAAATTTTTTTGAAACCTTAAAAAAGATTTCTAAACTCTACATTTTCAGTTTTAAATTTTTAATTTCTTTAAATAATCATATTCCAGATGCAAAATCAAGTAACCTGTGGCATTTTATTTTATTTTGGATCAGGAGATGAAGGCTGACAATGATAAGGTACCTTATGTTGAGGTAAACGTAGAAAACAAACAGCCCCAGGTGTGGACCTGACTGTCCTGCTGAACCAGACTAGAGAGTAATATGAGGCTTTGCCATAACAAAGCCACAGAAAGGCTAAGGCCTGGTTTAATGTAAGGTAAGCCTATCACCGCCAAAACAAAACAAAACAAAAAAATACCCAATATTAAGCAGAAGTCATGAAAACTAGTATAAGTATTTATATTTTTATTCCACTCTAACACCTCAGAGTAAAGAACTGATGGGCAGGCATCGGCTTCTGCTGACAATTGCCAACCGGCATGAGATTGCTGAGCTGAGGTGGACTCTCCAGACACTGGAACTGGAACTCCAGGCCCAATGGCCTCTGGTAAGAATGCTGCAACGTGAGACCCTTGAGAGAGACTGACTTGTTGAAGATGAAGAGAAAACCAAGAGCCTCCAGTCCAGTTGTTGAAGAGCAACCACGAGCCAACACCAAGGAGACAAGGAAGAAGAAGTCCTTCTCTCAACCGATGACCGCAAGCACAAAGAAGAGTCCCAAGATAGCGAAGAAAGGAAAATAACTCAAGGGAGAGCCAGGAAGAAAAATGCTCCACAAAAATCCATGGCTTTAAGAATACTTGAGGAAGGGAGCAGGCCAACACCCTCTGGCCACAGTGACCAGCTGAATGAGGAACTCTAACAGAATGAGCTGCAGTTGGAGCAACAGAGGGCACATAGCTGGAACAACAGAGCGAGGGGACACAGCCGGAGCAACAGAGTGGGAGGATGCCAACCATTTCAACTCTCTCCCTGAGCAGCGAGTAATTTCAGGGCAAGCCCAGAGACTAGGATCCATCTGAGAAGTCTTCAGAGGTCTGACCCAGAGAACTCAACAACAGGATACGTCCCATGGTGATGAAAATAAAATGAATCTGTTGTAAAAGGAAAAAAAAAAAAAATTATGTGTTGCTTTGAAATCCAATGGTATATTCACACGTGACATGTCTGGTCACAGATGTCTCAAAACATTTTGTGTCTCCACAGTATAATTAGTTTGCCCTGTAAAATTTAAAGGCAATTCTTTAATTTTAAACTATAGAGGAACAGTAAATTAGGATAAGAGAGAAAGACACAATACCAGGAGTAAATATACTTACATGGTTTCTTCACAATTACAAATTAAGTTCTATGTGGTACTAGTTTATGCCATTCTGCACTCTTCTTCTACAATGTAATTTTTGATGAATCATCTTTTTACTTTTATTTTCCATTCCTTTCCTCTTTTAAATTTTTTAAAAATTTTATGGATACACAGTAGTTATACATATATATGGGGTACATGTGATATTTTGATACAAGCATACAATGTGTAATGATCAAATCAGGATAATGGGGATATTCATCATCTCAAACACTTATTTCTTTGTGTTGGGAACATTCTAATTTCACTCTAGTTATTTAAAATATATAGTGAATTTCTGTCAACTATAGTCACTCTATTGTGCTACTGAACACTAGATCTTATTCCTTCTAATTGTAAGTTTGTACCCATCAACCAACCCTCTTTATCCCCTACTTTCTCTCCCTCACCTCCCTACTATCCTCCTAGCCTCTCTGGTAACCATTATACTCCTCTTTATCTCGATGAGATCAATTTTTTTAGCTCCCACATATGAGTGAGAACATGTAATACTTGTCTTCTTTTTAATCTAGTTTGACAGAAACTGAAAGTAACTACTGTTACAATATGTTACCCCAATATAGCTTGTGGGGTCTTCATCCTTGGAGAGTTTTGAGATGGAAGGAAGGAAGCAGGGGAGGGAGGGAAGCAGGAAATTCTAACTAGACCAAATTTAGCATTTATATTCCAGATGCCAAGAAAAAAAAATAATGCAACATCTTATAGCTCTGCAAATATGCACTCATTTATATCTAAGCATTAGACTAGAAAATTCTAACTAGCTCTACATTTCAACCAAAATTATCAATATGGAAAATATTTGGAGAGACACCAAAAAGTTTAATAGCTTTTGAATGTATATAAGTTGGAAACTTTCAAAGCAACAGAACCCCTCCATGTCATAGTTTACTACTAAATTAATTCACATACACACCTTGTGTTCACCGTTGTATTCCTCACGACTTAAGTTAAAAACCTGATGAAAAGTGGTTAATCTCCATAATGGGTGTTAGCTCCATCTGAAAAAGCCAGCATTATAAAAGGATTAATGCTTCAATTATGCATGGTGGCTAATTGCTGTGATTTGTTATTTTAATGACTGGTCTGCCAAAGAGTTAGGAACCTTCATTAACCCATGCCAGACGGACCCTCAGGAAGTTAGTGCAGAGTCTCTCCTGGGAACAGACAAGGCCTACAAGTCTGATCTCTTCCAGGGCAGGATATCTTGCCTCATTAGTTCTTTTTCTTTTCAAATTAGTCTATTTTTTTCATCACAGAAGTATGATAAGGAAGGCTTGTCTAGTCTGAAAAAGAAACTAAAATCCCTTATGTTCTTGTTAATTTTCCAAGTCACATAACTGAAAAATACAATTTTAGCTCATTTCAAAAGAGTTTTAGGAGTTACTCAGTTTAAGCCAGCAACAGTGTGTTTAAAAAAAGAAAAAAGTTAATCATTGTGTTTTTAAAAAGCTCTGAAGATAGGTCTGTGTTCAAATCCCACCAAAGTCCCTTTATTGAATCGTTTTGGGCATGCTAAATTTTAACTAATTTCTTTTCTTTTTTGAGGGGTTTGTGGGAAACAGGGTCTCACTCTGTCACCCAGGCTGGAGTGCAGTGGTGCAATCACAGCTCACTGCAGCCTTGACCTTTTGGGCTCAGGTGATCCTCTCACCTCACCCTCTTGAGTAGCTGGGCCCACAGGCATGTGCCATCACACCAGGCTCTGTGTGTGTGTGTGTGTGTGTGTGTGTGTGTGTGTGTGTGTGTGTGCGTGCATGTGTTTTGTAGAGACGGGGTTTTGCCATGTTGCCCAGGCTGGTCTCAAACTCCTAGGCTCATGCGATCCTCCTGCCTTGGCCTCCCAAAGTGATGGAACTACAGGCGTGAGCCACTGCGCCTGGCCAACTAATTTTAGTTAAAATAAAATTTCTGGCCAAGGGTGGTGGCTCACGTCTGTAATCCCAGCACTTTGGAAGGCTGAGGCAGGTGGATCACCTCAGGTCAGGAGTTCGAGACCAGCCTGACCAACATGAAGAAACCTCGTCTCTACTAAAAATACAAAATTATTAGGCATGGTGGCACATGCCTGTGATCCCAGCTACTCGGGAGGCTGAGGCAGAAGAATCGCTTGAACCTGGGAGGCTGAGGTTGTGGTGAGCCAAGATTGCATCTCTGCACTCCAGCCTGGGCAACAAGAACAAAACTCCATCTCAAAATAAATAAAATAAAATAAAATTTCCCTCATAAAGTTGCCAACAGGATTTGATGAGACAAAAATGCAAGTAAAATTTAGAACAGGTCTTGGAACATAAAAAAGTCTCATCAAGCTCTATAAACTCTATCTTAGGACTGACTTTGCAAATGTTATTTGCATATTTGTTTAATGGGTTTAATACAAGAAATCAAAAGTTCTTTGGAGATTATCAGTCGTCAGCCTTGTGAAAGAAGCCACAGAATGGTTGTGGTACATTTTCTCTGTTACTATTGTGTGTTACATTTAAATAATTATTTTCTCTGCTACTATTGTGTGTTACATTTAAATAATTATTTAAATCTATTCCTCTACCATTCTTACAACCCCCTTACCAAAAAAAAAAAGTGATTCAAAGACAGAGGGTCCATTTATTATGAAATTGACTAGTTGTCTGAGTCCATAAGGTCAAGTATTTTTTAAAAACCTTTAAAATTAGGAAATTAATTTGATTCCTTAAGACTTTTTCCTTTAAATTTAAGCATGTTACATATACTGACTTAAAATCACTAGAGTGGGGGATTAAATGCTTTCACTGTAAACCTTAACCTCTGTATGTATCATTTCTAATCCAAAACTTTCTCTACTCTATTTAGATCTGTCCAGACTCTCTAAGTAAAAATTATGAAGTTATACCCAATTATAATGTTATTTTCTCTCATATCCAGCCATCCTTGAAATGACCAATTGGACAAGCAACCACAGCTGGACCTAAAGGAATTTTCTTAGATTTATGAGGGGGAGAAAACAGCCACTGAATTTTGGACAATGTTCAGTTTCAATATTTTAAAATGGGTCTGTAGAGAATTGTTTGGTACTTTCGGCTTCACTATTTTTTATGAAAACTAAAAGGGATATTACATTTCTATTTTATGTTATATGTTAATTAATTATCCTACTAATGCGCTAACTCATAGTGAGCAATTGTCTTTTACAAAATGAAATTAATTTACCTGAAAAGAAATCCCATGACATACTAATGAAATTTAAAAGCTAAGTTATATTATATTTAATCCTTAAATTACAACATACTCATAGGCTACCTAGCCAGAAACCCAACTAGAATTGTCAATTCTCCTAATATAAAAAACATTCAAAATTTTTAACTTTTTATGGGTCCATGGTAACTGTATTATTCAGAAGGAACAAGAGATATTTCAATACAGGCAACAATGCATAATAATCACACCCAGGTAAACGTGGTACCCATTACCTCAAGCATTTATCATTTCTTTGTGTTACAAATATTCCAATAATATTTTTTTAATTTAAAATGTACAATAAATTATTGTGACTATAATCACCCTGTTGTGCTATCAAATACTAGATTATATTTGTTCTATCTAATTATATTTTTGTACCCATTAACCATCCCCACTTCCCAGCCCCCTCACCCCACACTACCCTTCCCAGCCTCTGGTAACCATTTTTCTACTCTCTATCTCTATGAGTTCAATTGTTCTCATTTTTAGCTCCCACAAATGAGAACATGAGAAGTTTATCTTTCTATGCCTGGTTTATCTCACTTAACATAATGTCCTCCAGGTCCAGTCAAGTTGTTGCAATAACAGGATCTCATTCTTTTTTATGGCTGAATAGTACTCCATTGAGCATATGTACCACGTTTTCTTTATCAACCTGTCTGTTGATGTACACTTAGGTTGTTTCCACATCTTGGCTATTGTGAACACAATTGCAAAAAAAAAATGAGGGTGCAGATATCTCACTGATATACTGATTTCCATGATTTTGGGTATATATCTAGCAGTGGGACTGCTGGATCATACAGTAGTTCTATTATTAGCTTTTTGAGGAACCTCCATACTGTTCTCCATAGTGGCTGTACTAATTTACATTCCCAAGGACAGTGAACGAGGGGGTTCCCTTTTCTCCACATCCTCACTAGCATTCATTATTGCCTCTCTTTTGGATAAAAGCCATTTTAAGCGGGGTGAGTTGTACAACAAATTACTGTGACTGTAATAATTTACATTATTCATTCAACTGCAGTGAGAATCACATTCTCATTGCACAGTTTTGAGTCATTTCTCTGATGATCAATGATGTTGAGCCCCTTTTTACATACCTGTTTGCCATTATATGTTTTCTTATTTTTTTTTTTTGAGGTCACTCTGTTGCCCAGGCTGGAGTGCAGTGGCAGGAACATGGCTCACCTCAGCCTCCCAAGTAGCTGGGACTACAGACACATGCCATCACACCCAGCTAATTTATTTTTATTTTTTGTAGAGATGGGGTCTCCCTACGTTACCCAGGCTGGTCTTGAATTCCTAGGCTCAAGTAGTCCTCCCATCCCAGTCTCCCTAAGTGCTGGGATTAGAGGTGTGAGCCACCATGCCTAGCCTGTATGTCTTTTGAGATTTGTATGTCTATTCAGATCTTTTGCCCATTTTTTTTATCAGATTATTAGATTTTCTTTCCTATTGAGTTGTTTGAGCTCCTTATATATTCTGGTTATTAACCCTCTGTCAGATGGATAGTTTGCAAATATTTTCTCTCATTCCGTGGGCTGTCTCTTTACTTTGTTGATTGTTTCCTTTGCTGTGCAGAAGCTTTTTAATTTGATGTGATGTATGAAAAAAATTCAAATTTTAGAATAAAACTACAGATATATTTTAGCAGGTTACTAGTATCAAGATAATCTCAACAGATCCAAGACAAAAAAAAAGTGACCTTTAATGAAGAGGAAAAAGTGAGGGCCAAAATGTTTTCTTAATATATATAGTGTATTTCCATTCTAAGGAATATATCTTTATATACTTTAAGGTATTTTAAAATTCCTATGCAGAATCTTGGTTTTCTTATCATTCTTACATATTCTTACATCAAAAAGTATCATAATTTCCTTTAAAGCAAAATTAAATTAGTTGTCTTCAACCAGCCTTCATTTAAATTTTTAACTTGCACTATTGCCAAAACATACAGGCCAAGAGTTTGGAGAAAAAAATAAAGGCAAAGAAAGTGGGGAAAGGCACTGAGGCAATACGAAAACATTCAGAGAACAATGAGTACTGGGTGCAGCAAGAACAGAGGCACCCTCCCTTCTCTAAAGGAACTTAAATGTCGTATTGCATTGGAAACACTAATAAAGAGGCCAGAATATTATAACAAATTATAAAACACCAAGTTGTTCAACATAGGAAATGAGAAGAAAGAGACAGCCGTGAACTACAGACTAACGGTGGGAAGTCTCATGAAGGAGATGGCATTTAAGTCAGAGTCTGGAGTTGAGGTAGAATAACTTGAATAAACAGCAAAGTAGAAGATGGGCATTCTAAGCCAAGAGCAACAAACACAAGCCTTAAAATGGAACAAAGCATAGTATCTTAGCCAAGAGTAGAAAGGCCTGCTTAAAGGATTAAGTAATTAAAGGATTCTTAAAGGAGATGCTAACACACATTTTTTCACTGAATCATGGATTATTATCCATATTTTAATATTTAACATTACTATCCATATTTTATAGGGTAGTAAACTGAGACACGGAAAGCTGAGTATCTTGCCCAGGGCCACATAATTACTTTATGAAGAGAATGTAGCACTCCTTCCACTCCCCACCCTGACTCACCGCAGGGAGCATGAGGTTGGACAGACAGAGTCGGGCAAGGTTATGGAGAAGACTTAATCCATCCACAAGAGGTCCGAGTATGTTGATGAAGTGATGACAGTACTGTTTCAAGAACATCAACCCTGCCGCAGTGAACAGATCTTAATTGACAGTGCTGAGTCAAGAAAACCACTTCAGAAGCTGGTGAAGTAATCTTCGAGAAAAGTGGTGAAAGCTCAGATTAGGGCAGTTACAGTGGGGCTACACAGAAAGAAACGAATACATTAGCTATGACAAAGAGAAGGTGACAAAATTAGTGCCTTGGTGGATGTAGGAGATAAAGAAATGAAGTTTAAAGTGAAAGGAAGTGTCACTCAAAGAAAAACAGATGGCATGGTTTATCACAAAAGTTATCAAGCTGAACACCTTTTCCCCACCCTACTTTCCTCTCCAGCCATTTTCTCCTCCCTCACAAGCCATTTTCTAACTTCTCACCCTATCCTTTCATTCATTCCTATTTTGAAGGCATCCTGTGGGTTGGACAGTGGGTTAACCTATGAGAAACAGAGATCACAAAACAGTAATAGCAACAAAAATATATTCATTAAGTGCTTATTCTATGCATGCAAATCATTGTTCTAAACGCTTTATATTTATTAACTCATTTGACTCCTGCTACAACTCCACAGAGTATGAAAAATTATAATCCCTACTTTAGAGAGGAGGACATTGAGATGAAACCTCACAGTAAATGGGGGAGCCTGGATTGTAACCCCGGCAGTCTGACCCCAGAGCCCACCCACTTACCCTGCTACACTACCCTCAAAACTCAAAAGCCTTCAAGCAGTTTCCATATTTTTGTGGCTTCCATCACAGTACAGTCCCAGAAGTTTCAGAAAAATTGATATAGGAGTGTTTGTAGATTTTAAATCCCTGAATTTTAGAAGTTTACCAATGACAAGACATGAACTTTATCAATTGATATCTTAGTTGTCCAACAATTAGCTATCTGAGAAGAGGGTACCAAATCTATCAAATAATGATACAATTTTCCACTTTGTTTTGACTCTGTGGGTAGTAATCACAAAAGTATATTAAGCAATTTGCACAGTCACAGAACAGTAAAAAGAAAATGCCTGACTCTTAAACTTTGTGATAAACAACAGAAAATTCTAAATATTTAGATCAACCTTGCCATCTTGAGATATAACCTGCATTACCAGATTTGTCCTTCTGCAACTACCTAAACTATGCATTATATCTCAATTATATGTATTATATCTCAATCAGAAAAAGAAACTTGCAAATAGAATTTTCAGCTAGAAACTTCAAAAGCGGATTTTACTTGAAGCAAAATAAGGAAGAAATAAAAAGGATCCAAATCCCAACAGTGAGACAAGTCAAACTGATAACAAACTTGAATCCACAACATGCTTCTAGAGCTCCGGCCAAATTAACCCCATGCGAATAGCAACTATATCCGTCTTAACCACGACTCAAAGTTCAGAAGCAATTAAAGAAGAAATTGATAAACTGGACAACATGAAAATAAAATACCATAAGCAAAGTCATCAATTCCAATATTGGGTATGCATCATGAATTGCCCCACCACTACTCAATTAAAATTGTCCTCTGGAAGGATGCCAATGGTTCCAAATTACTTTCCTCAATCCATCTTTTCATTGACCTCTCGGATGATCACCTCACCCACGTTCTCTTCTCCCTTGGCTTCACTGATCCTCTTTCCCCCTTTCCCTGGTCCTAGATGTCCTTCTTTTCAGGATTATTCTCTAGCTCTACTTCTTCTTCCCAGCCCCTAAAGTGACTCCAAAAGTTCAGAATTAGACCTTCTGTACATTTCTCTCTAAATTCCTTCCCTTAGGGATCCTAACTACCCCCAAAATCTGCTATTCTGAATCTCTCTCCTTAACAGCAGTCCCATAATTGCTTAAAGACATGTTTACATGAATATCCTGGTATTACCTCAAATTCACGTCTTAAACCAAAACTCATCCTCAATCCCGAACTTTACTTCAATATTCTTTCATTGTGCACTCACACCACACACACACACACACACACACACACACATTCACTAGACTGTTAGACAACCTCTCTGTAATTCCTCGGAACCCTGAACATTGCTCAAATATAGCCCAGATTACCCTATATTATAATCTCTGATTCGTGGGTATGTTTGTTTGCCTCTCCAAGTAGATTGTAAACTCCTTGAAGGGTAGGAGCTGTATCTTGGTCACCTATGCCTTCCCCAGGCCATATTGCAGGTGCTCAATAAAACCTGCTGAAGGTATGAATAAATTAACATATACGGATGATCTACTCCAGCCAAACTGGTCACTCAGTGTCTCCACTTGCTTGGCATTTTCACAGTCCTGACTTCCCAGAAGTCTTCTCTCTGCTGTTGCACACATGAAAAGTCCTACTCATCCTTACAGGACTCAGCTTAAATTTCAACTGCACCATGAAACTTTGTCAATTGGCCCCATTCCAACATGACCCCTTGCTCATTAGTCTTAAGAATGCCAGTCTGGTGTCATGAAAACTAGCACCTTTGTAACTGTATCTCTTGATTCAAAACCAGGCTGTGTGTCATCACACAGACACTGCTGATATATAAATAAACAAATACATACATAATCTGGCAAATTTCTAAAACTTTTTAAGGTTTAGGTTTTTTAGCTATTAAACGAGATAATAATACCTATCTTAGAGAACCTAGGGCAGGATTAAAGAAAAGTAAACCATCTAGATCATAGAGATATTCCGGAAATGTTAACTCCTTCCCCCTACACATCCAAGCCCCACCATCATTTTCCATTTATATAGCATACAGTGCTTAAACTGATGGTATATGTCATGTCTCCTCAATTAGACTGTAACTACTGGCAAGATCCATAAGGACGGGAGGTGTATCTCATTCATTTTTCTATATTTTAAATACCTACCAATGCACTTTACATAGAGACACAATAAAAATTGAGCACAATGAAAATACAGTTACAGTGGATTATAGCAATCAAGTGTAAATGGTGCCAAGACTAGAATCATAAATGTTCATCCAATTTAGCTGTAGAATTATTATGTGGCATCTCTTAATTTTACTCATGCCAAAGGCTGATTTCAACAAATGACAGTGTGAATAAAGACAAATCAATTTCTACAGTATACAAGTTAATAAGTAATCTTTGGTAATAACAGTAAAGGTAGCTTAAATTAAATGTTATAGTATTAGAAGGCCCTCCATACCTGTATTTGTTCTTATGTACTTTTATGCAAAGATTCCCTTTCATATATTCTTTGGTTTAATATGATTGTAACAGAGCTCTCTTCATACCACTTGTTAATTAACTGAAAGGAGACTGGGATTTTTATATTTTCCACTGGGGGGAGAAATTATAGGCTAATACTAAAACAAAATTGGTAATACTAAGATCCAAAACTTGTGCTAATTACAGGTAAAATCAATCAAAATATCTTTTTAATTAAAATGTTTCTTTCCAAAAAGATTTCATTAATATCAAGGTTTCAACATGTTCTCTGAAGTTATTGGAGTTTTTTCTTTTCCTATCCTGATTTATCATAGCCTTCTTTAACTGTAGGTTATCTTCATCAAGAATCAATTCCCATGGTTGGGTTTCAGTTTTTCTTTTAACTACTGCCCCATTTGCATGTGCTAACAAGTTGGAAGAGTTGCAATCTGCTGGGTAGTAACCTCCACTTTAACAATCAACATTTGATTAATGCTCCCAACCACACTCCCTTCCCTACAGAAACTATTTCTGTAGTTTTCATAAACCAAAATGTGCAGCAATAAACTTAATTTGAAAAAACAATTACTAAAGGTAGAGTGTGTGCCAAATCATTACCCTTTGAATATTTTCATGATTCTAAGTTCTTTTTGTTTTGCTCTTTTTCCCCATTTGGAGAAGTTTACGGTGAGAATTAGAGTCATTCATCTCCATTAGACCAAATCCACTGGAGCAGATAATATATATACACATTGGTAAAGTGGAAAAGAACCAAGGAGTTAAAAGACCAAGCTTCTAATTGCAGTTCAACCACCTGTTACATATCTTCAGGAAAAAATCACAACCTCTCAACTTCAACTTCCTCTTCTATAAATTAGAAATAACAATAACCACACCTGTAACCCCAGCACTTTGGGAGGCCAAGGCAGGCAGATCAAGAGGTCAGGAGATTGAGACCATCCTGGCTAACATGATGAAACCCTGTCTCTACCAAAAAGACAAAAAATTAGCCAGGTATGGTGGCACACACCTGTAGCCCCAGCTACTCGGGAGGCTGAGGCAGGAGAATGGCGTGAACCCGGGAGGTGGAGCTTGCAGTGAGCCGAGATGGCGCCACTGCACTCCAGCCTGGGCGACAGAGCAAGCCTCCGTCTAAAAAAAAAAAAAGAAAGAAAGAAAGAAAGAAAGAAAAGAAATAATAATAACCACCATTCCTATCTCAACAGCTTGTTCTAGAAATTTTTAAAGCACAGTATCACAAACAGCACTACATAATTGTAAAACATGTATGAATATATACATCCAAACAACAGCAATGTCATAGCCTATGGGTAGATATAATCTTATACAATGTACCAAAATCCCAATTTACTTCACTAGACAAACTGTTATACCAAATTCTGTACACAGTATATCCAAGAAAATGTGTTGTTTTTATTGAGAAACTGAACCTAGCTTGGGAACACATGTGCACAGTCTAGTTCATAATATTTGGTGCAAGTATCATTCTCTAATATAGATTTACATTTTTGCAAGCAAATTTTTACTTGCAATCATAACATATCCAAATTTTCCCTTTTTACTCAATCAGAACTTAGTGTAAAGTACTACAAGTTAGTTCTTCGGATTTCATGCTAAGAAAATAATGCAGATTTTCTGCATTATTATGGTCTTCACAGAAACCTTAACTATGATGAATTTAAAAGTGCAAAATAATCCAGGATAACTTTATGATTTCAGATTTTTTAATGTTAAAAATAATGCCATCATTAATTAGAAAATTCTAAAATCATTACTTCCACTTTCTTAGGCAAAATATCAATATACTCTCATTTGCCAAATAAATTAAAAGATCTCCTACAAACACAATCTCCTAAATTGTGGTTTTATGGCTTTAATGTTTTATGTGTGGCAACTATTGATGCTAGTTAAATTTTTAGAAACTTTTTCTTTTTGATTCCCTACAGTTGTCTACAAGAACCTTATTGTAGCATGATCCTGCCAGACTTTATGCTATTTGTTGCTCCAATTAAAACTGTTTAAAACATGAATTTGAAAAATCTTATTTTAACTATAATTTTGTAGCTGAAACTTTTTTTTCTAAACTTTGCAAACATTCTATGCAACCTGAATTAGTGCTGAGAAAAATGGATCTTAACGGTTGCTCAATGTTCTTCAACAGGTGAAAAGCATAATAAAACATGCTCATCTGAACTCCACCCATTTTCAATTTCAACATAGCAAACCTCCTGTTTATTCTTAGGGCAAATTCAAAATTGTACATATTAGGATTGGTTATTACTGAAGATAATTTATGCAATCATAAGCCAAAGATGCTAAGTTGGCAAAAAGAAAACAATGTAAGTAAGCAAACTCTAACACATGTGGACACACCCTCTCAGTATATAAAGGCTTGTCACTGTCCTTGGTAGCAGGCACTCCCTGGGCTAAACAGCATCACCATGTCTGTTCGATACAGCTCAAGCAAGCACTACTCTTCCTCCCGCAGTGGAGGAGGAGGAGGAGGAGGAGGATGTGGAGGAGGAGGAGGAGTGTCATCCCTAAGAATTTCTAGCAGCAAAGGCTCCCTTGGTGGAGGATTTAGCTCAGGGGGGTTCAGTGGTGGCTCTTTTAGCCGTGGGAGCTCTGGTGGGGGCTGCTTTGGGGGCTCATCAGGTGGCTATGGAGGATTAGGAGGTTTTGGTGGAGGTAGCTTTCGTGGAAGCTATGGAAGTAGCAGCTTTGGTGGGAGTTATGGAGGCATCTTTGGAGGGGGCAGTTTCGGAGGTGGCAGCTTTGGTGGGGGCAGCTTTGGTGGAGGCGGCTTTGGTGGAGGCGGCTTTGGAGGAGGCTTTGGTGGTGGATTTGGAGGAGATGGTGGCCTTCTCTCTGGAAATGAAAAAGTAACCATGCAGAATCTGAATGACCGCCTGGCTTCCTACTTGGACAAAGTTCGGGCTCTGGAAGAATCAAACTATGAGCTGGAAGGCAAAATCAAGGAGTGGTATGAAAAGCATGGCAACTCACATCAGGGGGAGCCTCGTGACTACAGCAAATACTACAAAACCATCGATGACCTTAAAAATCAGGTAAGAGGTATTTTTAAATCCAGCTTTAAGTATCTTGTCCATGTAATCCAGACAGATGAATCTTAAATTAAGCACAATGTGGCTGTTCACTATGCTTACCCATGTTACTTTCTTCCTTCAAAAATAACCCAGTCTCATCAAAGATAAACATCTGTGAAACTATGGTCATGGCAATCTTCATCCAGCAAGTGTGCTACTTGTCTTAAGAGGATGGGAGATTTACTAAGCACTTTTGAGGTTTTAATGAGCATACAATGAGTCCACAGTTAAAATATGCTAGGCTATTTACAAATGTAGAAACTGAAAAAAAAAATCATGATATGAATCAGAACAAAATGTTATTCAGACTGATAACAAGCCATATTCAGTACCAACATGGCAAGAAAAATAAATTTTCCAGTATGAAAATGGGACACTGCTTGCCTCTAAGGAATTTCTGAATTGTACCTATTGTGTACCAGTTCAGAGTGTATTTATTTATTAGTATTTATCATGAGTTAAACAAATGCAGGTGTGAGTCAGCCAAAGCATGGCTGAAATACATGGAAATCACATAGTCTAAAAGAGGAGGGCACACTTACAGGAATACATCTATATAATTCCAGTTAGTTTTCAGAAAGGAATAATTCGTGTACAGAAATACAAGACTGGAGAAATTCCAAGAGAACAAATAATTCAAAGTTAAGTATATGGGTAAGCCTGCAATATTTCATATTTAAAATAAAAAATTTTCCCAAGATTTTGTAAGAGAACAACATAAAAGTGCAGAGTGCATCTATGTCACTACAAAAGCCATATCTGCATCTGACCTCTTCTCAAATAACTGTGCCTCTCCCTCCAGATTCTCAACCTAACAACTGATAATGCCAACATCCTGCTTCAGATCGACAATGCCAGGCTGGCAGCTGATGACTTCAGGCTGAAGTAAGTTAAGTGATCGTTGTATAATACTATCACAACGAATACATCAGTGGTTTTTAACAATGACTTGGGATGCCCTCAATAACATTTACATTTTTCTGAATTCACCCAAAGTTAAATAGTATTGGAGTTATCTGAGAAATTTTCCATGTCAGTGTTACCTTTTTGGCAATATTAAAGGAAGAAAATGCATTTTAAAGTAACTGCTAAGGTTTTTTCCATTAAACCACTATTACTTCTAAGAGAACTGTACATGACAAATATTGCCATTACATGAGATCAACTATGTAGCTGCTTTTTAAATAGTCTCTGCCCAGATACATCTCCCCTATATAAGTTATAACCAGTATTGATATCATGCTTGTTTCAGGTATGAGAATGAGGTAGCTCTGCGCCAGAGCGTGGAGGCTGACATCAACGGCCTGCGTAGGGTGCTGGATGAGCTGACCCTGACCAAGGCTGACCTGGAGATGCAAATTGAGAGCCTGACTGAAGAGCTGGCCTATCTGAAGAAGAACCACGAGGAGGTGACACAAAAGTTATACTTTTCCCAGCCAAAAGAGAGTTCATTATGGTCCTCGTGTAGCCAATAAATCTTTCTGTTCCTCAAACAGGAAATGAAAGACCTTCGAAATGTGTCCACTGGTGATGTGAATGTGGAAATGAATGCTGCCCCGGGTGTTGATCTGACTCAACTTCTGAATAACATGAGAAGCCAATATGAACAACTTGCTGAACAAAACCGCAAAGATGCTGAAGCCTGGTTCAATGAAAAGGTAAAGTAATCTTCCTTATAGTGAAACTCATGGAGGTTTTATCATTTCAGAATTTCCTCACCCTTTTCCTTGTTTTTAATACTCTAGAGCAAGGAACTGACTACAGAAATTGATAATAACATTGAACAGATATCCAGCTATAAATCTGAGATTACTGAATTGAGACGTAATGTACAAGCTCTGGAGATAGAACTACAGTCCCAACTGGCCTTGGTATGTTAACTCTCATGAAATGACTTCAACTTTATCATACAAAGTTTCATGCTCACCTAAGAATATGCAATGCAACAAAAAAATGCAGAGTTGGAGGTAAGAAAGAGAAAACAAAGTGAAGCTCATGTTAATGGAGGAAAAGTACTACTAGTGTTGATCTAAAAGTGCTGAAACTGAAATGGTGCCATTAAACATACAACAAATTCTGTTCATTTTCTTATTCTTCTATATAATGCCTTACTAAATAATCAAATAAGCGTCACCATACTCAACTGAACAAGGAAGTCACTAAGCCACAAAAAAATCCGTTTCAGAAACAATCCCTGGAAGCCTCCTTGGCAGAAACAGAAGGTCGCTACTGTGTGCAGCTCTCACAGATTCAGGCCCAGATATCCGCTCTGGAAGAACAGTTGCAACAGATTCGAGCTGAAACCGAGTGCCAGAATACTGAATACCAACAACTCCTGGATATTAAGATCCGACTGGAGAATGAAATTCAAACCTACCGCAGCCTGCTAGAAGGAGAGGGAAGGTAAATTTTAAAATGAAAAGTTATCCCAGTTTCTTTTATTCAATATTCCAGATAGCAAGGCTTATCTAAACCCCAAGAAGATGCCAGAGAATGAGAGGAAGGGAGGAGAGAGGGTAGAGTACAGAAAAAGGAGTACGCAACCGCAATCTCACTTTCTCATGAATTTGGCCCAAAATGATTCTTAAGAGTTCTGTGAACTTAACATTGTTTTCAAAGGATGGGTTTTAAAATATATACCTGGCAGGGTTTTATTTTTTCAACACGTTTTGCTTATTTTCTAAATTAACGGCAACTGGAAAGCTACCCACCGTTTTCCAACGTTAGAGATAACCGAATGTGACCTCACCCCGTTTAGTTCCGGAGGCGGCGGACGCGGCGGCGGAAGTTTCGGCGGCGGCTACGGCGGCGGAAGCTCCGGCGGCGGAAGCTCCGGCGGCGGCCACGGCGGCGGCCACGGCGGCAGTTCCGGCGGCGGCTACGGAGGCGGAAGCTCCGGCGGCGGAAGCTCCGGCGGCGGCTACGGGGGCGGAAGCTCCAGCGGCGGCCACGGCGGCAGTTCCAGCGGCGGCTACGGTGGTGGCAGTTCCGGCGGCGGCGGCGGCGGCTACGGGGGCGGCAGCTCCGGCGGCGGCAGCAGCTCCGGCGGCGGATACGGCGGCGGCAGCTCCAGCGGAGGCCACAAGTCCTCCTCTTCCGGGTCCGTGGGCGAGTCTTCATCTAAGGGACCAAGGTCAGCAGAAACTAGCTGGGGTAATCAGAATTAGTTTTAACTTCCTGTGATGGTTTTTTTGCGCTTTAAGCTCTAGAGTTGTTTTAAAAAATTAAAAATCTTAGAGACGGTTCCGTTTGCATTTGTTCACAAACTACTCTTAACACCAGCCGTGAAAAATGGCATGATCAAAATGTCATACCTTAAGCATTTTTTTGGGCTTAACAATGTAAAGTTGAAATTTCCTTCTTTTTACAATATTTGCTTGTTAATTACTAAGGATCCCTACAGACTGTTTAAAATTTTTTTTCCATCATTCACACAGATACTAACAAAACCAGAGTAATCAAGACAATTATTGAAGAGGTGGCGCCCGACGGTAGAGTTCTTTCATCTATGGTTGAATCAGAAACCAAGAAACACTACTATTAAACTGCATCAAGAGGAAAGAGTCTCCCTTCACACAGACCATTATTTACAGATGCATGGAAAACAAAGTCTCCAAGAAAACACTTCTGTCTTGATGGTCTATGGAAATAGACCTTGAAAATAAGGTGTCTACAAGGTGTTTTGTGGTTTCTGTATTTCTTCTTTTCACTTTACCAGAAAGTGTTCTTTAATGGAAAGAAAAACAACTTTCTGTTCTCATTTACTAATGAATTTCAATAAACTTTCTTACTGATGCAAACTATCCCAATTTGTCAGAATTTATCTTTACTTAAGTACATAATACTCTTTAAAATTAAAGATTAGTAACCCATAGCAGTTGAAGGTTGATGTATCCAGAAATTCGGAAGACAGAACTATTGTCATGCCTTTTCTAAGTTTTTTAATCATGTATGTTCAGACCACCGTCAGTAAATTCACTGAGTAAAGTCTGTAAATCCCCAATATTACTCTTTAAGATACACAATATGTGGAAGGCTCCCAGCTCTCTGGCTTTAAATTATTTCAATCCTGGAAATTCTGGAATATCTCAAATAAAACCCCCAAAATAATAATAATTGGAAATTTTATATTTTCTAATTACCTGACTTCTCACCTTTGCCTTTTCTTACTTTCTTCCAGTTACTATATTACTTCTTCCCAATTGTTATATAGCTTGACATATCTTCTGACACCACCCAAGTAAAATCATATCACCCCCAACAAAATTATTTGATGTCCATCAGATGAACGTGAGAAACGCTGTCAGGAAGTAGTGATGCCAGTGTAACCAAAAGGACACCACTAGGTCTCTGCCTTCCCCAACTGTGCCCAGTGATCAGGACTAAAGACCTTGTACTTTCATAGCCCAGTCACATCCCTCAGCCAATAAGAACCCAACCAACATTACTTAGTACTCTACTGGGGATCCTATGAAGGGAATAAGCTGGCGTGTCCCTTAGACTACCTTGTGTCCTCTGATGAGTTCTTGGATTACTCATGTCCACCAAGTAGCAGCTTTCCTCAGTATCCTTGATTTGAGCTCCAGATCTGAGCCCTGATCCCCATGCCATTTGTTGGCACTCCACTCTGTAGACACTACCCTCTGTACCCCAAATTGATGACAGGAGCCTTGTTTCAATGGGATGGATTTCCCTATAGTCAAGGCTTCATAACCTGCTTAGCACCAAATATTAGCACAGCCCAGAGGCTCTCCATTTTCGTTCCTGTGCCTCTAAATGCCTAAATGTCTAAATGCTCACATGCCTCTGGATATTTGTACCAGCTAACCTTGGGAGCCAGTCTTCTCAGATCCACTATTGAAGTCCCAACACGCCTCACTGCGTAGAGCCCTGAAACACTGTGAAGTCCTTACGTCGCTGTATAAGGACTCTGAACTCCTACTGTGTAAATAGTGCTATACTGCCTGCTGTTCAGAAACACCATCTTTTAAAATATGTATTATAAGGTTAACCAAATCCCCGGGACCTATTGTACTTATAATCTGAGGTTACCATTCACCTTATTCTGAAGAAATAGATTTTTTATATTCAATACCACTGATACGAGGCAAGTACACATATGTTACTATGAGATAGCAGTGCTTGCTGTTAAGTTTGTCTCTTCTACCCATTCTGCCCTCCTCCCCCAGGCCACAATCTTAGCAGTCAGAGTCCTCTATGTGGTTGGATGGTGACCCAAACTTTCATTCCTGAAAAGTCTGCATACATCGTGGTCCTGTCTTCTTACCATTTCAATCTTGCAATACCTCCTTAAACAATTATTTATATTCTCTCTGATAAAGTAAATACTTTATCTCAGATAAACAGCTGCTTTCTTGATTGGACTTGGATAACTATGGTTTGTTTTTGCTTTTTTTTTTTTTTTTTTAATGAGACAAAGTCTCACTGTGTTGCCCATGCTAGTCTTGAACTGGGCTCAAGCAATCCTCCCACCTCAGTCTCTGAGTAGCTGGGATTATAGGCACATGCCGCAGTGCCCAACACTATGGTTTAATAAAGATAATCTGTCTAAATAAGCCACTTGTCTTTAATAAGGACATTGGTATTTATAGTAAAAAAAATTACAGAATTATTTTTAAAAATTATTAAATAGCACAGGGCACTATTTTTACCAAATAAATTTGCATGTACCTATTAATCAAAAAATTCTGTATGCATTCTTACAGATTCTAAAGTCATTACAGAATCCTGCTATTTAAGCAGGGTAGTGCCTAATTAGATTGGCAGAGCCAATTCGGCACCCATGTCAAAAAATATTACACGATAAAATCCTGTTTCCCCAAAGATGTTCTCTTATGATGCTAAAGGCCTAAAAGCTTTGCACCCTAATCTTGGTGCCCATGATGGCTTGATATTTTGCTTGGGAGTGAAGAAATAGCTTTGTTAGGGTCATCTTTATCAGGGAAGTAACTCGATTAAGGTTAAATAGGATGCATCTAATATTTCTCATCTATATTGCATTTTGAGAATGGGAATTAGGGAAAGAGCTTATTCATGGTTTATGAGCATGCAACTGAAACACAGTGATCCCTGGACTTCCTATCCTGGCACTGGCATTTACAAATTATGTACCTTTGGACAAGTTACTTCAACCCTTCTGAGTCTGTTTACTTACCTATACAATAAGGGATAGCTACCTTATATGAGGTAGTTGTGGTTAAACTAAGCTTGACAATGAAAATAATGATAATAATAGCCTTTAAATCACACCGGGCATTGTTCTGAGTAAATGATGGATGGATAGATAGGTAGGTAGGTGGGTAAATGTGTGGATGGATAGATAGATAGATTAGATAGATAGATAGATAGATAGATAGATAGATAGATACAGATAGGTAGGTAGACTCAGTACATATAACATGTATATGAACTCATTTAAGCTTAGCTACTACCCTACAGTTTATTTTCAACACAGAACCATAGTTATCCTTTTAAAATGTAAGTCTAATATATTAGATCAAATTGTAAGTCTAATTATATTTGATCAAAATTCTTTGATGTCTCTCCATTTCTCTTTTGATGTTACCTTGGTTAATATTCTTTAACAAGATGGTCTTCCTTACCTCCTTCAAGCCTTTGCACAGTTGTCACTTTTTCTTTGAGACCCACTCTGATTTTCCGCTTAAAATTTTACCTGCCAATCTCCCAACTCCCCTATCTGCTCCACTTTTTTTATTATTATTATACTTTAAGTTCTAGGGTACATGTGCAGAATGTGCAGGTTTGTTACGTAGTTATACGTGTGCCATGTTGGTTGGCTGCGCCCATTAACTCGTCATTTACATTAGGTATTTCCCCTAATTCTATCCCTCCCCCAGCCCTCTACCCCACAACAGGTGTGTGATGTTCCCCACCCTGTGTCCATGTGTTCTCATTGTTCAACTCCCACCTATGAGTGAGAACATGTGGTATTTGGTTTTATGTCCTCGTGATAGTTTGCTCAGAATGATGGTTTCCAGCTTCATCCATATCCCTGAAAAGGACATGAACTCATCCTTTTTTATGGCTGCATAGTATTCCCTGGTGTATATGTGCCACAGTTTCTTAATCCAGTCTATCATTGCTGGACATTTAGGTTGGTTCCAAGACTTTGCTATTGTGAATAGTGCCACAATAAACATACGTGTGCATATGTCTTTATAGTAGCATCATTTATAATCCTTTGGATGTATACCCAGTAAAGGGATCGCTGGGTCAAATGGTATTTCTAGTTCTAGATCCTTGAGGAATTGCCACACTGTCTTCCACAATGGTTGAACTAATTTACACTCCCACCAACAGTGTAAAAGCGTTCCTATTTCTCCACATCCTCTCCAGCATTTGTTGTTTCCTGACTTTTTAATGACCGCCATTCTAACTGGTGTGAGATGGTATCTCATTGTGGTTTTGATTTGCATTTCTCTGATGACCAGTGATGTTGAGCATTTTTTCATATGTCTGTTGGCTGCATAAACGTCTTCTTTTGAGAAGTCTGTTCATTTCCTTTGTCCACTTTTTGATGGGGTTGTTTTTTTCTTGTAAATTTGTTTAAGTTCTTTGTAGATTCTGGATATTAGCCCTTTGTCAGATGGGTAGATTGCAAAAATTTTCTCCCTTTCTGTAGGTTGCCTGTTCACCATGATGATAGTTTCTTTTGCTGTGCAGAAGCTCTTTAGTTTAATTAGATCCCATTTGTCAATTTTGGCTTTTGTTGCCATTGCTTTTGGTTTTTCAGTCATGAAGTCTTTGCCCATGCCTGTGTCCTGAATGGTATTGCCTAGGTTTTCCACTTTTTCTTTTTTTCACAGCACTGTTTCCAACTTACTATACAATGTATTCATTATTAGTCATCCTTTTCCCCTGCTAGACGGTACACTCCAGAAAGACAACGCTTGATCTTCGTCTACTTTATCCATTCATGTATCCTGAGGCACTAGAACAGTGACTAACACAGGTTAGGTACCAAAAATATCGTTTTTGAAGGAATGAACTCTATGACATATATACTATTATTATCTCCATTTTACAGATGAAGAAACTGAAGCACAATTTAATTCATCACTGGAACTAAGAGTGTAGGAAATGATTATATATAAATGGACATTAGTGTATGATAAAGGAAGAATCTAAACCCTAAGAAAGTAAGGTTTATTCAGTAAATGATAAACTATTAAACCCATAACAAACATACTAGAAATAATCCAAATGAGTGTCTTAAACATCCATATAAGTAGTAAAAAAAAAGCAGAAAAAAATGTGTAATCACATTTTTTAAATTTTGAAATAATTATAGACTCGTTGGAAATTGCAAAAATAGTAGAGTCCAGTGTACTCCTGACTCACCTTCCCCAAATAGAGACATCTTCTATAGGCTAGGGTATAATATCTAAAATTTAAAAATTGGCATTGGTACATCACTGTTTAACTACAGAGCTTACTCAGTTTTTGTTTTTCCTAACCTGCATGTGTATTCACAAAATACAAATCTTATAAAGGACTGGCATATAGAATATAAATATAAAAAACTATAACTCAATAACAAGAAAAAACCACAAACCAAAAAAAAATTGTGTGTCTGTGCAATTGTACCCCATGTATAGGTACAATTTTTGTACCACCACCCAAATCAAGATACAGAACCATTTCATAACCACAAAAGAACTCCTTCATGCTACCTTTTTGTATTCACATGTGTACCTCAACACTCCCTTCCCAGTTCCTGGCCCCTGGCAACTACTAATCTCCATCTCTATAGTTTTACCATTTAGAGAATGCTATATAAGTGTAATCACACAGTATGTAACCTTTTGAGACTGAACATTTGTGTACACGTTTTGGTGTGAACATACATTTTCATTTCTCTGGGTTATATGTCCAAGCATATAATTGCTAGGTCATATGGTAGGTGCATGTTCAGTTTTGTAAGAAACCGCCAAACTGTTGTCCAGAGAAGCTGTACCATTTTATATTGCCACCAGCAATAAATGGGAGAGCAAATTTTTCTGCATCCTCATCAGTATTTGGCATTATCAGTATTTTTCTAATAGGTATGTACTTATAGCTCACTGAAGTTTAATTTGCATTTCCCTAATGGAAAATATGCTGAATAGCTTTTCTTTTTATTTTCTTTTTTTTCTCTCTCTTTTTTCTTGTTTTGAGACAGAGACTTTCTCTGGCGCCCAGGCTGGAGTGCAGTGGAGCAATCTCAGCTCACCGCAACCTCTGCCTCCCAAGTTCAAGTGATTTTCCTACCTCAGCCTCCTGAGTAGCTGGGATTACAGGCATGCGCCACCATGCCCAGCTAATTTTTGTATTTTTAGTAGAGATGAGGTCTCACCATGTCAGCCAGGCTGGTCTCAAACTCCTGACCTCAGGTGATCCACCCACTTCAGCCTCCCAAAGTGTTGGGATTACAGGCGTGAGCCACTGTGTCTGGCCTGAACAGCTTTTCATGTGGCTATTTGCCATCCGTATCTCCTCTTTGGTGAAACATCTGCTCATGTATTTTGATCATTATATAGCCCATTTGTATTTCATTGTGTTCTTTTCACTTAGGATTACTTTGGCTATTCATGATCTTCATCGGTCCCATATGAATGTTAGAATAGTTTCTTCTAGTTCTGTGAAAAATTACATTGGTGATTTGATAGGAATAGCATTGAACCTGTAGTTCGTTTTGGGCAGTATGGTCATTTTAACAATATTGACCCAATATCATTATTCACCCAATCCATGAGCATATGATGTTTTTCCATTTGTTTGTGTCATCTATTGAAAGTCACCGTCAAAATAATTTTAAAAAGCCAAAGACTGGGAGAAAATAGTCACAAAAATACAAATCTTATAAAGGACTGGCATATAGAATATAAATATAAAAAACTACAACTCAATAACAAGAAAAAAACCACAAACCAATTAAAAAATGGACAAAAGATTTGAACTGATACTTTATCAAAGAAGAGATACAAATGGCAAATAAGCACACAAAGAAGATGCTTGACATCATTAGACATTAGGGAAATACAAATTCTAAACATACCACTATACAACTATTAGAATGACTCAAAAAAAATTTTTTGATGGACAATACCAAGTGCAAGTAGGGATTCTGAGCAACTGGAACCCTCATATATTGCTAGTGGGAATGCAAAATTATAGTTTGGCAGTTTGTCATCGTGTTAAACATAGACTTAACATACAATCTAGCAATCTCACTCATAGACATTTATCCAACTGAAATAAAAATATCTACATAAAGACCTATGAGGAAAATTTAGAGCAGCTTTATTCATAATCATGAAATCTGAAAATAGCCCAAATGCCCATAAACTAGTGAATGGAAAAAAATATGGTACACCCATATATGAAATGCTACAAAAGAAACAGACCACATTACATCTTGAAATTCAAAAGCATTATGCTAAGTGAAAGATGCTAGACTCAGAAGGCTATATGTTATAGCTCATTGATATGAAATTCAAGGAAAAGTCAAACTAGAGAGCTAAAAACAGATCAGAGATTGTCAGAGGGTAAAGGGAGTGTGTTTACCACAAAGAGGTACAAGAGGATTTTTTGGAATGATGGAAGTATTCTCATATTCTCTGTTTTGTTTATGGTGGCCATTGTACAACTGAATTTGTTTGTCAAAATTAATTGAACTATACACCAAAAAAAGGTAAATTTTACTTTATGCACATTAAACCTCAATAAACCTGACTTTTAAAAAAAAATGAAAATTAAAAACAGCAATTGAACATTTAGCTTTTTATTTTTCTAGTGTGGTCAGTTTCTGCTGTATTTTCAGCTCCAAAAAAAGCTTGTACTCTGAGGACTAAAGAGCATGAAAATTTCTTTATAGCAAAAAAAAAAAATAGCACAGGTAAATAATTTCCTTATAATGGATTTTTTAATGAACAAACTTTGTGAATCATATTCTTAATCTATAGAACCAACGGATTAATTAAAGTTGAACCATAGCCTGCCTGTAATCACACGTTTATATTTGTGCAGCCTGTTATTAGAAAGAAAAGATGGAGGTGTCATAACGCACAACCTTTAAAACTCCTGCTTCTCCTGGAATGTTGTTTTGGTAGTTGGTTTGGGAATGTGAATGAGTAATGTTTGGACAACTGGGTTACTTATGGTGGGAAGAGTTAAAAGGAGTTGGTATGTAATCGCTACTTGATGCCAAGCCAAAAGAAATATAGAAACTCACGGCAATGTCTCCTCTCACCTAGGTGTATCCTCACCCTTCTACGCTCCATGGTGATCTTCCTGCCAAGATTTTTCTCCAATCAAAAGTCCATCTTCCACTTTCTCTTTGGAAAAAGAATGCGTAACAGTCTCACTACTGCCCATCACCTATTCCCTTTCACTGACATCTCCCCAAGCCCAACTATCATTTTCTGCCTTTAAAAAATAACTGGAATTTATATAAATCAATCCAACGCCTATCATAGACCTTGGTTCACAGTATGCATTAAAATATGTATTGGTTGATCATTCCTTCTGCAGTGTCAAGCACTGTGCCAGGCAACAGTGATTAAAAATAATGAATGAAACCCAGTCCTTGCCTTCAAAGAACTCAGAAGTAGAAATAGATGTACAACTACACAGACATGGTAGAAAGCACTACACAGAAGTAAGCCCAGGTTGCCATGGGAGCTTGACAATGCAATAGTCCTCCCTGTACAATTGAGATGACCTCTAGCAACCTATGCCTTCCAAAATGTCTACAGGTAATCTACATACACATTCAAATTAAACTTTCTATTATTTCACTGTTTTTTCATCTGCCCTGTCAGTAGAGCTGATTACCTTCTGCAAAAATGGGGACAAAGACTAAGATATCACATCTTGGCAGGAACACCATGCTTTACAGTATTTATTTGTGGAAACTGTGTTAAGAGGGGAAAAATGAAATAAGCACACTGGAATTTCCACTCTGTTCTAATTATGGAAAGCCATTTAAACAGTGATAAGACTCTATTGTTCATAAACACTACTTAGAATTATAATTATCTCCATGTGCGGGATACTGTGTTATGCGGTCAGGACATACCAAAGTATGTCAAGAAGTAGTATAGAAGAACAGTGTAACACTGTGTGTGTGCACAGATCTTTGCAATTCTCAATATACTTACACCTCTATGTAGAAATCATCTTCAGAACAACCTGGGGACATATGCAGGGTTCAGAAATATGTAATGATTTCCCCAAGGTCTCATGGATAGCAGCTGGCAGACCTAGGTCTTATATGTGGGATTTCTGATTTCAAGCCTAGAGCTCCTTCCTCTAGAGCAGTGATTACTAGACATTTCTTATTACAGTAAAAACATTTGAGTATGCACCCCCAAGATGTCCATATTTATTTTAAAATTATATAAAATATATGTATGTGTATATATACTATCAGATAGCTCAATGCACAACATGTATTTAGCATAAAGACTGTAGACCCAAATCCTTATTTTAAATAATCTTTTTGAGAACTCCAAATTTTATCAGCTGATTTCTTGTGGAATATAATACCACCATTATGATGATTATTGTATTATATTTTACCCAATAATGTGGCTGGCAAAGAACTCTTAACAGAAGTGGAAGTGTCAGCTGTCCCATTTTTTTGTTCTTCAATCATGCTTTCATGATTCTGTTATCTTCCAGTTGCTGTTTCTTTGCTGTTTCTGGTGGGGAGGGGGGATTCGCTCCATTAAAAGCAGCAATACAATCCTGAAATACAATGGACATAAACTGCAATGTCACAGTGCATTGCAAGCAAATGAAGATGTCACTATCCACTTCTCTACATTGTGGGGTGAACATTCTTTTCTCAGAATATCTTTTGAGCTGATTGAGAAGAGAGATTGACATAAAGATAAAATCAGAATGCCAATGTCATTCTTATATTAAATATGAGTTTAGTTTAATTCTTACTTTCTAATACAAAAACTTAAATAGAAGTTCTGACACCCTCTTCCTCCCACCCAGTGGGTTGCCTGCATCTCCTAAAAGTACATACTTTACTTGGAGACCAGTGCTCTGTAGTGCTTAGCCCTGCTCCTTCCTATATTTTGCCAGTAGTTCTGACTTACATTCCTTTTTTATAGCAAATATTTTGATTCACCCCCTTTACTATTGAGAAATGAAATTCATAGGTAATATATCCTTCCAACACACAGTTTATCCTAGTATACGGAGGAGGAGCAGGGGTGGGTACTATAAATATCACATGTACAAAACATATACTTATCACTTCTGTGTTTCATATATACATTTTTATATATCATATATAGAAACTGGCCGGGCATGGTGGCTCACACCTGTAATCCCAGCACTTTGGGAGGCTGAGGCGGGCAGACCATGAGGTCAGGAGTTTGAGACCAGCCTGGCCAACATGGTGAAACCCCATCTCCACCAAAAATATAAAAATTAGCCAGGTGTGGTGGCACATGCCTGTAATCCCAGCTACTCAGGAGGCTGAGGCAGGAGAATTGCTTGAACCCGGGAGGCGGAGGTTTCACTGAGCTGAGAGCACACCATTGCACTCCAGTCTGGGCAACAAGAGCAAGACTCCGTCTCAAAGAAAAAAAAAGAAAAGAAGATAAAGAAACTATGCATGGGAAGTTTATATTATCTATGATTATAATCTATAGTGTGTAGAAAGGTTAATGATAGATGTAAAAGAAAAACAGAAGGAAAGATAACTTGTAATAAAATTATTTGCATTTCAATATGGAAATGTTCGAGTATGATTGTACCAGAAGATGTAATGAAGTAGTCAAATGATTGCATCTATATGCAAAACCAGCGAGAATGCAAAAAGGTACAAATGAAGAGAGACTGATAAACGTGGGCACATCACTGACTTAAATACAATGAGCAGCAATGTTGTTGGTGATGGGATTTTTTAAACAACCCTTGATCAAATTCTGGGCAAAATAAGCTTAAGTACAATCTTCCTTGATTTATACAGCAATTACATTCCTAAAAAAATTCAGTTACAACTTTGCACACACACAAAAAAAAACTTTGTGTTTTTACATAACTTAGAACTCGTTTCCAGATTCAGGTAATTATAAACAGGTTTTTCACTTTCATGAATAGCTCATGGTTCAAAAGTCATGTGGAACACAGGACAATTCCTTGATGTCCAGGACTGTATCATGCATTTCATTATGTCTGGCATCCCTCCCCGACCCCAAATGCCAGCAACAACCCCTATCATTATGATGACCACATGTGTACACATTCACACATAGACACACACACTTCCAAAATATGCCCTCAGCAGCAGTACCCCTTGCACAGAGATTGAGGACTAGGCTTTCATTCCTGGTGTATCAAGAATCTCTACAGCGGCCAGATACAGTGGCTCACGCCTGTAATCCCAGCACTTTGGGAGGCCAAGGTGAGCAGATCACATGAGGGGAGGAGTTCAAGACCAGCCTGGGCAACATGGTGAAACCCCATCTCTACTAAAAAACACAAAATTTAGCCAGGCGTGGTGGCATGTGCCTGTAACCCCAACTACTCAGGAGGATGAGGCATGAGAATCCCTTGAACCTAGGAGGTGGAGGTTGCAGTCAGCCGAGATTGTGCCACTGTACCCTAGCCTGGACGACAGAGCGTAGGAAAAAATCTTGTCAGCATGTCCCTGGTAACACCTTGGGTAGTCCTTTTGTAAATTAGATTTTAATCTCAGCAAGGTTAGGTCTGTCTGCCTTACTCATAGGTAGCTGTAAACCCACACCTAGCACAATTCTCAACACACAAGCTGAGGCTCAATAAATATTGGTTAAGCCAGTGACAAAATCAGTGAGTCACCTACAAGTGAGTCCATGGACTACAAGACCTCCCAAGGCAAATCCAGGGATGCTGGGGTTTAAAAAAATGGAAAAAATAATTCATGCCATCCAGGCTCTCCCAAGTGCTAGGAACTTTTCTAGCTCTCCATCTTCATGACTTTCTTCATGGTAAACACCTAAACTCCGTTAAAGACTGCCCCCAATAATAGCAACTTCCCCCACAGCGGGTAATTTAGGGGCTTGAGACACTGGATCATAACCAGTGACGACACTTCTAGGTGCAAATCTGGGTAGTGTCACTCAAATGCTTTCCAATTCACTCACTGGTGCTATTTGTTCCCCTCTTTCTCAGGAACCAAGAGAAGGGCTGAAATAAACAGTTACCTATGGGAGCTTCATAAAAGCTGCAAATGCTGGTGCAAAAAAAACCCCTCACCACCATGAACAGAGCAGAGGAATGGTGTAGCAGAAACAGCTGTGTCCGACAACGGATGAAGCTGCTGAACTACATCAAGGGCTTGGTGCACCAGCTCTTTTCAGAACAATCATCCCCAGCACCTTGCCAGGAGGAGGGTAGGGATTTGGAGTCCCTGAGACTTTAATTCAGTGGGTGGGATACATTCATTCATTCATTCAACAAATATCATTGAGGCAGGCAATGTGCTAGGCCATGGAGATAATAAGTTAAGACATAGCCATTCCCTGTGATACATGCCATAGAAAATGTACATGTCGGGGGCTAAGGACCATGGACAAGGCACCGTGACATCCAAATCAGAATGGAATGTCAGGGAAGGTTTGCTAGAAGATGTGGCTCTTGAACTGAGCCTTGGTGGATGGTAGAAATTAAATATTTCAAAAGGTTGGGAAGAGCATTATAGAACAACTGGGGGCGTAGTTACAAATACTACACTGAGGTACCCAACTTCAAAACTGTGATCCATGTGATATCTCTACAGAATCTTTATTTCTTTGTTGTTGTTGCTGTTATTTGTTTTTGAGGTAAAGTCTCACTCTGTTGCCACAGCTCACTGCAGCCTCTACCTGCTGGGCTCGAGAAATCCTCCTATCTCATCTCCCGAATAGCTGACACCACAGATGCATGCCACCATGCCTCGCTAATTTTTTTTTTGAGATGATAGTCTCACTCTGTTACCCAGGCTGGAGTGCAGTGGCATGATCTTGGCACACTACAACCTCCAAATCCGGGGTTCAAGTGATTTTCACAACTCAGCCTCTTGAGTAGCTGGGATTACAGGTACACGTGGCCACCCCCAGCTAATTTTTGTATTTTTGGTAAAGACAGCGTTTTGCCATGTTGGCCAGGCTGGTCTCAAATTCCTGACCTCAAGTGATCCACTCACCTCAGCCTCCCAAAGTGCTGGGATTACAGGCATGAGCCACAGCACCCAGCCCAGAATCTTTATTTCTGATCAACATCGGTAGTAGGGTATTGATAGTTGGTGACATAATCCCAGAAGACAGCACAACACAGTAGAAACAACCATAGCTGCAAATGCTAGCACCATCACTCACCATTTGGAAACAATCAATTTCTTTGCCTTTTCTAGCTTCTAGAAGCCACATGCATGTCTTGGCTCATGGCCCCATCCTTCATCTTCAAAGACAGCAGCATAGCATCTTCCAATCTCCGTCTCTGCTTCCACTATCCCATTGCCTTTTCTGACTCTGACACTCCTTCCTCCTTCTAAGGACCCTTATGATTATATTGGGTCCACCCAGATAATCCAGGATAATCTCCCCATCTTAATATCTTTAATTTAATCACATCTGTAACGTTTCTTTTGCCATGGAAGGTAATGTATTCACAGGTTCTGGGGGTTAGGACGTGGACACCTTTGGTAGGGCCATTATTTTGCCTATCTCAAGAATCATCTTTAATTCTTCTCTATTCCTGTCCTCCCCATCCTTACCACAGCTATGTATTACCAGGTGCAATAAAGACATTCTCCAAAATTATCCCAATTCCATCCACTTCTATCTTAACTACCCTGGCTCATCTGAATTACTGCAACTGGCTTTGTAATGGTTTCCCCCGACACACTCTCACTCCCCTCCCATCCATTCTCCATCACTCATCTACTTAAACTTCTCAATGGCTTCCCTTTATGCTTGGGTTCAAATTCAAAATCCCTAGCCTGGTCCAATAAATCTCTTCATGGGCAGCCCTCTGCAGTCCTCTCTCCCTGCACACTCACCACCAGCAATAATGGTTTTCTTCCAGTTCCTTGAAGGCACCATACCCTTCTCTTCTCAAGCTAAAAGAAAAAAACTTTATTTTATTTATATTTTCTTCCCCTCCCAAAATGCCTCTTCGCCCACCCCCTTGCCTAGCAATCTCTTTCTCATCTTTCCAGTGTCTGCTTAATGTCATTTCTTCAAAAGGATTGCTTTAATCTAAATTAGGTCCTCCCCTAATAGTTCCATATTCCTTCCTTCCCTAATTTTTACAGCAATTTGTAATTTTATGCTTATTTGCTTAAGGCTCAACTCCCCAATAAACAATAAGTTCCATGAGAGTTGAGAAGGCCTCTATTTTCTTCCCCTTGGTACCACCTGCCACTAATGCAATGCCTGGCACATAATAGGTGTTCACTAGATCAAAAAAAAAAAAGTACTGGTCACTAGGCTTAGTACTTGGATGACAAAATAATCTGCACAGCAAATCCCCATGATATGAGTTTACCTGTATAACAAACCTGCACATGTATCCCTGAACCTAAAATAAACGTTTTAAAAAAATAGGTGATCACTAAATATTTCTTGACTGAACAAATGAGTGAATGAATGAATGACACCTGATAGCAGAACTGTAGCCAAAAATTTTATTTTGCTATTAATTCGAAATTCTGCAAAGAATTTGTAAGAAGACAAATTAAAGACATTAAAGACAGATTTTTGCATTGTTTGGTTTTCATTTCTCTACCTGACCTTAAGATAATTATGAACTGAAAGGACCACCTCACTGAGACACAAGGCGCGTTCTGGGCCTTGTCCATCCCGTTTCACACTGTGTATCCTTGAATGGTTCCTCTGTTTCCTTATCTTTAAAACAGGGAAAGAAAACCTCTCTCTTCCTAATTCCCACCTTCATTATAAGGTTCAAATGAGATCATATACAAGAAATCCCTTTGGAAGCTGTAAAGCAGCATATCAATGTAAGGCCATCGTGTCTTTGTACTTATCACACTCTGTAACTTCACAAAATTAAATGCTGAAGCTGCTTGTTTGCAGAGGTTTAATCATTTCCACCTGAGGACAGCAGGGACCCAGGCTGGAGAGGAGGTTCCGCCCCTGGCATCTGCGCGGCGAAATCCATATGTAAACGAGCCCTGCCCCCTGGTGGAAGGAGAAGGGTGAGCGTGCCCGGCAACTGGGATGGTCAGGATCCTAATGACAGACGCTGGCTGAAAAGGAGAATCCGCTTATTTAAGCATATACTTTTTAAAGAAATAGTTTGTCATTTTTTCTTTTTGTTGTTTTCATGTGTTTTTTAAATTAACAAATTATAATTGTGTATATTTATGTTGTACAACATGATGCTTTAAAATATATGTACTTTTTAAAGAAAACAAAAAAAAACCCAGGGTGATGTTTTAAAATATGTATACATTTTTAAAGGAAAAAAACCCAGTTTTCTTTTGATTAAGAAAAGTTAAAAAAAAGACAAAAAGAAAATACGTGTACATTGTGGAATGGCTCAGTCAAAGTAATTAACCCACACATCACCCCATATCTGTATCATCTTTTGTGGTGAAAACACTTAAATTCTACTCTCTTAGCAATTTTCAAGTATGCAATGCATTGTTGTTTCTTTTCTTGTTGTAAAATGGCCTTTTGGAAACATTTTACTTACTTATAAAGGATACAGACACGTTACACCAATGAGTTGTCTAATTATTATTTGGAGTTTAGTAATAAATGAGAGATTTGCAATTCTTTATACATTTTCATATTCTAATTCCTTATAGCTAAATCTCAGCAATTCAATTAGAATCATTTTACAACTCACGCGTGTTAAGACTATGGATGGTGTATGCTAGAAAATTTCAGCTTATATATTTCCCTATGTGTTACATGCGTTTTATTTAACTTTGTTATACTGTGTATATTGTGTACATACTGGACAAGTGAGTCCTAATTTTATAATATCTAGTCTCTAGATATTAAAGAGGTTGCCAATGTTTAAAAAAAGACTACAAATGGCAACATATAAAGTATTTGTATGAGCATGCATCATAGAGTAATTACTTATGTCTAAATATATTCACGGTGCCAGAATACCAAGGTCAACTTGAACATATGCCACGTTTTCACCTGGCCTATCCCTCACAGCTCTGAGCAAATTGTTCAACATTTCTGAGTCTCAGTTGCCCTGAACTGCCAAATAAGGGGCTAAATTAGGTGATGTCTAAGGCTCTTTGCAACTCTAAAAATATCCTACAACTTTGTCCAGAAAATGCATCTTAGAGGCCACACGCGAGCCACCCTCAGCACCAGCTAATCAGGCTCCAGACTGTTTAGGCCAAGGCAATTCCAGGAGACCACCCCTGACTATTCTGGTGGCAAAACAATTTTATACTTGTCATCACTCCCTGAACCCAGTCAAATCCAACCAAGTGGACTCAAAACCAGTCACGTCCAACCAAGTGTCTCCTGTCCCTTGTCCCTCCTTTTTCCTGCCCTGCCAACCCTCTTCATCCCCACCCTCCACAGCCATGGCCTCAAGAGGAAGGAGGCTTCTCCTTGGTCACCTCTCCTTCCCTTCCAGCCTGATGTCCCAGCCCTCCACACTCACACACCCAGTTAGGAACAACACCAATAGTAATAATAATGGCTTCCATTCATTGACAGTTTTCCATTTGCCAGGCACCGCACTAAGCATGATCTCATTTAGTTTTTCAACAAGCTTATGAGGTGGAAACTCTTTTTACCCACACTTTGACAATTACATGAACCTTTTCTGCAGACCTCTCTGCAAAATAGTTCAACTGAAATGATTCTTTAATAGCATTAACCACTTTCTGCTGAATTGTCCTAACAACTTTTTCTATCAGAAACTTATCCTTCATCCTCGATCTCCATTCCCATCTCTCTCCCCTTTCCTCTCATTTTCTCCCACATCTTTTCCTCTCATTTTCTCCCACATCTTTTCTTGTCATCTCCTCTCCATCCTCCTTCTTCACTTCCATCTCCTCTTCTGCTCCCACTTCCACACACCTAACATAAGGACTTCAAGGCAGAGTCTGTGTTCTCTAGATCCCCAATGCCACATCTAGCTTTGTGCCACTTAATTCTTATGCTAAGACTCCTCTTTTGAGGCAAATGCCATCCAATGGCCCCTCACCACATACACTCCCCTCTGCCTCATCATCCAAAAACCTTGACAATGGCTCACAGCCCACTTCCCTCCTGTCTCCTGCCATCATGAGAAACTTCACGCCTTTATAGATGGTACATTTAATGTCACAGACAGATAGTTCCTGACCTCCTACTCTCTTGCCTTTCAGGTCCAATCCACTTCTGACTTCTTGTTCCAGTGACTGTTGGTCCACTCCCATGACTACTCTGTGGACTTTGGTGACACCTGGAGTTGTGCCTACTTTAAAATTCTAAATTCTGGTTTCCACTATCCAATTTTAGCCTGTCATCCTTCACCTTTATCAATCTCCTCCTCACACTCCGCCTGCTCCATGACCTCATAAGGATACCCAATGACTCACCCTCTGCCCTTTTCTTCAGTCCATCTGTCCCTCTGGTTTTACTTTCTTCTTGCTATATGATCATACAGTCAATCGCCTCAATTGTTTTCTCAAGAACACCAGAAATTTCTTTGCCACTATTTCCTTCTTCTGGACCTGTCTTCAAATCCCAAAACCCACATCAATCTGATCATCATCCTTTCTATTCCTGCACCAGGATTACTTCCAAATATGCAGTTGAACATCATTATAAATGAGAGCTGGACCCTCCAATTTTCTTTTACTCATTGCTAGTCAAGTATTTTTCCAGTTCAGTATACATATTCTAAACAGTCATTCTTGCTATCAGTCACCTTCATCTGGAACATTCTGGCAACCCCTCAAATCCAGTTGGTCCAAACCTAAACTCAGTGTCTTCCTCCTCCTCTATTCCCCATCTCAGTGAATATTATGAGTTCCCAGAATCTAAAATTAATTACCTAAGAGTTATCCCCAATTCTGCCTTATTCCCTACTCTCCAAATTCAATCATATTACCATATGCTCTCAAAGCCATCTTCTCTGCATCCCCACTGCCTTCATCCTTCTCACCTGGACCATTATTCCAACCTTGTAATTGACCACCTTGTTTCATTTCAACCTGATCATTTTGCCCTCTGCTTTTTACTTAGGATTCATTACAAACTCTTTAGACCAGCACAGAAAGCTAACCATGATCCAGCCCCTGTCTGGACCTGACAATAGATTTCTTAAAGATTGTAATCACGCATTTTTCACTTCTGCATTTAGTTAACACTATGTCTTTCATTTTAGCACTTAGCATAGAGCACCAAACATCATAACCATGCTATTTTAAACAAAATAATAGGTCAATATTTGTGTCATTGTCCAAGATAATAAATAGATGTTATAATCATGGTAAGAACAGAGATGTCACTAGCCTCTGTTTTCTAAATAACACATTTTTTTCTGGTGGGATAAAATATCTGTTTCTGTAATTAGCAGTCCTTTATACCCCTCCATGGTAATTGAGACCCTACTGTACCTCACAGAACTCTATCATAATCTTACTTAACTTTATAAAAAATTTGATAATACCTGGCGCCAGATAATGACAGTATATGCCTAGGGTCTAGATGAAAGGAAAGGATTACTCACTCAAAATTAGAAGTTAAATTAATAAACTTAATATAGAACAAACCCTATTATATTTAAGATAAGAAATAGCCCAAAGCAACACCGAGGGATGTTAGACATTAATTATTTTTAAAATCACCCAATTATACATAATTTTATGCTAATCTAAGTGATGCCATTTTGCTTTTGGCATGTATAACTCAAATAGGAACGCCCCAATAATGATATATAAAAACCCAAAGAAATTATCAGTGCATGATATTCTGTTCTCTTGGGACATTACAGTTTTGCATAGACAAGGTGAACATTTCTCAAAACACCATGTCTCTCCAATTTTCTAATGGATCCAGGCATGTTTGCTTAAGGTCTGGAGCTGGATCTGTCAGACCCCTCAATGGAGGTGCAGGCTTTGCAGGCAGCAGTGCATGTGGTGGCTCTGTTGCTGGAAGTGAATTTTCCTGTGCCTTGGGAGGGGGCTTGGGCAGTGTTCCTGGTGGGAGCCATGCTGGTGGTGCCCTTGGAAATGCTGCTTGTATTGGCTTTGCTGGAAGCGAAGGGGGACTCCTCTCTGGAAATGAGAAGGTGACCATGCAAAATCTTAATGACCGCTTGGCATCCTACCTGGATAATGTGCGAGCTCTGGAGGAGGCAAATGCTGAATTAGAGAGAAAAATCAAGGGTTGGTATGAAAAATACGGACCTGGATCTTGCCGTGGACTTGATCATGACTATAGCAGATATCACCTAACAATTGAGGATCTTAAGAATAAGGTGAGAAATCACAGATTTGGAACTAACCCAAGTATTTAAAACTAAGAAATACCTAACAAAAGACATACAATAAGAAATGCTTCATGACTGTTATAACTTGTATTTATTTATTTAGATAAACAATTCTTCCTACTATTCAAAAATGGGCCCTTTGATTCATGAATTTTAATGTAGTTAAAATGTTATTAGTTCCATTGTTTATGTTGAAGTACATTCATAGGCATATGAATAAAAAAGTATTGTAGTTCTAAATTTAGGGGAATATATGAGAATAAATAAAACCATGTCTTTAATTTTTAAAAGTTAAACTTGAAACATTTTGATTATTACATAAGGAGGTGAAATTTTTATGCAAAAACTTGAGTAACCTTTTTCATTTCCTGAAATAATGAATCACATAAAAGCATACTTACTTGTTGTGTTCTCTGTTTTGGTTTATTCTAGATTATCTCCTCCACTACTACTAATGCTAATGTCATTCTGCAGATTGATAATGCCAGACTGGCTGCTGATGATTTCAGGCTAAAGTAAGTGACAGAAGAAAATCCTGCTCTAGAAAAAAGTTTCTATTTATTTAATTTGTTAAATAAAATTTCTATTTCATCCCAAGTAGAATGAACTATCACCTAAAAGATAAAAGGAAGCAAAGGATTTGTATTATAATGTTACAATCAACTTATACATAGTTATTATATTCCTGGGACAAAATATCAATATATTTCTCTGCCTGCCTAGAATACTGCCAAGCACAAAGTAGATGCTCAGTAAATCATTAGTCAACTAAGGAAAAACGTTAACTAAAATAAAATTCCAAAATGGTGTATTTTTATTTAACTAGGTTATGCTATTGGAATTTGTGTGATGAAATAACTTCCAATTATCCTGTACAGAATTGAGTGGGGGTAATGCAGGAGCGCTTTCTTCATATATTTTTATACTATTTACAGTCCTAATTCAATTTCTAATTTTCAGTTTAAAGCAATTGGGATTGAATATTTCTGTTTCTTGGGGTAGTCTTACTGGCACTGAAATTCACTTAAATGCCCCCCAAGGTATGAAAATGAGCTCACCCTTCACCAAAACGTAGAGGCCGACATCAACGGATTACGGCGAGTCCTGGACGAGCTGACGCTCTGCAGGACCGACCAGGAGCTGCAATATGAGTCTCTGAGTGAGGAGATGACATATCTCAAAAAGAACCACGAAGAGGTAGGAGAAGCTTTACCTGTAGTCCAATCACAACTCTGTACATTTTAAATACTGGGCAGGGGTTGGGGGTTAAAATCACAATAGTAATTCAGGTTCATTGTTATAATTTGCCAACGGATACAGACAGATTAGTCTAATAATACTACCTACTACGAGGGGATGTTAAAAGGCTTCAATGAATTAATACATATCACACGCTCAGAACAGTGCCTGGCCTATAATAATCACTCAATAAATGACAGCGGTCATCCCTAGGATGAATGCCTATGAGGGCCAGGATTTCAGGATTTTTTCTACTGTTCTATTCCCATCAACCTGACATTTAGTCAGTAACTATATGTTGAGTAACTCTCCGGTCTTTAAATCCCTTTCTCATTTAAAAGAATAAATTACTTCTCTTGGGGTGCTATGACTGTTTTTGGTGGTGGTGGTAATTTTAATTAACAGGTCCCTAATTTTTTTTGTTTGTTTTCTATTGCTTTGTTTTGAGACAGAGTCTCGCTCTGTGGCCAGGCTGGAGTGCAGTGGCGCAATCTCAGCTCACTGCAACCTCCACCTCCCAGGTTCAAGCAATTCTCCTGCCTCAGCCTCTGGAGTAGCTGGGACTACAGGCGCACACCACCAAGCCTGGCTAATTTTTGTATTTTTAGTAGAGATGGGTTTTCGCCATGTTGGCCAGGCTGGTCTGGAACTCTTGGCTTCAAGTGATCCGCCCGCCTCAGCCTCCCAAAGTGCTGGGATTACAGGAGTGAGCCACCTCGCCCGGTCAACAGTTCACTAATTAAATAGATGATTGGCATGAATATGGACCGAATATGTCAATTAAAAAATTGTGTGCCATAAATTATACACCTGACCGCAAACTTTGAGACATAAAGTAACACGTTTGAGAACTTCTCAGACTGAGTGTGAACCTGCAATGCCCCTAAAGCCACACTCTTGCTTCTCTCCAGGAGATGAAGGCTCTGCAGTGCGCGGCTGGGGGCAACGTGAACGTGGAGATGAACGCGGCCCCGGGGGTAGACCTCGCGGTTTTGTTGAACAACATGCGAGCGGAGTACGAAGCCCTTGCAGAGCAGAACCGCAAGGACGCGGAGGCCTGGTTCAATGAGAAGGTGAGGTGGGCCCCGTCTCCCTGCTCACACCTCCCCGGGGGTGGGGACTCCGTGTGACCCTTTTTCCCGGCCCTACAGAGCGCCTCGCTGCAGCAACAGATCTCCCACGACTCAGGCGCAGCCACTTTCGCCCGGAGCCAGCTCACCGAGATGAGGCGCACCCTGCAGACCCTGGAGATCCAGCTGCAGTCCCTGATGGCCACGGTAGGTGACAGCGAAGGTCAGCCTGGATCCTGTGATTCTAGAAAGCCTCCGAGAAACACTTCCCTCTGCCCTTCCTTCTTTTTTCCTATTATACCTTTGCCTGCAAATACTTAGCAGAGAGAGTGGAGGAGAGCAGGAAAAAACAGATGCATAGACACTCAAAAGAGAGCTTTTTCTTCCTCCTTGACATCACTGGGAGTTTCCTTCCTGGCTGATGCTTAGTGCTCATTTCATGAAAATAGACATTTCACATAGATCCTTTCTCAGGGTAATTCAGCTTAGGTCCGCAAAACAAACAGCAGCAATATTGCTGCACCAGAAAATTAGCCACAGGTCTATGATCAGGGGTGTGGGGCTAGTGTCCCACAGGGCAGGGAGCCAGCATCACACCAGCATCTCCTGATACTGATGAAGACATATTAGAAGCCACATGTGGTTTCACCAGGCAGAGGAAGAGAGGGTACACACCTGAATGCCACATGGGCACTGTCAGGCTCTTCATCGCCACAGAGTCCAGGGCAGAGGTCAAATCCCGGAGGGCACACCTGGGAGCCAGGCCTTCAGCCACTTGGGCATACCACCAGCTCCTGGCTTACTTCAAAGGTCAGCATGGCGTCAACCCAGGATTAAAAATGGCTTCCCTTCTAGAGTGTGAGCTGGCAGTGCCCAAAAGGCTTGACTTTGAGAATTACGGCATGCACATGGCCTAAGGACTCCCTTCCCCATAAGAGGTTTCGTGCCTCCTGAGGACACCAGGTTGTAACACAAAGAAGAGAGCAGCTGTTACCCAAGTGAGTGCAGTGAGCCAAAAAGGAAAAGATGACTCAAAACAACGGGAGATTCTTTTGATTTAGCCGCCCTCTAAAGGTGTGTGCTTTCTCCCTATATCGGATTTAGATGGGAGACTTGTTTTTACACTGACTGGCCCCTAACTTAACCAGGATGGCCCTCTTCTCCTCTCCCTCATCACTGCTGCTAGCAGGTACCCGAGACACCCCTGCCACTGTGGGCTCCTGGAACCTTCCTTTCTTCTCCATTTCCCTTCTTCCCTGAACTAGATCCCTGAGGACTCTGTTCCTGCTGCAGGAGCTGTGTGAGTGAATCCTCCCTCTATTTCTGAGCTACGCTGATGGAAATACATTTTCGAGTCCCCAGACCAGAATTGTGAGCATTTTCACATAGAAACAAGGATGTTATAAAGTAGTTAGAGTCTGTGCAGCCAGTGGTACTATAATTTGGGCTCATAGGATAATCCACACATAAAAAGCCCACTTAACACAGGACATAACTGAATTCTAGAATAATGGGAGCATAGTACCTAACTTACATCCCTGAGGCCCTGTTGTCTTATGAATTCTAAGCTCAATCTCCTAGAGTTAGAACACAAGTCATTTGTAAGTTGGGAGTTGTCTAAATACACAAATGTTCACGTTTGCTTCCTGTGATGTACAAACTTTCAAGTTCATCCTGTTCTCCTCCCTCTTTGACAAGCCAGCCTTCACGGTGGAAGACTGTGAAGTAGAGACGCTGTCCTCTCTGACTTATGAGTGTATTAGCAATCATAAAAAGGAATACCCTAGGAGGACGCATTACCAGGGAAATTAAAGTTTTGAGCTGCCGAGCACACGCCTCACTGGCGTCTTGCTACCTGTTGCCTTACTCTCCGCATTACCATCCTGATCTCCTTCCACTTACCTGCTCCTGGAGAGCCCAGCACCCTCCATGTAACACGTCTGTTTGCCTAAGTCAGTAGCTCTAAGTCAGTGTTAGGTTCTCAGCCCCATTAGACCCAATGTCTGCCCGTTAAGACAAATATTGTGTAATTCCTTCTTTGCAATGCTAGAATGAAGTCACTAGGTAATAGATTTAGAAATATACAAAATTATTTTTTAAAGTATAATACCATAAATGCAATAAAAAGGCAAGTATTTTAAGATAAAATGTATTTACTAGGTAAATACTTGGGCCTAACTACCCTAGAAAATGTAATGAAAGAGGCAGAGCCTTGCATCTTCTCTTAATAAATCTTTCATTTTCAACCATGTAAGATCAGAAGTTCCTCCACACAAGAAAAGGAAAATGAAAGAGTGGAAGTTGGGGTGGACACTTGGATAATAACTAATATCAACAGAAGTAATAATTGCCCAGACATATTTATCTATAATAAGGGAAAGAGGAAAATTACCTTAATTAAAGGAGGCAGCAGGTGCCAAGACAAATTACAGACTGTAGAAGTAGCAAAGAGGAAGTATGATATTCATAAGAGTAGTGTCGAAATAATGACCTGTATTGTGTTATGAGATATAGCTCTTGCCTTGAAATCTCACATCTGTTAAGGCACTCATTCAATCTCAGGTACCTTAATAAAAGACCTTTGATAGAGGCTAGAAAATCAAGGATGGATTAGAGAAAAAAAAAGCAGTAGCACAAAAGGCCATGGAACACTAGCGGAGTGGATCTGCGGGGACAGTAGCAGAGTAAGATGGAAACAACAGGTAACCCTGAAATAAATATATAATTTCAAAATACAAGTTTTCCCATATCGATTTTTTATTCTGCTACCCTTAAAAGGTGCTTTAATATATCAGTTGGTTTTAATAGAAATATGACCTATATATCATCAATGTCCAGTGGAACATCAAAAGTCTTGTGGGAAAAGGGCCATTTATCCCGGGTCAGGATCCCACGTCCATCATGCCTGGCCCTCACTTCATAAATGCCAGCCTCCTTTCTTTCCCATTTGATTGTGACAAGCCTCACAAATTTCCACAATTGCCCAGGGAGCAATCCTGCTGATTACTGAGAAACAATGTTCTACTAGTCCTCAGAGTGTTTTCATCCCTTGCCACGGCTTCTTTGATGTCCTCAGAAACACTCCCTGGAGTGCTCCTTGACAGAGACCGAGAGCAACTACTGTACGCAGCTGGCGCAGATCCAGGCTCAGATCGGGGCCCTGGAGGAGCAGCTGCACCAGGTCAGAACCGAGACCGAGGGCCAGAAGCTGGAGTATGAGCATCTCCTCGATGTCAAGGTCCACTTGGAAAAAGAAATTGAGACCTACTGCCGCCTGATAGATGGAGATGGAAAGTAAGTAAAGCCATTTGAAAATCCAGTTTTTACCTCTTTTAAGCTACAAATGTGGGCTGCCCATTAGCCTTCCATACTTCCAAGCCTTTTCTTTTTCATTCCCACTGCAGAAAAGCATGTCCATCTCTTGTTTTTTTGGAAGAGAGTCATCTCTTCCAAATCCTGTTCATCACAGTGTTCTCCTCTGCATTAGATGACTGGAAATGTTCCTGCAGCCATTCCCATCTGTTGTCCATGTTAATCACTGTGGGTTTCAAGATTCTCTCCACCTCCCACAAGCAGGCTTTATCCTTCTTTCAGTGCATACCTAATTTCACTGCTGCCCTGAAATAAATGTACTCTGTACAAACCACCTGGATCCATATATATATGTATGTCCTTAAGTTTTAAATTCTTGGGTGTAAAAAAAAAAATCAAATGGAAACAAGATTTATTTATATTCTCTCTTTAGATAACATTTAATTACTTTCAGCTCCTACACATAAAAATCTTAAGAGTTTCCTCTATAGAAAACTAAGACCTGTTTTTGGCATACAAATTTCATTCATTGAGTCAATGAATATTTCTGAAGCGATAGTAAGCAGAAATATAAAAGAATAAACTATATTTCTTTTACAGTTCATGCTCCAAATCAAAGGGCTTTGGATCAGGAAGCCCTGGGAATTCATCTAAAGGTAATAAAATCTAGTTCTATTTCTTTTCTTTTCTTTTCTTTTTTTAAATTTTTTTGAGACAGAGTCTCGCTCTGTTGCCCAGGCTGGAATGCAATGGTGCTATCTCGGCTCACTGCAACCTCCACCTCCTGGGTTCAAGTGATTCTCCTGCCCCAGCCTCTTGAGTAGCTGGGATTACAGGCACCCACCACCATGCCCAGCTAGTTTTTATATTTTTAATAGAGACGGAGTTTCACCATGTTGGCCAGGCTGGTCTCAAACTCCTGACCTCAGGTGATCTGCCCACCTCGGCCTCCCAAAGTGCTAGGATCACAAGCATGAGCCCTCTAGTTCTATTTCTATCACAGCAATACTTTTACATTAATGGCAGTCATACACTACAACCGTAGTCAATATTTAAGTAGTTTTAGCTAAACTGTTCTGAATAGGAAGTATCAAGTGGCTAAAACTATCCCAAGCTATTATTATAAATATATACTTACTCCCTCAATCAAAAATATGCATAATATATTATATTGAACTAGCAGTGGAATTGTCATGTAATCTTTTTGGTTGAATATATGTATGCCTATGTTTTATTTCTAGATTTATCCAAAACCACACTGGTAAAGACAGTGGTTGAAGAGCTAGATCAACGTGGTAAAGTTCTTTCATCAAGGATTCACTCCATTGAAGAAAAGACATCTAAAATGACCAACGGCAAGACAGAACAAAGGGTTCCTTTCTAGCTGTCATTTTAGAGAAAAGAATAATTTGGGAAAGGATCCTGTACAATTGCATTATTCTAAATATCAGAGAGAATATACACACTTTTTACTTTTAAAGATACATTACTTAGCAAAAATACCTGTTTTCTTAGTTTTACAGGATATTGAGTGTTTGTTTCCAATAAATAAAAAAGTTGATGTGCATTCATTTCCATTCACTGATGACTAATAAATAACTATTTGTGATTTTTTTCTATGTCTCATTCATAGAGAAACACTTGTGGAATATATTTTAATTGCCTTTCACTGTTGTTTTAAATAATAGTCAATACCGCCACATGGCATTTGAATATGAAACATTCACTATGCATAATCTTTAAATCACATCGTGTCTATGTGGGCAAATAATCAAAAACTTCAGAAATTCTCCTGTGACTGAAAAGTCTCACCACTAGATGACGCATTCCTGGTATTTTACCAAGAGCCTCTCTCAAACTCTTCTTTCCACAATACCCAGGATACCATTCCTCGTCTAAACAGGATAATCTCCGGAAAAATCCACAGCAATATGGCTTGTGTTAGTGACACTTTTCCTAGAACAGGGGTCAGAAGCTTTTTTTGTGAAGACCCAGATAGTAAATATTTTAGGCATGGCAGGCCGTAAAGTCTCTATTTCAACTACAAACCTCAGCCGTAGACAATAGATGAATGAATGAACATGACTGTGTTCCAATAAAACTTAATTTATTAATGCTGAAATTTGAATTGTAAATATTTTTACCTGTCGTGGAATATTCTTCTTCTTTTAACTTTTTTTGACCATTTAAAAATGTAAAACCATTCCTAGCTCACAGTCTGTACAAAAACACATAGCAGGCCAAATTTAACCCACCAACACCTGTTCTCGAATGTGAAGCCCCATGAGGCTGATGAACATCATGATTCTTGTGATTATGACTATTTATACCTTTCTGGATCAAAATGTATGGTAGGAATTCCCAACAAATATTAAATTGCCTAAAAGGAAAGCAGCTCCTTTATTTCTCTGGTATATGGCCTGATTCCAGTGAAAATCTCCAGCAAGAGAAGGAATTCTGTCTCACAATCCTCCAGTCACATGGGATTCAGAGAAGTGGCAAAGAATGAGATATTTACAAAATCTTCAGCCAAAAGCCATCAAATGAAGCAAATACTAGAAATCCACAGAGAAATGATTTCCAAATGTACAATATTCAGGGCCAGCTACATAATTTTCAGGACCTAGCGCCAAATGAAAACATAGGATTCCTTGTTCAACAATCAGGAAAAATGTATCACCCAAAGGCACTAAAATATCAAGCTGTTTCCTTGCATCTGCATTTATGTTTTCAATTTGTCCTGGATTTTGTTGTTTTGATTTGGGGTTTTCTGTTGTTGTTGTTGTTGTTGCTGTTTTGTTTCCTTTCTTTTTTTTTCTTTTCTTTTTTTTTTTTTTTTTTTTTGCTATTTAGTTTTGTTCTAAGTAAAGTGTATTAGTCCATTCTCACACTGCTATAAAGAAACTACCTGAGACTGGGTAATTTATAAAGAAGAGGTTTAATTGACTCATAGTTCCATATGGCTGGGGAGGCCTCAGTAAACTTGTAGTCATGGCAGAAGGTGAAGGGAAGCAAAGACCTTCTTCACATAGTGGCGGGAAAGGGAGAGTGTGTGAGGGCACAGAAAAAACTACCATTTATAAAACCATCAGATCTCGTGAGAATTCACACTATCTCAGAGAACACCAGGGGGAAACCACCCCCATAATCCAATCACTTCCCTGTCTCAACACATGGGGATTACAATTCAAGGTGAGATTTGGGTGGAGGTACAGAGCCAAACCATATCATAATGAAAAATTAAAGTTCTAAATTATTGGCATACATGTTACTATGAGTTTTTATATTGTGCCATGCCAGTTTGAAATCCAAGCAAAAGAACATTTAACTTGTATACAGAATCCCCAAAATCACACAATTCATAATTTGTAGCTCATACATGCATATGTATTTTGTTCCTACCAAAACAGTGGAAACACTGCACAAAACAAACTCAATTGTTTTTATTTCACTTCTGTATATACCCACCTTCTACCAGCATTCTCTACCTTTGGTTTACCAATGAGTAAAAAGACTGAAAGGAAAAGGAACTATGGATTGTTTGATCTTTCTATGTCATCATTTTCCACTTATGCAGTTGGCAACACAGGCAAGCAGGAAAGCAGCAGAAAAAACTATATGATAGGCTGGGCGCAGTGGCTCATTCTTGTAATCCCAACACTTTGGGAGTCCAAGGCGGTTGGATCACCTGAGGTCAGGAGTTCGAGACCAGCCTGGCCAACAGGAAGAAACCCCATCTCTACTAAAAATACAAAAATTAGCTGGGCGTGGTGGCACACCCATGTAATCCCAGCTACTCAGGAGGCTGAGGCACGAGAATCACTTGAACCCGGGAGGTGGCAGTTGCAATGAGCCAAGATGGCACCACTGCACTCCAGCCTGGGTGACAGAGCAAGACTCTGTTTCAAAAAAAAAAAAGTATATGATAGGGTTCCTTGGTCATTCATATTTTTTAGAAGACCAATGTCTTCTTTTTATACTCAGAGAGCAAGTTCTGGTTTGAATGGAAAGCCTGGCTTCTTGGGTTTGACAGAGATTGGGATTACTCAGTCAAAGACACAATATACTTACCTTGTACTTGCTTTGGGTTTTGTTAGACTCCTGCACCTTGTGGATCCACCAGAATGTTGGGCACATGGGCATATGCCCCTGAGACAGTAAGGAGCACCTGCAGGCAAACATATCTGGCATACTTCTATGCTCACTTGTATGCCCCCATGGTCCCAACAGAATTCACTAACAAGAGACAGGTTAAAAGATAAAGTTCTGTTACCATCTTGAAACTAAGATTTTCAAGACAGTAACGGGAGAGCATTAATCCAAATGTGGGGCCTTTCTGAACATGAGACCTTGTGCAGCTGCACACACAGGCTTTATGCCTGTGATGCCAGACCTGCTTATCAGGTATGCTCATGACACACTGATTTTTTTTTAACTGTCTTCATGGTGGCCTGCTTTCCAAGGCAAGGCCCATTACAGCACAGAAAGTGCACACTACACTTTGTGGTGAGGGGACAGTTGACTTGAAAAGATAACTATAAATTCACCATTTCTTGCTGAAACAAATAAACCAGAATTAACTGTGTATCTATTCAGCAAAGGAATGGGAGTAAAATTAAATTCTGGATAAGTTTCCTTTAAGTTCTGTTGAGTCCACAGGATGGGAGGAAACATCTTGTCCTCAGGCTTTTGGGTCTTAAATCTGTCCTTCCTTCCTTGGCTTATAAAAACAGACTATGGCCTTCGGTTCACTGATTTTCCTTTGCTGGGCGGAATTCTAGGGCTCCTGAGTTCTTTACACATTCTGCTAATGATTGCCTGTTCTTCTCCAATCCTTGAAGCTTCATCCTGCTTTTTGCTGAATTGGGTTACTACACTGAAAGTACTTCCCAAAAATCAGTCTCCATCTGGAGAAAAAGGAATGCAACCACTGTACTCGAGTGGTTGTTAAAGCAAAAACTACACGCTGCTATTCCTTCTTTTAACAAAAACCCAAGATTTATGGGAGCTTTTTGCAAGGGAAATAAATTGCCACTTGTTACTGGGTGTAGCAAATGTTTTGACATTTCTATTTTTCTTTCGATTTTTGTCATCATATAGGAATGTATAATTCATTGTCATATTTATAAAAATTTCCATCATAGGTTCTGAGTTTTACAACTGCTGGGACCCACATTTTCTTCTAGTACTTTTAAGGTGATCATATGGTTTCTGTCATAGGACACTTTTATCTGCTACATATCATATTGAGTCATTGTCATTTCTGGTGAAAAACTTCCTTGGGATATTTTCTGCTATTTAATATATTAATGAATTGTATTTGCTAATATTTTATTTAAGATTATTTCCAGAATATGTCTTTCTTCTGGTGACTGATTTCCCCTAAATTTCTCATTTTCTGTGATTGTATCTTAGTTTAATTAGGTTTTTGTCCTTTTATTTCTAATCATTTCCTAAGGTTTGTCACCTCATTTCTAAGTTTTTTTCTAATTCTGGTTTATGGGAATTTTTTTTTCTTTTATCATTTTAGCGATTTTAAGTCACTTTGAAATGGTGGGTTGTATCTTACTCAGTTTTGTAGGCATGTCTTTCCGGTATGCTTTCATTTTCTATAGGGACACTATGCTGCTCCTCATCCTTATTATCTTGTATTAACATTTCCCGGGATTTTACTTCAATCCTTTTCTTTTGCTTGGTTTTATTGCCAATTCATGTTCCTTAACTTCTAGACTGAAGTATCATTCCAGGCCGGGCGTGGTGGCTCACGCCTGTAGTCCCAACACTTTGGAAGGCCGAAGCAGGTGGGTCATTTGAGGTCAGGAGTTCGAGACCAGCCTGGCCAACATGGTGAACTCCCTTCTCCATTAAAAATACAAAAGTAGCTGGGCGTGGTGGTGCACGCCTCTAATCCCAGCTACTCAGGAGACTGAGGCAGGAGAATGACTTGAACCTGGGAGGCAGAAGTTGCAGTGAGCCAAGATCGTGCCACTGCACTCCAGCCTGGGCAATAGAGTGAGACTCCGTCTCAAAAAATAATAATAATAAAGTATAATTCCAAATAGCTTTACTAACTTCACAGAGCTCCCTTTTCTCTTGTTTTTATCTAGGATTCAAAAATACATTGGCTTGATTTCTGAAATTTCCTGTCTTTTTTTCCCTCCTCCACTTGTATCTAGACCTTCTGTTTCCTTCCTCTCTGTGACCCTCTCCTGAATAATTTTGATTCTTCCCCTAGCAGTTTCTCCTTGTCGTGGGTTGCTCTCCCAGGAGGGAACCATGGCTGGTCAGTTTTGAGAATTCACAGGATCTAGGCCGTTCCGTTCCCTTCTGAATTCATGGAGGACCCTTAGTTTAAAGTTAGAACGATTTTCTAAGTAGTTTAACCCCTGTTTTCTCCGTATCTTTATCTCTCATGCCACTTTCTTATGCAATTAAAACTACCAAGAAATCATTTTCATCTATCCCCCTGAAGTGCTCACTTTCAGAATCTCCTGTCCTCCTATGCAACATTGGCTGTTTTTTAAGCCTGCTACCCAGCTGTCATGTGGGAACACTCACTCAGTGCGCTCACATTGGAACTCCATTTCCAGGAACCTAAGTTTTCCTTTTTCATGTTTTTCTCTCTAGTGGCTTCCTGACAAAATGTGCAAAAGAGATAATTTTTTTGAGACCTTTCATGTCGGAAAAGATTTTTATTCCACCCTCACTTGTGGTTGTTAAAGTAGAGAATTTTGGTTCTCTACATAAGTCACAATTAGAAAAAAACTTAGAAATGAGGTGACAAACCTTAGGAAAGGATTAGAAATAAAAGGTTGGATATCATTTTGCGTTCACTTTTTTTTTTTTTTTAAGAGACAGCATCTCGCTCTGTCAACCAGGCTGGAGTACAGTGGTGTGATCACAGCTCACTGCAACCTCCGCCTCATGGGTTCGAGCAATTCTCTTGCCTCAGCCTCCCAAATAGCTGGGATTACAGGCACATACCACCATGGCCCAGCTAATTTTTGTATTTTTAGTAGAGACGGGGTTTCACCATGTTGGCCAGGCTGGTCTTGAACTCCTGATCTCAAGTGATCCACCTCCCTCGGCCTCCCAGAGTGCTGGGATTACAGGCGTGAGCCACTGCGCCTGGCCTGGGTTCGTATTTTGAAAGCATTCTTCACTAGAATGATGGCTTTCCTAAAATTGAATATGTGTTGGTTTTGCTCCTGACATTTTAAGTGTTTGTTTGTCGCCCCCGCCCCCAGCCATGGTTCTCTGAAAGATCCTGTGGATGTGCCTCACTGTGGATGTTTTTCATTTATCATTCATGGTTCTTGGTGGTCTCTTTGAATTTAGAAGCTCAGTTGTTTAGTTCTGAGTAGTATTTCAGAAAATATGTTTATAAAATAATTTCTTCATGATTTCTCCCTTCTCTCTTTCCAGAAGACCTACTTGATGTTGTTCTTCTTTGACCAAGTCTCTCATTTTCTTTTTCTTTTTTTTTTTTTTTTTTTTTTTTTTTTTTTTTCTGAGATGGAGTGTTACTCTGTCGCCCAGGCTGGGGTGCAGTGGCGCGATCTCGGCTCACTGCAAGCTCCGCCTCCCGGGTTCACGCCATTCTCCTACCTCAGCCGCTGGAACTACAGGCGCCCGCCACCACCGCCGGCTAATATTTTTGTATTTTTAGTAGAGACAGGGTTTCACCGTGTTAGCCAGGATGGTCTCGATCTCCTGACCTCGTGATCCGCCCACCTCGGCCTCCCAAAGTGCTGGGATTACAGGAGTGAGCCACCGCGCCCGGCCCAAGTCTCTCATTTTCTAATATTTTCTTTTATCTGTAAACAAGTTCTCTGAGAAGGAAATTCAAGGACAGAGACTTCATTCCAGCAAACAGCTAGCAAGCTGGTGAGACACAGCCTTTGGTGTAAAATGAAAATGTGTTCCAGAGAACAAAGGAAGGGAATTTGTCTTTTAGAGAAAGTTCCCACCCAGGTTCCCACTTAGGTCTGCTTATGCAAAATGCAGGATTGAAATTTACTTAGTTCTGGTTGGTTGATGTTTGCTTAGTTAGCTCTTATTAGTCAGGGCATGCAGACTTCTGATTGATCCATGTAGGTTACAGCCTATTGTTTGGTTCAGGTGGCATAAACTGGAAGCTATGAAAGTCCCAAAGTTAAGCAGATGTGCACATTTTCTGGGAACTCAGAGTAAATATGTGACCTGTAGTCAGCAAATGGTTGCTTGGTTTTAATTTGAATTTAGGCCCAGTTAGCTGCTCAGGACTCATCTTAAGAGGCTGGTTCTTTACGCCAGGCACGGTGGCTCACACCTGTAATCCCAGCACTTTGGGAGGCCGAGGCTGGCGGATCTCTTGAGGTCAGGCATTCGAGACCAATCTGGCCAACATGGTGAAACCCCATCTCTGCTAAAAATACAAAAATTAGCCAGGCATGGTGGCATGTGCTTGTAATCCCAGCTACTTGGGAGGCTGAGGCAGGAGAATTACCTGAACCTGGGAGGTGGAGGTTGCAGTGAGCCAAGATCGCGCCAGTGCACTCGAGCCTGGGTGACAGAGCAAGACTCAGTCTCAAAAAAAAAAACAGAGAGAGAGAGAGACTGGCTCTTTCAAGGCTCACATATTTATCTTTTCATCTTTTTGTTCTAATTTTGGGGAGTTTTTTTTTAAATTTATTTTCCAATTCATCTATTGAAGTTTTCTTTTGGGACTTAGTTTTTAATTCTAAGAGGTCTTTTATGTGCTTCCTGTTCAATTTTAATGATGTTCTATCCATGTTTTAAATATACAGTATTTTTGTTACTTCTGAAAGTAATAATTATAGGTAGTTTCTTTTTTAAAGTTTTCTTCAACGTTCTTCATTATCTCTGTTTCCCCTGAGTGCTATTTTTTGTTTGTTTGAGTCTCTGTCTTTCTTGTTGGAGTGTTTTTCAATGTATCGTGATATTTTAAATTATGTTCGTTTTGAGTAAGACCTTAAACATTTGAAAGCTTTGTGTGAAGTGTCTGTGTTTCCTTCCAGAGTGGTTGTACAGTGAGCTCCCTTTTTGTGGAGAACACTCAAACAATTCTATCTGGAGGTATTTTCTCTGAGATTCTTCAGCTTCCTCAGAGAGACCCAACAATTCGGGCTGGCTACATAATTTACAAGGCCCAGTGCAAAATGAAAATGTGAGGTCTCCTGTTGAAAAGTCAGAAAAAAAGTTCAGTTAGAAATATTAAAATAGGTCCAGCGCGGTGGCTCAAGTCTATAATCCCAACACTTTGGGAGACCAAGGTGGGTGGTCTGAGGTCAGGAGTTTGAGACCAGCCTGGCCAACATGGTGAAACCCCGTCTTTACTAAAAATACAAAAATTAGCCGGGCATGGTGGCAGGCACCTGTAATCCCACCTACTTGGGAGGCTGAGGCAGGAGAATCACTTGAACTCGGGAGGCAGAGGTTGCAGTGAGCCGAGATGGCACCACTGCACTCCAGCCTGGGCGACAGAGCGAGACTCCATCTCAAAAAAAAAAAAAAAGAAATAGTAAAATATAAATCTTTTTCTTCTAAAAAGTCTTATTATTTATAACATGTAATGAGGTAACGGGTACACATATATAACAGCATAAACTACAAACAGCAAAGAAATAATGTTTTGGTGTCCTAATTTTATGTAAAACAATAAACCATAATACTTTAATAATGTATTAAATTGATTGACAAATCTTTCTGGCTTTTTTTCCGCAAGCTCATTTATTAAGTCATGAAAATTTATATTTTTGCCAACTTCATTTTCAATCTAGGTAATTGAAAGTGATGTCAATCATTCTTGGCAAATGCAAGATCTCAAATGATTTGTTATAATTTTTAGTCTGAAGAAGAAAACCAGGTGGAAAGAATAACATGAACAAAGGCAAAGAGATGGGAAAGAGGGAAGTAGTAAAACAGAACGGACAAGTCAGTGCGGGAAAATTTACATTAAGACAGTGAGGTGGCTCCTGCCTATAATCCCAGCACTTTGGGAGGCCAAGGTGGGAGGATCTGTCGAGCCCAGGCATTCAAGACCAGCCTGGACAACATGGCAAACCCCAACTCTACAAAAAAATACACAGATTAGCCAGGCATAGTGGCGTGTGCCTGTAGTCCCAGATATTTGGTAGGCTGAGGTGGGAGGATCACTTGAGCCTGGGAGGTTGAGGCTGCAGTGAGCTGTGATCATGTCACTGCACTCTGGCCTGGGTGACAAAACGAGACCCTGTCAAAAAAAAAAAAAAAAGAGAGAGAGTCGTAAATACCAAGCACAAAACTATAAGAAATGACAAAGGTAGGGCACAGGAGCTATAAGTGGAAGAGAAAAGGGGAGCAACATGAGATGTAGAAAATTTCTTAGAAAGCAACTGTCTGAAACTCGATCAGACTCATCAGACTGAGGTTGTCAGTATTGAATGTAACCAAGAGGGTATAGGGGAAAAAATAAAAGAAATGATGATTAGAGATGTGCAGTGATGTCTGAGAGGTTAATTTCAGTAAAATAGTGGGACCACAATTCAGAAATAAGAGGTGAAAAGTACAAGAAGCAATGCAGAAAAGTGCTATGGAAATGGACAGCCAATAGAAGGAATGCAGAAATATGAGCAATCTACAGACAGAAAGTGAATATAGAGACCACAGTCTAGACCCTTCACTTTACAGATGTGGAAACTGAGGCCCGAGGAGGTGACCAATTCCTTTACTTAACCTGGTTAGCAATGGAACTTAGACAGAAAACCAGTACAGATGAAATGGTAATTCAGGAAGGATAAGGATCAAAGGAACACTTTCTGTCTCCAAAGAAGATTCCCTTTAATGCCTCAGTTTTCCTTTAGGACCTCCCCTCCTTCTTCTGATACTATGATACTTCATTGCTGAAGAAAATGCAATGCTGATTTGAGCAAGGGAAAGAGAAATCTGTCTATCATACTTTTTTATTCTTATAGGTATTATGCATTCCTGAAGCCTGGAAGACAGGAAGAGTTACTCATACTAAATTTGAAATGCATCACTATAATAATCCTGATAATACTCCACCCTGTCCAACTCCAGAGATAACAAATAACCCCACAATAACTATCCACCTACAGAAATGGACACAGTATGGTAAAGCCATTCATTAAAAAAAAAAAAAAATCACCCCATTATGGATAATTCACAATGAGCTGGCAAACATCATTTGGCTATGAGCAAAGCTCATCAAGAAACACCCTAATAATGTGTATATAAAGGCAAACCAAGCTGTTTGAGTAGGCCGTTCACCATCAGAGCATCACCGCAGAAACAAAGGCTCCAGCCTCCGGACACCATGTCTGTGCGCTTTTCTTCTACCTCCAGGAGACTTGGCTCTTGCGGGGGCACTGGCTCTGTGAGGCTCTCTAGTGGGGGAGCAGGCTTTGGGGCTGGAAACACATGCGGTGTGCCAGGCATTGGAAGTGGCTTCTCTTGTGCTTTTGGGGGCAGCTCATCTGCAGGAGGCTATGGCGGAGGTCTGGGCGGGGGAAGTGCTTCCTGTGCTGCCTTCACAGGGAATGAGCACGGCCTCCTCTCTGGCAATGAGAAGGTGACCATGCAGAACCTCAACGACCGCTTGGCCTCCTACCTGGAGAATGTTCGAGCCCTAGAGGAGGCCAACGCTGACTTGGAGCAGAAGATCAAGGGGTGGTATGAGAAATTTGGACCTGGTTCTTGCCGTGGCCTTGATCATGATTACAGCAGATATTTCCCAATTATTGACGAACTTAAGAACCAGGTAAGAAACGCCATGGCGTGAGTGTTAGCACTCCTGAGAGTGTTTAGCCACTCACAGATGCACAAATGTATAAGCTATCACAATAACAGGGCTTTGCCCTCAGCTTCTAAATTTTAGGAGTTCATTTTCAATATTAAAAATAATTTCTAATAAATTCTAATATTTGAACATGGCACGTCCATCATGTAGTATTAGGTATATGCTTTTGGTAATATTAAAATATCAAAAGCTGTCCAGTGTCTCCAGTTATATATTTATAGGCTTTCCCATAGAAAGAGCTTTTTTTAATGCTTGGGGTGGGAAATACAAGAGACCATACCCAGCCAGGCACAGTGGTTCAGCCTGTAATCCCAGCACTTTGGGAGGCCAAGGCAGGTGGATCACTTGAGATTAGGGGTTCAAGACCAGCCTGGCCAACATGGTGAAACCCTGTTTCTACTAAAACTACAAAAGTTAGCCGAGCGTGGTGGCACATGCCTGTAATCCCAGCTACTTGGGAGGCTGAGGCAGGAGAATCACTTGAATCTGGGAGGTGGAGGTTGCAGTGAGCCAAGATCGTGCCACTGCACTCCAGCCTGGGCAACAGAGCGAGACTCGGTCTCAAAATAAAAGACAGAGAGAGAGACCATACTTAAATTACCCATCTTCAAAAGAATGGTCTGATTATTAGAGACAGATGCCAGAAATATTACTATAATTTCATGGGTAATTTTATTTCAAGGAACTTTGAAATGCATCTTAAATATTTCCTCAATCTTAACTAACTTTTCATTTGTCAGATAATTTCTGCAACTACCAGTAATGCCCATGTTGTCCTGCAAAATGATAATGCAAGACTAACAGCTGATGACTTCAGACTAAAGTAAGTAGAGCTGAAGATAAATGGGAAAAAAAAGTTGTCTAAGCATTTTTTCTCCTTTATTCTTCTAAGTTATTTGACGTTGTCTCAAGCCTTTGTTCTTGTTTATTCATGTATTTGTTTTAAACAAAATGCCTGTTAGAATGAGTAACTAGCTGAGCAACAAATTTTACTTGGGAAATTTCGGGACTAACAAAAACGAGTGTCAAAGTCATATGAGAAAGAATTTTGGCTATTCCCATTCTCTTGCTTCAATGAAATGTATTTATTGCATGATAGATGACCTAACTGAAATGTGTTTTTTTAATTAATTAATTTATTTATTTATTTATTTATTTTTTGGAGACGGAGTCTCGCTCTGTCGCCCAGGCTGGAGTGCAGTGGCGCAATCTCGGCTCACTGCAAGCTCCGCCTCCTAGGTTCACGCCATTCTCCCGCCTCAGCCTCCCGAGTAGCTGGGACTACAGGCGCCCACCACTGCGCCCGGCTAATTTTTTGTATTTTTTAATAGAGACGGGGTTTCACCGTGATCTCGATCTCCTGACCTCGTGATCCGCCCGCCTCTGCCTCCCAAAGTGCTGGGATTACAGGCGTGAGCCACCGCGCCCGGCCTGAAGTTTTAAGTATTATCTTAGTAGTTTTACCTCAAAGCTTAGTCTGAGTTGTATGATGATCTAAAAAGTGATGTGCCATGTCTAATGACTAATGATGAAACTTCCAAATACTTTTCTAAGGTTTGAAAACGAGCTAGCGCTTCACCAGAGCGTGGAGGCGGACATCAATGGTTTGCGAAGAGTCCTGGATGAGCTGACCTTGTGCAGAACGGACCTGGAGATCCAGCTGGAAACTCTCAGTGAGGAGCTCGCTTACCTCAAGAAGAATCATGAGGAGGTAGAAGCTCCACCCGGCTGGCTCTCACAATCGCCTCCCTACCAAATTTTAAAACTAATTTCAGATGATAAATATAATGTCTTAAATTAACATTCAAGAAGGAACCTGTCAGTTTCTCCATAAGGCTTAGATTGTTTGAGACGCTTCTATTCATTCTTCTCAAAAGAAACAAACCTCCCAAAAAGTTTCTAACCCTATAGATCTTGTCCATCTGACTCCTTTAAAAATATTCAGGCCAGAAGCGGTGGCTCATGCCTATAATCCCAACACTGTAGGAGACCCAGAATGGAGGATCGCTTGAGGCCAGGATTTCGAGGCTGCAGTGAGTCATAATTGCACCACTGCATTTCAGCCTAGGCATCAGAGCGAGACCCTAACTCAAAAAGTGCAATAAATAAAATATTCAGATCCTAATTCCGTTAAACAAATATCTTTCAGGAAATGAAAGCTCTTCAGTGCGCGGCTGGAGGCAACGTGAACGTGGAGATGAACGCGGCCCCCGGGGTAGACCTCACGGTTCTGCTGAACAATATGCGAGCTGAGTACGAAGCCCTCGCAGAGCAGAACCGCAGGGACGCGGAGGCCTGGTTCAACGAAAAGGTAAAACCACGCTTGGGTGCGCCCGGGCGCGGACTCAGCCCCAGCGCCCTAACGCGGCCCCTGCCGTTCCAGAGCGCCTCGCTGCAGCAGCAGATCTCTGACGACGCTGGCGCCACCACCTCAGCCCGGAATGAGCTTATCGAGATGAAACGCACTCTTCAAACCCTTGAGATTGAACTTCAGTCCCTCTTAGCAACGGTAAGCGAAAAGTTACAAAACAGATTTGCTTTAGAAATTGAGAAAAAAATAATCGAAGAGAATTTTCTTCCAACATAATTACATATTTTAGTTTTTAACCATTAATTACAGTGCTTGACATAAGACATATTTGCATTTTGCACATGACAATCCTCTTTGCCTACAAAGTATAGCTGGATGCCAATAATTATGAAATATTAGAAATTAGCAAATACAGTCAAGATACTGGAAAAAGAAAATCGTTTTGACTTTGAATCTTCTATCATAAGTCAAAATATCAAAAACCACTCATATGTGGAGGCTAAAAAAGTTGATCTCAGAAGTAGAGAGTGGGATAAGTGCTTACTAGAGCCTGGGAAGGGGATGGGGGGATAGGAAGAGGTTGGTTAAAGGATACAAAATTACAGAGAAATAGGGAGAATCAGTTCAAGTGTTCTATAGTACTGTAGAATGACTACAGTTAAGAATAATTTATTCTATAATTTCTAATAGTTCAAGGAGAGGATTTTGAATGTTCCCAACACACACAAAAAAGATAAATGTTTGGGACCATGGATATGCTAACTGCCCTGATTCTATCACTACACATTGTGTGTTTTGAAATATAATTATGGAACCCCATAAATATATACAATTCTTATGTGTCCATTTAAAAAAAAAGAAAAAAAATCCTACTGCTTAAAGAGAGCAAAAATACATTTGCACCACTCCTAGCTTCATCTAGCATTCCTTTTGGCCACTCAATTAAGAGCACTTACAAGTTCCTTTGTAAGTGGCATAGACAGAGGAAAAGTCGAGGCATGAAGGCTGACTATAAAACTAAACATGTGTAATGATAATCATAACTGCTTTCATTAAGGGTTTGCCCAGCACTTCCGCCCACATGTGAGTCCACAACAACCCCGGGGCATGGGCAGGGCAGACGTTATAACTCATGTCATTATTTCCAAAAGAGGACTCTGAGATTCGAAGAAGTTAAGCAATTCCCACAGTCCCACAGTTGGGTATGAAGGAATCCAGAAGTTCTCTCCAAATTTTCTAACTCCCAAGTCTATACTTTTCCCACTATGGCTAGTAAACCACCAGAGTTTATCCACAGATGAGGCTATGAATGTATATAAAATCAAGACTTTATATAAAAAATACTTGCAGGTGAAAGGATAAGACACTCTCATCTTCATTCCATGTAAAATTGCAGTGAGTGTTCCCTCTGAGTATATCTGTAAACCCATTCAGATTCACAAGCCAATGAATTGAACTACTGTATTTAAAGTCTAAGAAGGTAATTATTTTCTGTGGTTTATTCTACTCATGGAACGTTTATGCGGTTTACTGCAGGATGACTTTTTAATAGAAGAGCTACAATCCTCATAAGACAAGACTGTCACATGGCTAGAAATGAGTAGCAAAGTATAGGCGGACTTCTAGTTGTGGGTAAAGTAGCAAATTGTGCCACACTCTACAAGCACAGGCTATATTGGTGCAGGGGAGGGATCTTTCAGTCTGTGCCCTATGAAGAGACAATTTCATCTTTTTTAGCACACCTGGGCATCTGAGGGACATTCAGCACCAGCTGTGTCATTCTCAAATAGAAAAGTAGTAGGACATTTAATAAAGGCAACAATTAATATTGAAGAAGTGGAATCTTTTGGGTAAATATAATTATTTGCATGATGTAAGGATAATTCTCTTAATTATCTCTTAAATGCTTTGGCTTATTCTAAAACACCGTGACCTTTTCTATTAAACCATGTCTTACCAAACTACAGAAACACTCCCTGGAGTGCTCCTTGACAGAGACCGAGAGTAACTACTGTGCACAGCTGGCACAGATCCAGGCTCAGATCGGGGCCCTGGAGGAGCAGCTGCACCAGGTCAGAACCGAGACCGAGGGCCAGAAGCTCGAGTATGAGCAGCTCCTTGACATCAAGGTCCACCTGGAAAAAGAAATTGAGACCTACTGCCTCCTGATAGATGGAGAAGATGGGTCAGTATTGCCGCCATTGAGAAAACAATTCATTTTTAAGGTTACTAAAGATGATTTGAAATCAAGTACAAAATATCTATGATCTAGATCACGCATAGATAATACTCTTTTAGTGTTATTTCAGAATGCAGTGAATTCCCACCTTAAATCATTATTTTTCAGTTTCCTCAGTAAAACAGAATAATTAATATAAGCGCTCTATACTTTTACAGCTCCTGTTCTAAATCAAAAGGCTATGGAGGCCCAGGAAATCAAACAAAAGGTAAACAAAAGCTGTGTTAGGCATTCAGTGTTTATTTGTATGTGTTTCAAATGATGTTTTATTTCCTATTTATGAATTTGATAAATTCTAAACAGTTTATATGTGGCATTTTAGATTCATCTAAAACCACCATTGTCAAAACAGTTGTTGAAGAGATAGATCCTCGTGGCAAAGTTCTCTCATCCAGAGTTCACACTGTGGAAGAGAAATCCACCAAAGTCAACAACAAGAATGAACAGAGGGTGTCTTCCTGAACTCCAGCCTCTGAGACAGAATGGCCCCCAAATTAAAATACCAAAATGAAGCTAGTTTCCTAAATAAGGGTCCCCTTATTTTTCTGCTTTTCTTCCAATGAATTAAGACAAGTTATTTTTAGAATAGTACCATTTCTTTGGCTTTTTCTCTATGGTGGTGTTTCAATAAAAGTTCTTCCTGTTGCAAGTCATCTTCCCTGGTTCTGGCCAATCTTTGCATTTTAGATATACCCTCCCAAATGGAAGCTGAATTTTGTCTTTAATTTCTTCTGTTTAATTCAACAGTCTTCACAAGTTGGAAGTAAGTTTAATGTGAAAACTAGTTGGAGTCTTTTTGACTTCTCTGTAAAATTTTGTCTCCTTTGTCTCAGTACGAAAAGTACTTACTGAGAACACGCTATGTGCCAGATAACGAGGATAAAACAGTTAATAAGATCCAGTCCCTGAAGTCAATATGCTCATAGATGTAGAAATAAGAACCTGAAGAATCAGAAACAAACTTAAACATAAAGGAAAGGCTATAAGTAGTGATATTTGAAGGTAGAAGGGGAAAAAGAGAGCTGTGAGGACAAGGGTAAGAGGAGAATTCCAGCAGGCATCTAATTCATAATCTTGATCACTCCACCATAACGGTAGGAATTCACAAGTTCTCTCCTTCGTTTTTGCCATCCAAGACTGCAGAGCCATGTGGCTCTCAAGTCAAAGGTAACTTTTAGTGCAATAATTTCAGCACCTACCATTAATGAATCTATTTCAAGGCTGGGAGTGGGAGGAGGTTAAACTCAGCAGAAAACCCTCCAGAGGTTTATTTGTGGGTGAGAGATTTGGCTCCCCCTCACCAATCCCGTAACAGAAACAGCCTGTTTTTCTCTGGAACCAGTGTCCTATTACTGAACTCTGTAGAATTGGCTCAGCACAGTTGAAACACAGTCACTTTCAAGCTGTCTTTCCTCCTCTTTTTCCCACACGCATGTAATAATACCTAAGCGAATGTAAGGCAGATACCCTCTCACTTAACTTTTTAATTAACCAGTCCTCACATCATATACCCTCATATCAAAATTAGGAAAAGGAAACATCCTACCACGTAAGAGTTGAAAAGTTACATTCACGCAAAAACCTGTGCACAGATGTTTATAACAGCTTTATTCGTAATTGCCAAAACTTGGAAGCAACCAAGATGTCCTCTTGGTTGACGAATGGATAAATAACTGTGGTACCTCTAGACAACAAAATATTATTTAGTGCTAAAAAGCTATGAGCTATCAAGCCATGAAAAGACACAGAGGAACCTTAAATGTATATTACTAAGTGAAAGAAGCCAATCTGAAAAGGCTACATACTGTATGACCCCAACTATATGACATTCTGTACAAGGCGAAACTATGGAGATAGTAAAAAGATAATTGGCTGCCAGAAATTGGAGGTGAGGGATGCACAGGCAGAACACAGAGGATTTTTAAGGCTGTGAAAATACTCTGGATAATATCATAAGAACGGATACGTGTCATTATACATTTTCCAAACCCGTAGAATATACAACACTAAGAGTAAACGGTAATACTAAAAAGTCTTTAATTTTTTTTTTTTTTTTTTTTTTTGAGACAGTCTCGCTCTGTCGCCCAGGCTGGAGTGCAGTGGCGCCATCTTGGCTCACTGCAAGCTCCGCCTCCTGGGTTCAAGCCATTCTCCTGCCTCAGCCTCCCGAGTAGCTGGGACTACAGGCGCCTGCCATCACGCCCGTCTAATTTTTTTGTATTTTCAGTAGAGACGGGGTTTCACCGTGTTAGCCAGGATGGTCTCGATTTCCTGACCTCGTGATCCACCTGCCTCGGCCTCCCAAAGTGCTGGGATTACAGGCGTGAGCCACCGAATACTTAGCTCAGATTTCACAGTATTTGAAACGCCTGACCACCAACTCACCATAACTCAGGAAATAAATTCTTTCTGCTAAAACCAGGCCAATATTTAAAACCTTTAAATATGACTTCCAGGAAAGAGTCAATAATAGTTGATAACCAGCACTTACTAGGTGCTAGACTCTGTTCTAAGCATCATTTATTCCTCACAACAACCCTATGAGGTAGGTACTGTTATCGTCCTCGTTTTACAGATAAGGAAACGGAGGCAGAGACTGGTTGAATAATTTGCCCAAGATCACACAGTAATAACATGAAGTGCTGAAATACGTAAACCACACAGAATAGCTCAGAGTCTGGTGCTTCACCACGACATAATACCATGCTAGTGAGAACTTTATGACTCCACCTTCCCTATAACAAGAGAAGGGATAAAGAAACTACGTGCATGCTCACTCCAGTCGGTCTGAGATTAGCAGAGACATCAGTATCTCCTTCTTCCCAAAACAAACCAGGGAAGCCATTTTGTGGGCGGACTTAGTATACCAGAATCTGATTCTCAGGAAAAAAAAAAACAAAAAACAAAACCAAAAATTAGGAATCTAGTGACAAAACAAACCTCATTCAAGTTCAAGAAAAATGGTTATCTAACATAAATATAGAATGTGAATTTTAAACAACAGTGTACTTGAAACTAAACAATAAATGTATCAGGGGAAAATTAGCATATGATCATTAGAATAAGATAATGTAATGAAAAACTTTATCCTGAAATAAGGAGACAGCAACACTGCATAAAGCTTAATTCGATTCATTTTGAATATCTAAAATACGTATGCACATCATGTAATGTTCTACTATCTAGTAGATTATCAAGAAATGATCTATTATGTACATCCATTCTTGCCATGGATAAAATAATCAATCCCGGGGAAGAAATGTATAGACTGAAGTGGTCCAGAGAATGTGTTAAATCTGTCTCCACTTCCAGAAAGAACTAGAGCATACCTAAATTTTTAAAATAAGTATTAGTTTAGAGGAAAATCTATGATTAAAATAATTTAAAAGACCTACTCACGTGAGTAAATAGGCGACAACATTTCAAGAAGGAGTTAAGCATCATATATTCCAGTCCTGCTTTGATATAGAAATGCTTTGTAATCTGTGTGGCCACTTAGCTTCAGAGACAACTCATCTCCAAAATAGTCCTAATAATATGTGTTTAACTTGTTTCACAAAAGATAATTTGTATTTATAAAGTATCTAGAGATAAATAGATTATGTTAATAATACTTTGAAATCTCATAATAACTCACCTAAGAAACTCAAGCCTTATAAATCATTAAACTGACAATACTCTCTGTTTTTCTTGTTTTATTTCTGGGAAAAATTAGCAAAAGATTAAAAATTTGACCAGGTCACAACAAAATCAGTAAAAAGTCTCTAAACAGGAACTGTATCTAGGTTATCATGCACTGTTCTAAACATAAGCTGATGGTCCAGTTATAGCTCTGTATTTATTATTTATTTTTAAATATTTTTGATTTAGAAAATCCATGCAGTCCACTAAATGTTCCATACGATTTAGTGACAATAATGTTGGATGTTTTCCAAAGGATTCACTATCCACAACATTGAAAAATATCATTCGGAAGAAAATTACTGTTTCAAAACTAAACCCATAATTAGTTAACCAATCAATTTGTATCATTATAGGTGATAGAGACCCGACCCTGTCTGACATGTCCACTTTATTATAATAATTTAAATAATTAACATTTAAAAATGTTTGTGCCTTTCAAACTGTCTTATCGTCATTCATGATTGGAACTGCTCAACATTCATTTGAGACTCTTTGATGCTATTATTTTCATTTGCCCAGTAGGGAAATGATCCAAGCCTGGATAACTTCCCAAGAGCATCAAGGCAAGAGAATAAAGAGTACTTCCCTGTGACAACTTATCTTCTCTCTAGGGTACTATAAGTACTGGTTTTCTAGGTAATGATGAAAACACCTCCCTCCTTATATATTTTACTCCTTGCTAATCAATATGATGCTCACTTCTCAAAATAATTCCTAATGTCTTAAATACATACATTTAAACTAAAAGACAGTAAACACTATTTAGGGGTAGGGAAGTGAACAATTTGGAGACTGTTAGTTGAATTGATGTCCTGCTCCTGGACCAAACCAAGAAATCTCAATCGAATTAATTCTCCACCATCATCACATATTCATGAATTATATTGAAATTAACAATAAGCAGGACTGCAGGATTTCTATTACTTCAGTTTTCAATTCAAGAAATGGTAGATTTCTTTTAAAATCTCCCACTACCAAAAGATCAATAGATGCTGAGATTTTCTGGTTTTGATAAGAAGGAAAACACACACCCAGACACCCAGGGCAGTGGCTCACACCTGTAATGCTGGCCACAGGAGGCTGAGCTGGGTGCTGAGGCTGAGGATCACTGGAGGCCAGGAGTTCGAGACCAGCCTGGGAAACATAGCGAGACCACATATCTTTAAAAAAAGGAAAAAAGAAAAAGAAACGAAAGGAAGAAAGGAAGCACTCAATGAAGTGGGAATACTAGAAATACTCTATGAGCGTTAACAGGACAAAAGTAGGAGACATTTCTCATTGGAATTATTAATTCTTTGTTATATGTGGCAGGGGGAGAATCTAGATTCTATTAATATTCCAGTGGCCAAAAAGATGCACATTTAGTCATATTTAATTTTGGCCTTTGAGGCTATGATTTAGTTTTACTTCACCTGGCACCATTTTTATATATAAAAAATATCCTTGGGGCACCTTTCCACCTACAGACTGGACGCTGTTAAAAATTACCCAATTGTGAAAAACAACAATTAGGATGCAAGTAAATTTTATTACAGACTGGCATAGTCAAGACTGAAATGACCCAGTGAATACTATAAAAGGCCAAGGGAGCTAACAAGTGTGGAAGGTGAACCCTGGCTTTGCTCCTCTTTCTGGGAAGGGGTTGCCCGGCTGTGCTGCCACCATGTCTTTTCGACTTTCTGGTGGATCCAGGAGGATCTGCTCGCGAACTGGGTCTGGTAGGCTGTCCGGTGGAGGAACAGGCTTCGTGGCTGGGAATGTGTGTGTTGGATCGGGAGCAAGAAGCAGCTTTTCTTGTACTCTTGAGGGCATCTCTTCTGGAGGAAGCTTCTGCAATAGCGGTGGAGGGTTGGGAAGTGGTGCCTGTGCTGGTTTTCTTGGCAATGAGCACAGCCTCCTCTCTGGGAATGAAAAGGTGACCATGCAGAATCTCAACGACCGCCTGGCATCCTACCTGGACCATGTGCATGCTCTAGAGGAGGCCAACGCAGACCTGGAGCAGAAGATCAAGGGCTGGTACGAGAAATGTGAGCCTGGCTCTTCCCGGGAACACGATCATGACTATAGCAGATACTTCTCAGTCATAGAAGATCTTAAAAGGCAGGTAAGAAATAGGGATTTGCATACTTTTACTACAGACTTTGTGTGTTGATAATTTAAAGAAGAGAAAATATAAAATGTGCCTAACAAATTTATGTGATGTAAGATTTGTTCACTCTGTATTTCCAGTGCTAAGCACAGTACCTGGCAATAAAATCTTGTAGAATTAAATAATGAAAAAGAAATCATTTCAAAACAGATATAGTCACTTCGTTTTTCATATATTTAGCTCATACCATTTGATCAAAAGTAGTAAAAGTATCTATGTGGCTCTTAAGCTCTGGATGCTTATTATCTGAAGAAAATCCAGATTTCTTTAACATAGAAAAAAGATACTAAAACAGATGTTTGACAGATTAAGAAGATATAAAATCACACTGAAGTCTGGAGCCTCCTTTGACTTTTGGTAATTAACATTTTTCACAATCTTCCCTATTTAGATTATTTCTGCGACCATCTGCAATGCCAGCATTGTTCTACAAAATGACAATGCCAGACTGACCGCTGATGACTTCAGGCTGAAGTAGGTGAAAACAAACTGATTAATTATATTAATAAAAGTTAAAATATTACAATTGGATTAAGGAATATATATTTTGCTTTGAAAACCAAAATGTTTTTCTAAAGCCAGACTAGATCAATAAAGAAATTGAATTAAATAAGCCGTTATAAAAAGAGCTATCATGGTTGGATAGAGTAGCTCATGCCTGTAATCCCAGCACCTTGGGAGGCTGAGGCAGGCAGATCACTTGAGGTCAGGAGTTTGAGACCAGCCTGGCCAATGTGGCAAGACCCCGTCTCTACTAAAAGTACACACACAAAAAAATAGTCAGGCATGGTGGCTCACTCCTGTAATCCCAGCTACTTGGGAGGCTGAGACATGAGAATCACTTGAACCCGGAAGGTGGAGGTTGCAGTGAGCTGAGATGGGGCCACTGCACTTCAGTCTGGGTGACAGAGTGAGACTGTCTCAAAAACAAACAACAAAAAAGAGCAATCACATATTTTTTAAAATCTAAAATCTAGCAATATTTTATTTAATTGTTAAGCACATTGGATGACAAAAATCAGCTCTGAAGAAATAACATCCCCAAAATACAATTCATGAATTGTTAGGTATCTCAAACCATTTTAGCAGTTTGCCATTGCAAGAAGCTTCAGAGGTATGTACAGAACATCATATCTTTCAGCATATGAAATACCTTAAAAAGTTGTGCTTTGCACCTGCCTACGATGACAACTCTCAGGTGCCTTACTAATCTTTCAGGTATGAAAATGAGCTGGCTCTGCACCACAGTGTTGAGGCCGACACCAGTGGTCTTCGCAGAGTGTTGGATGAACTGACCCTTTGTACAACCGACCTGGAGATACAGTGTGAGACCCTCAGTGAGGAATTGACCTACCTCAAAAAAAGTCATGAGGAGGTAAGGAAGCCTGCAGAGTGGCTTCATACAGTTTCTAATTTCCTTCTTGAAGTCCACTGTTCATTTCGTAGCAGGGCATGAACATCAATCAAAATCCTCCACTGAGGATGAATACCGATCCCTTTTCTAGGAAATGGAAGTCTTGCAATATACAGCTGGGGGGAACGTGAACGTGGAGATGAATGCAACCCCAGGAGTGGACCTAACTGTCCTGTTGAACAACATGAGGGCTGAGTATGAGGACTTGGCTGAGCAGAACCGCAAAGATGCTGAAGCCTGGTTCAACGAGAGGGTAGGTCTATGGCAAATTACAAAGGGCTTGCTCAGGAGACAATCAGGCCAGTCACTAACCCTTTCGACAATTACACTTCAGAGTGCAACGCTGCAACAACAGATTTCCGATCATGAGGGAGCAGCCACAGCAGCCAGAAATGAGCTGACCGAATTAAAACGCAATCTGCAAACCCTGGAAATAGAACTTCAGTCCCTCATGGCTGTGGTACGTAGGAATCGCCATTGAATTGAATATATGTGTGAATATGTATAAGTCAATACAGATATAAAAATACATATAACACCAAGTACGTATAACCATTTACATATGACTAAAAGTATAAAATATATTAAATATCAAGAATTCTGTCCCTAAACTCACCAATTCCAAAACTTGAAAAATGCCTTTTTACAATAGAGGAATTTTTTTAAATCTTGCAAATGTTGATTTTCAATTGAAAATATTCAGACCTTATACAAATAATTATTTCTACCTTGAGAATATTTAAAATATGACCATGCCGGCCAAGCACAGTGGCTCACACCTGTAATCCCAGCACTTTGGGAGGCCACGGCAGGTGGATAACTTGAGGTCAGAAATTCAAGACCAGCCAGGCCAACATGGTGAAACCCCATCTCTACTAAAAATATAAAAATTAGCTGGGTGTGGTGGCATGTACCTGTAATCCCACATACTCAGGAGGCTGAGGCAGGAGAATCACTTGAACACAGGAAGAGAGGCTGCAGTGAGCCAAGATCATGCCACTGCACTCAGCCTGGGTGACAGAGCAAGACACAGTCTCAAAAAAATAAATAAAATAATATAAGATGACCATGCCATTTCTCTTTTACACATTCAAGCTTCACTTTGCTTTTCTTTCAGAAACATTCCTATGAATGCTCCTTGGCTGAGACTGAAGGAAATTACTGCAATCAACTCCAGCAAATTCAGGATCAGATAGGGGTGATGGAGGAACAACTGCAACAGATTCGAACAGAAACAGAAGGCCAGAAGCTGGAGTATGAACAGCTTCTTGATGTAAAAATATTTTTAGAAAAAGAAATTGACATTTATTGCAACTTACTAGATGGAGAAGAAAGGTAAAGATTAACTTGCAAAAAAAAAAAAAAACCTCACATTAACTAGGTTTTCCCACAGTATAGGTATGCCAATATTGCATCCTAGAATTTCCTACTCTGGAGATCATACATATTTATCCTCAGGAATGTATATTATTGCAGCCAAGTGAAATTAAAACATGCAGAAATTTGAAAATCAAATTTCTAAGTATGCAAAATATTTGTATGTATAATATATAAAGGACATTTAAATATAGAATATTTAACAATTCCAGTACTCCAATTCAAGGGGAAAATTGCTTTCTGTGATTTAGTGTGTAAGCACATTTCTTATAAATAACTCATTCTCTTTTCTTATCACTTCACTAGTTACCCCACATGTACCTTGTATTAAAGATGAGCAATGAAGATATAGGAAGAATTAATTGGAGAGGCACCATAGTTTCTTAGTCAATAGCAACAGCCCTGGAATTGCAGCCCTGGCTGTGAATCAAATACTGGGTGAATTATGAGCACATTGTTTAACCTTTTCAAATGCAGTTTCCTCGTTGATGAAATTGTGATAAAGCCAAAACCATACTTGTAACAAGTCTTAACTATAATGTCTCACTACATAGGTAAAGAGCTCATGACAGTGGCATACACAGAAAAGGTATTTGGTAATCACTGCCTATTACTAAATGCTTGCCCATGGCCGCATAGTGAGGAGGTAACGTCTTGCACCCTCCAAGGCCCATCAGCCCTCTGCAGCCTATTCTCACAGGAACCCAACAGTGATTGCTCCCTCCTCAGAACAAAGCACTCATTACACCACTCACTTTTCACTTAATTTACAGCACTTTTCATGTTATAGGTAACTTTTTGCATGTGTATACTTTATTTCCAACTGTAAAAACTGTGTCTTGGTTCTATATCTTCTGCAGCACCTAGCCCAGCAACACCTTTTTCATGGTAGGCACTCCAAACACATTCACTGGCCAGTTGATTGAAAAGTCAGAGTGAGAAATATTGCTAGATGAAAGAGGTAATTTCTGGTCATGAGAAAATTTCTATTCATAAACATCCATTTAATCTCTTCTTTCACTATGTTGAAGTCATGAAAAGCTTATTAATGTCCTTTAAATATATAAGGAATTTGAATCTTATTGAAACTAGAATTCCAAAACTCTTATTTCCAATTTAGAGGTATTTATAAGCTCACTAAGGAAAGAAAAAAAAATGCAATAATTTACTCTTCTCTTCACAGAAAAAGCAAATCCACATGTTACAAATCAAAAGGATACAGGCCTGTGAATTCTGGAAATCAAGCCAAAGGTATAGATAGATTTTTTTTACCTGGTGTAACTCCTTAAACTCCATCAATTGTGTTAACTAAGTTACTTATTTTTTAACTAAATAAAATTTGTTTTTAAGTTTACTTCTGGTGAATAAAGGGATGAGGGGTCATTATGATAGTTCTTAATATTTGTATTTTATATTCCCGTAGATCAACAGATGTGGTCAAATTATGAAATTATTGAAATGAGGAATTAATCCCACAACATGTTTCTTACCTGGAATGTATTATCTTTCATAGTTTCAATACTTTGATAAAAGAGCTACTTTATCTTAAACCACAAAAATCGGGCAAGTTGGTATTTAAAAGAAGACAACATTACTTGCAGCCAGCCTTTACTGCCTGATACTTAGATTGTTTTAATCCATGTTTCATTTATGTTTTCAAATGCCCATTGCTCTAAAAGCAGTGGCAAATATAAGAGAGATAGTCCAGGATCTTGCTAAACACTGACTTCAAACACAGTATTATATATCGATTTACTGCAAACTTGCAAAAAACATTTTTAAAAAGCAAACATTTTTTAAAAGGTGCAGTGGCTCATGCTTGTAATCCCAGCACTTTGGGAGGCCAAGGCAGGTGGATCACTTGAGGTCAGGAGTTCGAGACCAGCCTGGTCAACATGGTGAAACTCCATCTCTACTAAGAATACAAAAATTAGCCAGGCATTGTAGCAGGCATCTGTAATCCCAGCTACTCGGGAGACTGAGGCAGAAGAATCTCTTGAACCCGGGAGGCAGAGGCTGCAGTGAGCCGAGATCATGCCACTGCACTCCAGCCTGGGTGACAGAGCGAGACTCCTTCTCAAAAAAACAAACAAACAAAAAGCATACCTATTATGGCTACTTTTCAACCTGTTAAAAAATGACCACTAATGTTTTATTTATTTTATTTTAGACTCAACAGAAGAAACTATTGTTAAAACAGTGGTTGAGGAACTGGATCAAATTGGCAATCTCCTTTCACTGAGAGTCCACTCAGTTGAAGAAAAGTCCTCTAAAATAAGCAACATTACAGTAGAGCAACGAGTACCTTCTAAAGCACCATAATGAGGAAAAAGTTATTTGGAAAGAAAGAAAGAAAGAGAGAGAGAGAGAAAGAAAGAAAGAAAGGCTGCCTTTGCAAAAATCCTACTGGTCAAATAACCTAAGGAAATTATTCATTTCTGTTCTTAAAAGGGCTAGAATTTGTTCTCCTTCTCTTCCTTTTCTCATGTTCTATGCATGTAATCCTTTTCCAGAGTAGAAAAATCCTGCTCTGTCCCTAATTTTTGTTTTTATTTTGGGGGCCTTTTTTGACATTTCATTAAAAATTCTTCTATTGCAAGTTATTTTTTTTAATATCTGATTCTTTTTAATTGCTAAAGTTGATCCCAATGTGGCAATACTAAGGACCTGCTAATAAAATAATGTGTTTCATTTCATAGTCACAGTTACCTCAATTAATAACAGAATAAGGTGGAAAGAGCACTAGCTCTAATGTCTGGTCCCAAATCTGTCCCTGATTGACTACGTAAATAAGTTGATCTTCTTGGGTTTGAGTGTCTATGGACATAAAAGAAGAAGATAATACCCACTGATCACTAGGATTTGTTTACCCTTACAATGCCTAGCCTGGGTGATCAGCAAATGTTTGTTGTAAAATCTGAACCTGGAAAGCCGTTTTTCCATTTTCCAGCACATGCATCTCTCTGCCTCTACCATGGTAATGACTAAGCAAATTTAGAACTAAAGCCTAGGGGTGGTTCTAAATCTTGCTCATATTCTCCTGCACACAAAATTCTGCCTGACATCCTTACTAAATTATTTTGGAAAGTGCAGCTGGGATTGGAAAGCAGCAAAGTTCTAGGCTAAAGAGGTTTTTTTCATTTGGAGTGGAATGAGGCAGTGACCTCTATAATCACCTGGATTTCCAACTTGCATGGCAAGAACAACATTGAAAGGTTTTAATCAACTGGCATATAGACAATGCAGGATTCAAAATGGCCCATGAAGACTGAACTGCACCATTTCAGGGTGCTAAACCCTCTGAGGTTGCATTTTACAAGTCTCAAATATAGGCTTGGTCACCATTATTTCCTGCTTCCATATAAGGTAGTTGACCTTAGCCTGATGACACTTTCTGGAGATGTAGATACAGCTGAAAATTCCTTTTGTCAGGGTCTTCCTGTGATGAATGGTCCCAACCATGATGACAAAGGCCATATTTCAATGGTATGGAGTTAGATTAAGTCTGGTTAGAAGCACTTTCAATTGCAGAACTATAGTGACAATATCTTACATTTACTGAGTGTGTTTTAACTCACTTTATATACATTATCCAATTTAATTTTCATAAATGCTTATGAGGTAGGTGTTTTATCATCTTTATTTTGTATATGAGGAAAACAGATACTCAGAGATTAAGGAATTTCTCCAGGGCTACACAGCTGATGTGTAGCGGGTCTTAGATGCAAATCCAGCTCTCCTCTGCCATGGTGATTTGAGTTCCATTGAACAGAACAAAAATAAGCATAGGAATTCACTATTTTCACACTAAGTTTCCATTACCACCCAAGAGGGACCACAATCAGGCAGACTTTTATGTGCTTGACTATCAATGATACAATGAAAGCCAGGAGTATGGCTTTCAGTGCAGTGGCCTGCTTGTAACATAAAACAAGCATGCTTGTAGCATGACTACAAATCTCTCAAGTATGTATGCCTACAGTATGCCTACTGCATTCTACAGTGTATAGCATGCCTACAGTATGCCTACAGTATGCTGAAAGATGTCTACATTATGCCTACAGTATATCTACATTATGCCTACAGATACCTACAGCATCCCTACAGAAAGCCTACAGCATGCCTGCAGTATGTGTAGTCTTTTCCTATCTGCTAGTTACCCATCTCCAGCTCCTCTCCCAGCACCTCCCTTTTCTGCCTCCATATTTATTAAGTCCTGGTTACCAGATGCCCCCTCACTTCTGCTACAGTTTCCATCACTATGCTTCATTACTCTCTCATTCTGACAGGTAGGGTCTCTCAGAGGCTCGATACCCCAAGAATTAAAAGAGTAAAACTACATTATCAGCTCTCCAAAGACACTTGCTTAACTCACCACCTTAGAAACACAATGTTGACCCTCTTTCTCTTGTGCCACCAGTACTATTCACTCTTTCTTATTCCCAACAGAGGTCCTATTCTTTCCAAGAACAATTGGGCCAACTTCCATTTTTCTATATCCACTCTTTCTACTTAAATAGATTTCCCTATCTAGATAAGACTGATTTGCACTTAATACAAGCATAACCCATGACTCCAAAATACATGCTGTTGATGAATCAACCATACTTCTTGAAATGAAGGCTGGAAAGTTTACGTACTCAGCTTTGTTTCCAAAAAGTTAGTATTAGCAAAAAAATGAAAAAAGTGAAAGACTGTCACCAACACTTGACAAATCCCAAAAACTTTTATGGGACATCCTTAATTGTGAGCTACCAATTGTGAAACTAAAGACAAGATAAAAAGAAATCCACATGTAGAAAAATCATAGTAAAACCACAAAATAACAAACAAAAGACCTTAAAAATCAGCCATATAGGAAAATAATGATTACTTTCAAATGAGTAACAGTGAGATACACAGTGACTTCTCAACAGCAACAATGGAAGGCAGGAGACAATAGAACAATATCTTCAATATGCTGACGGAAATTCCAAATTGTCATTAAATTTCTAAAAAGTGCTCAACCCCATAGTAACCAGAAAAATAACAAATTAAAACCACATGAAATACTATCACACACCAACCAGATTGGCAGCACTTTTAAAATATTTGCCACAATGTTATGCATTCTATTCTGGAATGGTTTCCAGTTTGAAACTATTATGAATACTACTACTATAAATATCCCTTACATGTTACCTAGTACATGACTGCATGAGTTTCTCTAGGACACAACCCAACAATATGCTATCTACAAGAAATTCACTTCAAACATAGTGACACAGGTAGGTTGAAAGTAAAAGGACAGAAAAAGCTATATCATGCAAACATTAATTTAAAAAATCAGGAGTGGCTGAATTAATACCAAAGTAAACTTTGAAGCAAAGAATGTTACTAGAGACAAAGAGTGATATTATGTAATAATAAAAAGGTCCCTAAGAAGATACAGCAACTCTAAATACACTAAACCACTAAGCTTTCAAATACATGAGGCAAAAACTAACGGAGTAGAAAGGAGAAAGAGACAAATCCAAAATTATAGCTGAAAAATTCAATGCCCAATTCTCAGCAATTGATAGAACTACTGGACAGAAAATTAGTGATGATGAATAGAAGAACTGAACACCATCAAACCACAGAATTTAATTGACATTTATAGAACACTGCACTCAATAAGAGCAGAAAACACATTCTTCTCATGCACCAGTGGAACATAGACCATATCTTAGGTCATATAATAAACCTTGTAAAATTTATAAGAATTGAAATTATACTGAATATGTTCTCTGATCATAATGGAATCAAACCAGAAATTAATAATACAAAGTCAAAAGAAAAATCTCTCAACACTTGGAAATTAAATGACATACTTCTAAATGATCCATGGATCTACATATTTAAAAGATTCATGAAACAGAAAAGACATTAGCAAGATGGTGGAATAGGAGATCCCCCACTCATATCCCCCAAAGGAACAATAATTTCATAATAGTCATCAACAGGCAAAAGTGCCTTTGTAGGAGCCTTGGGATTCAGGTAGGAGTTTATAAAGCTCTGGTAGAGCCCAAGACCTAGGAGTTTCATTTTTACAGGACAGACCCACACCCAGTTGGCACTTACTGATCATGGTCCCATCCCCAGACCTAGAAACTGCCCCATATCCTTGCAAGCTTGGCTACAACCCCATTTTCTCTTGGTCCTGCTACCAAAAACATTTGTCAAAGAGGAATTATGCACACTAGTACATCAGAAGACAGGCCCACCAACCTCTGTCTCAGCTATGCATCCTAAAAATATCCTCTAACTCATCCCCTGCCCCTGTCAGCTACAGCATGAGATTAGTCCTGCTTCCACAGGGACCCAGAGGGAGACATGTCCATCTGAGTCTTCAGGGCAGGCTTGCCAATCTTGGTCCCACAACAGATCCCTAAATAGCTCTAAATTTCAACCCCAGCCCCTCTCAGCTGCAGACTAAGCACTTCTGCCTCGTCAGGGATCTGCTGGGAGACACACCATTCTGTGTCCCCAGGGCAGGCTTGCCAATCTCAATTTTACAGCATCCCTAAAACAAACCTGAATCTGGGCCCTAGCCCTTCTCAGCTGTGGTCAGAGAGAAGTTCTAACTGCCCAGGAATCCAGAGGGAGGCACTCTCATCTGAGCTCCACAGGCAGCCCAGCTGACCTGGGTCCCACAGAAGATCCTGAAATGGCCCTGAAAAGCAGTCCCAGCCCCTCTCAGCTGAGGCTTGAGAGTAGTGCTGCGCACACAAGACCTGGAGACAGACATGCTCATCAGTGCTCCTATAGCCTGACCCACTGATCTTGGTCCTGCTGTGGATCTTGAAATGGCCCTGTAATTCAGCACCAGCCTCTATCAACTGTGGTCTGAGAGCAAGCCTGCCTGCCCGGGGACCCACCAGAAAACATACCCTTCTGTGACCCCAAAGACAGGTCTGAAGAGCTCAGTCTCAGTTACAGGCTCTAAAGCAGCCCCAAAACTCAGTTCTAACTTGTCTCAGCCATGGACTTGAGCAGCACTACATACCCAGGGTCTCACTTAGTGATCCACTGGGAGACTTTCCAGAGACACAGAAGAAGCCACACCCACTCACACACCTGGTAATGGCCCATCATCTACAGATCTTGAAATGGACTCTCATCCCAGTGCCAGCTCTATGGACCAAGGTTCTACAGACAGTCCAGTCAACCCAGAGACTACACAGAATCCACAGCTACTACAGCCCCTGGTAACAGACCTATCAACTATAGACCCCACTGTGGACTCAGCAATAGCCATGTGATCCAGCTCCAACCTCATTTGACCACAATCCCATCACCACAGGAACCTAATAGAAGAAGGCCTTAAACTGCCAAAAGCAGTCTATAAAGATTTAAAGAGGGCCAGGTGTGGTGGCTTTCACCTGTAATCCCAGCACTTTGGGAGGCTGAGGCGGGTGGATGGCTTGAGCTCAGGAGTTCAAGACCAGCCTGGGCAATATGGCAAAACCCCATCTCCACAAAACATATAAAAATTAGCTGAGTATGGTGGCATATGCCTGTCATTCCAGTTACTCAGGAGGCTGAGGTGGAAGGATCACTTGAGCCTGGGAGCCAGAGATTGCAGTGAGCTGAGATCACGCCACTGCACTCCAGCCTGGGTGACAGAGTAAGATCCTGTCTCAAAAAAAAAAAATGAAGGAGGTATTTGTGCCTTCAAATGCACAGATACCAATGCAAGACTACATGAATAATGAAGAATAAGGCAAGCATGACACCACCAAAGGAAACTAATAAGGCTCCAGTAACTGACCCCAAAGAAAGGGAGATCTACAAATTGCCTGAAAGAAAATTCAAAATAATCATCTTAAAGAAGCTCAATAAGATGCAAAAAGACATAGATAAATAACTAAATGAAATTAGGAAAACAATGCATAAACAAGATGAGAAGCTTAATTTTTAAAATAGAAACCATAAAAATAAAACCAGAAATCCTAGACCTGAAGAATACAATGACAAAACTGAAAAATTCAATAGAAAGCTTCAACAGCAGACTCTATCATGCAGAAGAAAGAATTAGCAAACTCAAAGAAAGGGCATTTTAAATTACTGAATTAGAGGAACAAAAATGTTTAAATAATAAAAAAGAGTAAAGAAGGCATACAGGATCTAGTCTATCCCACCAAGCATACAAATATATACATTATGAGGATTTCAGAAGGAGGAAAGAGAGAAAAGGAAAGAAAGCTTATGTAAAGAAATACATCCCAAATCTTGAGAGGGATATGGACATACAGATTCACGAAATTCAAAGGATCCCAAGCAAGATCAACCCAAAGACAAACACTCTGAGGCACATTAATGCATGTGGGGCTTAAAACCTAGATGGCAGGTTGATAGGTGCAGCAAACCACCATGGCACATATATACCTATGTAACAAACCTGCACATTCTGCACATGTATCCCAGAACTTAAAGTAAAATTTTTTAAAAATTGCCAAAAGACAGAGAGAATCTTGAAAGCAGCAAAAGATAAGAGACTGATTACATACAAGGGAACCCCCATGAGGCTATCAACAGACTTCTCAACAGAAACCTTGCAAGTCAGGACAGTAGGATAATATATTCAAAGTGCTGAAAGAAAAAAACCTGCCAACCAAGAATATCATACCCAGAAAAGTCTGGGCTTCATAAATTAAGGAGATATCCCCAAACAAAAGCTGAGGGAGTTCATTGCCTCCCTTACAAGAAATGATAAAGATAGGTCAATTAGTTGAAACAAAGGAACTCTAATTAGCAACATGAAAACATATGAAAGTTAAAAAAACTCACTGTTAAAGGTAAATATACAAATTCAGAATATACTACTGTAATGGTGGTGTACACATCACTTATATCTGGTATAAAGGTTAAAAGACCAAACTATTAAAACTAATTATAAGTACAATAATTTGTTAAGGAATACACAATATAAAGAGATATAAATTGTGACATCAAAAAAATAGATGGAGGGGTAGTAAAACTGTAAAGTTTTTGAATGCAGTTGAAGTTATCAGCCTAAAATAACCTGTTCTAACATGTTCAGTGTAAGTCTCATGATAACCACAAAGCAAAATTCTATAGTAGATACACAAAAGAGAAAGAGAAAGGAATCAAAGCATGCCACTAGAGAAAGTTGTCAAATCACAAAGGCAGACAGCAAGAAAGGAAAAAAGAAACAAAGGATCTACGAAACAACTGGAAAACAACAAAATGGCAGTAGTAAGTCCTTACCTATCAATAATTACCTTGAATATAAATGGATTACATTCTCCAATCAAATGACACAGAATAGCTAAGGGTACTAAAAAGGCAAACACACACACACACATACACAAAATCTGTATGCTGTCTACAAGAGACTCACTTCAGCTTTAAGGACACACATAGACTAAAAGTGAAGGGATGGAAAAAGATATTCCATGCAAATAGAAACAAAAAAGAGCAAAGGTAGCTATATTTATATCAGAGAAAAGTAGACTTTAAGTCAAAAACTATAAAAAGAAAGAAAGTCATTATGTAATGATAAAGAAGACAATTCATCAAGAGGATATAACAATTGTAAATATATATGCACCCAACATCAGAGCACCTAAATATATAAAGCAAACATTAACAGGTATGAAGGGAGCAATAGACAACAATGCAACAATAGTAGGGGACTTCAGTACAACAGTTTCAACAATGGATCAATCATCCAGACAGAAAATTAGTAAGGAAAGATTAGACTTAAACTACACTTTAGACCAAGTGGACCTAACAGATGTATATAGAACATTATATCAAACAAGAGCAGAATACACATTCTTCTCAAGCACACACAGAACAGTCTCCATGATAGATTATATGTTAGGTCACAAACAAGTCTTAACAAACTTCAGATTAAAATTATATCAAGTATTTTTTATCCACAATAGTATGAAATTAGAAATCAATAACAGGAGGAAATTTGGAAAGTTCACAAATATGTGAAAATTAAACAATATGTTCCTGAACAACCAATGGGGCAAAGAAGAAATCGAAAGGGAAATCAAAAAATATCTAGAGACAAATGAAGATGGAAACATATGACAAAATTTATGGGATGTAGCAGAAGCAGTTTTAAGAGAGAAGTTTATAACAATAAATGCCTACATTTAAAAAAAGAAATAACCTACCATTACACATGAAGGAACTAGAAAAAAAGAAGAACAACCTAAGCCCAAAGTTGGTAGAAGGAGAAAATACCAAGGATCAGAAGAGAAATAAGTGAAACTATAAAACATTGATGAAATAAGTTGATGAAGACAAAAATAAATGGAAACATATGCCATGTTCATGGATTGGAAGAATTAATATTGTTAAAATGTTTATATTACCCAAAGTGATATACAGATTCAGTGTGATTCCAATCAAAATTCCAATGACATTTTCACAAAAAGAGAAAAAAACATGAATTCTAAAATTCATATAGAACCACAAAAGATCCTGAATAGACAAAGCAATCTTGAGCAAAAAGAACAGTTGAAGCATCACACTATCTGATCTCAAAATCTACTACAAATCTATAGTAATCAAAACATCACAACACTGGCACAAAAAGTGACATATAGACCAATGACACAGAATAAAGAGCCCAAAAATAAATCTATGCATTTACAGCCAAATGATTTTCAAACAAAGGTGCCAAGAACACAAAATGGGGAAAGAACAGTATTTTTAGTAAATGGTGTTGGGGAAACTATATTTCAGAAAAATGAAATTGGACCTTTATCTCACCCTATATACAAGAATCCACTCAAAATATATTAAACAGGTAAGCATAATACGTGAAACTGTAAAACTACTAGAAGAAAACATAGGGGAAAAACTTCTTGACATTAGTCTGGGCAAAGATTTTTTTATATGACCCCATATACACAGGCAACAAAAGAAAAAATACATAAATGAGATTACATTAAACTAAAAAGCTTCTACATAGCAAATGAAATAATTAACAGAATGAAGAGATAACTCACAGATTGGGAGAAAATATTGTGAAGCACACTTGTGACACAGGACTAATACCCAAAATATATAAGAAACTCAAGCAACTCAACAAAAATAACAAAAACAAATAACCCATTTTAAAAGATATTTCTTAAAAGAAGACATACCAATGGCCAACAGGTATATGGGAAAAAATGCTCAACACTACTAATCATGAATGAAATGCAAATGAAAAACACAATGAGATATCACCTCACACCTGCTAGAATGGCTATTATGAAAATGACAAGAAATAACAAGTGTTAGTAAGAAAGTGGAGAAAGAAAATCCTTGTACACTGTTTGTGTAAATTTAAATTAATACAGCCATTATGGAAAGCAGTATAGTGATTCCTCAAAAAATTAAAAGTAGAACTACCATGTGACCCAACAATCCCACTACTGAGTATTGAAAGGAAACGAAATCAGTATGTCAAGGAGATATCTGCATTCCATGCACATTGTAGCATGATTCACAATAGCCAAGAAAGGGATTCAACCTAAGCATCCATCAACAAATGAAGTAATAAAGAAAATATAGTATATATACCCAATGGGATACTATTCAGCCTTTAAAAAGGGAAATTCTGTCATTTGTGACAACATGGATGAACCTGTTGGATGAAATGCTATGAACCATACATCTGATCAAGGCTTAATATCCAAAATATATAAGTAATTCAAACAACTCAATAACAAGAAAAGAATGTGATTAAAAAGACATTTGTCAGCCAGGGACAGTGGTTCACGCCTGTAATCCCAGCACTTTGGGAGGCCGAGGTGGGAGGATCACGAGGTCAGGAGATCGAGACCATCCTGGCTAACACAGTGAAACCCCATCTCTACTAAAAATACAAAAAGAAATTAGCCGGGTGTGGTGGCGGATGCCTGTAGTCCCAGCTACTCAGGAGGCTGAGGCAGGAGAATGGCTTGAACCCAGGAGGCGGAGCTTGCAGTGGGCCCAGATCGCACCACTGCACTCCAGCCTTGGCGACAGAGTGAGGCTCCGTCTCAAACAAAAAAAAAAAAGACATTTCTCAAAAGACATACAAATAGCCAATAGGTTTATGAAAAGGTGCTCAACATCACTAATCATCAGGGAAGTGCACTAGGGAAATTTTGGTCAAAGAATACAAAATTTCATTTAGGTGGGAAGAATAAGTTCAGGATAACTATTGTACAATATGGTGACTATAGTTAATAACAATAAGAAAGTAGATTTTAAATGTTCTTACCACAAAATAGGTATGTGAGGTAATAGATATGTTAATTAGCTTGATTTGGTCATTACACAATATATTCATATATCAAAAAATCATGTCGTGCACCATAAATATATACAATTTTTATTTCTCATTTTTTTTTTTTTGAGGCAGAGTCTCATTCTGTCACTCTGGCTGGAGTGCAGTGACACAATCTTAGCTCACTGTAACCTCTGCCTCCCAGGTTCAATTGATTCTCTTGCCTCAGCCTCCCGAGTAGCTGGGATTACAGGCACCTCGCCATGATGCCTGGCTAATTTTTGTATTTTTAGTAGAGATGGGGTTTCACCATGTTGGTGAGGCTGGTCTCAAATGCCTGACCTCAAGTGATCCACCTGCCTCAGCCTCCCAAAGTGCTAGGATTACAGGCGTAAGCCACTGTGCCTGGCCTTATTTGTCAATTTTTTATATTTCCATAATAGGTAGAGTTTTCAGTAAATATATGTGAATTCCCACCGACTAAATACCTTACTGATGACTTTCATCTGAGCTAAACCACAATAAATTAAGACAGAAAAAATAGTTCCTACCAGGTTTGCTTCAGATTTTGCAGGGTCAGGAAATAAGTTAATGTCTTTCCAAACTCCCACAAAACATAACACCAATTAGGGGTGTGCTCCTAATTACCAAAATGGATAAGGTAAGACAACTCTCCTCAGTCATAAGTGTCAACAGAATATGATGCTCATGTCAGCCAGAATGGAAGTTAACTTCCCATGGGAAAGAGTGGCAAGAGGAATTTAAAAATAAAAACAAAAACCTATTGGTTGAAGAACCAGGTTGGGGAAATGATTACAGTTCTATTCTCTACTTATGTGGAAAAACTTGTGAAAATAAAAGCAGAAAAAGCCTCAGAAACATCACAATCTGCCTTGGCATAATAGCCCAAAACCATGATGCTAAATTTCTATCCTGTAATGAGCTGATGAGGTTTACTTCCAAGGATGGAAGTGAAGAATGACTCACTCAGCATTTAAAAACGTAATAATGAACCTGACATTGCTCCACCCAGACCCATTTCTCAGATAACCACCAACCTGAGGGCAACTGCCCTCCTACAGGAATGAGCCCAGCAAAGTGAGTTACTAATTAGAAAAAATCACCCAATTATGCCAACTTGCTGAGACTGGCAAGCCATGTTTTACTCTGTGTAGGCAGAATTTCATTCAGAACACACTTGGGACTTGCCTATAAAAAGGCAAACCAAACCTTTTAGACAAGAAGGCACTCCATTCTGGCTTTCACAAATACAGCTCTGCAACGCGTTTGCCCTGATACCATGTCTCTTCGACTTTCCAGTGCATCCAGGAGGTCCTGTCCTCGTCCCACCACTGGATCACTCAGACTCTATGGTGGGGGAACCAGCTTTGGTACTGGAAATTCTTGTGGCATTTCAGGGATTGGAAGTGGCTTCTCTAGTGCCTTCGGAGGCAGCTCATCGGGAGGAAACACAGGGGGAGGTAATCCCTGTGCTGGCTTCACTGTGAATGAGCGGGGGCTCCTTTCTGGCAATGAGAAGGTGACCATGCAGAACCTCAATGACCGCCTGGCATCCTACCTGGACAGTGTGCATGCTCTGGAGGAGGCCAACGCTGACCTGGAGCAGAAGATCAAGGGCTGGTATGAGAAATTTGGGCCTGGCTCTTGCCGTGGTCTTGATCATGACTATAGCAGATATTTCCCAATAATTGATGACCTTAAAAATCAGGTAAGAAATCATACTGCACAATCATTTTCATGTACCTTTATTTCTAAATTTTGTTTTCCTTTCTTTATTAAATTCTAAAAACATTTATCATTCCTACTTGTGATTTTTTTTTTTTTTTTTTTTTGAGAAGGAGTTTTGCTCTTGTTGCCCAGGCTGGAGTGCAACCGTGGGATCTTGGCTCACTGCAACCTCCACCTCCTGGGTTCAAGAGATTCTCCTGCCTCAGCCTCCCAAGTAGCTGGGATTACAGGTGCCTGCCACCATGCCCTCCTACTTGTGATTTCTTAAAGAGAATTCCAATTTAGCATTAGAAATAAGCATTAAGTAGATTCAGTTGGTTTACTTCATGATAAAAGTCAAATTCCCATTTCTAGATCATCGCATCCACCACCAGCAATGCTAATGCTGTTCTGCAGATCGATAATGCCAGGCTTACAGCTGATGATTTCAGACTCAAGTAAGTAGACTGCCAGAGTGAAATGAATTCATGGCAATTCATGCAACGCATTACATCAAATTTAGCAACTCTTATTCCAAAATTATAAAACACTTGAATTTCACATAAACAGGATGTTATTACTTTTTTATGCTTTGACTATTAAATACAAAGCATGAACTGCTATTAAAACTAGCGCCCAATACCCTAGTTCTTTTTCTGTCAAATACTGCAAAGTAGAAACAATAATTATTATACAACAAGCTTTGAAAATGCCTCTTGTGGCCAAATCTTCAAAATTCCAGAATGCTAGCATTTGTCATTGATCAGTGACTAGTGACTATGTCTCCAACCATGTGACAAATTAGGAAATCATTAACACTCTTTAAGGTATGAAAATGAGCTGGCTCTTCACCAGAGTGTAGAGGCTGATGTCAATGGGTTACGAAGAGTTTTGGATGAAATAACCCTGTGCAGAACAGATCTGGAGATTCAGTATGAAACCCTGAGTGAGGAGATGACTTACCTCAAAAAGAACCATAAAGAGGTAAGAGCTGGTCGTCTACATTTTGCTATCCCTCCGCAGACACTGTGCACCTGACAGGAGATAATGTACATAACCTCTCATATAAAAAGTTGGTGCTGAAGACACATTGTCAGACAGACATGAGGGCTGAGCTGTCTTTTTTTTTTTTTTTTTTTTTTTTTTTTTTTTTTTTTTTTGAGACGGAGTCTCGCTCTGCCGTCCAGGCTGAAGTGCAATGGTGCGATCTTGGCTCACTGCAAGCTCCGCCTCCTGGGTTCACGGCATTCTCCTGCCTCAGCCTCCCGAGTAGCTGGGACTACAGGCGCCCGGCTAATTTTATGTATTTTTAGTAGAGACGGGGTTTCACTGTGTAAGCCAGGATGGTCTCGATCTCCTGACCTCGTGATCCACCTGCCTCAGCCTCCCAAAGTGCTGGGATTACAGGCGTGAGCCACCGCACCCGGCCTGAGCTGTCTTTTTAAGTGTCAGATTCTTTGTACAGATTCACCCTTGCTCTCTCATCAAGTTTCCTATGGGGAAAAAAAAAAACGAATCATGTTTTCCAGACCAATCAGGGTTATAAGAGCAGTGTTTGGCTGTGTAATTATAACTAAGTTAAAATGATCCGCTTTGGACATTAAGTCTAATTAGATAAAATAAATATAAAATAAATATACTTTAAGGCCATCCTTAAACTAGAAAACTAGATCTCAATTTCTAAATGACAGTGGCAGATTTAAAACACTAAAACATTTACTTCATACACACATTAAGTATACATACTTAACGCTAGTACATATTCTTAATAGGTCTGGCTGTAAAAATAATGAGCATGAAGTTAAACTATTATACCAGAATTTACACTTAATCATAAACTTCCAAAGTGGTCACTGTTGGAAGCTAAGTTCCAAATTTTATATTGCAGCAATTACATCTTTAGGATTGCTTTCAGAGGCACTGTTTTCCAAAAGGGAAAAATCTTTATCCTTTGAAAATAAATTTGATATTTTAAATAGCCAAAAGACTTCTATGGTCAAGCCAAATGCTTAAAACAGAAGATCAAGCTAAGAATCCTACTTGATTAGTCATGAGGCTGTCTTATAAATATAACTACTTGAATAACATTGATTTGACTACGTGGATTCAAATATAGTTACAGCCCATGGTGTTTAATCAATTTTTGATGAATCAAAAGCAATTGATTTTTGTAATGCCTCATTTACAGGCAACCCTAGATATAGATATAGATATAGATATATAGATATAGATGATATACATATATCTTTTTTTATCTTTTTCTTTTTATGCTTGAACCAGGAAGTTTTCACTAAATCCTCAGAAGTAAAAGCCACATCTGTAGATCAGGAAGACATAGTTTCAACCAGGAGGAAAGAAGGCTGGAATGGCTGAGGGGCTCGCTGCAGGGAGGAATGAAAGCCTTAGTTACCATCATTAAGACCAATTCATGAATGGGGAGGAGAGTTTCTGCAGCAGACATAAGCTGATGGGTGGTATTCCAATATACACAGTCTTCGCAGCGATGCCTACCATTCACAATCTTAGAACTGACTCACACATTCTAACAGCTTGCAGTTCAGACAGGGTAACATGTAGACTTTGACTGCAAAATAAATTCCAGCTTCCATGATGATAATAATCATAATAACCAGCATTCATTTAGCATTTATGTGCAAGGCAGTATCACGGAGTCTTATTATTATTATTAGTTCTTTGACTTCTTTTAACAACTCAGAGAAGGGTTTTTAATTATCCTCAATTTTCAGATAAGCAAATAGAAACGTAAAAAGGTTAAGCAACTTTCCCAAACTCACTAGCCACTATAGGGCAGAACCAAAATTCAGAGAGATCTGCGTGACTCCAAAGTCCAACATGATACTGTAATGTCCCTGTATAGACTTAATAGACAGCTGGGATTCTTTAGGGGATGATGTTCTTCCCTGAGGGGTACACACACACACACACACACACACACACACGCACGCACACACACACACACACACATACATTTATTTATTTATCATCATTTCAATTGTTCAGAATTATTCATACTCAACCCTTCAACCATGTTCATGGCTGTGCTCAGGGTGTAGCTGAGTTAACACTGCACCAAAGCTGGCCTCTAGTGGAAGGAAGACCAGTCCACAAAGGCCGAGAATAGAATAAGCGATGGAGGACCATTCATTTTAAATGTTTAAAACTTTCATATGGAAAAGGAATTAAGATGCATTCTGAGTAGTAGAACTGAAACTGATGAGTTTAAGTTATAAGAGCAGGAGTTTGGCTCACTATAATAAAGAACTCTGGAACAATTAAAACTCTCCCAGAATGAAACAGGCTACTTCATAAGGTAGTGAGTTCACCGTCTTTGAGAATTAGGTCAACGGGACAGGAAGTATCAAATGTGGTGGGAGGGGGTCAATGCACAGCCTGGGAGGGGAAAACCAGACGAACTCTAAGTGCCCTTCCAAAGCTAAGCTTCTAGACTTTCCATGAGATTCCTGCAGAGCTGAGCAGAACACTTTTCTGCCTCTAGGAAATGCAAGTTCTGCAGTGCGCAGCTGGAGGCAACGTGAACGTGGAGATGAACGCAGCCCCCGGGGTGGACCTCACAGTTCTGCTGAACAACATGCGAGCTGAGTACGAAGCCCTTGCAGAGCAGAACCGCAGGGACGCGGAGGCCTGGTTCAACGAGAAGGTGACTCTCCTCCAGAAAACGGTCCCTTTGCATGTTACTGGTATTCACAAAACTAAGATTTGCTCCTTCACTTATGTCATTTCAGAGCGCCTCCCTGCAGCAGCAGATCTCTGAGGATGTCGGAGCCACAACCTCAGCCCGGAATGAGCTGACTGAAATGAAGCGCACTCTTCAAACCCTGGAAATTGAACTTCAGTCTCTCCTAGCCACGGTATGAAAAGAACAATTTTTTTTCACCATCTCCCAGGTCATCATGTTAGATACTTGCCAGCTGGTTTTAAAAACCTTAACAATATTGAAATATATTTGTTTATAATTGTCTCAAAACATAAGGAAAGAATAGGATTGTATAGCTGACACCTAAAACTACACGAATGTCTTTAGGTTTATTCTACTAAAAAGAAGGATTTGCTCATTTTCAAGCAGTATCACAGAGTCTTAACTATGTGTCCATGTGAAATCTGAAACAATTATATGTAAAGTTAACAGCAGGAGAAAATCATGTATCAAAGAAATCCCTGCATATCTGCATATCCATTTCAAGTTCTCTTTATTGCTTCCTGACAGAAACACTCCCTGGAGTGCTCCTTGACAGAGACCGAGAGCAACTACTGTGCGCAGCTGGCGCAGATCCAGGCTCAGATCGGGGCCCTGGAGGAGCAGCTGCACCAGGTCAGAACCGAGACCGAGGGCCAGAAGCTGGAGTATGAGCAGCTCCTGGACATCAAGCTCCACCTGGAAAAAGAAATTGAGACCTACTGTCTCCTTATAGGAGGAGATGATGGGTAGGTAAAATAATCTGCATAGATGGCGTAATATACTGAAATCTGCTTGCAACTTAGATCCCACTTTCCACTGGAAAGCGGACATAATTTGGCTGCATGCATTTATTATCATGAATACTAAATATTAAATATAATACATACTCAACTGCCAAAATACAAATTAATATCTTAAACCAATATGCAGCAGGCACCGAGTTCAAGATATGAACATTGAAAATATCACTTCTAGAGTGAAAAGAACAAACGGGAGGCTAAATGGAGTTTCAATATGTGGACCAGGATTCTGACTCTGGAAATGGTTTCTGGAGCTCAGCACTCACAGAATCCTGTCTTCATAGCACTGATAAAGTCCCATGGCCACAAGTCTGGATGTCTAGAGCTCAGGGTTGTTAGGAGCAGGAAGCTTCCTGAATTCACAATGAAGATCATTTTCATCACCCCAGAAAGTTCTTCTGTGCCCCACTTCCCTTGGCAGTTATTATTTTATCCATTCTTGATGTTAATATAAAAGGAATCATACAGAAAAAAAAATCACTTCTTAATGCTGAAGCAGAACAAAAACATTACAGTCTCAGAGAAAACCCCACTTAGGAAAAGTATCTTGTAATTGCCTAACTGCTGAAGCGATCTACACCACTCTTCCCCACCTATCATCAAACCCTCCCTCATTGACTAGAGTGATGCTTCCAAATGTAAATCCTTACACAGCTATATAAATTTGTCACAATTCATAAACCTGCAAAACTTAAAAGGGTGAATTTCAACCTAAGTTGTATAAATACACCCAGTGGCATGCTAGAACTGCTGTTACCATCTCATGACAGCCTCTTCTGCCTATCTCTTCTCTTCCTAACCCCTCACTTAGTGATGTCACTTGGTGACTTGATATCAGCAATGGAGAAGGTATTCATACCTCTACAGAAATCAGCAAACACTATAAATCAAATACTGGGTTACACAGTTGAAACTACCAAAGAGCTAAAGAAAACCATATGGTGATCCTAGAATTGATGGGGTTCTCTCTAAATCACCCTCTTTTGCGATGTTTTCACAGAGCCTGTAAGTCTGGGGGTTACAAGTCTAAAGATTATGGATCTGGAAATGTGGGAAGTCAAGTCAAAGGTAATTAAAATGAAATCTGTTGTGCAATGCTAATTTTTTATTTTTTAACTTTTAATTTAGGTTTGGGGGTACATTGGAAGGTTTGTTACATAGGTAAACACGTGTCACGGAGGTTTGTTGTGCATATTATTTGATCATCCAGGAATTAAGCCCGGTACCCAATAGTTATCTTCTCTGCTCTTCTTCCTCCTCCCACCCTTCCCCCTCAAGTAGAACCCAGTATCTGTTGTTTCCTTCTTTGTGTTCATAAGTCCTTATCATTTATCTCCCACTTATAAGTGAGAACATGTGGTGTTTGGTTTTCTGTTCCTGCGTTAGCTTGCTAAGGATGATAGCCTCCAGCTCCATCCATGTTCCTGTAAAAGACATGATCTTGTTCTTTTTCATGGCTGCATAATATTCCATGGTGTTTATGGCTTTATCCAGTCTGTCACTGATGGGCATTTAGGTTGATTTCTTGTTCTTGCTATTGTGAATAATGCTGCAATGAACATTCACATGCATGTGTCTTTATGGTAGAATGTTTTCTATTCCTCTGGGTATATATACCCAACTACTTCATTTTTAATGCATAGCTTGATTGTTCTTATATTACCATGGCTTGGTAAGAATACATACAATAAAGATTTGTAGTAGATATCCATATGTGCTAGATGTCTAATATTAGTGATTTGTGCTAATTTTAAACAAAATAACATGTCACCATGTTTTTTCTAACCAAATAATCAAAATTATTCACCAAAAATGAGTCTAAGTATTTGTGCTTAGTGCAAAGTTCATTCTGTATGCAAATCCTATTATTCCTTTAAATGATATAATTTTTATTCTTTTTTTAACTACATAAAATCTCCTTTTAATTTTTAATGCTCAGACCCAGCCAAAGCCATAGTGGTTAAGAAAGTTCTTGAGGAGGTAGACCAACGCAGCAAAATACTTACCACCAGGCTCCACTCCCTGGAAGAGAAATCTCAAAGCAATTAATTTGAGATGCAACAGAGAACGTATGCCACATAGCCCCTGCGAAGAAAAGGCATTATGTATCTGTCCAGAAAAATGTGCATGTCTAAGAAAAATGTCTAACCTGTTGTCTTTCTGTTACTTTCTTTCTGGGCAATCAATGACAGCATCTCCCCATTCATCTAGAAGAATGCCACACACAAATATGACTCATTTGATTATCCTACAGAAATCTGTTGTCAATTCTTTGTATTCAATAAACCTCTTCTTTAGCAAGTTATCATTGGTGATACTGTCTTTAGAATGTTTATGTGTGCAATATAAATATGTGAACATCTAACAGCTTTTATTATATAAAAACTCTTTCAAAATAATAGATTTCCTCATAGGTTTTCATAAGGCTTACCCTATAATTCAAACTGAAACAAATTCAGAAAGAATAAAAGTACTTTTATTTAAATCCCCAATCTGCCATATTTTGACATACTAAGAAGCCTATTCCCTTTAGTAATAACTAAAGTATATACATTTCAGGTTCTTCATCTGTAAATGGGGATAATAAAAGTAGTTCTTTCAAATGGTTATTGTAAAGATTAAAGAAATAACTTAATGCAAAGTGCACTTATGGGATAAGCATTCAACAGATGCTAATACTTATTTTTAATACTCAATATTTATAATGATTAATTCTCAACCTCATTTTCCTTTTGGATATATATTTTAAACAATATTCCAAATGTAATAGAGGTTATAGCAAAAGTTTTAGTTTAGAATCCAAGTTACAGGAATAGAGCCATCCACTTCTACTACAAAGTTGTAGCTGATGTTTATAACTCTCTTGACCAATAGATTTCTCTCTACTAAAGGGAAATAAATTAGATTAATTAAAAACATAATTTCCTCAGATCAGATATTACCTCTAGATATTTAGTTGACCCTCTATCCTGTATGGATGGATTATCCATATTATAATCTATTCAAAAAAAATGGTTTCTGCCTCTAAGTGAAAATATAAAGCAGAAAAAGAGTCTTTTAAGTGTGTTGTAATTATCCCTGAATTGTTTTTATTGCCTGCTTCTGATACAATCTTAGCCACAGGCCTAATTATGTTCCCCATTAGATTATGTGAAACAAAAATATTACAATCTCAGAGAAAAATTCCACTTAGAAAAAAAATCTTGTAATTGTCTAAGTGCTGAAGCAATTTACACCACTTTTCCCCGCCTATCATCAAATCCTCCCTCATTGATATAGTTTGGCTCTGTGTCGCCACCCAAATCTCATTTTGAATTGTACTCCCATAATTCCTACATGTTGTGGGAGGGACCCAGTGGGAGACAACTGGAATCATGGGGGCAGTTTCCCCCATACTGTTCTCATGGTAGTGAATAAGTCTCACAAGATCTGATGGTTTTATCAGGGATTTCCGCTTTTGCATATTCCTCATTTTCTCTTGCCATGTAAGAAGTGCCTTTCGCCTCCTGCCATGATTTGAGGCCTCCCAGTTATGTGGAACTGTAAGTCCAGTTAAACCTCTTTTACTTCCCAGTCTTCATCAGCAGCGTGAAAATGGACTAATACACTTATTGACTAGAGTGATGATTCCATATGTAAATCCTTACACAGCTATATATGTCACGATTCATAGACATGAACAACTTAAAAAGTGAGTTTTAATATGTTTGTAATACACCCAGTCATGTGCTAGAACTGTTACCATCTCATGACAGCCTCTTCTGCACGTCTCTTCCTGACCCCTCACTTAGTGATATCACTTGGTAGCTTGATGTCAGCATGGAGAAGGTATTTACACTTTTGCAGAAATTAGCAAACCCCACAAATCAGAAATTCTTCCTCCTCTGAAACCTGGTTATTACACATTTACCAGCACATCATGATTGTACTCCAACAAAGATGACTTTAAACACACACACACACACAATGGTTAATCTCTTTATATACACAGACAGAGAGAAAGATGAATACATCACTACCTTTCTTAAAATCCTGCAGTGGGATTGCTTGAGCCCAGGAGGTTGAAGCTGCAGAGAGCAGTGATTGCACCTTAGCCTGGGTGACAGAGTGAGACCGTGTTTTAAAAAAAAAAAAAATCCTCCAGTGGATTCCTGATGTACCTAGGACTAAATTTAAATATTTTTCTATGGCCTCCAGAGCCTGATGTGACCTGGTTCTGCTTATCTCTCTATTCATATCTTATGCCCTCACCTCCCCCAAAGCCCTAACAATATTGCCCTCCTCTTATTCCTTGGATGCAGCAAGCTCATTCCTGCCTCAGAGCCTCTGCGCTAGCTGTGCCCCCTGCCTGAAATGCTCTTCCCCAGATCTTCCCATGGCTAATTCCTTTTGATCCTTCTCATCAGAAGAGCTGTCCCTGACCACTCTAGCAGAAGTCATTAGTACATCACACTGCCTTACTTTCTTCGGAAACTTCATAAGCACCTGAATTTATCTTGTTTATTTATTTTATTTATTTGTTGTTCCTTCCCCTGCACCAGAATGTAAGCTTTCTAAGGCAGGGATATGGCCCATTTTGTTCAACATCATATCCCCAGTAACCAGACAGTGTCTGGCATATGGTAGGTACACATTAAATATTTGTTCAATAAATGAATAAATATACACATCAAAACCAGAAGAAGTATTTTATATTGGAAACATGTAAGACTAAAGTTGGTAATTAAAACTATAAAAGGTCACAGCTGTGATGAGTCAGGTGTCTCCCTCTCCCTAACTAGTCTGTAAGCTTTTAAAAGAAGGAGAGCTTACGCTACACATCCTTGACCAGCTTCTCATCATACAGCAAAGCCTGTGCCTTGCACCAACTTGGTCCCCAGTGATTGTTCCAATTATGAGTTTTTGAAGAGTGAAAGTCTTGGCCTGAATGAAGAGACTCTAGGCCCCTGAGTGACCTTTCGTATTTCTCCAATGGCAGAGGAGAAAAGTAGAGAGACATGGACAGGTCCCTGAAGAGAAAGGGAACATAATAGGCTCGCTGGGAAGGCTAAAGCCCTGTGTTCCTGTGTCCTCCAAGGTGAGGGGCCTGGGATGTCTCACCAGAAGCCAGTCTTCATATGGGATGAACTACCAGTTATCTCCATTAGAGAGTAGAGAGTCGGTAAGTTTTACTGAAGGAAAAATTATATTAAAGAGAATGAATGTGATAAATGTACATATGTAAAATAAAAAAGAAGTGGGGTCATGTTCTAAAATGGGAATATCAACAGTTAAGCAATAGGTAGAGGAATGAAAATCTATGAAGAACAATCAACAGGAACAGTCACAGGGGTAAAAAGGAGAATCAAGAGATGATACAGGAGACTTGGTTTCAACTGGTTCTCCTACTGGAAGCAACTAAAAATGCTGGATAAAATCCTCTTAAAATCTTTTTAAAAGCATTAATTGGCCAGGCACAGTGGCTCACACCTGTAATCCCAACGCTTTGGGAGGCTAAGATGTGTGGATCACCTGAGGTCAGGAGATCGAGACCAGCCTGGCCAACATGGCAAAACCCCGTCTCTACTAAAAATACAAAAATTAGCTGGGCATGGTGGTGCATGCCTATAATCCCAGCTACTCAGGAGGCTGAGGCAGGAGAATCGCTTGAACCTAAGAGACTCTGTCTCAAATTTTAAAAAAAGCATTAATTGATGCAAGGGAGCAACAAGGGGGCCGGTGGCACAGGGGTAAAAGAATTTACTAAGAGAGTAGTAGATAAAGAAAGGCAGACTTGGCTGGGCAAGATGACTCAAGCCCTTAATCTCTCCCCTGGGAGCCGAGGCAGATGGATTACTTGAGGTCAGGAGTTCGAGACCACCCTGGCCTACATGGCAGAACCCCGTCTCTACTAAAAATATAAAAATTAGCTGGGCATGGTGGCATGTGCCTGTAGTCCCTGCTACTCAGGAGGCTGAGGCAGAAGAATCACTTGAACTGAGAGGTGGAGGTTTCAGTGAGCCAAGATCATACCATTACACTCCACCACGGACGACAGAGCAAGACTTTGTCTCAAAAAAATCTCAAAAAAAAAAAAGGTAGATTTATTAGAGAAAGTAGGAAATACATTGCGAGGAGGCAACAAGCAGGATCAGAAGAAGAGAAGCTGACTGCAAAGAAAGGCTTGCTGGAGATTTTATAGGATGGTGTTTATGCTGTCTGCTGAAGAGGGCTTTGTTTAGTATTGATAATGCAAAGCTTGTAGTGAGCTAACTTGCAGGTGTCTGGTGATAGTTGGGTGCAGGAAGATTGTGAATTATTTGCGCAGGAGGGCTGTGTGTCCTGGACCATGAAGAAAGGCAGACTTGTAGCTTATTTGCTTTATCTTTTTGCTTTTTCCTGCCTCCACCAGCCTGACTCCCTTTCCCTAATTAGGACTTCAAATTAATGAGCTGTAATAACAAGGAAAACCCTGACCAAACACTACGTGAAGGAAGGAACTCAGAGAGAAAAGGAGAAATCTGAAGATGGCTTGCACTTTGAGGCATTTGCTGAAGCTGTGAACTTGGACTTCAGTGTTTATGACCCCACAGAGTATGAAGGACATGAGATAAAACGTAGCACCTGCCTAAGATGGGGAGTATAAACAGAGACCCTTCCTTATAAGTGTTAGCCCCAAAAAGCCATACATGCAATACAAGCATGACCTAGAAATACTCTCACCTCCCTGCCAGAGAACTGCAAAAAAAGTTCCCTGTCTCAACCACTGGCATAAAGAGAAGAGGGAAAATTAACTCTGAGAATATACGGTTACAAGCTAAACTTTGGATAGGGTTATGGCCAAAATCCACACTATCTTGCTGCATGAAAATAACTTTAAGCTGGGAATTTACTTTAAGAGGGTTCCCAACCACTGGTACCTCCCTGGGGGCCGAACAGAAGCAAATGCAAATTCTCTTTAGATAGACCCACTATCATCCCAGGCCTCAAATGATTCTCATAAATAAAATTTTAAGGAAAATTAGCTGTTGGTAATCAGAAATTGCTAAACAAGTTACTATGAGCAAGAGCCAATAGAAACAATTTTAAAATATAGAGCATAAAAAATGATCAATATACTTTTAAAACTAAAACTTTGAAAATATAAGCAGAATCCAAAACACTATGAAGAATGACTAAGGATATTTGAAAAGAACCAAATATAAACTTCTAGATATAGGTAAGAAATAACATTTAAAATATCAATGTTTAGATCCAATAGTAGATTAGACACAGTGGGAGAAAGAATTAGTAAACTGAAAAGTAGAATGAGGGAATTATCCAGACTTCAGCACAGAGAGAAAAAATTAGGTAGGTAAGTAGGTAAGTAGATAGATGGATAGACACATAGATAAGCTTAAGAGAAGCATAAAAGAGGATAAAGGATAAAAAGAGACAGCCCTATTAAAAATGGCACAAAAATTTGAACAAGCTCCTCACTGAAGAGGAAATCCATACATTCAATAAACATGAAATATACTCAATCTTATTAGTAACCAGAGAAATGCACATTAAAAATCACAGTTAGCTTCCATTTCACACTTCCCAACTTGTCAAGTATCAAAAAGTCTTCCTGTATCAAATATATATGAGTATGTGGAGCAACAGAAACTCATACTTTTGTGAGGTTGTAACTCTGAACTTCGAAAATTCGGTTTCACCTAATCAACTTGGATATATGCATATTCTATGCAGTGGGTTGAATATTTACAATCTTCCAAAATTTCTATGTGGAAGCCTAGGTGATGGTATGAGGAGGTGGGGTCTTTGGGAAGTGATTAGGTCATAAGGGTGGAGGCCTCATGATTGAGAATGGTACCCTTAATAAAGAGACCCAGAGAACTCCCTTGCCCTTCCACCTTGTGAGGACACAGTGTTACATGGCACAGAAGGTGACATCTATGAACAAGGAAGTGGACTCTGATCAGACATCAAAGTGGCCAGCACTTTGATCTTGAACTTCCCAACCCCCAGAACTGTGGGAAATAAATCTCTGTTGTTTATAAGCCACCTAGTGTATGGCATTTTGTTACAGTAGACCAAACAGATTAAGGAGGTCTAAAACTTGGAAAGACCCTTACACAGGTGCACCAGGAGACATGTCCAAGAATGTTCATGCAACATTGTTCATAGTAGTTAAAAACTAGGAACAATCCAAATACTAGCCATCAATGGTAGGATGGATAAATAAAGTGAAGTCTATAACAAAAAATGCTATCCAACAGTGGAAAATAATGGACTATAAACCCCTGTGGTGATGCTGTGATCCCACTGGCTACCCAGATCCAGCAGGCTTCCAATGGAGAGCTTTTCATCCCAGCTGCATAGGTATTGGCAGCAGGCAGTCCTCAGCCATCAGCCCCTCAGGGGTTGCTTCAGCTGCAGTGTCACCTCACCTGAGTTCACACCCTACATCCAATGAATAATTGATACAGAAGTATAAAGGCTTGGCCATCTTGGCCCCACTCAGGACAATACTGAGCTCCAGAGCTCCTCATGGAAGCTCACTTTCTACCTGTGCCCAATCCTGCTTTCTTCTCCCCTTCCACAGGTATTGATCCCAGGGCAATCTTTAATAAGCACCCTGCACACTGAACTCAGCTCTGACTCTGCTTCCCAGAGAATCAACCTACAACTGCCGCACACATCAACAATGATGAGTTACAGAATCATAAAGCCAAATGAAGGAAGCAAGTCCCAGCAGAGTGCATAAGGCGGATTCCATTGTATAAAGTTCCAAATAGAAAAACTAAACAAGATATTGTTTAGAGGTGCATATGTAGATAGCAAAACCTTTTTTAAAGGCAGGTGAAAGGTTTTCTTCCCTTCTGACACCAACTCAGTGTCCTACAATTCAATTCAATTCTAACACTAACACCCTGGAGTTAGTGTCAGACTCCACGTGTCTAAAGGCTCAGTCCCACAAGACTGTCCTCACATCAGATACCAGCCACAAGTATCAGGCCCGCAGGTTACCCACACTTCTGTCTGACATGGCTACAAATTCAGGGTTCTCACAACCTCCCCCTCCGCAAAGTTCAATAATTCTCTAGAATGACTCACAGAACTCAGGTAAGTGCTTTACTTATTATTGTGGGTTTACTATAAAGGATACAACTCAGCAACAGCTGAATACAAGAGATGCCCGGGGCAAGGTCAGGGGCGAGGAACACGGAGCTTCCATGCCCTGTCCGGGTGGGCCACCTCCCAGCACCTTGATGTGTTCACCAATCCAGAAACTCTCTGAACCCCCTCATTTAGAAGCTTTTATTGAGGTTTCATCATGTAAGCATGATCGATTATTAACTCAGTCTCCAGCCTCTGTCCCCTCTCTGGAGGGTGGGGAAGGGTTAGGGCTGAAATGTCTAGGCTTCTCATCAAGGTTTGGTCTTTCTGGCAGCCAGCCCCCATCCTAAAGCTACTTAGCGGCCCACCAAGAGTCACCTCATTAGAACCAAAGATGCTCCTATCACACAAGAAATTTCAAAGGATTTAGGAGCTCTGGGTCAGGACAAGAAAAGATGCTTCTATCACTGAGGAAATTACAAGGATTTTAGAAGCTGTGTGCCAGGAAATAGAGACAAAGGCCAACTATATATTTCTTATTATTTCACAGCAAGTAATAAAGAAAACTCAGGATAGTGATGACACCTGAGCAGTAATAGGGGAGATATCACTGGGGAGAAACAGCAGGGTCTCTAAGATACAGGTATGTTTTACTATTATTTATTATTTAAACTACACAATTTCTAAATTTTTTGTATGCAGGAAATTATACAATGAAAAATTTTTAAGCAGATGACAAAAATAATACCAATATTTTAAGTAAAGAAAGTGACTAATGACTAGAAAATAACGATGCTATTGAGAGATGCAGCAAACTGAAAAGGGATTCAGTGGAATGGAAAGGTGGCGAGTTTAGCTTAGAACACAAGCACGAAGGTGAGAACAATCAATCAATTTTCTAAGAGAAAGAATTGGAGCAGGAGGGGAGGTTTTGGATTGCATAGGAGAGAGGTAACCACTGATACCTTGAAAGTCGATCAGAAAGAAGAACTCTGCAGACAATGAAGACCCGAGGTCAGGAACACATTGAGCAGTGGATGAGGATGCAGATAGACATGAATTAGAAAATAGGGTTAGGACGGAAGCGGTGGCTTACACCTGTAATCCCAGCACTTTGAGAGGCTGAGGGAGGAGGATGGCTTGAAGTAAGGAGTTCTAGACAAGCCTGGGTCACATAGCAAGACCTCATCTCTACTTTAAAAAAAAAAAAAAAATTAGCCGGGCATTGTGTGGAGTGCCTGTAGTCCCAGCTACTCGGGAGGGTGGGGTGGGAGGGCCACTTGAGCCCCAGAGATGGAGGCTGCAGTGAGATATGATCACACCACTGCACTCCAGCTTGGGCAGTAGAGCAAGACCCTGTCTCAAAACAAAAAAAAAAGGGTCGGAGGAACCCAGGAGGGAGGAGAGTTAAGGTAAGTCAGGAGACTTTGTTTGCATTGTTTGTCTTGAGTTCCCAGAGCAAACAATGCAGCCCCAACAAATGTGTGCATAAAAGACATTCCCCGCCAAATAGAAAACACTTTGTTGGTTTTATGCCCCTTGGGTTCTGTGCCACTGTTCCCATCCATTTAATAACAATAATCAAGAATGTTCTCAAAAATAAGACTCTTATTCAGTAATAGAACTACTTCATTTGGAAAGTGATTTTTGAAATAGAATAATTACTATGTTGCAGAAAGAAAACAACTTTCTGGAGATGTTTCCAGAGCTTCCACTAACACAGTGTAGCCAGTGTGTCTTCATGGCTCCCTAGCAAAGCTGTTTCTCTTCCATCTGCCACTGTGGCTTCTGTCATTGCTAATTCTTGGTTCATAGCAATTATGAGATTTTCAGGTATTTACATTAATGTCTTACTAGATAAAGTCTTACTTCATAGGGAAACCAAATCTTATAATATTGCATCTGTCCTTACTTAAGCTTAAAGTTATATCCGCATAGACCTGCACAGGTAATAAAACTGCCCAAATGGTGGATGTATATTCAGTTAGGGATAATCTAAGAGAAGGTGGAAGATAGCATTGAAATTGATATTTCATAGTCACCACCTTTATTCTGCAAACATTTCTGATTTGTTCTTTTAAAACACCTATCACTCTGCCCCTTGGAGAATGCTTACAAATATTAACTAAAAACTGTGTATTCATAGTTTTTGTGTGAAATAATTCCAACTCGGTTCCATTTCTCCTTTAATCTTTGTAGAAAAATGTGGATACATCAGTTTGAGCAAAGGATGACTGATGTCTGTTATCCATTAGTTTGGTCAACAGATATCAATACAGTGCCCACTTCAATCCTATGGGAGTGTGAATCTAGGGGAATCCAGACAAACTGGCCCCTGCTTTCATGGAGCTTGTGTATTAAGATGATACCTGGGATTTAATTTACAGGCACAACTGAGTGACAATACAGAGGGGACAGTGCCACTAAAGATTTGTATTACTTACGTTTCCCAGAGAAGGAAGCATGTCATTCTGTGCAAGACCACGTGGGGAGCACCGATGTGGGCCAGGAGGCAGAAAGGAATGAGGAGAAAGAGCCTAGACCAGAGCCTTTATTGGGGTTTCCACGGGAGAGCCAAGGCAGGGTAGGGTAGGCAGCTTAAGACAGACTGGTTTGAATTAATTCCAGTGTGCTTTGGTCTATAAGGTGCCTGGTACCTGGCCCTGGGGTGATGTAAGGCAGGGGAAATATGGCTTGGTGTGTGAATTAGATAAGGAGGTGGTTGGAGCTCTAGACTCAGGATTAACTGGTTTGTGGAAGAAAGACGTGCTCCTGGCTGAGCCCTTTGCTACCTCTAAAAATTGGCTAGCACAGGGAGGGGCGTTCTCTCCCCAGCCAGCAAGTTTTGGAGGTATTGAAATATCATAAAATATAGAAAATTAAAAACATGACCAATACAGGAGTGGGGTGGCTCCTTTGAAAAGGGTGGTCACTGAAGACTTCTCAGAGGGGTGACGTTTGAGTTGAGGCCCAAATGATGTGAAGGAATCAATCACAAGAAGCTCTGCAGGCAGCTTGCGCACAGATCCCAGCATGGCAGGAAAAAGGCTGGCATGTCCCACAAATAGAAGCATGGCCAGAGTGGCCGGAGCAGAGCGAGCAAAGAAGAGGGAGGATCAGATGAGGCCATGGAGGAATCTGGACTTCATTCAAAGTTCAGCGGGAAGCCATGGGTATGTTCAGACCCCAGAGTGCCATGATTCTGGAAAAATCACTCCACTTGCAGTGCGGAGAATGCAGGAAGGCTGAAGTGGATGCAGGGGACTCTTGCAGTAACCTACACATGATATGGTGGAAGCATGGGCTGTTTGTGAAGGTTTCTACTCATTCTCCTGTGGGGGTCCTCCCAGAACACCCATCCTATAGCACCTTTGGACCGTATCTTCACTCTGTGTTGGAATTGCCAGTTTATCCATTCATCTCATGATTTGGCCCAGTGTAAGCTGTTGCAAACAGGGGCTGTTTCAATCATCTTCAAATCCTTACCACCTAGCACAGTACTAGACTCAGAGCTGAATTAATGAATGATATGACTCAAGTTGTATCAAAACTAATTCGAAGCAGCACCTAAGGCCTAAAAGGAATTTAATTTTTGTTTTGTTTTGTCTTAAAACCTTTTATTTTGAAATAATTTTAGATTTACATAACAGTTGCAAAGACAGTAGAGAGTTACTACATATTCTTTATCCAATATCTTCTAGTATTAATATCTTATGTAACTACAGTACATTTGTCAAAACTAAGAATTAACACTAGTACAGTACTATCAACTAAACTAAAGACTTTATTCAGATTCACCCTAAAAGGAATTTAAATAATTAATTATTGAAGCTCTTCAGTACCAAAATAAACTAGGATTACTCTACCCTGTACCATACTTAGCTTCATAAATATCCAAAGGCATCTATTAAAGACAATCAGATAATCAATCAGGGAAAAGGGACAGATTATACAGTAGTTTTCCTGAGATAATGTAGGCAAAAATTTGGGCCATAATCTGTATCATAACTAGAAACCATTCTGTAGTAACGTAGCCAAACTGCAAAGAATGACCATTGCTGATCATGTTATAAAGCAGCTCAGCTGAATGTATGTCCCTTTGGGGTAAATGTGGAAACAGCATCCCAGCCCTACTAGAAGTTCTGATATGCACTTCCCTTTCCACTCTCAACAGAGAATATTTATTACAAAGGTCTCCTATGAGGTTTGGCAGGTTACTCCCTGCACTAAGGTGCCCAGCCCACACTCCATGTTCCAAGCTGAGGGCCCAGGAAAGGAGGCATATTCTTCTAATTTGTACAAAGTTACAGCAAGGGCCACAAAGGTGCCGGCACAAGTCATTAAAATGCCAAAATTGGCCGGTCACAGTGGCTCACGCCTGTGATCCTAGCACTTTGGGAGACCAAGGCAGGCATATTGCTTATGCTCAAGATTTTGAGATCAACCTGGGCAATATGGCAAAACCCCGTCTCTACAAAAAATACAGAAAATAAGCCAGGACTGGTGGTGCGCTCCTGTCGTCCCAGCTACTTGAGGGGCTGCGGCAGGAGGTTTGCTTGAACCTGTGAGGTCGAGGTTGCAGTGAGCACAGCACTCCAGCCTGGGCGACAGATTGAAACCCTGTCTCTAAATAAATAAATAATATAATAAAATACCAAAATAGCTCATAGGGCTGATAAGTAGCCACTGCCCAGAGGCCCTCTGAATGGCCTCAACGATGGCCGCAGGGCTTGCCCATGACCCCCTGTACACCATCAGTAACCAAACATGCTAGGCACAGCAGGGGGGGGGGTCCAGGACCCCAGTCCAGACTTACCAGCTGCTAGTATTCATTCTGACTCATCCATGTCCATGCCATATAATTGTTAACTATTTTGGATATCACACCTGGTTTTATTCATTTTCCCTTGCTTTTTTCTTATTCACGTCTTAGAAAATATTTCAGAAACCATTTGTAGCCTCAGGAATGGCCTAGTGGTTGTACATAGAACTATTTCCACAATTCCAGGTGATCAATTTCCAGGGCATGAGAATGTGATCAGGAGCGGTAGTCCTATGAGGATTCAGACTACAGCTGAGTGGTTCCAGCCTCAGTGAGCAGGTCAGAGCACCATGGCTTGGACCTTTTCCTCTAATTCATTTTATTAATGCATCAAAGGAATATATCAAGCTAAAGAAAATGTAGTCCCTTACTTGTCAGAGAAGGCAACACTGAAGAGTGGTTAAGGGAACAAGCCTCGAATTTTCTGGATTTAAAACTATTTCTACCCCTTTCTAGCTGTGTTTTCTTGGGCAAGTTATCTGATTACCTTGTCTCTCAATTTCCTCACCTGTAAAATGGTGATAATAATATTAACACCTATTCAGAGAGTTGGTGTGATGATTAAATATCTAATCTATGCGCTTTGGAGAGTGTCTGGTTCATATTAAACCCTCAATCAATGTAGCTACTACGGTGAAAAGGAAATAAAAATTTAAAAATTAATTGTATGTTATCAGAGAAGTTTAAAGATAAAAGAGAGCTTAGAGACTAGTCCGTGTCATTTCCCCTTGAGGAAACTAATGCCCCATGAGAAGTGGTTGATTCAGAGGCATTTCTAGTAAGAAGAATGAGAGATTTCATCTTATCAATTCTCTTACTTATTTATTTATTTTTGTAGAGATGGGGTCTCCCTATGTTGCCTTGTCTAGTCTCAAATCTCTGGGCTCAAGCAATCCTCCCTCCTTAACCTCCCAAAGTGCTGGGACAGGCATGAGCCACCACGCCCAGCCTTATCAATCCTCTTAAAGGTGAATGACAATTCTCCCTACTTTACCATAAGACTCAGACAATGAGTTGAATAAATTAGCCAATTAAAACAAAAATATTCAGGAGAAAATGACCTAGTTCCAATGACTGTGTTGCCAAAATGGCAAGTCTACAAAGAACATACAGAGAGCACTGTTCCTAATCCTGTCCTCTGTGATACTTATACCTGCAGGAACACGGCACTCATTGCAGCCTAAACCTTCCTGCTCAGATGGGAGGTTCTATGTGGCAAGGTGGTTAACATGCCTGAACTAGTGTCAAAGGTAGGAAGTAATTGAAAGCTTTCCAAAAAGGGAAGAAAAATGTAACCACATTGGTTCTTGAGGGCATTCTGCTTAATATGGAAAGAGGTATATTTATATACCTAAGAGAGCATGGCTATAATTTGTAAATTACCTAGAGGATTTAGTAACTGAAACATAACCAGAAGTCCTCACTCTCCACCAGTTTACAGGGATCCATGAAGTCTTCTTAACATTGATGCACTAATTTAATTTTTCTAGTTATTTAGTTGCCACCTATAAAAAACTACATACAAAACCTCTGGCTACCAGTCTTTTCCACTATAATTTAATGCTCTGCACTAGGCCACTGATACTCTCAAGTCTCATGATATGCTACAATTACTTGGAAGTTTCTATCCAAAAAGGGAGAAAAGAAACACCCTTCTACTTTTTCTGAGCTCCATTCTATAGGGGTATGTTGGGGCCCCCAAGACCATCCTCAATTTCAATGGTTCACTAGAAGGACTCACAGATCTCAGAAAAATGTTATACTCATGGTTATGGTTTATTACAGTAAAAGGATACACATTAAAATCAGCAAAGGCAAAAGGCACATAGGGCCATGTCCAGGAGAGACGAGGCATAAGCTTCCAATTGTTCTTTCACATGGAGTCACAAAAAACAGCACTTAATTCTCCCAGAAATGATGTGTGACAATGCATACATAGTAATGTCAACCAGAGAAGCTTGCCCAAACCTTGGTGTCCAGAGTTTTTATTGGGGGTCAGTCACTTAGGTATGGGACGCCCACATGGTTCACCTCAGTTACTCAGTCTGCAGCCCCTCCAGAAGTCAAACTGATACAGCGTAGCCCAAGAACGCCACTATAAGTCACACTGTTAGCATAAACTCTCTGCCGTGGCCTAAAGCCCCAGGTATACAAAGACACTCCTATCAGGCAGAATATTCCAAAGCTGAGAGCTTTTTCCCCAAGAGCTGGGTAAGGGCTACGCCTTTCTTTGGTATGTGCAAGATCTAAACACCCCAAGCCTGCTGAGTTAACCCTTTCCTGCAGAAGAGGTCTCCTGTGCAGAGCCCCAAGATAGTACGGAGTTTCACTTCAGCACATTCATCCCCTACAAGTCCTACCCCCAACTGCCAGCATGCATGAGCACCCCACACTCAAGCCCTCCATACCCTTGGACATCTAGGCTCTGTCGTCACATACAGCTCATAATGGAGTCCATCCTTCCTTAAAATGAGTTCTCTTGGGCTGGGCATGGTGGCTCATGCCTGTAATTCCAGCACTTTGGGAGGCTGAGGCAGGCAGATCACCTGAAGTCAGGAGTTCGAGACCAGCCTGGCAAGCATAGTGAAAACCCATCTCCACTAAAAATACAAAAATTAGTTGGCGCAGTGGCAGGCACCTGTAATCCCAGCTACTCAGGAGGCTGAGGCAGGAGAAATGGCTGAACCCAGGAGACAGAGGTTGCAGTGAGCCGAGATCATGCCACTGCACTCCAGCCTGGGTAACAGAGCAGGACCCAGTCAAAAAAAAAAAAAAAAAAAAAAAAAAAGCTGCACACAGTGGCTCATGCCGGTAATCCCACCACTTTGGGAGGCCGAGGAGGGCAGATCACGAGGTCAGGAGTTCAAGACCAGCCTGGCCAACACAGTGAAACCCCGTCTCTACTGAAAATACAAAAATTAGCTGGGCCTTGTGGTGGGCACCTATAATCCCAGCTACTGGGGAGACTGAGGCAGGAGAATCGCTTGAACCCAGGAGGCGGAGGCTGCAGTGAGCCAAGATTGCGCCACCGTACTCCAGCCTGGGTGACAGAGCAAGACTCCATCTCAAAAAAAAAAGAGTTCTCTGTTAGAGACCGTCTTTAATATTTAGCATCTGCTGAGTTCCTGCCAATCTTCGGCACATGCATGTATGCAAAGCCTAATTGCAGAAAAGACTTGAGATCTTTCTACAGAAGTCACCTCAGCAGAAAATAAAGACAATTACCCCTGAGAGTACCTAAATCTCCACTCAGGCTCAGAGGGATCTAACAGTGTTCGGAATCTTTGACTATAGAAGAGGGATGAAGTTTTTGTGTGAGAAATAATTGAATCAGGGCAAGCTTAAGAAAAACTTACATTCACTGAAACCATTTTCCAGGTGATTAAAGCAAAAGTGGGAAATTCAAGCAATGCAAATAGGCATGTTTCAAACATATCAGAAAGTAGTATTTTCAATCTATTGCCACAATTAAGTTTCTAGACCCAGAAATGCAAGACAAAATTACAAATGGGTACTGCCTTAAATCTAACATAAAAATTTATCTTCCAAGACATAAAACCCACTCTTCCCTTCCTCTTCACCTACAATATAGATTTTTCTTAACGTCTAGAGACAGAACTTAAGAAAACAAACACTGGCAATTAATTTAATAGTGATTATACTTTACGTTTATATATTAGTTTAGGATTTTAATATACAGACAAAAAGTAAAAGTTGATCTTCACAAAACCCTTACAAGAAGTGTGATGATCATTTATAGATCAAGATCCAGATTAGAGATGTTACTTGTTTTGTCCTGGGTCACAAGCAATTTAGTGAAAGTACAGAATTTGAACCCAGGTCTACAAATTATTAGTCCAGTGTTCTTCCCACTCAACACACTACCCCAGGAATTTGGCAAGGATTTCAAAAAACTCAACCCCTTGAAAGTTATTCCACAAAAAGCAATTTTATAGAAAATGATTTCAAAACTTATGGGCAGGCATAGCAACAAACTATCAGATGTCACGTCTTTTCTGCAACGCAAACCAAAAATGTTTAATTTTATGCCACTGGTTAATGCCAATGAAGAGAAAATAAAATATATTCACTTCACTAAGGAGAATTCACCAAGACAAAGACAGAATGCCTCTCGGTTATTGAAACAAGTATGATTCTCAGAATCATAGGAAAATTGGTAGATTTCATGGGAAGTTTTGTTTAATTATAATGTTCACCAAACTTGTCTCACAAGGAAGATCTGAAAGCAAAGTTGGTGAAATTAGAGTAAAAGGTAAGAAAATATTACTCATTAAAAAGGATTAAAATTTTAATGTTATAAAACCGCATTACTGTATCTGCCTGTGTCACAGTTAAAACACAAATATACACAAAGATGTTCTTTCTTTCCCCCAAAAAATAAAATATTATGAAACATAAAATATGTGGTGATAATTTTTAAATCACTACAAAGGGACAGAACTTATGGAGGAACACTGAATTTCATGTGTAAGGAATCATAAAAACTGGGAGAACCATGTTTTTTACCCATAAACTTCATCTCTGCAGGCGTGTACACCTTTCAGCCTAGCACCTCCTCAAGGTAAATGGATGGTCAGTGACACACCCTCAGAGACTATCAGCGAAGGTGGCAACCATAAGCCCTGTACCTCAGGGGACTTTAGGTAGGAAAATGAGTGTTGGGTGGGAATCAAGAGACTCAGATTCTAATCCTGATTCTTGCAGTAACAGATTGTATTGCATAGAGGAAAACATAACTTTTGAGCCTCAGTTTTCTTCTCTGTAAAATGCCCTCATTGCCTCTCACAGCTCTAGTAAGTATTCACTTACAATGACACATACAAATGTAGCTGAAAACTGCAAAAGTGATGTGGAAATGCAAAAGCATCGATAGCAGAAGAGGTTAGACAAGAAAATGATGTCTTATTTAAAGGAGCCAAACGTGTTTAATCTGATAAATCATTAGGACATATTTTTGAAAAGTGGCACTTGAGGCAGATTAGGGATAGCGGTGTAGGTGGTGTAGCTTTCCATGATGATGAACAGACCTGCAGTTTAGGTAGTGTCGAGATGTAAAGGCCAACTTCTACAACAGTGGGCTTTTCCCACATGAAGAACAGATGGTCTGGGAAACCCTCAGTTACCAGGGTACAGTATTAAACAAGCTGCTCACTCAACAAAGTCAGCAGGGATTTGGTCCAGCCAAAAATTACAACAAGTATTATCCACTAATTGAAGAATTGATGAGTCAAGCAAAAAAACCTACACTCTTCAACCTCTTTATTAGATGTAATTGTTAGGAGGGGCTTTTAAAATAAAAAAAAATAATGCATTGCAACATAATCTTGCTTTCTATTTTTGAAGTTAACAGCTGCTAGTCATTAAAATCTTATAGATAGCCATAATGGTTATTGATTACATCCATTTGTCATTAAAAACAAAAGCAGTTCTCAATCATCCAAAAGAAGGTTGTATTCCAAGAGTTGTTAATAAATGTTTTTATTTAATAATATATTTCACACATCCTGTATGCCAGGAATTACTCCTGGTCCTTTACAAACATATCTTATTTAATCCTTGTGATAATTTTATGAAGCAGGAGCTATTGTCTTCAACTTACAGATGAGAAAATGAAGGCACAGAGATGTTATGTCACGTGCTGAAGGTCACACATCTAGTAAATAGCCAAATAATCAGTGGGGAGCTGGAAGTACAAAAATGTGGCTCCAGGATTTTTTAGCTGCCATGCCATGCTGACCTTTCAGAACTTGATGTAATTCTCCACAGAAGCAATGGTATAAATAGTTATAAAATTCCACAATACCCTATTTAAACCACATGTAGCTGAAATTCTATTGATCTATCAAAGTGCTATCCCTGGCTCCCAGCTCAGTACTTACCACAGAGGAAGTGCTCAATAGCGTTGTTGAATTTAAGATGGAATAGGTGCCCCACTTATGATGTTAACACTCTAGAACACTGGAGCAGTCAATGGCAGAGACATAGACGTGCTCCCCTACAGCGTCTCCTACACTGGTCTCGACGGTTTGGTGGTGGAAAGGAATTTGGGTGATTGGACCTTATGGAGATGGCACAACTTTTTAGCAGCAGATGACAGATGGGGTTTTGGTTTTAGCAGCAAAGCAGCAGCACAAAACTTCAGCAAACTGGGGAGAGAATCTGGGTTCTACTGGGCAGCAGGACATGGTTGCAAGTCTGTGGCAGAAGGTGGACTGGAAGTAGGTAGTGGGATGGCAAAGTGAGCTTCTGGTACCAAGAAACATGGAAACTGGGTCTGTAACTAGGGCAGCTATTTGCCAACAAGGGAAGATGATAAATCAGCCATCTGCAGCCCAGAGTCTTCCTCTAGGTCAACACTTGGACAATTAATAATATCTCCCTACTGTTTCTCAGCAGGCGAAAAAAAAATGCAAATTATTTTTCGGACACTTACTGAACATGGTGAAGAATATGTAAGAGAAGACTTGCTGTGATTATATAAAATACAACAAAAATTATACATGAAGGGTTTCTCCCCACTGCCCCACCCCCACCCCCCTGCCTCTGTCTCCCAGGCTAGAATGCAGTGGCACAATCCTATCTCACCCTAACCTCAAACTCCTGGACTCAAGTGATCCTCCCGCCTCAGCCTCCTGAGTAGCCAGGACTACAGGTATGCACTACTATGCCCAGCTAACTTTTTAATTTCTTTTTGTAGAGACAAGTTCTCGATATATTGACCAGGCTTATATATGAAATTCTTTAAGAGCAGGGACTATTACTTGTTAGTTTTATTCCCAAGGTTTAGCAGAATGTTTTTGCAAGATGCTCAATAAATATTAAATAATTGATAAAAGTTGACTTACTACTGATAATGTAAAATAGAAGATAAATAACCAGCCTGGGCAACATGATGAAACCCCGTCTCTACAAAAAACACAAGAATTAGCCAGGTGTGGTGGTGCATGCAGCTACTAGGGAGGACAAAGGGGGAGGATCTCTTGAGCCCAGGAGGCAGAGGTTGCAGTAAACCAAGATCGCTCCCCAACACTTTAGCCTGGGTAACAGAGCCAGACCCTGTCTCAAATATATATATATACAATTTACATTTATATATTATATATATTTATTTATATATTATATATAAGATGTATAATATATAACAATAATAAAATAGCTAAATAGAATAATTGATAAATGAATAGAATAATAAATTGAATAATAAAAGAATAATAAATAAGCAGAATAATGGAGTGATAGAAAAATTGTAAATGAATGAAGCAATAGCACCAACTTTTAACTGCTATGTTCATCATAAACAGCACAGTGAGTTTGAAATATTCATATTACCTTGTTATACAATATACAATATGAGCAACATGGGCATTACATGTATCCTTGTCCAAAATAAATTATTCTGAAGCTATCAACATTTCCATCTTTAATCTTTAAAATCTGTATCTTATAGCAGGAAGATGTGGTTCCAGTTTTTTCAGATATTTTAATACAATTTCCTCTTTGGATACAACACCAAAATCTACAAAGCCATGTAAGGAAGAATAATCTTCATCTTGTCAGTAAACAAATAAAAGTGCAGGTGTCTTGGATCTTTGTTCAAGCACTATCACTAACTCATTCGAGATCTTAAAGAAACCACTACTCTGAGTTAAGACTTTTTAAAATTAAGATTTTTGAATTTTAAAAGGAAGGAGGCCGGGCACGGTGGCTCATGCCTGTAATCCCAGCACTTTAGGAGGTCGAGGCGGGTGGATCACGAGGTCAGGAGATCGAGACCATCCTGGTTAACACGGTGAAACCCCGTCTCTACTAAACAAAATACAAAAAATTAGCCAGGCGTGGTGGCGGGCGCCTGTAGTCCCAGCTACTCGGGAGGCTGAGGCAGGAGAATGGCGTGAACCTGGGAGACGGACCTTGCAGTGAGCCGAGATCGCGCCACTGCACTCCAGCCTGGGCGACAGAGAGAGACTCCGTCTCAAAAAAAAAAAAAAAAAAAAAAAAAGGAAGGAATTCATCTGCCTTCCTTTAAGTTCTTCATCCCTTTCTAGATGGTAGAGAATTTCACTAAATTTGCCTGAAGTTACTGGACTTGATATCAGGGGGAAAAAAAATACACGTAATTTAATAGAAAACATTTGGGAAAATATTTTTATTTGAAACAATTTTAACCACTTTTCCAAAACACCAGCATCAAAACTGGGTTTATGTAGAGTGCAAAATGGAGGTCAACGACACAGGCAATGCCCTGAAAACTTTCACAACTGCTGGCCTGGAAATGAATATGAAACCAAACTGAAGAAAGTGACTCACCACAGAAGGGAATCACGCCTCAATGCTTTTCCACCTCTCCTCCAAAACAATCATTTTCTTCAGGGTTTGTTTTAGGAAAAAAAAAAAATCAGAGAAAATAGAAGTATAGATTTTTCCTGTTTTAATGTAATCTTTTCTGTTCCTTTTGATTAGGCAATGAGATTGCGGAATAGTCTAGTAGTCATATAATTACTGTAAGGAATGCTGCCCCAGCTGCCGACCGGTCTTAATATTTGAATGTTGATAAACGTAACGCAACATTTTTGTCAAGCAAAACTATTAAGAAGCTAAAGAACAATTCAATTAATAGAGTAGCTAGTCAAATATATAAGTATAAATAAAATAGGGGTATATTTCAGAGCTCTGTTTTGCCAAGATGTTATAGCTCAGAGTAAGTCATGGCCAGCTCAGTTCTCCACTGAAGCAGCAAGATATGAGATCATGAAACTGAAAAACGTATTCTTCACACCCATGACACTGAGCTACAATCCCTAATAGCTAAGGTATGTGAGAGCAGCTGAATACAACCTCAAACTTAAATCAGAAAGAATCCATAGATAGGGTCTACATCTTTTTTTGTAAATAATTATATATAAAAATTTCAAAGATAAGCCCCTTAGAAAAGACATCAAATGGAACACCAAATGTACATAGAAAAATGGTGAGGACTATGACGGACCTTTCAATAGATGAAGTTAGGCTGACCTCCCGGTTTAGAAACATATGGTCTTATGGAATAACTAATACAGTACAAATGCAAGAAAACAGCAATAAAAATGATCAAACCTTATGCTTGAATATGGAATTACAATTTACAGAGTGCTCTGCGCTCTCCATTTGATGTGATAATCCTATGCCATGTGTAGGGCAGGAACTATTATCCTTAATTTTACAGGTGAAAAAACTATGGCTCAAGAAATCGAAGTTTCTAGATGAAGTTAAGGCTTCTTGGTAACTAGTAGAGTTCTACCACTAGAGGACTCTACTAGTTCTGACCCTAAATCCAGGCAGACTTCTGCAAATAATATGAGTGCATAGACCTGAGTTGGAATCTCAGTTCCAACACTTCCCAGATATCTGGCCCTGGGAAAGTCACTTCATTTCTTTAAGTTTTGTTGCAGGTTGACTCTCAGTGAGTAGATGCTGAGACTGAGTTTGAGGATCAAAAGTTATCCTAAGGAGTAATACTTATGAAAGGAAAAGGGAGAAAGCAAGACCAGGGAGGGTTTTAGTCTTTTGCAGGATAGTTAGCAGACTGATGCAGACCAAAGTCTCTGTCAGCCCCGTGAGAGTTCTGGAACAAAGATTGCCCATTGGCCCCTAGCATGCCCCAAAAATAAGTCATCACCATTTATCAACTGCATCAGATAGGCCCATTTTATTTTTTTATAATTTCAAGTGACTTTTACAAATAATATACAGAAGATATAAAAGATAGCACAAAACTAATTTATTTAAAATGTTAATATAAACTAAAACATAGAAAACCCAAATTTTTATTCTATAATTTTGTGGTTTGGAAGTATATATACCTAAAATGGGCAACATCTTTGAATGCATGTCATGCATGCCCCTGGAACATACCCATTCTGTATTTATGGATTCCAGATTTCAAATGCATCTGTAATAGGTTCTAGTTCATCATTACTTTCAACTCTTGCACTTGCAGCTACAAAATGCAATAAGTTTGGGAACTTTAATAGCTCACAAGATTTTTTAAGAGAGGAGCCACCCTCTTTGCTCCATAATTGCAAAACATTTTCATTTATAAATATCAATTGTATAATCAATCTAATGTTTTTTATTTCTACATTACCTATTTCCTCCCAATCAACCTTTGTATACACACCTGCCTTTAACACCTGTGCACTTGCAAATCATATCGCATAAATTTTGGAACAAACATCATAAAAGATGAAAGAATACTGTCCACCTTCTTTCAGCAAAATGGAATGGCCCAGGAGCTTGTGGCAAAATATTGTATGATGAAATTATTTCTGTCGAATGAGTATAGATGATGTATTAGTCTGTTCTCAAGCTAGTAAAGACATACAAGAGACTGGGTAATTTATTTTTAAAAAGAGGTTTAATGGACTCACAGTTCCACATGGCTAGGGAAGCCTCACAATCATGGTAGAAGGTGAAGGAGGAGCAAAGGCACATCTTACGTGGCGGCAGGCAAGGGAGAGTGTGCAGGGAACTGCACCTTATAAAACCCTCAGATCTCGTGAGATTTATTCACTATCACAAGAACAGCAAGGGGAAAAACTGCCCCCATGATTCAATTACCTCCCACCAGGTACCTCCCATGACATGTGGGGATTATTGGAGCCACAATTCAAGATGAGATTTGGGTGGGGACACAGCCAAACCATAAATAAATTACCCTTTAAATCTTGATATAGAGAAAATTATTCTAGAATATCATCATCTGGACATTCATAGTCCAAGATCTGCTTAAGCAATCAACTTCACCATTCTCTTTAGAGTCTAAAGTGTTGCTATCTCTCCTATGCGTCATTTTCTGATTTTTCTAAAAATCGTCAAACATATTCCTCAATTTTCTTCTCTTTGCCATTACGGGCAGAAATTCTAAAACTAAATTTTCAATATTGTTCAGTTATAATTTAAAAAAAGAGAGACTCAAAGCTGGTATCACCATACTTCTCTTATACCTTCTTGAAAAGTGAAATAATACTTTGGGCAGTGTATTGAGAAAACTGATGATGGAATAATGATGATTTATTTCATTGTTGTATCATCCTTCCAGGCAATTCCATCATTCTTTCATTTTCTTATTTTAGCCTTTTTTAGTATAGTTAGGAATAACTGATGAGTGAAGATGAAATAACTTTTAGGATAATGAAATAGCAAAATGTTTCAAGATATAGAAAAAAATGAAACCATTAAGGTCCCATAAATGTGTCTTAGATTTATGAAAGGATCCAGGGAATCCTTATGGCAATTATAAGATAATAAACTTTATTCTATTTTTTAAAAAATAAGTAAATTTTCTCTTTGTTCTTTGGAAGACTAATAAGACTATAAGTCACAAAATATCAGTCTTTACAAATAGTTAGAACTGCTTTAAAAAGACAGTCAAAAATTAAATTGGGTCCAGTGGCTCCTGATGATATATCAAGTGTTAGTGAAGCCTTGTGTTGTAAAAATGGCTAAGCCCTGTTCAAACCCCTTAGTCAGATACTGGCTTGTGGCCACCCCAAGAAGAGGATGCCCTTGGCTACCACTGTCTTGCTGAGTCATTGGCCAGTGTAGTGGTCCACTCTCATCCTGCTGATAAAGACGTACCTGAGACTGGGTAATTTATAAAGGAAAGAGATTTAATTGACTCACAGTTCAGCATGGCTGGGGAGACCTCAGGAAACTCACAATCTTGGTGGAATGGGAAGCAAACATGTCCTTCTTCACATGGCAGCAGCAAGAAGTGCTGAGCAAAAGGGGGAAAAGCCTCATATAAAACCGTCAGATCTCATGAGAACTCACTCACCATCACAAGAACAGCATGAGGATAACGGCCCCCATGATTAAATCACCTCCCACTGAGTCCCTCCCATGACACGTGGGGATTATGGGAACTACAATTCAAGATGAGATTTGGGTGGGGACACAGCCAAACCATATAAGCCAGGGTTAGTTGCAAGAATAGGGACCAGGGAACCCTGCAGGAATGAATAACCCTCGCAGCTGGCAGAGAGTCCTTTCTTGAAAGGAGATCTGAGCATCTCTATGTCTGTCATCTATGTGTCTGTCACAGCTTCTACTTAATTATTCATTAATTCCCTCACTCAAAACAATATATGTTGAGCACCTACTACATGCAAGTCACTTTTCTTGGTACTGGGGATTCTTGGGTAAACAAAACAGAACCCCAAAAAGTGCTTAGAGCTTACATTCTAGTGTAGGCTGGGGAAGACAACGGATAAGATAAATAAATGAAACATATAGTGGGTTACTGATAAATGTCAAAGAGAAAAAGTATGAAAGAAGAATGTAAAATATCAGGGAGATGTGAACTAGCAGAAGACTGGGGGCAGAATTTTAGATACATTCTCTTGGAAAGCCCTTACTATTCCAAAGTGGACTTGAGTAAAGACCTGAAGGAAATGAGAGAGCTAAACCCTGCAGGTATCTGAGGGAAGAGCTTTCCAGGCAAAGCAAACACAAAGACCTTGAGACCTGGTGTGCTTGAGGAATTAGTGTTGAGTGAGTGAGGGCGAGAGAGGTAGGAGCTGATATCGGGAGCCACTGGAGGCCAGACAACACATGTCGTTTAGGGAGAACTTGGGCTTTTATTCTGCACGAGATGGGAAGCCTCTAGTAAGTTTTACAGAGTTGCATGGCTTTCAGGTGGGCTCACTCTGCTGTGTTGAAAGAAGCTTGGGGGTAAACTCAAGAGCAGACAGATCAGTTAGAAGGCTACTATAGCCGGGCGAGGTGGCTCGAGCCTGTAATCCCAGCACTTTGGGAGGCCAAGGTGGGCAGATCACTCGAGGCCAGAAGTTCAAGACCAGCCTGGTCAACATGGTGAAACCTCATCTCTACCAAAAATAAAAAATTAGCTGGGGAATGGTGGCACATGCCTGTAATCCCAGCTACTCGGGAGGCTGAGGCAGGAGAATCTCTTGAACCCAGGAGGCAGAGATTACAGTGAGCCAAGATCACACCACGTACTCCAGCCTGGGTGACAGAGCCAGATTCCATCTAAAAAAAAAAAAAGAGAAGAAGGCTACTACAGTACTCCTGACCAGAGAGGATGGCAACACAGTTTTTGGCCTAAGCAGCTAGAAGATAGAGCTGCCATTAACCCAGATGGGGAAGACTGCAGGAGCTATTGAGTTGAAGAGGAGGGGACAAAATGTTAGGAGCTCAATACTGGACACGTTGAGTTTCAGATGCTGATTTAGCACCCCAGTGTCAATGTCAAGTAGGTAGCTGCATTTGCCAATCTTGATTTCCAGGAGAAATCTGGACTGGTGATATACATGTGGGAGTTGTCAACTTGTGGATGATATTAAACCCTACACATTGGAAAAGACCATCTAAAAACTGAAAATAGATTTAAAAAGAGAGAGAGAGGGAGAGAAGATGTGCCTACCACACAGGGTTGTTGGGTCCTTCCATCAGTAATATGCAGGAAAACCCAAGACACGCATAGTGTAGGCACTTGTTATCCACCTCAATAAATTCAATTTTCTATAGTATTCCATTTAAAACATTGAAATCACCTTTTCACCTATGTAGCTGACAGAGGTAAATATTATAGGCTTACCTCTTCAGAGTAAAATAAAATATTGTAGACATCCATAATTAATGAGGAAAGTGGGCTCTTATCTTTGAATTTTTTTAATGAAAACTATGGCTATGAAATCTGAATAATGTTTTTAAAATCCTTAGGAGTAGGCCAAAACTAATGGATTTAAGTAAGAGGAACAATTCCTTTGGCTGCTGAATCAGGAGGCTAAAAAGAAACATTATTATTGCTCAAAAGTCTTGCACAGAAGAATCCCATGACACTTTACTAACAACCCCACCCTTATCAACGAAGTGTGCTCTCCAAGCTAATCCTCATAAATTAGCAAAGTCAGGCTTTCTTTCTGCAAGAATAGTTACAATGCTCAATTTGTTCCCAAAAATTGTTAAGGGAATATGAAGCTACTCATCATTATTACTGGGTTAAAAAAGAAAGAAATATTTCCTGACAAATCACTTCTGAGTATTTGAATTGTGACTAACACTGGAATCTGGTTTAATAATCTTCCCAGAATCACAAAGGAAAAATGCATGAGTTTAATGGACCTAGAGAAATGTATGATTTGCCAACTACAAAGGTCTAGGAAGGTGAAAAAATGATAGCCAGGAAGTAATGGATTGTACAGCACTAATGAATTCTAATGAAATAATAACAAATCTAATCTTACTCCATGTTTACCCAATTTTTCAAATATTATTTGGCCCAACGGGGAGGGGTTAACTCAAAATAAATTAACTCAGAATAGGTTGGAAACGTGAAACAAGGACAGAGCCAAATGAAAATGAATGCCCTAAAACCTGTGTACATAAAGACCAAGGAGTTCAAATCGGTGTGCTTTTCACTTCCATCTCTCACACCTAGATAAGCTCAACGTTTGCAGGAGCATCATGTCTTGCTCTTCCTGTGTCTCCTCCTCCAGGGCTGGAGGCAGCAGCTTGGCCAGGCTGTCTGCTGGTGGAAGCAGCTTCAGCAGTAGAGGCAGATGTGGTCTGGGGGGCGGCTCTGCCCGGGGCTTCCAAAGAGGAGCCGACAGCTATGGCCTGAGTGGGGATGTCTAGCAGTGGCTTTGGAGGTAGCTTTAGTGGGGGCTTTGATAAATGCTCTGTAGGAGGTGGTTCTAGCTTCGGCAGGATCTCTGGATTCTGTGGAAGTTCTGGATTAGGCGGTGGTGCTAGTGGAGGCTTCTGCAGTATGGTGGTGGCATGGGAGGTGGTGGTGGCAACGGGGGGCTTTTCTCTGGAGGGGAAAAGCAAACCATGCAGAACCTCAATGACGGCCTAGCCAATTACCTAGACAATGTCAGAGCCCTAGAAGAGGCCAACACAAAATCAAGGAGTAGTGTGACAAATTTGGGCCTGGGTCTGGAGACGGTGGATCTAGAAGAGATTGCAGCAAATACTATCCAATAATTGAAGATCTCAGGGACCAGGTGAGAAACTCAATGATGGTACCTCTTTTGTACTTATTTATTAAATTTGAAGACAATGTGAAATTGTTCTTTTATTTTTTGCTCAATTGTTCCATGCAGAATGTTTCAGATATATATTTGGTAAAAAGAGAGAGAGAGAGAGAAAAGAAACAAAAAACTTTCCATGATGTCACTCTAGATTTATTTAGAATGTAATTCACACGGACATTAGTTACTAAAAAAATTTTCTGCAACTATATCTTGACAGTCAAAGGTAAATCAGTAATGACATGTTACTCATTAAAATGTTCATGAGTTTTATTGCATCTCCTAGATCATTGCAGCCACGATTAATAATGCCAGCATGACTTCCCCAATTGACAGTGCTGGACTTGCAGCAGATGACTTCAAAATGAAGTGAGTTTGTTTCAAAATATCAGTTGTTACCATGACAAAAAATAAGACTTATGTTTTTACTTTTAACATAAAATGTATATAAAGGCAATTAGATCCAAGTATCAGATAAATGTAATATATTAGTGTAAAATATCTACACTGAAGGAAAAAAGGCCAATTTTAATGTATATTTAATGACAAGAGATTCCAAAATTGGAATTTTTAAAAATGATTTCAGGCCGGGCATGGTGGCTCGTGCCTGTAATCCCAGCACTTTGGGAGGCCAAGGAGGGTGGATCTCCTGAGGTCAGGAGGTCACCTGAGACCAGACTGGCCAATATGGCGAAACCTCATTTCTACTAAAAATACAAAAATTAGCCAGGCATGGTGGCAGGCACCTGTAATCCCAGCTACTTGGGAGGCTGAAGCAGGAGAATCACTTGAACCTAGGAGGTGGAGGTTGCAGTGAGCCAAGATCATACCATTGCACTCCAGCCTGGGGGACAGAGCAAGACTCCTTCTCAAAATTAATTAATTAAGAAATAAAAATGATTTCATAGTCTTTGTTTAAATATTTCAAAAGAATTTCAACTTGAGCTGGATGTCAGTGGACAAGTCCTTTTTAAAATAAAGCTTCTCAAAGTAGTTAATCTAATTCATACATCATATTCCAAAGATCTCCTAAGGTATGAAAACGAGCTCTATCTAATGCCAGTCAGTTGAAACCTATGTAAATGATCTGCAAAAAGTACTCAGTGAGCTGAATGTGACCACATGGCACCTTAAAATACAGTCCGAAAGCCTAGCAGAAGACCTGGCATATCTCCAGAACAACCCCAAGGAGATAGGAGAAATAAATCCATCAAGGGACTTCCCATCACCATCACCATTCAGCAAGGTCCCCAACCTCAAAGGATTTTTGCTACTGTGACTTTTGCGTTTCTTCTCCGCCAAGAAATGAGTACTTTGCCGAGACAGTCCAGTGGGGACGTGACTGTAGAAATGAACTCGGCCCCAGGGGCAGATCTAACCAAGCGGCTGAACTGCATGAGGCAAAACAGTAAGAGGAACTGGCTGAGCAAAACCTTAGGGAGGCCGAGGAGTGGTTCAACAAGCAGGTAGCTCAACCCTAATCCTAACATGAACCCTAACCTGGCAAAGTGAGAGAAGATAGAAAGCCAGGCAGAGTGCTTGGAGCTTCTTTGATTTCACTGTACTTTGTTGATTTCATGCTTGCAGAGTGCATCCTTGCAGACACAGATCTCCACGGATGCTGAAGCAGTTAGCTCGGCCAAGAGTGAGATAATGGAGCTGAAACAAGTCCTCCAGTCCCTCCAGCATGAACTGCAGTCTGTCTTGGCCATGGTAGGTGGGAAAGGGGCACTCACTCAATTTTCTTCTATAGTTTTAAAAAATTGTTTTGCAGACACTGTTTGAAGCAAGCTAGCAAAATGTTGGCTTTTGTAAATGGGAATAATAGTACCTATCTCATAAGGTTGTTATGAGAATTACATGAGTCAATATTTATAAAATACTTGAACAGTGCCTAATAGTGAGTAGGAATTGCTATATGGTTACAGTAGTACTCTCTGATTAATATTTGCTATCATTACTATTATTCGGTATTAATTATCAAAGGTAAATCTCTATTAAGTGGTTCATTTGGAGACACCCTCACCATACAAAATATATGTTTCAGGGTTCATATGTTGAATACTGAGCAGTTATTCTGACAATGCTTCAATTTTCATGGGCATTTGTAGCAAAGCTCCCCAGAAGGAACCCTGGCTGACACAGAAGCTGGCTACGTGGCTCAGCTGTCAGAAATTAAGATGTATATCAGCATCCTGGAGGAGCAGATCTGCCAGATCCGGGGCGAGACTGAATACCAGAACACAGAGTATGCACAACTGCAGGACATCAAGACACGCCTGGAGGTGGAGATCGAGACCTACCACCGCCTGCTCGGTGGAGAGGGAGGGTGAGTCACCGATACCATGATTTTGTTGTTAAAATCACTTTCTTAAAAATGAAGAAATTGTTTTTTATTCAGAGACTGAGATTTACAGTTTTAGCAAGTTTCAAATCAAGTACAATCTGAAAAGCTAGTAGAAAATAGAAAAGAAAAAAAAAACAACTTTCCATGGTATCACTCTAGATTTATTTAGAATGTAATTGACACTGGGCGTTAGTTCCTTTAAAATTTTTCTGCATCTATATCTTGATAATTGAATGTAAATAAGAAATTACATGTTATTCCTTAAAGTGTTCATTAGTTTTTTTTGTATCTCCTAGATAATTGCAGTCATTTCTAAGACAGGGTCTCACTCTGTCGCCAAGGCTAGGTGCAGTGCTGTGTTTACAGCCCACTGCAGCTTTGACCTCCCAGGCTCAAATGATCCTCCCACATCAGCCTCCTGAGTAGCTGGGACTACAGACATGAGCCACCATGCCTGTATTTTTTTTTTTTTTTTTGAGACGGAATCTCGCTCTGTCACCAGGCTGGAGTGCAGTGGCACAATCTCGGCTCACTGCAACCTCTGCCTCCCGGGTTCAAGTGATTCTCCTGCCTTAGCCTCCTGAGTAGCTGGGACTACAGGCGCTCACCATCACACCCGGCTAATTTTTGTATTTTCAGTAGAGACGGGGTTTCACCATGTTGGCCAGGATGGTCTCGATCTCTTGACCTTGTGATCCACCCACCTTGGCCTCCCAAAGTGCTGGGATTACCGATACGAGCCACTGTGTCTGGTCTAATTTTTTTTACTTTTGGTAGAGACAGAGTCTCACTATGTTGCCCAGGCTATTCTCAAACTCCTGGTCTCAAGCAATCCTCCCGCCTCAGCCTCCCAAAGTGCTTGGATTGCAGGCATGAACCATTCGCCCAGCATGCTACTAATAATGTTCAGCTGGCACCAGCATTCACATACAATTTTTGTGTGGGCATATGTTTTCATTTCGACTGGGTATATACCTTAGAGTGGAATGGTTGGGTCATGTGTTAGCCTTGTGTTTAACCTTTGAGGAACTGCCAGGCTATTTTCCATAGTGGCTCCACTATTTTACATTCCTACCAGCAGTGTAGGAGGGCTCCAATTTCTTCACATCCTCACCAACACTCGTTCCATTCAGAAAGAAAATATGTCTGCTTCTTTACAGTTTTTGGCCAAAGAGAAGTAACTGACAACAATCATTTCTTTTATTTGTCAACAGTTCTGAGGCCAGAGAAGCTGAATCTAAAGGATGATTCTCTGTGGACTCCAAAGGAATAACCAACACAGCTCAATCGAGGGGAAGAGTCGCTTTTTAAAGTAATACTTTCTGCTTATTTAATGAGCATCCATCATGAATAAAATGTGCTTTCCTTACCCCCAAAAATCTGGGCTACAGTCATTCACTTTAAAGCATGACTTGTGAACCAACCTTTACATTTCCAGTTCTAAAATTCTCCCTATTTCTGTTTTAGATTCACATAAAAGCAGAGGAACCAGGCTGGTGACGGATAATGACCAACTAATTTCATCTCAACACTGTTTCTGATGTAAAATTCAAGAGTAAGATGCAGGCAGCTGAGTCCTGTCCCCAGGATGTAAATGATGACACCTAACAAAGGCGTGCTGAAGCACTGCAACAAACCTGCGGCCACAGAGCTGCAGCTACTCCTGTAATCCTTTCTCAGATTCTTTTGTCTTATTGGTTCGGTTTTGTCTTTAAATTGCAAAATGTGTTTTCCTTCTTAATCATTCTGTGTCGATAAACTTTTTGCCTGTTGCAAATCAACTACATCAATCTTTGTCCTTTTGTTTCGCTGACTTGTTTTACAACAGCTTTATTGAGATATAATTCCTATACCATACAATCCACACTTTTTTTCTTTTTTTTTTGAGACAGAGTCTCACTGTGTCAACCAGACTAGAGTGCAATGGTGCGATCTCGGCTCACTGCAACCTCCACCTCCTGGGTTCAAGCAGTTCTGTCTCAGCCTTCTAAGTAGCTGGTATTACAGGAGCATGCCACCATGCCTGGCTAATGTTTTTTTGTATTGCTAGAACAGACAGGGTTTTGCCATGTTGGCCAGGCTGGTTTCGAACTCCTGGCCTCAAGTGATCCACTTGCCTTGGCCTCCCAAAGTGCTGGGATTAGAGATGTGAGCCACCACACCCGGCCCAACTCACACATTTAAAGTGCACAATTCAATGGTTTGCAGCATATTCACTGAGCGGTACAATTATCACCTCAGTCAACCTTAGAGCATTTTTATCACCTCAAAAAGAAATCACATATCCATCAATAGTCAGTCCTTATTTTCCCCCAACAAACCCCCACCCCCAGCCTTAGGCAACCAGTAATGCATCTTCTGTCCTATATATTTGCCCATTCTAGACTTTTCACATAAATGGAATCATATAATATGATACGTGGTCTTTGTGTTTGGCTTCTTTCACTTAGCAAGATGTCTTCAACATTCACCCATATTGTAGCATGTATCAGTACTTCATTCTTTTTTTTTACTGAATAATATTCCAGTGTATGGATATACCATATTTTATTTATCCATTCATTGGATGATGAGAATTTAGGTTATTTATGATATTTGGCTATTATGAATAATGCTGCTATGAACATTCACACAAAAATTTTTGTGAAGACACATGTTTTCATTTCTGTTTGGGAATATACCTTAGAGTAGAATGGTTGGGTCATATGTTAGCCCTGTGTTTAACCTTTGAGGAAACACCCGACTATTTTCCATAGTGGCTGCACTATTTAACATTTCAACCAGCAGTGTAGGAGGATTCCAATTTCTTCACATCCTCACCAACACTTGTTAATGATTTTTTAAATTATAGCAATCCTAGTGAATATTAAGTGGTATCTCACTGTAGTTTCACACTGACTCTTGAAATCTATTATTTCATATAGTCCAAAACCACTCCAAAAAAATTATGAAATATCTGATAGGGCTGCAGTTTTCCAGCTTTCTTGTGTCAAAAATACATACATATTAAGATGGTGCCCAGGCTTAAAAACCTACACTCTACCTGTAAAGACAGTGCTAATACAAATGAAAATGAAGACTTCAAGTGTTTTTAAAAAGAGGAATCAGGGCTGGGTGCGGAGGCTCACACCTGAAATCTCAACACTCTGAAAGGCCAAGGTGGGAAGATTGCTTGAGCCCAGAAGTTTGAGACCCGCCTGGGCAAATTAGCCAGGCACTGGGCATAGCGGTGCATGCCTGTGATTCCAGCTACTTGGGAAGCTGAGGTGGGAAGATTGCTTGAGCCCGGGAGGTTGAGGCTGCAGTGAGCTGAGATGGCACCACAGCACTCCAGCCTGGGCAACAGAGTAAGACCCTGTCTCAAAAAAAAATACAAGACCTATGATGAGGAATGACTTGAGCTTCCAGATAGCAAAACATTCATGTAGTGTGGATACTCCCCAGGGCAGATGCATCCAGCTCCAGGTGCTGGCGTATGGGCTGCTAACAGCCACCCTCACAGGGTTCTGCCTTGCCCAGGATTATGCCCCTTCAGGAGAGTGCCCATGGGCCAGTAACTCGCTTATAGGGGATACAAAGTTCTGGCCCCCTGTCTTAAATTAGGATAACTCTGAAGGGTGAGCCCTGTCCAGAGCTCCCCAAAGAATCAGCGGAAGCCTTCATTAAAACAGCATTGCATAGGCCTCTCCCTATGCCCATTCCAGTCTTACCCACCTGCTGACAAGTTTATCTCACAAAAGAACTCCCTGATAAACTTCAGCACACATCTCTCCATCTCAGAGTCTGTTTCCAGGAAACACAAGTTAAAAAAAAAAAAGTATTCTTTACAGCAATTAGAACAATGTGCCACTGACACAGGCATGAACACCCCAGAAAAAGGGCCATCAGTATATAAGAATGACATTTTCAAATCAGTTGTGGACAAGTAGATTATTCAATAAAGGCTGCTGAAATAACTAGTTAACTAAGGGGTAGGAGCCGGGATGGGGATGAGGCTAAGGAGGGTGTTGAATAGTTATATCACACACACCAAAATAAATTCTACAGAAGTTGCAGAAATAAAAGAAAATAAACTTTTACAGACTTTAAATTTTTTTAATTATGTATTTGGGGAATGGTGATGGCTTGTTTCATCAAAAACAAAAACATCATGAAGGAAAAGGAGGACAGATTTATATCAAGAAAATAACGTGAAATAAGAAGCAAAAGAAAAAATAAATTTAGTGAAGTATGGTGAAAACCTGCTCCAACACCAAGGGAAGTCTGTGCAGCCAGACCACAGAGTCCAGACGTGGACCGCACGCTTTAAATCACGATGCCCTAGCTGCAGTTTGGCACCACCTGCTGTCTGCTGTCTTATCTGTCTAAAATCAAGAGGATTTGGGGGCTTGCAAATTTCCAAGAAAGCAGCAGTTCCAGGAATGGGCAGCCTGTTTAGTTGCCCTGACTCATCCTCAGCCTCCCCATTCCCCATCTTCTCCCTAGCCACCCCATCCGCCTGTCCACCTGCCATATATCCCCCCAACACTCCAGAAAATAAGAACTTTAGCCTACCCTCTTGGGGGCTGCATGTAGAATGGAAGCCAACAGCCAATCACTTTAAGTCTAGATTTTCAGCAATGCCACATGGTACCCGGGGTTTTCACTGCACTTGTCATATACAGCCATCCGAGAGCTGATGTCCCCATATATAAACTCAGGAACAGAGATAACCATATCAATAAGAAACGGATACATGATACACACAAGAAATTCGTAAAATACGAATCGCCAACAAACATTAAAAAGTGATGATGTCCAACATCTCTTGTAATAAAAGAAAAGCAAATTAAAATAATGAGATGCCATGTTCAGCATCAAAACAGGTCCAATTTGTTTAATAATAATAAATACCTATTTTAGCAAGGATGTAGGGAAAAGGCACTAATGGAGTGTAAACTAGCAAAACCTTTAAGAAAACAATTCAGCAACAGGTATCAAAAGCCTTTTTAAGAAAAGAGCATATCCTTAGAGCCAGCAGTTTCATTTCTAGGAATTTATTCTTACATAATCAATTATTAATATATGTATACTCCTCTCAGCTGTTCATCATAGTGAAACGTAAGCTATAATAAAATATTCAACAATGGAGAATCAATAGGCTAAGTTATGAAACACCCATCAAAGTCCATCAAAGGATGGTCACACAGCCATTAAGAATGCTCAGGTTCATTTATTAACCTAAAAAGATGTCAATCGTCTATTGAGAAATGAAAAGCAGAGTTTTAAGACAATATGTATAGTATGATCTGCTTTTATAAGAATGTAATTACATGTATATTAACACTGTATGTGTTAGTCTGTTCTCACACTGCTGTAAAGAAATATCTGAGACTGACTAATTTATAAAGAAAAGAGGTTTAACTGGCTTACGGTTCTGCAGGCTGTGCAGGAAGCATCGCGGCTTCTGCTTCTGGAGAATCCTCAGAAAACTTACAATCATGGCAGAAGGTGAAGGGGAAGCCGGTATGTCTCCCATAACCAGAATGGGAGGGAGAAGGGGCAGGGAGGTGCCACACACCTTTAAACAACCACATTTCACAAGAACTCACTATCACAATAACAGCACCTGGAGGAGGGATGGTGTTAAACTGTGAGAAACCGCCCCCTACACAATGATCCAATCACCTCCTACCAGGCCCCACCTCCAGCATCAGGGATTACATTTCACCATGAGATTTGGGTAGGGACACAGGCCCAAACTGTATCACTGTACTTACTTGTTTTGTTTTTTTTTTTTAAAAAAAAAGAAGCAAAACCAATATACATCCAAATGTTAACAGTGACTATTTTGGGATAGTGAAATTATGAGTGATCTTTATTTCCTGCTGCATGTTTACATGCATTTTCTCATTTTTCTGAAGTAAACGTGTAGAACTTGTAAAATTTAAAAGTCTTTAAAGAAAAGCCATCTGTATGTTTAAATTTTTTTAAATGAATACTCTTTGTTTTGTTTTGTTTTGTTTTGTTTTGTTTTGTTTTGTCTTGTTTGAGATGGTGTCTCGCTCTGTCACTCAGGCCTGAGTGCAGAGGCAAAATCTCAGCTGACTGCAATCTCCACCTCCCCAGTTCAAGCAATTCTCCTGCCTCAGCCTCCCGAATAGCTGGGACTACAGGCATGTAACACCACACCAGTCTAATTTTTTGTATTTTTAGTAGAGACGGGGTTTCACCATGTTAGCCAGGATGGTCTCGATCTCCTGACCTCATTGATCCACCCACCTTGGCCTCCCAAAGTGCTGGGATTACAGGCATGAGCCACTACGCCCGACCTCTCCTTTTTTATTGTCAAAGAAAAATACAAGAAGGACCAAGTGATAAGTAATGTGGTAGAAACCGTAAGAATAATAAGAAAAATTATGTGGGGAAAAGGAGAAGCTGGTAAATGAAGGGTTGGAGTGTTCCAGAAGAGTGTTCCAGAAGAGATAGCCCTTGAAAAGTGGTAAAATTTGGATACATAGAAAGAACAGAATAAGGTGTGATTTGAGGCTTTGCTCCAAGATCAGTCACATCAAAAGTACTTCTAGAAACACCCAGTGACCTCCAATGAATGGGTCACAAGTTAGTACCTAAAGATCATCCATTAGTCCTCTTTAGAAATATGTGCTTGTGTCCACTCTACACACAGAAAGATAATGGTAGGTCCTGGCCTTGCTGTTGAATGCCACTGTGGGAAGGACAGGGCTTACCTGGCACCCTTCAATCAAGGTTTCCTGGGCACCTGGTTTCTCTGTCTCCCTCCTGGTTACAGGCACAAAAAAGACAAGCACAATTGCTTGCTGGGACCTTCTCCTCACTCCACCTAGTCAGCCTCCACATCACAACAGAGTCCTGTTCCTTTCTCCCTTTCTGGAAGGATCTGGCTTCATAGCCAGTATTCCTACTGGCTCTTCTCCACGTTCTGGTAACAGTATGGATGGCCCCTGTGTCCAAATCCCACAGCCTCTTATGCCCAGCTCAAATCTGCAGACTCTGATCAGCTCTGCCCACCCACGGTCACAGCTTTGCCATGGCTTCTCCAGGGCCCTCTCCTCCTAGGGTAAGCCCTGTGCCCCTTTCTCTCCCAGCATGCCCCAGGGCCACTGCAGGTAGGCTGAGCACCCCAGTCTGTCCCTGTCACTGTCCCTGGGGTGAGTCTTGCCAGGACTGGTCTGATGAGCACAGAGATCACCCACTGGGCAATAATAATTTGGCTAACTACCAGAAAGGTCTCCAAGAGTGCTGCCATTGCCTTATATGTGGTATTCTCTTATAATTATTTTAATCTGTTCTATACCCAGTTATGTCTCTTTCCCACTTCCAACCTTGTGTGTTGGACCTCTCTCTCTTTTCCTAATCAGGCTCATGAAGAGGTTGTCTATTTAATTGATCTCTAAAAGAATCAGCTTTTCGACATATTTATGTATTTTTTTCTTTTCTGTTTAAATAATTTCAGCCTTTATTTTTACTAATTTATTTTTATATTTTTTAGTTTATCTTGCTGTTCTTTAAAAGAAATTTTTATACTAAATGTCTTCATCTTTGGTCTTTCTTTTTTAACAAAGCAGCCATTAGAGGCTATAAATTTTCTTCACTGTTCAAAGTTAGCTACATCCCAAAAGTCCAGGTATGAAGTGCTTTTCTTTTAACTTTTTTTTTTTTTTTTTTTAGAGACAGGGTCTTGCTCTGTCACCCAGAGTGGAGTGCAGTGGCACAATCGTAGCTCACTGCAAGCCTCAAATTCGTAGGTTCAAGTGATCCTCCTGCCTTGGCCTCCCAAAGGACTGGGATTACAGGCGTAAGCCACCATGCCTGGACTTTTTCACTACTTTCTGGTTTGTCATATTTGATCCAACAGTTATGAAAGGCTTCTTTTTTTCCTATGATACCCAAGCGGGTATCCTAACATTCAAATCAATTCTGACACTAACTATCTGGAATTAGTGTTAGACTCCGCAAGTTGAAAGGCTCCTCCTCATAAGACTGCCCTCACCGCAGATGCTAGTCACAAGTATCAGGTCCCCAGGTGATGTGGTTTGGATCTCTGTCCCCACCAAATCTCATGTTGAAATGTAATCCCCAATGTTGGAAGTGGGGCCTGGTGGGAGGTGATTGAATCATGGGGGCCACTTCTCATGGTTTAACACCATCCCCGCCTTGGTACTGTCGTTGTGATAGTGAGTGAGTTCTTGTGAGATTTGGTTGTTTAAAAGTGTGTGGAACCTCCCCCATCTCTCTCTTGCTCCTGCTCCGGCCACGTAAGACATGTCTGCTTCTCCTTTGCCTTCTGCCATCATTGTAAGTTTCCTGAGGCCTCCCCAGAAGCAAAGCAGATGCCAGTATCATGCTTCCTGTACACCCTGCAGAACTGTGAGCCCATTTCTTTATAAATTACCCAGTTTCAGGTATTTATTCATTTATAGCAGTGCAAGAACAGACTTGTACACCAGGTTACCCATACTTCTGATTCGCTACAAAGTTTGGGGTTTCCACAATCTTCCCCACTTAAGTTTTGATAATTTCTAGAATGACTCACGGGACTCAGGAAAACACTTTGCCTACTATTACCAGTTTATTATAAAGGATCAACTCAAGAACAGTTAAACAGAAAGGATAAATAGGGCAGGATATAGGGAAACAGGCACAGAACTTCCATGCCCTCTCTGGACATACCATACTCCCAGCACCTCCACATGTTCATCAACCCAGAAGCTTTCTGAGCCCCATTATTTAAGGTAGCAGTCCCCAACCTTTTTGGCACCAGGCTCTGGTTTTGTGGAAAACAATTTTTCCATAGACCAGGTGGGTGGAGTGGTTTCGGGACAATTCAAGCACATTACGTTTATTGCGTACTTTATTTCTATTATTATTACATTGTAGTATATAATGAAATAATTATACAACTCACCATAACATAGAATCAGTGGGAGCCCTGGGCTTGTTTTCCTGAAACTAGGCAGTCCCATCTGGGGGTGATTGGAGACTGACATATCATCAGGCATTAGATTCTCATAAGGAGCCCACAACCTAGATCCCTCGCATGCACGGTTCACAACAGGGTTCATGCTCCTATGAGAATCTAATGCCACTGCTGATCTGACAGGAGGTGGAGCTCAGGCGGTAATGCTCGTGCAGCCTCCACTCACCTCTGGCTGTGTGGCCCAGTTCCTTCATACAATTCCCAGGGATTGGGGACCCCTGACTTAAGGGTTATGTAGGTTTCATGACATAGACATGAGTCTGGCCATTTGTGATTAACTCAATACCCAGCCCCTCTCCCCTCCCCAAAGGTTAGGAGACGTGGCTGAAAGTTCTAAGCTTCTAATCAAGGCTTGGTCCTCTGGAGACCAGTCCTTATCCTGAAGCTATTGAGAGGCCCCTAGCCGCAAGCCATCTCATCAGTATTCAAAAGACACTCTCATCATTAATATATATTTCCCTTTATACCACAGTTATCTAAGAGAATGTATCAACTCACAGAGATTTTTCTGGTTGTCTTTCTTATTGTTTAGTTCTAATTGTAACTCTGATCAAGAACATTGTCTTGAAAGAATCTCTAGGCAAGTATTCTTTTCCTCAGTTGGGTGCCTTTATAAGAGCTTACCTTGGAGTAGACACGTAGAGGCCAGTTAAGGGGACCTCTAAGCACAATTTCCACTCTACCCAGTTCTCAAGCACAAGCAGTGAACTTTTGCAGCTAATGCTCTAGTAAAGAAAATCCCTCCTGGCTGGGTGCAGTGGTCACGCCTGTAATCCCAGCACTTTGGGAGGCCAAGGTAGGTGGATCACCTGAAGTCGGGAGTTCGAGACCAGCCTGACCAACATGGAGAAACCCCGCGTCTACTAAAAATACAAAATTAGCTGGGCATGGTGGTGCTTGCCTGTAGTCCCAGCCACTCAGGAGGCTGAGACAGGAGAATGGCATGAACCCAGGAGGCAGATGTTGCATGAGCCGAGATTGCGCCATTGCACTCCAGCCTGGGCAACAAGAGCGAAACTGTGTCTCAAAAAAAAAAAAAAAAAAGAAAAGAAAAAAAGAAAATCTCACCTAATAGTAATATAAAACACTTTCTAAATCTGAGAAGTAATACATTTAATTACCAGATTGCTAAAAATTAGAGCTGGAAGGGAACCTGAGAAGTGGATAGACCAATATAATAATTTTACAGATGAGGACATGGTGGCTTGGTCAAGAGACATCGACTGTACTCAAATGTTGTGTTATAGTTCTGGTGGACAGAGGACAAGAGACTTGAGACTGATGAAGCTTTCTTCTGAGCCTATCATATAAAATATGATCTTGTGTAAAATACCATGCCATTCTTTTGCTATGAAACTACTATTTAAGCCCTGGATTCCTTGACCAAAGATTTGCAGCTTCTCTGACATCAGAGGGCAGCAGGAGGTTGAGGGGTCAAGCTGGAAGAGACAGAGCAGGAAGGCCCAGTGTATCAACTTAGCATTGGCAAGAGGCACAGGGGCTAGGCCCTACTGCTCAAGTTATGATCTGGATTGTTCATGCTTTTGGATTCTCTGAAGAGAAGACTACTGTCTGTCTGGTATGAAGAAAGGCACAAAAGGACTTTTTAAGCAGAGCTAATCCTTGAAAACTGTGCTTATTTCAAACTGTCTTATCTGTGGAGCCTGGAGGACAAAGCATCCCAACCCCCGCAAAGTCACTCACCCATTCTCTTAATTCTCCATAAACTCACGGAAAGATCTTCAGGAAACATAGAGAATTGAGTTATTTAAAGAGATTTGAAAGCACTCACATACAAGAACAAAGCCAGGTGATTTTTCTTCCCAGAACAAAATTTGGCAAAATGGCATGACCAAGCAGATGCTTCCTGGTGGAGAAGAGGAAGCCTTCAAATAGACACACTTAAGTGAAACCAGGAAGAGAAAGAATGGACGAGGGTGGTGGGGAAGGAGAGAAAGTGATGAAGGAAGAGAAACAGCCACAGAATTGGTGGATTTCTGGGGTGTGACAATGACACACCCAATCCATCGACGGGTGGTGCCAGATCTACTGGAGTGGGCTCTTAGTCATGTTATTATTGCAAAACCTTTTTTCTCTTCCAAGTAGTTGACCCTGGCGGGGCCTAGAGCAGCCACCAGCAGGAAGCTGGCCCAAACAATGATTCCCTACAGGAAGGTCCCCGGTTGACTCTTGCCTGACCTTTCTGCCCTCTTCCCAAACAACATTTCCTCTTACTGCCAAGCCCCGCTCTCCGCCACCACACACTGAGAATCACTAACCCAGAAGTGGAGCATAAAGATTCAGAAAACAAAACACAACACATAGTAAAGAACAAAAGTAATCAGTGATCCAAGTTGTTCATGAAGAAAATCAGGCCATGTTAGTTTTTATTAATTCAAGGAATATTTATTGTCTATCTACTATCTGTCATTGCAACGGCATTGCAAAGAGACTGTTCACACATCAAATTTATACTTTCCAATGTGTCCAAAAGAAAGAAAATTGCTATATTAAAGAGATGTCTGTGCTCCCATGTTTATTACAGCACTACTGACAAGATTTAGAAGCAACCTAAGCATCCATCAACAGTAGAATGGATAAAGAAAAAGTGGCACAGGTCAGGCGCGGTGGCTCATGCCTGTAATCCCAGCACTTTGGGAAGCCAAGGAGGGCGGATCACGAGGTCAGGAGTTCAAGATCAGCCTGGCCAACATGGTGAAACCCTGTCTCTACTGAAAATATGAAAATTAGCTGGTCATGGTGGTGGGTGCCTGTAATCCCAGCTACTCGGGAGGCTGAGGCAGGAGAATCGCTTGAACACAGGAGGTGGAGGTTGCAGTGAGCCGAGATCGCGCCATTGCACTCAAGTCTGGGTGACGAGAGTGAAACCTGTCTTAAAAAAAAAAAAAAGTGGCACATATACACAACGGAGTACTATTCAGTCATGAAAAGAATGAGATCTTGTCATTTGCAACAACGTGGATGAAACTGGAGGTCATTATGTTAAGTGAAATACGCCAAGCACAAAAAGACAAACTTTGTGTATTCTCACTTACTTGTGGGAGCTAAAAATTCAAACAATTGAACTCATGAAGATAGAGAGTAGAATGATGGTTATCAGAGGCTGGGAAGGGAAACGGGGGAGTAGGGGAAAAGTGAGGACGCTTGATGGGTACCAAAAATAGTTAGAAAAATGAATAAGACCTAGTGTTTCATAGTATAACAGAGTGACTATAGTCAATAATAATTTACTTGTATAATTTATAATAACTAAAAAATAGTATAATTGGAATGTTTGTAACACAAAGGATAAGTGCTGGAGGTGATGGGTACCCCATTTACCCTGATGGGATATGTACACCTATATCAAAATATCTTATGTACCCCATAAATCTATATACCTACTATGCACCCACAAAAGTTAAAAGTTAAAATTTTTTTAAATGTATATTTTCCCTTCTTTTTTACTGTCTGCCACAGAAAGTTTTGTCAACATTCAACAAATACTCTAAACCCAGCAACTTCCCTTAACTACTCTGATGTGATGCTTCTATTTGAAAAACACAAAACAGTATATTTTCTTGAATGAACAGAAGATAGAATACCCAAGTTCTGTTCTCAATTCTGTAAAGATTCATCAGGAGCCATATGCCATGCATTTCAGTATTTGGTTTTCCTACTAGTCTAAAAACCTGCAATATGTTAATCTGAAAAATATTTAAATACTAATAATCTATCCCCCACACACACAAAAAAAAATTGATGGTTACTATCTGCAAATCATTCTGCACTTATTATTAAAATCATATTCTATAAGGAAATATAGCTTTTATATGTTTCTTTACAGGTAGAAATAAACTTCTAATCACAAACTATTCAAAATTTGAACTGGGAGCCCAGACACCTAAGATTCAGTCTGTCTCTCTCTCTCTGTCTTTTTTTTTTTTTTTTTTTTGAGATGGAGTCTCGCACTGTCGCCCAGGCTGGAGTGCAGTGGCACAATCTCTGCTCACTGTAAGCTCCACCCACCGGGTTCAAGCAATTCTCCTGCTTCAGCCTCCGAAGGAGCTGGGATTTAAACGTGCTTTCAGCCAAATGCAAGTCTTTATGAAAATTGAAAGATTACATTTCATAGTTTTAAAAGGGAGAAACACTCTGTGACTGTTCCTCCCATTGCCAGCATTTGCATACCATTTAATCATTAGGGTTTAGTTTTCTTTGGTTTCACAGCTTTAGGGATGGGCGAGGCAGGATGACCAACACATTATGTGTGGTGCATTTTTTAGCTACTTTAGAAGGGCGTTATAAAAATTACTCCCAGCTTAACAATTTAAAATTTTGTACACCATGTACCCCTTGGAGATATGTCACCCTAAATATGAAGAAGAGTAACATCATACTCCTGTGAAAACAGTACAGGTAGATCATAAAAGCCACATAAGAGCTACATAGTAAAGTGAATGATTACCTATTTAATCATGTGTCCCAATAAAATGCAATTTAAGGAAAAATTTAAAGCAGAACATTGTTTAACAAATAATTGAATATAAAGATTAAGGTGTGAACATAGTTTAACAGAGACTGGCAAAAGAAGGAAGAAATTCTTAAATAAACAAAAGTCAGCTACTTAAGTTTAAAGCTAAGGAGGATACAAACTATTTCTGGAAGCACCTGTTTTTTAAGACTTTTTAAAAATTGTGGTAAAATACATATAACATAAACTTATCATCTTCATCATTTATAAGTTTACAGTTCAGTAGTCTTAAGTGTACTGACATTGTTGTGCAACCAATCTCCCAAACTCTTTTCTTTTTTTTTTTTTTAGACGAGTCTCACTCTGTCTCTGAGGCTGGAGTCCAGTGGCACAATCTTGGCTCACTGCAACCTCTGCCTCCCGGGTTCAAGCAATTCTCTGCCTCAGCCTCCCAAGTAGCTAGGATTTCAGGCGCCTGCCACCATGCCTGGCTAATTTTTTGTATTTTTAGTAGAGACGGGATTTCACCATCTTGGCCAGGCTGGTCTCGAACTCCTGACCTCAGGTGATCCACCTGCCTCGGCCTCCCAAAGAGCTGGGATTACAGGTGTGAGCCACCACGCCTGGCCCCAAACTCTTTTCATATTGCAAAATTAAAATTCTATGCCCAGTAAGCAACAACTGTCTATCCCCAACCCTTCGGCCACTGGCAACTACCATTCTACTTTCTGTCTCTGTGAATTTGACTACTCTAGGCACCTCATAGTACTGGAATTATACAGTATCTGTCTTTCAAAAAGACACTATTAAACCGGTGAAGTGACTAGAAGACATGAATGGAAACAGTCTAAAATACAAAGGGACAAAAAGCCATGAAGCACAAAGGGAGCTCAGGAGGGTTCAGAATCTATAAAATAACTCCAATTGTAACACTAGTTATCAGAAGTAGATACAAATCCTCTTTTATCTTTAAAACGAAGGCAGGAGATATCTGCATCATCTCTTCATTTCTTGAAATTTGACTCAAAAAGGAAGTTGCTGTCTTTATATCAGACTAGAATTCAACCAGAAAGAAAATCGTATTAAAACAATCTGCCTAAAAGCTTTTCAATCTTTCTTAGACATTAGCTACTTGAATAAACATGTTGCTGAGATGTAATAATACTTACCTAGAAAACTATTATTTATGTTTTTCTTATGAACTATAAAACATAATTGTTACAAATTATATGCTTTTTTGTATATTATACAAAATACAAAAAAAGAAAGCAATAACTTAAAATCACAAACTTCAACAACCTTAAAAAACACGCTGATTGAAATAATCAAAGAGATGGATGCTTAATCAAATCTGAAATTATTGCTGATGTGAAAGCTAATTTCAACTTTTGAGAACAATATGAACAAAAAAGTTACATGATTGATGGGAAATTTTTATTCTCATCATATTAAGTATTTTAATTACATTTGTTAACCTGGAGATATTCTCTGCAAATGTGAAATCATGAAGCAAATTTAATAGAACTACACTTCCAGAGAAAAGTTACCAATCATCAAAACCTCTGAAAGATTAAAACTGTAATTCTGAAAATTTTTTTGTTTTGCTCCACTTTATTCTTTTTTTATTGATATAGTAAATGTCCCAGGGCTCTGACCTAGCTTCAGAGAAGTGTTCAAGAAACAGAAATTATCCAATTACGGATTACCAAAACTGTAACAGGGATTAAGAAGTGACAGAGAAAAGGAACACCCTCGAAGTGTGTATATAAAGGCCAAAAAGGCAGCCTTGAATACACTCTTCGTCATCACCTCTCCTATTCGCCTGGACAAGCTCATGTTTGCAGGAGCACCATGTCTTGCTCGTCTCGCGCCTCCTCCTCCAGGGCTGGAGGCAGCAGCTCAGCCAGGGTGTCTGCTGGTGGAAGCAGCTTCAGCAGTGGAAGCAGATGTGGTCTGGGGGGCAGCTCGGCCCAGGGCTTCCGAGGAGGAGCCAGCAGCTGCAGCCTGAGTGGGGGGTCTAGCGGTGCTTTTGGGGGCAGCTTTGGAGGGGGCTTTGGTAGCTGCTCAGTAGGGGGTGGTTTTGGGGGAGCTTCAGGCTCTGGGACAGGATTTGGTGGGGGTTCTAGCTTTGGCGGGGTCTCTGGATTTGGCAGGGGTTCTGGATTCTGTGGGAGTTCTAGATTCAGCAGTGGTGCTACTGGAGGCTTCTACAGCTATGGTGGTGGTATGGGAGGTGGTGTTGGCGATGGGGGGCTTTTCTCTGGAGGGGAAAAGCAAACCATGCAGAACCTCAATGACCGCTTGGCCAATTACCTAGACAAGGTCAGAGCCCTGGAGGAGGCTAACACTGATCTGGAGAACAAAATCAAGGAGTGGTATGACAAATATGGGCCTGGGTCTGGAGACGGTGGATCGGGAAGAGATTATAGCAAATACTATTCAATAATTGAAGATCTCAGAAACCAGGTGAGACTATCTGTGCCTGAGTTTCTATTATTTGTGGATCTTTCACTTCTTTTCAGATCATGTACTATAATGAAAATTTTAAGAAATTATTTGAAAACATATTTGCTTGTTACATATGCAAAGTGGGACCTGATGTGTCTTAATTATTATAGTACCTTATGTGATGTCCAATCACATTAATTTTCTGTTTCCATCTCAGTTTCAGTATTTCTACATAACAGTAAAACTTATACAACACCAGGCAGCTAATTATCATTTATATATAAGAATGGTGGCAGTGAGTCAACATTAGTTTAATCTAATTATTTATGATGAATTCTGACAGACTGACACATTTTATTGTCTTACAAGATTTAAATATTCTTTAGTATTATTTTTCTTCCCAGAAAATCTGGTGCAAACATTACATAAGAATGTAGTAGAATCTAAAATGTTTAGCCACTTTTGTATGGGAAATATATTTTTAAAGACTTTTTTGGAAGTGAAATACAATTTTTGCACTATTTTCTGAAAAAGCTCATGAGATAATGATCTAACAAAGTAGCAGAAATATGCAGAGGACTATGTCCTGTAAAACAGGTTCCTGTGCCTAGTCCAATAAATGTGCAGACTGTTATCTTTTTGCAGAAAGATGTAGTCCTAAATATACCAGCCCCAGATATACAGGTCTGGGGCTGTATACTTAGTCATTACTAAGTAAGTTTGCAAAGCAAGTCACCTTTAAAAGCTAATAGCACAGGCCGGGCACGGTGGCTCACACCTGTAATCCCAGCACTTTAGGAGGCTGAGGCGGGCAAATCACTTGAGGTCAGGAATTTGAGATTAGCCTGGCCAACATGGTGAAACCCCGTGTCTACTAAAAACACACACACAAAAAAAATTAGCCGGGCATAGTGGCACGCCCCTGTAATCCCAGCTACTCAGGAGGCTGAGGCTCAAGAATCGCTTAAACATGGGAGGCGGAGGTTGCAGTGAGCTGAGATCTTGCCACTGCACTCCAGCCTGGGCGACAGAGCGAGACTCTGTCTCTACACACACACAAAAAAAAGAGCTAATAACACAGGCAACAGCTACCCTTACAAGTAGGCATGCAGACACAAGGTAAAAATCATTCGTGATTCACTCACTATTAACATCTTTTTTAGATCATTGCTGCCACTGTTGAAAATGCTGGGATCATTTTGCACATTGACAATGCCAGATTGGCTGCTGATGACTTCAGACTGAAGTAAGAAACATAAAGACTTGAAAACAAGTGTTACGGGAGAAAAATAAATTTTATTCCATTTTATAAATAAATATATATATATATATATATATATATATATATATATATATATATATATATATATATACTAGAGGATCATGACCTAAATTTACAAACATCCCAAGGGTAAACTTTAGACCATTAGACAAATCTCCACTGATGCTGGGGCAGGTAGATCCTCTCTGCTGAGCACCTAAGCCAGTAGCTACACACCGGCCGCTTCTGCTCCTTTCATCAGCCTACAACAGCTGCAAAAGAAAAAAGAAAAAGAAAAAAGAAAGAGGCAAATTTAGAATGAGAATTTTATTATTAAAAATGTTAGACATGATTAGAATTAACATTACATTGGTATTTTTCTTTACAAGGGAAAATTTCCCAAGAGAAAACTTAATAACCTTTATTTATTAAAATGCCCACAAGTGAGAACTTTTTCAATATGTAAGAATGGAAGGTACCCTTTGAAACACGGCCAGGTGAGCTCACAGTATTTTTTGCCTTACTGCTGCCCCTTCCAGGTATGAGAACGAGCTGTGTCTCCGGCAGAGCGTGGAGGCTGACATCAATGGCCTGCGGAAAGTCCTGGATGACCTGACTATGACCCGCTCTGACCTGGAGATGCAGATTGAGAGTTTCACCGAGGAGCTAGCCTACCTGAGGAAGAACCACGAGGAGGTAGGAACATGTTCTACATAAACGAATAACTCTAGCTAACATATTTCTCCCCATATGCATTCTATACAAATAAAATTGGCTGGGTGCAGTGGCTCATGCCTTTAGTCTCAGCTACTCTGGAGGCCGAGGCAGGGGGATCCCTTGAACCCAGGAGTTGGAGGCCACAGTGAGCTATGATCATGCCACTGGATTCCAGCCTGAGCAACAGAGAGATACTGTGTCTCTAAAAAAGTAAAATAGGCCTGGCACGGTGGCTTATGCCTGTAATCTCAGCACTCTGGGAGGCCAAGGCAGGCAGATCATGAGATCAGGATTTCGAGACCAGCCTGACCAACATGGTGAAACCCCCTCTCTACTAAAAATACAAAAATAAACAGGGCATGATGGCGCACACCTGTTGCACCTGTAATCCCAGCTACTCAGGAGGCTGAGGCAGGAGAATCACTTGAACTGGGGAGGCGGAGTTTGCAGTGAGCCGAGATCAAGCCACTGCACTCCAGCCTGGGTGACAGAGTGAGACTCCATCTCAAAAAGAAAAAAAAAGAAAAAAAGGTAAAATAAACTCATTTTTATCTAAGTGAATTTCCCACATACTATGACCAGGAAACAAAAGTAATCATGAGTAAATTATACCTAGATTTGATTTTTTTTTTTTCCTTTCAGTGTCCTACTTTCAAATTGTTGTTGTCTAGGCACATTTTCGGAAGTCATCACTTTTCTGTTTGCATCACGATAGTCTTTTTTCCTTCATGCTAGGAAATGAAGAATATGCAAGGAAGCTCTGGAGGGGAGGTGACCGTAGAAATGAATGCTGCGCCAGGGACCGACCTGACCAAATTACTGAATGACATGAGGGCGCAGTACGAGGAGCTGGCTGAGCAAAACCGCCGAGAGGCTGAGGAGCGGTTCAACAAGCAGGTAGATCCTCTCTGCTGAGCACCTAAGCCAGTAGCCACACACAAGCCGCTTCTGCTCCTTTCATCAGCCTACAACAGCTGCATTATGTTTGTATTTAGAGCGCATCACTACAAGCACAAATCTCCACTGATGCTGGGGCAGCCACTTCTGCCAAGAATGAGATAACAGAACTAAAACGTACCCTGCAAGCCCTGGAAATTGAGCTTCAGTCCCAACTGGCCATGGTATGTGCAAATAGCTTTTCACATTTTCCAACAGGGAGTTAAGCAAATGCAGTTTTCTTTCTTTGCCAAGAGGTTCACTAGGCACATAAAAAAGGCAGTGTTAAGGAGAACTGCATTATGATTATAGAAAGCATTAAAAGTTAAAGATAATGTACTCTATTTTGCATAAAAGATTTAGTTTAAAAAGAAGTGCCAACCAAAATTAAAGAAGCAATGATATAACAATATAGGTTATATGGCGAAGGTGCACTTCTAGTGCCACATAAAATTGCATTTTTAAAAAATCATCCAATGATTTATTTTCATCATGAATTTTTTATTTGCTTTTTCTCTTAGAAAAGCTCCCTGGAGGGAACCCTGGCTGACACAGAAGCTGGCTACGTGGCTCAGCTGTCAGAAATTCAAACGCAGATCAGTGCCCTGGAGGAGGAGATCTGCCAGATCTGGGGTGAGACTAAATGCCAGAACGCAGAGTACAAGCAATTGCTGGACATCAAGACACGCCTGGAGGTGGAGATCGAGACCTACCGCCGCCTGCTCGATGGAGAGGGAGGGTAAACCAAAGTCATGAACAAACTAAAATGCATACCTTAGTGAATTTATTTTATAAAACCAAAATGGGACTCAGGGCTTAGACTTGTATATATAGAGAGTAATAAAGTAACAGACACAGGCTGCGTGCAGTGGCTCAGGCCTGTAATCCCAGCACTTTGGGAGGCTGAGGTGGGAGAATCACGTGAGCCCAGGAGTTCAAGACCAGCTTGAGCAACATAGCAAAACCCCTTCCTCTTCAAAAAATAATTTTTAAAAAATTAGCTGGAGGCTGGGCACAGTGGCTCATGCCTGTAATCCCGGCACTTTGGGAGGCCAAGGCAGGCAGATCACGTGAGGTCAGGAGTTCGAGACCAGCCTGGCCAACATGGTGAAATCCTGTCTCTACTAAAAATACAAAAATTAGCCAGGCGTGGTGGCACACACCTGTAGTCCCAGCTACTCAGGGGACTGAGGCGGGAAGATCACTTGAGCTCAGGAGGCTGAGGCTGCAGTGAGCTGTAATCATGCCACTATACTCCAGCCTGGGTGATAGAACGAGACCTTGTCTCAAAAAAAAAAAAAAAAAAATTAGCTGGGCATGGTGGTGCACACCTATAATCCCAGATACTGGGGAGGCTGAGACAGGAGGATCACTTGAGCCCAGGAGTGCAAGGTTGAACAAAAAAGCAGCAGACACAATCCAATTAAAACACATAAACACATCCAAAACTTCATCATGAAGAATCCCCGGGGCGGAGGCTTTCTCCTGCCTTTGCAAACTGCAAAGGAAAACATAATTCTTTTTTTCTCCAGTGGTTCTAGTTTTGCAGAATTTGGTGGTAGAAACTCAGGATCTGTAAACATGGGATCCAGGGATCTGGTATCTGGTGACTCAAGATCTGGAAGCTGTTCTGGTCAAGGACGAGGTAGACTTTTTTTAATATTGATAATAGTTCTGTAATTTAAAAGTGAAGACATACTTTGCTTGTCATACTAAAAGAGTCCGCTATTTTTTACATAATCTTACCCAGACAGAACACGTTGAATGCATGTGATTGAATTTCTCTTGCTCTGTGTTTCTGTGAGAGTTTCCAGACTGACATTGCAATCCCATGATTTTCAGATTCAAGCAAGACTAGAGTGACTAAGACTATCGTAGAGGAGTTGGTGGATGGCAAGGTTGTCTCGTCTCAAGTCAGCAGTATTTCTGAGGTGAAAGTTAAATAAGGAACTTCCAGATCAACAAAAGTGTCTTTCAAAGAAAAAAAAATCAAGAAGGACACAAGCGAAGAAATGGCATCAATCTAGGCATCTTTCTGGATAATTTCAGGAAAAGCTTCAGTCCAGAAATGGATGACTAGCCAACTTTTCTGCATCTTCTTATTTCCTCATTAGAATGCTCTTGAAATAGCTGAATTAACAACTTTGCTTTAATTGTTTCTATGCTTCAATAAATTTACTTTTGCAAGTTAATTATTACTTATTTTTTTAAAAAGTATTTTACCTAGGAAGGAAGCTATCAAGTATGATCTAGCTGCATGACTATATTACTAATGTCAGTTCATTCTTTATATCTTACTGTTGTAACTGAGCGAGTTATAGAGAAATGACACACTCTGAGACTAATTCAGGAGTCCTTTTATTGCCGGCGAACAAGACGGCTAGAGCTCAAAATTCTCTCGGCCCCGAAGAAGGGGCTAGATTTCTTTTTATATCGTGGTCTAAATAGGGGAGAGGGAGTTTAGCTGAAGCAATTTTTACAGAAGCAGAACAGGCAAACCAATTAAGAAAGATTAATTGGTTACAGAAACAGTTACAGAAAAGTAAACAGTTCCAGGTGCAGGGGCTCAAACTATCACAAAGAGATAATGCAGGGGCTTTGGGTGCCATCCCCCAAGCGCGTCCTCAGGAACTGCTGATTTAGCTTGCCTCGATATCTCATCAGTAAGCGCATTCCTGGATGTGCTCGGAGTCAGCTTGCACTACTTATGCCTTTAAGGGAGGGGAGCTGCAAGTGAAGAAACAAAAATGGAGTCTGTCCGGCTCTCTCAGCTAAGAGAGACAATCAGGTTAAAACGAGGTAGGGTATCACATTACCTTCTTTATACAATTCAGATTATAGTCATTTTTTTAATGTGGGCATTTTTAATGGCATCACATAAGAACTCAGTGGCATGATAGCTGAAATTAGACTACCGTGTCAACGGCTTAGCCCACAAAGAAGGATGTGATTATTTTAATAATCAACTTATAATTAATGTCTAGTTTATATATGTCCATCACTGAACTCGATATTTTATAAGATAAAAAAGAAACTCAAAATCTCCCTCCTACTTCAAAAAGCTCACATTTCAGCAGAGAAGAAGAGCTAAAACACAAAGAAGACAGCAAGCAATAAAAAGCTGTTAATAGTAAAGACTTGATTTCACAATCTGCATCAGAAGTGACATAGGAATCAGACATGTGTGTTTACAGGACATTTAGGACAGGGGCCAAAAAAGAGTCTTGGGAAATAAGATTGGCTATGTGATATGGCAATCTGATTTCCTGAAACCTTGAAAGCCCCAAAGAGAAGAGATCCTCAGGCACTTGTTCCCCTGCCAAATCTAGCCACATCTTTAGCCAAAACCTGCCACTTCGCCAAGCTGGTGTTTCTTTTCCCCAGTCTCCACTGCTAAGATCTTTCATCCCGTTGGTGGTCATAGCCCTATTCTTTCATTTCTACAGTATCCCTGAGGCCACATGGCTTTGTCTTGTCTTGTTTGGGATGATGAAACCTGTTAAGATTGGGTAGGAGGTGGTACGGGCCCCAGGAAGAACCAGGCATAGCACCAACCCAGGCTGGCTAAGGGCTTTCTCAATCAAGGAATTTAATATGCCCATATCACAAATTAGAGAATCAACTCTACAAGCCAGTCCTCAAGGAAAGAACACGGGACGTGGCATAAAAAGCCAAATGTAAAGTTATAAAAGGACAAATCTGAACATGTATCTTCCAATATAAAACCAATTAAGAATTGTGTGAGCATATCAAACCTATCATCAAAACATGTAGTTTTTCATCTTCTGGGCACATTGAATAAAACTTAAAATGAACCTCTGGGTACATTATGACTTCTGCTTAAATAGCTAACCACAGAATAAGGTTAATAGCTAACCACAGAATAAACATTAAACCACTACTCAAAGAAAAAGAGCAATGTTAAGTTGCTTAAGTCAAAGCTGTTTTCCACCATCAAATCATTACAATAAATAAAACCCTGAATGCTTCTTCTCTGCTGAAATACTAAAAGTCTGAACCAGCTCATCCAACTGGATTCATAGCTCAAGAGCAGAAATGGAAATCTGCCGTAAGCAGCCTGCAGAACCTAAGCCATCCCGGCCACATCAGCGAAGCCTCTCTCTGTGGGTCTTCTCAAGTCTAACCTTCTAGCTGTGGATTTTGGCCACCTGAGACCTATGTTCATGGCTAGTACTATTTTCATGTCAAGGCAAAAGTATAAGGCTACTCTGAAAGTCATCTCGAGGTGAAAACCCTCATCTGTTCTTCCTTGTCATGCGTTAAGATGCTGCGTTTGTACTGAATGATTGTTTACAAATATAGAAAAGGCCCAATCATAGACACCAGAACACTGAGACACAATAGAATGTGTTGTTAAGGGCATGTTCAATTTTGAAAACTGAAACTATTCAACCATTTTGGATCATAAAACGTATTTACAGTGCTGAATAAAAAGTTAAGGACATGGTGTTCATACATTATTACTTGCCTTAAAATTATTTTAAAACTCTACAATAGGAATATGTTTATTGTGAGACCCTAAAGTTCAGCTCTCCAGGCAATTTTTTTGCTTTGTTTTGTTACAGGGTCTCGCTCTGTTGCCCAGGCTGGAGTGTAGTGGTGCCATCTCGATTCACCTGCAGCCTCAACTTCCTGGGCTCAAGCAATCCTCCCACCTCAGCCTCCTGAGTAGCTGCAGGCAACCATGCCCAGCTAATTTTGTTTATTTTTTGTAGAGATGGAGTTTCACTATGTTGCCCAGGCTGGTCTCAAACTCCTGGGCTCAAGCAATCCTCCCACCTCGGCCTTCCAAAGGGCTGGGGTTATAGGCATGAACGACTGCATTCAGCCTCAACTTTTGAATGAGAGGAACACATTTCTTTTTTCTAAGAGTGGATTTACTGTAAGAAGGGAGAGCTCATGCCCACATGCACATGGGCTTTCTTTTTTGTTTGTTTGTTTTTTTTGAGACAGAGTCTCTCGCTTGTCGCCCAGGCTGGAGTGCAGCGGCGCGATCTCGCCTCCACCTCCCAGGTTCAAGCGATTCTCCTGCCTCAGCCTCCTGAGTAGCTGGGATTACAGGCACGCGCCACCAAGCCCAGCTAATTTTTGTATTTTTAGTAGAGACGGGGTTTCACCATGTTGGCCAGGCTGGTCTCGAACTCCTGACCTTGGGATCCGCCCACCTCGGCCTCCCAAAGTGCTGGGATTACAGGCGTGAGCCACCGCACCCAGCCTCGCACATGGGTTTTCACCCGTTGACTTTTAATCCAGAGATTCACAGGGTTGTTTTTTCTTTCTCACCTCAGGGAAGTATACACAAGAATGATGAGAATGGTCGACGTGGCATCCATCCTCACAGAGATGACAAACAAGAAACAAGGTTCACAGCAGGCAGCTCAGAGTAAACGGCTAAAGTATTTGAAGCTCTAAGGAAAGTGGCCTAAACTGGCTTGACGACTTCGTGGAATTAGACAGTGTTCACCCAGGAGGAGACAAACTGGTGAATATAAATCACCCAAAATGAAGCTCAAGTAATATTATCCACACAACCTCCTCAAGGAACAAAATACTACAAGTAATAAACCACTTTAAAAACTTTTCAGTGGCTGAGATATGACACTTGGGTAACAGAAAATATTGATCAAGCCCTTCTGAAAACAAAGTACTCATTTGTAATATCAATGTCAATATGAAATGATAATGCAGGAAAGAAGCAAATGTTAATAGTTCAACCACTTTTTTAAAAGTTAGCACTTAAATAGCAGGTAAGGGACAAGCCCAGAGGTATCCTGTGTACAAAGCTTGGACTTCCAGAGAGGGGGCATGATGAAGTTATTTTGCTGACAGAACCACAAGGAACATGAAGCTTATAACATGTGCTTTGTTATAAGCACATGCGAGCTTATAACAAAATTGCGATAGGATGTGCATTGCATGCCTCAGTCACCCAGGCTGGAGTGCAGTGGTGCAATCACAGCTCACTGCTGCCTAGACCTCCTGAGCTCAAGCGATCCTCCCACCTCAGCCCCCTGAGTAGCTGGGACTACAGGTGTGCTCCACCATGCCCAGCTAATTTTTGTATTTTTTGTAGAGATGGGGTTTTGCTGGGATTACGGGAGTGGCTCACACCTGTAATCTCAGCACTTTGGGAGGCTGAGGCGGGAGGATCACTTGAGCCCAGGAGTTTGAGACCAGCCTGAGCAACATAGTAGGATCCTATCTCTACAAAAAAATACAAAAATTAGCTGGTACTGGTGGCATGTGCCTGTAGTCCCAGCTACTCAGGAGGCTAAGGCAGGAGAATCGCTTGAGCCCAGGAGGTTGAGGCTGCTATGAGCTGTGATGGCACCACTGCACTCCAGCCTGGGTGACAGAGTGAGACCTGGTCTCAAAAAGAAAAAAAAAAATTAGAGAAAGTGTAGCTCTATGTGGTTCCACCTGTGATGTAAAAGCATTACAATAAATTAATGTCTATAATTAACCTATGTAGATGTTTCTATAATAAGTGATGTCGAGCAGAATAACTTTTTGAGCAATCCAAAGGAGAAAAAACAGGAGGGCAAAAGGAATTTATATTTCATAAGCACGTGTTATGTATATAAACACTTTGTATCTATGTTTACATTTTATTTCACTTAATCCACAAACTCTCTGATGTAGGTATTACTGTTCCCATTTTATAGATGAAGAAAATAAAGCTGGGAGAGGTCATTTATTTAAAGGCCTCTCCCTTTAAATAAAGTGGAAAAATTACAAGTTAAAGCTCCATCTCCTAATTCCATGAGCTAGAATTCTACTCTACCAAAATAAGTGAAGTTCTGTAGTTTCATATCCTAGACTCACCAAGTGGCCTATTTCTGTGAGAGGTACCCCCCAAAAGTACTTTTTTTTTTTCATTTTTCCAAAACTGCTTCTCCCTCGCCTAAACAGGGAGGCTTCAAAATTTCCAGAACAGTTTTCTATCTATGTAGACAGGAGAAACCTGTTGACATTGGAGACCAGAAGAACTAAAAAAGATACCCATTGGTCTGAGTTCAGATATAAAGCAGGCTACCACATGGCCCTTTGGCCACTAAAACTGAAGCTGGATTTCAAGTTAAGGGCAAAACCAGGGGAAGACCAGCTTTCTAAGCAGGACAGGAGCATCTTGAAATGAGCTTCATAATCTCACAGTAGTAGCAACTGGAGGAAACTATTTCATTGAAAACCAATTTTTTAAAAATAAAAATAGAGACAGGGTCTCAATATGTTGCCCAGGCTGGTCTCCAACTCCTGGCCTGAAGTGATCCTCCTGCCTCAGCCTCCCAAAGTGCCGACATTACAGGCATGAGCCACCACGCCTGGCCAAAAACCAACTTTATATGTGCAGAAAGTACATATGATATGTAATTCTAAGCAAGAGCCATTCTAAAATTTTTATAACAATAAGGTGGTGAGGTGATCCTCTGCAAAGAATTTTATTAAAAAATTAACATATATTTTGAGAAATGTAATCACATTTCCAAGCATCCTCTCTCATCCTTGAAAACCCTCTACTTGTGCAATTCATAACTGAAATGATTAATGCCCAGAATTTACTGACCTGTGGAAAGAGCTTTTCCATAACTATCACAACTTTTGTTAATTAATTCTAACACTTTCATCTTTAGACACACTCTGCTTTTAGCTTGCAGGTGTCTGTAAATAAATTGCTTCGTATGATCTTTATTAATTTTAAATAAATTGCTTCATGTGATTTTTTATTAGTTTGACTAAGACCAAGACACTAGACTTTTAAATCTCCATGATGGGTTTTATGCAAATGAGGGCTTTGTTACACCGATTCAAGATGAGGTAACTTTGCTTGCCCCACTGGCTGTTCCACATCCAAATTTTCTATGAAGATTCAATATCATTGCTTTGTGATTTCTATTACAATCATAGCAACATAAAATTCCCAGAATGTTAAAGAGTTGGGTGGTGACTTTTATTCCAACCTCCCACCCAGAACAGAAATTGTCCCTGAAAGATTATTCTAGGTCTTCAGTCTGTGGCTGAAGGTCCCTGGAGCTTGGAAAGATCATGACTTTGTAAGGCAGTCCATTTCATTTAAGAACAGGTGTAATGTTAGAAATGTCTTCGTTTCCAAATCTGTCTCCCTGTGTAACTTCCAGCTCTTTGATTCTGGTTTAGCCCTTTAGAGCTATTTTCAAATGGCCATTGTGTCTCCTCTTTTCTAGACAAAAATCCTAATTTCTTTAGCCATGCCTCATTTGGCATTGTTTCCATACTCTTCATTATATGGGCCAGGTGTTTCGGATGTAGTTAACATATTTGCTATTAAATATTCTCTCTAGAATATGACATGCAAAACTAAACAGAAGGGCCAAGAGCTGGGGGAAGACGACCTCTGGGCTTTGTAAATTTTTTAATATTGTCTAACAGCAGCAGCCACATCACATTCACAGCACTGTTGAGCTGGAACTTTGGCAGAGAAACTTTATTCTTCATCTGATGTTTTCTTGTGTTAATTCACAGAACTGCATTTTTTTAATTCTACTTATTTTACCAAAGCTTTTTTGTCTTACTTATTTGCGGTCATTATGTCAGCCTGAAAGATCTTTAAATATATTTCCTAGTCTCTCATTTAACGTATTAAATATATTTTGTGTCATTAAAAAAAAGCAAAAGCAACAGAACTAAAATACAAGTAGCATCCACCAATAGCCCCACACTTGCCAATAACAATATCAGCTTGATATATAAGTTTCCTAAATTTGTCATTGGAATATTTTTTCTAAGAATGAGTGTTAAGTTGTTTCAATTTTAACAAAAGTGTTAAAAAATATATTTATTTAGTGACTAGGATGTTCGAAGCCATAGGGATAAACTCAGACTCTCCAATAAAGTAAAATGAAGCAAAAGCCATTCAGAGAAAGAACATCAACTCACACCACGTTTGTTTTTACCAAAAAATATTGTCTAACACCTTTCATTAAAGATTGATTGATTGACGAACGATAGATAGAAACATCCTTCATCAACCTCTGGGTTTATCTCACTGCACTGACAACAAACATGAAGAAAAATGCATTTGGTAATATAGAAATCATGGGGGACTGGGTGCAGTGGCTCACTCCTATAACCCAGCACTTTGGGAGGCCAAGGTGGGCGGATCACCTGAGGTCAGGAGTTCGAGACCAGTCTGGCCAACATGCTGAAACTCCATCTCTACTAAAAACACAAAAATTACCTGGGCATGGTGGCGGGTGCCTGCAGTCCCAGCTACTAGGGAGTCTGAGGCAGGAGAACTCCGGAGGCAGAGGTTGCAGTGAGCTGAGATCACACCATTGTACTCCAGCCTGGGCAACAGCACGAGATTCTGTCTCAAAAAAAAAAAAAAAAGAAATCATGTTTTTTTTTTTTCCTATGATTGCAAAAGGAACCGCAAAAGGAGCAAGACACAGCCACTGCAGAGGTTTACAAGAACCTGGAGAAACTTACAAGTTTGCTATTTAACATTAAATCCACCCACAAAACTCTATTATGTCAGTTCCTCCATTCTTCTTTAACTCTCTTGGGCAGGGGAGAGGTCATATACTTTCATAAGATAAGGGGAAAAAGTTAGACATCATTAGCTATTTCAAAATTCCAAGACAGGCTTTAATAAATTTAAATTTTTATTTTCTTAGAATCAATCAAATTCAAGAAAAAAATAGAAGAATGTCATTTATTTTCATATTATTTTCCTAAATTTTATTCTTAAATACTTCAAATATTTAATATACAGGATACAGAAATTAAGGATCTGCCCCTTTCTGTTACTTCTCCAGAAATCCCTAAAATTAGTTTCAAATAACTTCATCTGAAAATAAGTAATATTTATCATATCATTCCAAAGGACTTTGTGTTATAAGCATTGTGCCTATAAAAAGGTATTTTCCTTTGTGCAGAAATTCCATAAGGGAAAACACAAATTTAATTGGGCTGATATCATGTAAATATTATCTGCTTTGTCCCTCCAATATGAAATAAATACCTAAAGGCATTTTCTGCGCCTTTTAATAAAAAGATAGTCTATTGAGTTTAACAAATAATTATTGCGGCACTATTCACAATAGCAAAGACTTGGAACCAACCCAAATGTCCAACAATGATAGACTGGATTAAGAAAATGTGGCACATATACACCATGGAATACTACGCAGCCATAAAAAATGATGAGTTCATGTCCTTTGTAGGCACATGGATGAAGCTGGGAACCATCATTCTCAGCAAACTATTGCAAGGACAGAAAACCAAACACTGCATGTTCTCACTTATAGGTGGGAACTGAACAATGAGAACACATGGACACTGGAAGGGGAACATCACACACCGGGGCCTGTTGTGGAGTGGGGGAAGGTGGGAGGGAGAGCATTAGGAGATATACCTAATGCTAAATGACAAGTTAATGGGTGCAGCACACCAACATGGCACATGTATACATATGTAACAAACCTGCACATTGTGCACATGTACCCTAAAACTTACAGTATAAAAAATAAAAATAATAATAATAATTAACAAAATAATAACACTATTATATATTTCATTAAAAATATTTAAAACAATTATAGCAGAGATGAAACAGCCACATTATCAACCATAAGAGGAATTACTAATTGATGATTCCCTTACCACTCTCTCTGTTGGGCTTTGTAGAGCTAAGCTCTTCCATCAAGTCACACGCAGCCCCAAAATCTACTCTATGGCAATTAGATACTGATCATTGGAAAGAAAGAATTATAGGCAGAAATGTAACCCAGATGGAGATTTTCTACCAACTTGGGAGGAGGTGGGTGGGTTCTTCTCTGGTAAGAAGAAGGATGCAGTGTAAAATCTAGATGACCATGTTGCAGTTTCCCTGGACAAGGTCTCAACTCTGGTGCAGGCAAAGAGTACACTTGAATATAAAATCAAAGAATGGAATAAGAAATTTGAGCCTGGGCTAATGATCAAGGAGAAAAACAGGACAACAAGAAGTATTACCAGATAATTACAGAACTTAAAAACAAGGTAAGACGTTTTGCTAGACAAAGAACCACACTAAAAATGACAAAATTTGAAAAGATTGGCAATATCTTCCACATATACCTGTACTTTTCTCAATTTGGCAGATTAAGGAAGAAATTTAACAAGCAACAGAATATACTTCTTAGCTATGTTTTTTTTCCTAATTTGTTTACTTTTGTATAGTTCATTTTACGGAAAGAATTCTAGAAATGTTTCCAAAATACTTAAGAAAAAGTAAACTAAATTCCTTACAGTTCTTTTATTCTCAAAAGCAGAGGTATATGCTATTTTCCATTAAAGAACCGTATACATATAAAATTTGTTTGAAAGACCTGAAATTGACATGCCTCAACACCAGCATACAGAGGTTCAGAATGCAAGTGTATCAGACACAACTTTTTGTGTCCTGCGTTTCCAGATTTCAGATGCAAACACTGACAATGCAACTTCATGCTACAGATCGTCAGCGTAAAACTAGCAGCTGTGGACTTCAGACAAAAGTGTGATATAGTTACCCTTAGCAGCATGATGAAAAACATAAGCTATGGAGATAAGCACTAGGTAAGGCCGGGCGTGGTGGTTCACACCTATAATCCCAACACTTTGGGAGGCCGAGGCAGGCGGATCACCTGAGGTCAGGAGTTTGAGACCAGACTGACCAATATGATGAAACCCCATCTCTACTAAAAATACAAAAATTAGCCAGGCATGGTGGCATACACCTGCAATCCCAGCTACTCAGGAGGCTGAGACAGGAGAATCGCTTGAATCCGGGAGGCAGAGGTTGCAGTGAGCTGAGGCCATACCATCGCACTCCAGCCTGGGCAACAAGAGCGAAACTCCGTCTCAAAAAAAAAAAAAAAAAAAAAAAAAAAAAACACTATGTGAAGCCATGCTTCTTTTTACACTGGAATCACAGTTATAAAAGAATATTTTTCTTCTTAGAAACAGAATCCTAAACAATGGAAAAATATTTTAGTTAAAAACCTCAGGGAAGCACATTATTTACGAGAATGCTGTGCTGATTCTACGTCCGAAGGAACCACCACTTAATTTTCTTCCGTAAGTAAGAATTTCTAGTTAGGTATATTTCAAGTGAGATTTCTGAAAAGAACCAGCATGTGTTTCTGAGGATTCTTTAATTTAACTCCCTACTTTATGTGTGTGTAGAAGACCCCAACACACAAGAGGCCAACAAGGTATGGTCACTCTGTTCTAAGAAACAAAAATGCTGAAAAGGTTCTTCCCCGAAGCTTGCAGCATTTTATATGGAGTGCCATCATACTGCCAAAAATGGGGAAAGTTAATAGCAAATTATATTAACAACAAATAAGGAACAGACGTTTGGCATTTCTATAATATTCTAATAAAATATTTAAAATGCAGCATGATATTAATAATACAAACCTAACGACCACTGAAAGCATTAGAAACTTTTTCCAGGTTTGAGATTGAACTGACCCTGCGCTGGAGCGTCAAGCTGACATCAACAGTCTGCACCAAGTCCGGAATGACATGACTTTGTCCAAGATGATCTAGAAATGCAGATTGAAACCCGGCGGAGGAGTTCACTCATCTCAAAAAGAACCAGGAAGAGGTATGTGCCCATACAGCACGTCGTAACTTTCCTCTTTCTTACATAATTCCTGCCTTCAATTTGAGTCTGATGAGGTGAAGGAAAATTCTAATAAATGAAGTTATTTTCTTACCATAATGGCCGAATTCCTTGAGCGAGGGTTGTTTCCAATTCAGGAAATTAAAGGCCAGCCAGCTGTTGCAGGCTCTGAGTTGCAGGTGGAATGGGTCAGCCCACCTGGAGCTGATCTAACACAGCTCCTCATGACATGAGAATGCACTATGAAGCCATGGCCAATCACAATCACCAAGATGCTGAAATTAGATTCAACAATAAAGTAAACAAAAAACACAGCCAAGGTCAATAAATCTAGGACAATTTCGCTTCACTGATAAATGACTCTGTTTTTATTTTGGTATTTCAGAAAAGAATGCTGCAACGGCAGGTTGCCGCTGCTGCATCCAATTCTGCTAAGACTGAGACGAATGTACAGGAGCCAGCCTTGTAGGCCCTGGAGATTGAACTACAGTCTACAGTAGACTTGGTACATAAAAATCTCTCCCTGAGTGGGGCCCAGCGCGGTGGCTCACACCTGTATTCCCAGCACTTTGGGAGGCCGAGGCAGGCAGATCACTCGAGGTTGGGAGCTCGAGACCAGCCTGACCAACATGGAGAAACTCCATCTCTACTAAAAAAATACAAAATTAGCCAGGCGTGGTGGTGCATGCCTGTAATCCCAGCTACTCAGGAGGCTGAGGCAGGAGAATTGCTTGAACCCAGGAGGCAGAGGCTGCAGTGAGCCAAGATCACGCCACTGCCCTCCAGCCTGGCCAACAAGAGCGAAACTCCGTCTCAAAACAAAAACAAACAAAAAAAATCTTTCCCTGGGTGAAAACACCATAAACCAATTGCCCACACAGACAACTGCACGATTTCACATAAATTCTCAGCAATATGTTTCCAAAACATGATATTCCCTTTAAAAAGGGTTTTTTTTAGGGTTCTTAAGAAAAAGCCAAAATCTTGGGCTTTTCCAATTAGTAACTTGGACAGGAAAATTTCCATTTAATGTGTGAAAAACACCTGGAAACAAAATTATTAACTGCACATGTCAGGCCCTATTTTGCAAACACGACAGCCACTGAATTAGCTGAGATACCACAAATGTCAGCATGAACTTGCTGTTAGGGAAATGTTGGCCCACGTTCAGAATGAGATCACTGTTTCTCTCTCCAGGTAGGTGATTAGGCAGGGCTCCTGGCTGAAAGCTTAAAAGAATTAATCTAGATAAAATTCCTGCGTATAGGTCAGCTAGGATTTCATTGAATATCAAGAAGTATATATGCTCCTTTTTAAGACGATTTAACATATTTAAACTTGAATAACAGGCTGGGCGCTGTGGCTCTCTTCTATAATCCCAGCACATTGGGAGGCCGAGGGAGGCAGATCACCTGAGGTCAGGAGTTCAAGAACAGCCTGGCCACCATGGCAAAACCCTGTCTCTACTAAAAATACAAAAATTACCCAGGCTTGGTGGTGATGCCTGTAATCCCAGCTACTTGGGAGGCTGAGGCAGGAAAATCACTTGA